>NC_000008.11:100089222-100714222 GCF_000001405.40 Homo sapiens | reverse complement strand
ACCGTATGAGTAATGCTGCATAAGTTGACCACAAATATGTGAATATGTCATATTTTCTTGACTTTGGCCTCAGGAGAGAGGCACATTCAGAAGAAAATCTGCCTTGGCCCATACATCTTCTAAATTTCTGTAATCAAATGTGATTTTTAACCTTTTCTGCCCCACTTGCCTGAGATACCACCCGCCTCAGTTACCTGTCTCTCCTACTTTAGAGGGAGTTAGGGGAAAACATGTCTTCAGAAATAAATGCTTCCTCTTCCAGGTAGTTCACCTGTGTCTTTAAAAAGAATTTTTTTTCCCTGTCTTTCAAATTCCTGTATTACCTATGTCTTACCAAAGAGTCCAACTATGTATTCCTTCCACTCCTGTTGAAAGTCGGGTAGGCCAAGGCTTAATAAATACTTGTTTCTTAATTGATACAAAGAAAATCAAATTGGTCTTAGCACAATAGCTCATGCCTGTAACCCTAGCGCTTGGGGAGGTCAAAGAGGGAAGATACTTGAAGCCACAAGTTTTAGACTAGCCCGGGCAACATAGCAAGACCCTATCTCTACAAAAAATAAATTAGCCAGGCATGGTGGTATGTGGGCCAGTAGTCCCAGATACTTGGTAAGTTGAGGCAGGA
Source organism: Homo sapiens (assembly GCF_000001405.40). Taxonomy (NCBI): domain Eukaryota; kingdom Metazoa; phylum Chordata; class Mammalia; order Primates; family Hominidae; genus Homo; species Homo sapiens. The sequence continues at coordinate 100,713,597 of NC_000008.11, read as the reverse complement.
GGATCACTTGAGCCCAGGAGTTGAGTTAAAGTGAGCTTATTCATTGTGCTGCTACACTTCAGCCTGGGCAATGGAATGATATACTGTCTCTATAGAAAAGGGAAAAAATCAAATTATTGGGTAAAAAATGCAACTCTTTTGTGCTAGAGCTGAGAATAAAACTTTTTACAGCCGTTTAAAGTGTACCTCCTTAAATGGAAGGAGGAATCCTTCAGGGGAGGGAAGGTGTTTACCTTCTTAATAATAAAAGGTCTTTCAATGGAAAAGTATACCTACCTGGGGCATAGAAGGCTGGGAGGGAGGAGTCAAGTTACGGAGCTTTGAAATTTTTTTCATGGCTTTGTATGTTGAAATTTGAAATGTATAACGTGAATGTTGTATGGAATATCTTTGATTTATGTAAAAAAATTTTTTAGGGCCTGCCTTAAGTGTGAAAGTAATGACTGATGAAAGTGGAAAATCCAAAGGATTTGGATTTGTAAGCTTTGAAAGGCATGAAGATGCACAGAAAGTAAGTGGTCTGTATTCAGCAGGAAGAAGGGGGTACAAAGTTGAGTTGCTCTTGTGTTGAAGTCTATGTGCATACTAATAGCTATTTGACATGTTCTTATATTTTCAGTTATTTGCATTTTATGCATTAGGTTTGAGAGTATAAATTGGTAACCTATATTGTCCCAAAACCTTGAGATTTTGGGATGGGTTTGTCTTTAGCTTTTGTGACTTAACAAATTTGTCTTAACTGTTAAGGAAATGAACTGTAAGTTGAAAGTTTTGTGATTTTTTTTTTTTCTTTTTTTTTGGGGGGAAGGCTGTGGATGAGATGAACGGAAAGGAGCTCAATGGAAAACAAATTTATGTTGGTCGAGCTCAGAAAAAGGTGGAACGGCAGACGGAACTTAAGCGCAAATTTGAACAGATGAAACAAGATAGGATCACCAGATACCAGGTTCATTTTTAATTGAACAACCAAAATAAGACAGGGATGAGGAAACCTATTTTACGTTGATTTCAGTTACTTCCAGGTAGCTGGAGGGTTTGAGAGGGGAATAGGAGAAGAAATATGGGGTAAAATAATAGACCCGATGTACTTAGGTACCACCATGGTTTTCTTTTTCTATAGTTTTCTTTTCTTCTTTTTAGGGTGTTAATCTTTATGTGAAAAATCTTGATGATGGTATTGATGATGAACGTCTCCGGAAAGAGTTTTCTCCATTTGGTACAATCACTAGTGCAAAGGTAAGAAAACATATGGTTCATTTATTTGAGGTCTAGTAAAAATTCATACATGTAGATATATGTATATAAATTTTGTATTATTATAGCCACTAGAGAGGTGTTTGCTTCGTTACTTCTAAAACTTAAATTCACATTTGAACTGGTTGTCATAGCCTAATGGTTAACTTAAAAATGGCAAGCACTGAACTCTTTGCTAAGGAAGGCTGATATCCTCACATGATATGCACTATTCCAACAACTAGTCATTTTGCTAAAGCAAGCAATTTATTAGGGACTTATAATTGTTACTATAGTTCTGATCTGTTTATTCATTTCTACAATTCATTCTGGGTAGTCAAGCCCCAGTTCCCTCCCCTGCCCCCTAGCAGTAAGAATAGAGATCATATTTTCTTTTATTTGAAATCAGAGATTAAGAAACAAAGCAGTAGTATTCTAGTACAAATTCTGAAATCTTGATTTAAGAAGTTCTCTTCTAGATGTTTTTGTCTAGCATCCGTGGGCCAAGAGTCCCCCTATATGCAAGGTTTTGTGCATACATAATTTTGCTGGGGTTGGGGAAGAGTGCATAGAAAAAAATTACAACTCAACTGAACTGGAATGACGCTGTGGCTGATCTTTCTAGTCAGCTTTTCCTGGCAAGTCCGAGGAAGCTTCTGTGAGAGTGAGGAAATGTTAGGGGAAAGGTGGTTGAATACAAGTAAGATGGAAGTGCCATGGTTGTCTTGTGTTTCAGATTATGCTTTTTATGTAAGAGTATTGGAGTACGATAGAATTTATTCCTGAATGTTTTTGTCTTCAGTGTGTTCCCTGGATATTGTTTAAATTGAGTGTTGTGCATCAGCATATTTTGAATGTATGAAGCATGCATGTTTTTCTGTTTCTTGAGACAGGATCTCATTATGTTGCCCAGGTTGGAGTGCAGGGGCATGCCACAATCACAGCTCACTGCAGCCTCAGCCTTTCCTGGGCTTAAGCCAAGCTTGTCCAACCCGCTGCTTGCAGGCCACATGCGGCCCAAGAATGCTTTTAATGCAGTGCAACACAAATTCTTAAACTTATGAGGTGTTTTTTTTTTGTCTTTTTTAAAGACGAGTCTCACTCTCGCCTGGGCTGGAGTGCGGTGGTGCAATCTCAGCTCACTGCAGCCTCCGCCTCCCGGGTTCAAGCGATTCTCCTGCCTCAGCCTCCTGGGTAGCTGGGATTACAGGCATGTGCCACTACGCCCAGCTAATTTTTGGTATTTTTAGTAGAGATGGGGTTTCACCATGTTGGCCAAGCTGGTCTTCCAACTCCTGACCTCAGGTGACCTCCTAAAGTGTTGGGATTACAGGCGTGAGCCACCGTGCCTGGCTGGTTGTCTGTCTTTTTATTGATTAAGGGAACATTTGTTTTATTTTTTTGAGATGGAGTGAAGTGGTGTGATCTCAGTTCACTGCAACTTCCACCCCCTGGGTTCAAGCAGTTTTCCTGTCTCAGCTTCCCGAGTAGCTGGGATTATATGCACCTGCCACCATGCCCGGCTAATTTTTGTATTTTTAGTAAAGACGGGGTTTCGCCACGTTGGCCAGGCTGGTCTCGAACTCCTGACTTCAGGTGATCCACCCGCCTTGGCCTCCCAAAGTGCTAGGATTACAGGCGTGAGCCACCGCGCCCGGCCAAACATTTGTTTTATATTGGAAATATTTTCTTCGAATTTTCCACTTTATAGACCTCACTTTGTGTGTGTGTCATCTTAGAAAGGTTTTCTCTCTATTTCTACATTCTATGTTCAGATTCAGAATCTACCTGGCATTTAAGATTTTTCAATGTAATGTGAATTAAGAGTTCTACATTTTTTCATTTGTCCCAGTGTGTCATGTATTGAGTAGCCCAAAGTCCTTTTTCCCCAGTACTTTAAAATGTTAACTTTAGCACAGTGAATTCCCATAATTGCTTGGGTATATTTCTGGCCTCTGTTTTATTACCGTTTGTTCCTATGCCACTCGCATACTGTTAATGTAGTTTTATAGCATGCTTATATATATTGCTGGCCTAGCGAGTGGTTCTTTGCAAGTCTTCATTGCTCATTTAAAAGGTCTTTGCAATCAATTTTAGAAGAACCTTCCTCTTGAGTGTTCTTTATACCGTAATATTTATGGATCCTCTGCTCTTGAATGTAAAAACTTTTATTTTAAGATGTGGGTATTGTAAGATTCAACTACTTTTTTCTCAAAGGCATAGTGAAGCATCTTGTCAGCTTGAATTGTTAGAATAGTCAAAATTTAATTGGGAAATGCTTCCAGTGGTGCCCAAAAGTCAATTTAGTAGGCCTGGGATGTATTTATTTAGATAATTAAATTTCAATATTGAAAATCCAATCAAATTCAGTATCTAAAATCTTTAAAAGTTTCTGTGCAGCCTTCACTTCTGTCAGTTCTCTGACCTGGCTAGGGTAATGCATATGTGTAGTTTGCCCTTAATAATTGGGTATTAAGGAAAAATTGTGAACTCAATGGGTAAATACAAGATGATTAAGCATTAACAGGGTTTAGTTATTTGATTCAGTGATTTATAATTGTCTAAATTGTAACGCTCTTTTTTTGCTCCTCATTCTACCATTACGTTAACTTTTTTTTTCTTTTTTTTAATAGGTTATGATGGAGGGTGGTCGCAGCAAAGGGTTTGGTTTTGTATGTTTCTCCTCCCCAGAAGAAGCCACTAAAGCAGTTACAGAAATGAACGGTAGAATTGTGGCCACAAAGCCATTGTATGTAGCTTTAGCTCAGCGCAAAGAAGAGCGCCAGGCTCACCTCACTAACCAGTATATGCAGAGAATGGCAAGTGTACGAGCTGTTCCCAACCCTGTAATCAACCCCTACCAGCCAGCACCTCCTTCAGGTTACTTCATGGCAGCTATCCCACAGGTAGGTTTTAGAAGGCAACCAGAACCATGAAGGTTTTCGTATTTGGTCATTTCTAGTGTTTTTTGTGCCCCTCGCCCCGCAAATGTGAAACATTAAGAAAGGGGAATTATGATTGAGTAGGAAAAAATGCTTGAGTGTGAAGTCCTGGTAAATGTTTTGAAAAAGTACATATAATTTATTGCATTATTTGCTTTTTTCTTCAACTGATAAACTCATGTGCTTTTTTTCCCTGCAGACTCAGAACCGTGCTGCATACTATCCTCCTAGCCAAATTGCTCAACTAAGACCAAGTCCTCGCTGGACTGCTCAGGGTGCCAGACCTCATCGTAAGTCTTTTTTCTTTTAATTAAGGTTGGGGATTGAGTTAAAAATAACACATTGGGTAAATCAGCTCTTCTATGTCAATGTTAGGTTAACTATTGCATTTCACATAATTTGTGGTTATGGATGTTCATTTTTATAGCATTTAAAAGCAGTGCTAAGATAGTAATGTCTACAGTGGTTTGATTTCCCTTTATAAAAGTTTTGGGAATAGGTACAGCTCTTCATTTTTTATTTATTTATTTATTTATTTATTTTCGAGACAGAGTCTCGCTCTGTTGCCCCAGGCTCGAGTGCAGTGGCTCAGTTTCGGCTCACTGCAACCTCCACCTCCCAGGTTCAAGCGATTTCTCCCTGCCTCAGCCTCTGGAGTAGCTGGGATTACAGGTGCCCGCCACCACGCCCAGCTAACTTACGCATTATTAGTAGAGATGGGGTTTGACCACGTTGGCCAGGGTTGTCTTGAGCTCCTGATCTCAGGTCATCTGCCCACCTCAGCCTCCTAAAGTGTTGAGAGTACAGGCGTGAGCCATGGCACCCAGCCAATTTCATATTTTGTCAGGCCACAGTTTTAAAGGTCTCGTTCCATTTAATCATGTATGAGAATCAGAGTCGTGGTATTTTATGTCTTGTCCTGTGGAACAGTATGTTATATTCCAAGAGCACTTAGAGTTTATTTTTTTAGACAGAGTCTCACTCTTTCTTCTAGTCTGGAGTGCAGTGGCATGGTCTTGGCTTACTGCAGCTTTCACCTCCCGGGTTCAGGTGATCCTCCTGCCTCAGCCTCCCAAGTAGCTGGGACTACAGGCACACGCCACCACGCCCAGCTAATTTTTTAAATTTTTTGTAGAGACGGGATTTTGCCCTGTTGGCCAGGCTGGGAGCACTTAGAATTTTATCATGATTATGTTTCAGGTATATTTATAAGTGTGGGCGGCAAACCACCCAGGTGCCAAGGCAAGAGACCGAGGACACGAGCTGTTCCAATATAATAAAATATAAAATAAGAATAGTTATACCAGATATAGATCTTAGATATGATTATATATGAATATCATTAATCATTAGTTTGTAGCAATTACTCTTTATTCCAATATCATAATAATCCTCACTCTATAATCATAACCTAGGAAAAACCAGGCCATACAGAGATAGGAGCTGAGGGGACATAGTGAGAAGTGACCAGAAGACAAGAGTGCGAGCCTTCTGTTATGCCCAGACAGGGCCACCAAAGGGCTCCTTGGTCTAGTGGTAACGCCAGCGTCTGGGAAGACGCCCGTTGCCAGGCGGACCGAGGTCTAGCAGTAGCGTAAGTGTCAAAGGAAAACACCCACTATTTAGCAGACCGGGAAAGGGAGTCTGCTTTTCCCCTGGGGAGTTTAGAGAAGACTGCTCCTCCACCTCTTGTGGAGGGCCTGACATCAGTCAGGCTTGCCTGCAATTATCCAGAGGCCTAACCGTCTCCCTATGGTGCTGTGCTTCAGTGGTCACGCTCCTAGTCTGCCTTCATGTTCCATCCTGTACACCTGGCTCTGCCTTCTAGATAGCAGTAGTAAATTAGTGAAAGTACTAAAAGTCTCTAATATGCAGAAACAATGGCGTAAGCTGTCTTTCTCTCTGTCTCCTCTCCCTCTCTGCCTCGGCTGCCAGGCGGGGAAGGGCCCCCTCTCCAGTGGACACGTAACCCACGTGACCTTACCTATCATTGGAGATGACTCACACTCTTTACCCTGCCCCTTGTGTTTTGTTTCCAATAAATAACAGTGCAGCCAGACATTCAGGGCCACTACTGGTCTCCGCGTCTTGGTGGTAGTGGTCCCCCGTGCCCAGCTGTCTTTTTTTTTTAAATCTCTGTGTCTCGTGTCTTTATTTCTGCACTCTCTCGTCGCTGCATACAGGGAGAAGCCCACCGACCCTGTGGGGCTGGTCGCTACATATAAGTACTCGTCCTTGTATGAATTAATGTTTTTACTTATTGATGCTCTGAGTCTGGGAAAATGGCAAGTGTTAAGACTCAGCTTTAAAAAGTTTTGTCACTTTTTAGTCTTTTATGCAAACCTCAGATCGAAGAAGACAGCATAAACACTTTTCACTCAGTAAGTTTTCCCAGTTAATGTATATTCACATCTTTAAAATGCAGCATTCCAAAATATGCCCGGTGCTATCCGCCCAGCTGCTCCTAGACCACCATTTAGTACTATGAGACCAGCTTCTTCACAGGTTCCACGAGTCATGTCAACACAGCGTGTTGGTGAGTCTTAATCCTTCCTTTAAAAATTGATCACCAATTTGAAAGAGCAAGATAAAAATACAAAATGTTCTTATTTTTTAGCTAACACATCAACACAGACAATGGGTCCACGTCCTGCAGCTGCAGCCGCTGCAGCTACTCCTGCTGTCCGCACCGTTCCACAGTATAAATATGCTGCAGGAGTTCGCAATCCTCAGCAACATCTTAATGCACAGCCACAAGTTACAATGCAACAGGTATGGATTTAATGATTTCTTAATAAAAATCACATTTCTTGGGTGAAATCAAAGGTGTGAAGACAGCTGGGCACAGTGGCTCACACCTATAACCCCAGCACTTTGGGAGGTTGAGGCAGGCAGATTGCTTGAGACCAGGAGTTTGGGACCAGCCTGGGCAACATACAGGACCCTGTCTCCACAAAGAAAACTAGCTGGGTGTGGTGGCATAAGCCTGTAGTCCTAGCTGCTAGGAAGGCTGAGGCAGGAGGATTGCTCGAGCCCAGGAGTTTAAGGCTGCAGCAAGCTGTAATCCCTGCTGGGTGACAGCAAGACTCTGTCTCAAAAGAAAAAATGTGAAGACAGCTGCATGATAGATTCTTGAGAGCTTAGCCTATCTGGAACATTCTGCTAATATGATAGTATGTAAAATGTCTTACGCTTTTGGAATTGGACAAGCAGCGAGAAATTCACATCCTAAATCACCACGCCTGGTCTGAAACAACTATTACAAGTAGCTATGGGCCAGGCGTGGTGGCTCACACCTCTATGTAATCCCAGCACTTCAGGAGGCCAAGGCAGGTGGATCACTTGAGGTCAGGAGTTTGAGACCAGCCTGGTCAACAGGGTGAAACCCCAGCTCTAAAAATATAAAGATTAGCCAGGCTTGGTGGCACATGCCTGTAATCCCAGCTACTGGGGAGGCTGAGGCAGGAAAGTTGCTTGAATCCGGAGGCGGAGGTTGCAGCGAGCCAAGATTGTGCCGTTGCATTCCAGCCTGGGCGACAAAGTGAGACTCCATCTCAAAAAGAAAAAAAATGTATCTGTGATACATAGTATATAATAACTACTTTGGCTTCTTTCTAATTCGCTCACTCAACTTCTCCACCTCATGTTTCGATGGAAGTCTACCACTTCAGCAGATGTCCATTGATGACTATTTGTATTTGCCATCTTTTTCTGTGCTTTAAACTTAAGAGTTCTCATTTTCTGTCTAGCCTGCTGTTCATGTACAAGGTCAGGAACCTTTGACTGCTTCCATGTTGGCATCTGCCCCTCCTCAAGAGCAAAAGCAAATGTTGGGTGAGTACTTCTGTCCCACCTTGTCAGTTCAGAAAGACTAGAAAATATAGGAATCACTTAGGCACTAGGTCAATCAATTGACAGCTAGGGCAGTGGAATTGATCTGAATTGGCATGAATGATTATGATAGTACAGTTGGTCTGCCTAATTAAAACCACTGGAAAGCCAATAAGAAAATGTATTGTTAGTAATAAATAGGGTAGTAGGGCATTACTCACCATGGGCCCTCACTACATTTTTGAGAGAAGGAATTTGAAGCAAATGAGAAGAAAACTTGTGACTTTGCCTGAACACCGATTTAACAACCTAATGGTAACATTGCTTAATTGGCAAGCTGATAATATCAAGAGTTAATTGCCTTGTGGCAGATTTTATTCTGTCTTCCCATGAAGACATAATGAAATTGTGGATTATGGGTTATTATATACGTGAGACAGAAGTATGGTTCTTAAACCCCAGTTTAATGTGGTAATTCAATGCAGTTAAAAACTTTTTTTTATTGAAGGGAGTTTTTGAATGTTTCTGTTCCTAGGTGAACGGCTGTTTCCTCTTATTCAAGCCATGCACCCTACTCTTGCTGGTAAAATCACTGGCATGTTGTTGGAGATTGATAATTCAGAACTTCTTCATATGCTCGAGTCTCCAGAGTCACTCCGTTCTAAGGTGATTTAAATTTATTTACCAAGTTGCCTCTTACACAGTTATTACGTGGCTTTTTATGGGGACTTAATTGTACAGAACACTTACATCGTGTTATATATAAGCCATGTACAGTTGTAAAGTCTGCATAATAACCTGTGGCGCTATTTATCCCCATTTTATAGATAGGTAAACTGAAACAGGCTGAATAATTTGCCAAATGCTCACACAGCTCTTAAGTGGCAGAGCCTGGCTTCAAATCCCATCAGCTCCAACAGCCATACTCTCAACTGCTGCTGCTTTCTCTAGTGGAGAAAGAGAAATATTTTTCGAGTGTGGGGAGGACAAGGAAAGAGTAGTGCAGGGGAGCGATTCATAATTCTAGAATAGTGGTGTAATAGAACTCAAAATTGAATGGATATAGTTGTTTAGTGTAACAATTTATACTTTCATTTGAGGGAAGAAACTTATCTTTGTTGGGAATTGGTATGTTACCATTATGAAACTCTTTATTTCCATTCCTTTCCTGAACCAGTTTATCTGTTTTCCCCTTTTTTAGGTTGATGAAGCTGTAGCTGTACTACAAGCCCACCAAGCTAAAGAGGCTGCCCAGAAAGCAGTTAACAGTGCCACCGGTGTTCCAACTGTTTAAAGTGAGCTTTTCCCTCTGGTTTGTTGTTTTAAGCTTGTTTTCTTCATCTTTTATAAAGTTTGTTGAGCATATTTTGAAATGTACATAGCAAAAGATCATTTTACAGTTCATTTAAATGTATTGCTAATTTTTCAAGGAAAAGTGGAACTAACTATAGAGGAATTAAAGGAATTTTACCCGTTAACTGTTGGATTTTTAAAATCCCAGGACTTTCAGGTGGTGTTTTTTTTTTTTTTTTTTTTTGAGATGGAGTTTCGTTCTGTCGCCCAACCTGGAGTGCATTGACGCGATCTCGGCTCACTGCAACCTCCACCTCCCAGGTTCAAGCAATTCTCCTGCCTCGGCCTCCCGAGCAGCTGGGATTAACAGGCCCATGCCTGCCACCGTGCCCAGCTAATTTTTGTATTTTTACTAGACTTGGGGTTTTGCCATGTTGGCCAGGCTGGTCTGGAACTTCTGACCTCAAGTGATCCGCCCACCTCGGCCTCCCAAAGTCTTGAAATTACAGGCGTGAGCCACTGCGCCCTGCCAGATTTTGTATAGTAATATATATATAAAATGACCTGTCACAGGTTGGCTTTCATAGTTTTACCTTTCCTTTTTGGGTGGTGCCCTTGGGTCTCTACTACTGTCTTTCATCACTCCCAAGAAATTGAGTAGTGCAGCCAGGATCAGGACCAGGGATTGGCAAATGTTTTTTGTAAAGGGCCAGATAGGAAATATTTTGGGCTTTGAGGACTGTGTTATCTCTGAAATGATCTTGTTCCAGTGTTACCATGTCAAGACAACCATAGATAGTATGTATACAAATGAACAGGTATGGCTGTGTTCCAGTAAAACTATGGATAAAAACAACCACATTGCATTTGGCTAAGGGCTTTAATTTGCTACTGACAAGTGATAGTCCTGGTCTTAATTTGTTTTTTTAACATTTACAGATTGATCAGGGACCATGAAAAGAAACTTGTGCTTCACCGAAGAAAAATATCTAAACATCGAAAAACTTAAATATTATGGAAAAAAAACATTGCAAAATATAAAATAAATAAAAAAAGGAAAGGAAACTTTGAACCTTATGTACCGAGCAAATGCCAGGTCTAGCAAACATAATGCTAGTCCTAGATTACTTATTGATTTAAAAACAAAAAAACACAAAAAAATAGTAAAATATAAAAACAAATTAATGTTTTATAGACCCTGGGAAAAAGAATTTTCAGCAAAGTACAAAAATTTAAAGCATTCCTTTCTTTAATTTTGTAATTCTTTACTGTGGAATAGCTCAGAATGTCAGTTCTGTTTTAAGTAACAGAATTGATAACTGAGCAAGGAAACGTAATTTGGATTATAAAATTCTTGCTTTAATAAAAATTCCTTAAACAGTGCACGGATTTGCTTTTTTTCAAAGTCTTTATAATTGCCATGCATAAATAGGTAATATCTTAATGGTGCTGAGCCGACATAAGAATCTTTTATGAAAAATGTACTGTTAAGTTCAGGGGGTCTATTGGTTTTATGTAAAAGGCACAAGACAATTCCTGTAGTGCATTTTATGAGTTAAGGTTTCCATACGGATTATTGAAACAATTTGTTACATGTATTTGTTACATGATCTTAATATTTCATGTACAAGACTGACACCCATCCACTTTTGAAGATAAGCCAGTTTATGGGGTTTTTTTTTTTGCGGGTAGAGGTTGGGTCTCCCTATTTTGTCCAGGCTGGTCTCGAATTCCTGGGCTCAAGCATAAGCATAAGGCTTATTCCTGCATAAGCCACCATGCCTGGCCTGCCAGTTGATGATTATATTGAGGTTTCTAGGCTATGAGATTATTAGCTTAAACCCTTACATGATATAAAACAATGATAGCTACTCTTGAAGAGGATGTAGATAAGATAGGCTTTGGTATGATTTTAATATTAAAGTGTTAAAAGTTATGATTAGTTTTAAACCTTATTCTTGTAACGTCTTTAATTTGGTAGTTCATGATTGTGGCTTAATTTTAGTGTAATACCCAAAGTACTTGTTAAAGGTGAAGATGTGGGGTTCTTTTAGGAGGATGGATTTAGAAGATCTAGCCTGGAGTATAGGGTATCTGCATAAAACTGATAACCCAGGCAGTTTACACTTTTAGGTTTTAATTTCTAACCGATCATTCTCTGTGGACTACTGCTAGAGTTAGCTTTCTAAGTTAAACGTGTGGTTATCTCATTCCATGCTAAACAAACAATTCTATTAACCTTCGGGATTAAATAAATCTAAACAAAACCCTAGCTTGTGACAGTGGCAGCCCTCAATGCTGATGAAGCCTAGTGATGCTTCTGTACCTAGAATGCTTTTCGCTTTGGCTTCTTGTTTTGAAACTCAAGATAATACAAACTCCACCCTCCTACCCTTTAGCATAGAACAGTGCATCCAGTGGGGATCCTGATCATTTTGTATTTTGCCTCACAACAGACATACCCTCTCAGGGGCTGATGCTTCATTACAATTTTTTTTTTTGAAAGATTTTCTTCATTGTGTTAAGGCAGAGAAACACCATATTTTTTCAAAATTGTAATACAAAATGGTTCAAATTTTGAGGTTTTAAAAGAGCCGGCTATTTTGAGACACTTGAAGTCAAATCTATAAAGTTCACACACTAGTTCACACACCAAAATCTAGTGCCAGGTTGGGTTCATAGCTTTATACGTTAGGTAGCTGATTGATTGGAAGTCAGTATTTGTTGTGAGATTCGAAGATAAGTCATATTCATCTGTTCCTGAAATGTCTGCTTTTTCAGATAGAGCAAACTTTAAGTGGCCAGAGCCAACAGATTTGGGGAGTAGGCATTTGGATTCTTGCAGGAATTAAGGAAACAGTTGATTCTCATTTGCAGATTCCGTATTTACAAATTTGCCTACTCACTAAAATTTATTTGTAACCCCCAAATCAGTGTGCATGCTGCTTTCATGGATGTGTGCAGAGCAACAAAAAGTTTGCGTCACCTGATAACACACTTCCCAGACGAGTATCCCTTTCATGGTCTGTTGAGTGCTATGTTCTTGACATTTTTGTGCCTTTTGTGGGTGGATTTTGCTGTTTAAAATGGCCCCCAAGCATAGCGCAGAAGTGTTACCTGGTGTTCCTTAGCACAAGAAGGAAGAGATGAGCCTTTTGGAGAAAATGGATGTTAGGGAGGCTTTTTTTCAGGCATGGGTGACATGAGTTACATGAATTCAGTATTAATGTATATTAAGGTATCTTAACAAACACATAAAACAAGGTCATGTATTAATTGCTGGAAATGTCACAGGCTTACAGGAACCTAACCCTGTCAGTACAGGTTGATTATCCCTTTTCAGAAATGCTTGGGATTCTGGAATATTTACATATACAGAATGAGATCTTGGGGACGGGACTGAAGTCTAAACAATTTATTTCATACATGTTACAGCCTGAATGTAATTTTATACGGTATTTTCAGTAAATTTGTGCATGAAACAAAGTTTTGACTGACCCATCACATGAGGTCAGGTGTGGAATTTTCAACTTGTGTCATGTCAGCACTCAAAAGTTTAGGGGTTTGGAGCTTTTTGGATTAGGGATACTCAACCTGTATTTAATAATTCAGTGTTCATGGTGATTTCTTTGTTTTTTTTTTTTTTTTTTTTTTTTTTTTTGAGACAGAGTCTTGCTCTTGTTGCCTGGGCTGGAGTGCAGTGGCACGATCTCGGCTCACTGCAGCCTCTGCCTCCCGTGTTCAAACAATTCTCGTGCCTCAGTCTCCCAAGTAGCTGGGATTACAGGCGCACACCACCACACCTGGCTAATTTTTGTATTTTTAGTAGAGACAGTTTCACCATGTTGGCCTGGCTGGTCTCAAACTCCTGACCTCAGGTGATCACCCTCCTCGGCCTCCCAAAGTGTTGGGATTACAGGCGTGAGCCATGGCGCCCGGCCCATGGTGATTTCATAGAACATAACTGCTATGAGTAAAAAGAACTGACTGTAGTATATGGTAAATAACGTAGTTCATAATCCACAGTGGTTTGTTTGAAACTCCTAGTTTCATAGCAGAATTTGAGATGCAAAACAGAACAAGACAACTGACATTTTTTGGGCTACCGTGTATCTTTTAAAGCATGTGTATGACTGCATCATTTGACAGTTTTGACACAAACTAACAGGTGACATTTTTCTATGGATACTAGATGTATAATGGTTAATTGGAAACTTCTGGAATCTTTTCTTTGTTTCAACACGTATGCTAAGACTTGCATAGATGAAATAAGCTTAAGTAATGTGCCTTGTTTATAGTATGCTATCTTTGGTTATGTGAGAGATGTTAATGGAGAGTACTTTGAAAATTGCTTATTATTTTGGTTTAAAATCTTGATCCCAGATTATTCATTTAAAGCAAGTATATGGCTTTGTTTTTTGGTCTGTTTTTTGTTTTTGAGACAGAGTCTCGCTCTGTTACCAAGGCTGGAGTGCAGTGGCGCGATCTCAGTTCATTGCAGCCTCCGCCTCCTGAGTTCAAGCAATTATTGTGTCCCAGTCTCCTGAGTTGCTGGGATTACAGGCACACAACACTACATCCGGCTAAAATTTTTGTATTTTTAGTAGAGACAGAGTTTCGCCATGTTGGCCAGGCTGGTCTTGAACTCCTGACCCCAAGTGATCTGCCTGCCGCAGTCTCTCAAAGTATTGGGACTACAGGCATGAGCCACCATGCCTGGCTGAAAGCAAGTATATAACTTTGAAGAGTATCTGGATACTTAACGTTTAATGAGTGCACTAGACAAGTTGTCATGGAAGCAAAGTTAAATCCTAAGTCCGAGTTGGAAGCACCATGGGTGGAGCTGGTCAATATACTGCCTAACACTGTCCAGCTATGATAATCTGCATGGATCTCTGCTAGGAGACCTAACCAGTCATGGGGACATCTTTGAATAAACCAGTCAGGGCAGACGTACCTTTGGACAATGCCAGTGCTACACGAATGAATTTTTTTAATTTTTTGTATTATAGAGACAGGGTCTCTGTTGCCCAGGCTGGAGTGCAGTGACACAATTGTAGCTCACTGCAGCCTGCAATTCCTGGGTTCAAGAGACCCTCCCACCTCAGTCTCCCAAGTAGCTGAGACTACAGGCACTCACCACCTCATCCAGCTAATATTTTAGTTTGTAGAGATGGAGGTCTTGCTATGTTGCCCAGGCCGGTCTCAAACTCCTGGCCTCCTGAAGTACTGGGATTACAGGTGTGAGCCACTGCACTTGGCCCTACACCGATGAATTTTTTTTTTTTTTTTTTTTATAGGGACAGAGTCTTGCTCTGTCACCCAGGGTGGAGTGCAGTGGTGTGATCACAGCTTACTGCAGCCTCAACCTCCTGGGCTCAAGCCATCCTCCCGCCTAGCCTCCTGAGTAGCTGAGACTACAGTTACACTCCCACATCTGGTTAATTTATTACTTTTGTAGAAATGAGGTCTTGATCTGTTGCCCAGGCTGGTCTCGAACTCCCGATTCTCCTGCCTTGGCCTCCCAAAGTGCTGGGCTTATAGGTGTCAGCCATCATGCCTGGCAATGAATTATTTGTCTCCTATTTTTAGGCCTCATACTGACTCTCCCTCTTCAGTAAATATAGCCTGTCTTCTACTAAGTTAGATTTAAGGGTTTTTAGTTAACCACTTTCTGTAACACTCAGATCACTTTGATACATCTCCTGTTGCTGTATCTTCTCTACCACCTAGTTTCACATGCTAGGGAGATACATGGCAGAATTGCAGGGTAACCTAATTTTTATTTATTTTTTATTATTATTATTTTTTTGAGATGGAGTCTCGCTGTGTCACCCAGGTTGGAGTGCAGTAGTGCAATCTCGGCTCACTGCAGCCTCCACCTCCCAGATTTAAGCAATTCTCTTGCCTTAGCATCCCGAGTAGCTGGGACTGCAGGCACGTGCCACCACACCCAGCTGATTTTTGTATTTTTAGTAGATACGGGTTTCGCCGCGTTGGCCAGGCTGGTCTGGAACTCCTGACTTCAGGTGATCCACCCGCCTCGGCCTCCCAAAGTACTGTGATCACAGGCATGAGCCACCGCGCCCAGCCAGGATAACCTAATTTTTAAATTTTAGATAGTATTCGTTTATTTGACCCTCACAATCATGGCAAGTTTGCAAAATATTGTATTATCTAAAAAGGTAGAAAAACATGCAATTTATTTACTTTGTTACTGACAATATCCCCAGAAAAGGAAACAACATGGGCTTTTGATTAGCTCTGATGTTTTTTCTGCAGAGAAAAAGCTCTACATGTTGGAACATTTGTCCTTTTCAGAAAGTTCCCACAAGATACATGATCATTGATAAGGCATACGTGAACAGATGGATTTATGATTGGTGATGGGTTTTTGTTTCTATACCCCACCCCAAGTAAAAAAAAAATGTGTGGTACATGGAATATTTTTTATTATGCTTATTTCGTATTGCCAGGTAGATGGCCAGCCTGACATTCAAAATTATTTTATCAGCCCCTAAATGTTAATATTTCCCAAACTATTTAAATCAGTAGAAGACATTTTTACTATTAAGAATAAAAAGTTATAATATAAAATGGATTAAATGCCAGATTATATGCTAAACAAGTCCTTTAAATTTTTAACTTAATATTTTTAACAGATTTTTTTTTTGAGATGCAGTTTTACTCTTGTTGCCCAGGCTGGAGTGCAATGGCACAATCTTGGCTCACTGCAACCACCACCTCCCGGGTTCATGCGATTCTCCTGCCTCAGCCTTCTGAGTAGCTGGGATTACAGGCATGTGCCACCACATGCAGCTAATTTTGTACTTTTAGTAGAGACGGGGTTTCTCTATGTTGGTCAGGCTGGTCTTGAGGTCGGGAGCTCAGGTGATCTACCTGCCTCAGCCTCCCAAAGTGCTGGGATTACAGGCGTGAGCACTGCGCCCGGCTTTAACAGATATTTTTATAAGCAAATCATTTATAAGTATGGGTGACTATTCTTTACAAATCCATTTGTGATGCAGTGGTAATTTGGTGGCACTGCAATTATGGCCAGCAATGAAGATTATAAAATAATTGCCTGAGGAACCAAGCTCATGTGCACTAAAAAGAAGCAGGGATTCTTAGAAGATTCTTAGAAGTATAGAGTAGTGATTTTTTTGGGGATGGAGTCTTGCTCTGTCGCCCAGGTTAGAGTGCAGTGGTGCGATATCCGCTCACTACAACCTCCGTCTCCTGGGTTCAAATGATTTTCCTGCCTCACCTCCCAAGTGGTTGGGACTACAGGCGCCTGCCACCATGCCCGGCTAATTTTTGTATTTTTAGTAGAGACGGTTTCACCATGTTGCCTAGGGTAGTCTCAAACTCCTGAGCTCAGGCAGTCATCCTGCCTAGGCCTCCCAAAGCGCTAGGATTACAGGTGTGAGTCACTGTGCCCGGCCGATATGCCTGTTTTTTAATCAACCAATTTTTAAAAAATTTACCAGAGCCAACTCGGAATTAACATTTGTAACTGCTAATATTGAGTATATGTATGTGTTTACTTAACAAGTAAACTCTTTACTTGCACTATATCATTTAATTCTTAAAACCACCCTATGAAATTGGTTCAGTAATATATTCCCATTTTACAGATGAGGGAACTGAAGCATCAAACTGAACCGCGACTTGTCCAAAGTCACATAGTAAGTGGAGGTGGAACTGGGCTTTAAATCCAAGCCTACATACAGACTAGAGTTCACACTTTTAGGCTTGGCATAAACTGCCTATAAACTATAAAAAAGTAAAACTCCATAAAATCTCAGGTACTTGGACTACCTTCAGTCTGAGAGGTGGGGGATGGGGAGACAGCAAATTTTTATGTTTATTAAAGCATGAAATATAAAGCAAAAACAAAGTTCCTTTTTCTTTTTTTTAATTTAAATTTGTATTTTTTACGGAATCTCACTGTCACCCAGGCTGGAGTGCAGTGGTGCGATCTCAGCTCACTGCAGCCTCCACCTCCCGGGTTGAAGCATGTCTCCTGCCCCAGCCTCCCAAGTAGCTGGGACTACAGGCGCATGTCACCATGCCTAGCTAATTTTTGTATTTTTAATAGAGATGGGGTTTCACCATGTTGCTCAGGCGAATCTCGAACTCCTGACCTCAAGTGATCCGCCTGCCTCGGCTTCCTAATGTGCAAAGATGCTTTTTTGTTGTCACATTTTAAGACAGCCAAAAAGAATGAGAAAGTCATTGTTTAGAAGAAAAGGAATCCTAGTGACGAGTTGTCTTGAAAGAGAAGAAAAAAAGTTAAAAAACAGAAGAAAAAGGAGATCTTTAACCGTGCTGGGTATAAAATTCTAAGTCAGGATACTTTTCTTCCTTTGAGCATCTTTGACTGCCTGGGGAATATCAGACATTCTTTTAGTGGCCTTGTGATCATTTTGCTGAGCTTGTTCATATTCCTGTTCTAGGTTCTCTTAGAATTGATAAATAGACTTAACGAAAACCTTTTAATTACCATGAATTTTTAATAAAACGTGAAATTAATGTTCTGGCCTTGTATTGCACTTCTGTGCCAATTGGGAAGATGTCTCAACCTTTTCTCAACAGTTATTAAGAAATATGTTGGATAAAACACCGATTACTACTGCTAAAGAAGAACTTTCCAACAAATTGGTAATGTTTTCTTTCAGATAAGCAACACACACTGCCACTTAAGTAGCAAAGCCCCATCTAGAACTCCTGGCTCTCTGACTTCAGGGTCTGTGCTATTAACTTGTTTAATTTTGCTTTTGTCTTGCTATTTATGCAGACAAGAATGTTTGATATTTTCTTTACCAATTATATTAATGAATAACAACTACTGTCATTTAAACTTAGCTTTCATCTGATCTCAGATGGAGATGACATAGATGTTTTGTGTCATGTGAGTGTAAACATTGATCCTGTTCCAACTCTTTCCTTGAAGAAACAAACCAGTGGACTTGGAGAGGTGGTGTTATTTATCATGTGTGAATGGAGCCAGAAGACATCTAGCGTACCATAAATAAGCTCCCCTTGAAGGATTTCCTTCTAATCACATCTCTGATACATGGCAGTTTGGTAACATCACCCCTTGCCTTGCTTTGGGTTTTAAAAAAATTATTCTTTGTTTTTATTACACCCAGATTTTATGCATGATATTTTAATTGAATTATTTATATACAGTTGATACAGCTTTATGATTTTTGACCAATGTTTATTTATTTTTAATTAATTTTTTGTGTGTGTGATGGAGTTTCGCTCTTGTCGCCAGGCTGGTGTACAGTGACGGGATCTCGGCTCACTACAACCTCCACCTCCCGGGTTCAAGCGATTCTCCTGCCTCAGCCTCCTGAGTAGCTGGGATTACAGGCGCCCACCACCACACCCAGCTAATTTTTTGTGTTTTTAGTAGAGACCGGGTTTTGCCATGTTGGTCAGGCTGGTCTCAAAACTCCTGACCTCAGGTGATCCACCCGCCTCGGCCTCCCAAAGTGCTAGGATTACAGGCATGAGCCTGGCCCTGACCAATGATTATACCCTGTAACCACTCATATAAAAATATAGAGCATTTCCAGTACCTCAGAGGGCTCCCTTGGGTCCCTACTCAGTTAATATTTGCCCCCTTCCCCAAAGGTAGACATTCTTCCTATGTCCTATATTTGTAGTAGCTGTTTTGAATTTCATATAAATAAATGCACACATATTGACTTGTGCTTGTCTGCTTTTGTTCAACATCATGTCTGAGATTACTCCGTATTATATGTAGCAGTAGTTAGCTCCTATGTGGCTGCATAGTACTCCATGTATGAATATACCACAATTTATTCCTTCTGTTGATGGAAACTTGGGTTTTTAGTTGTTGGCTCTTAGACAAAAAGCAAGCTTGTGACTAGGTCTCTGAATCACAATAAGGCAGCAAGCTGGATATTATGTGCTGCAGTGATAATTGCTCTGCTAAGGCCACCAGCAATCTACAACTTGATTTATTGCATTGAAACAAGGCCAAAAACTCCAGAGACAATGTAACATTGATAATTGCAGGACAATCAATGTTTTCATATTGATTCCCAAACAAGGGGAAAATGTCTTCAAAAGCTCTGCAAAATCAGAGCAAGTCTTAAAATGTGAACAATTACTGTCCTCATAAAATGAAATGTCTTGAAATGGATGCTATTACTACTACTTCGTGACTTTAAACAAAGGTACATATAACTTCGTTTCTCTTAATTCACCTTTTCTCAAGTGTTAGGAAGGGGTTTTGCTATTTAAAGAAGAAAAACACTACAACGATAATGACAACTACAATGATAAAAACAATGACGATGATTCAGGGATTTGCATTGATACCCACCCCTGATATTTGGATCCTAGATGAGGTGACTCCAGCAAAATTGGAAAAAACACATAGAGCCAGGCCTATCTCTGTAAGAGCACTTAAGAGTAGGGGCATGACTGGGGTATTCTGTCTCGCTTTACTGCTTGGCACATTCAGTAAATACTTGTTGAATGAATTCAGTAAATACTTGAATGAATGGTTCAAACATGAGATACCATTTTTCTTCAGGGTATGCATTTCTGAAATTAGAAACTGATTACTAAGACTTGGCATACTTTTGTTTTTTACTTTTCATTGAAATAATTCAAACTTAAAATTGCAAGAATAATATTCAGAATTTTTATATATCCTTTACCCAAATTTACCAATGTTTAACATTTTGCCACATATACTTTTTTCGTTCCCTTCATATATATATATATATATATATATATTTTCTGAACCATTTTAGAATAGGTTGCATATATCATTTCCCTTTACCTCTTATTATCTTTAAAAATTTTATATATATATAAATAGATAGAGATGGAGGTCTTGCTACATTGTCCAGGCTGGTCTTGAACTCCTGGGCTCAAGCAATTCTCCCACCTCGGCCTCCCAAAGTGTTGAGATTACAGGCATGAGCCACTGCGCCTAGCCCCATCATCTTATTTGTGTATTTCCTGAGAACAAAGGTATTCTCTTATATAGCTATAAATCAGTTATTACATTCAGGAATTTAACATTGAGAAAATCATAAGTCTTGTACCTCAACTTTTTCAATTTTTTTCCCTCCAGTCCAGGATCATGTTTTGCATTTTGTTGTTTGTTTTTGTTTTGTTTTCTTTAGTCTGCAACTGTTCCTCAGCCTTTTATTAGCTTTCATTATATCGCTCCTTATTTTACAAATGTTCTTCAATTTGAGTTTGTTATACATTTCCTTAAGATTAGATTTCAGCTAACTTATTCCCAACCCAAATAATGTATTTTTTCCAGTGTATCACATCCAGAGGCACACTTTGTTCCTCTGTTCCTCATTGGTGATCATTTTGATCAAGATGTTGTCTGTTTTCTCTACTGAAGAGTTACTGTTTTACCTTTTGTAACTAATTAGCAGTCTGTGGAGAGAGACTTTGAAACTATATAAATATTCTGTTCCTCACCAAACTTTCCCCCTAGATTTAGCATTCATTAATTATTCTTGCTTGGACCAACGTTTACGAGGATGGTTGAGAATGGTGATTTTCCAGTTTCACAACTCCTTTACATGTATAAGTTGGTATAAGGAAGGGCACCTCCCACACTTATTGATTGATTGATTATCAGTATGACCTAAAGAATTCCTGTTTTATAACCAGGGTTATAATCCATTATATTCTTAGCTTGGTGCTCACATTTTCTCACACTTGGCCAGGGGGAACCCGTTCAAATTGGGTCCTGTGTGCATTTAACAATCTCCCATCATGTTTTGAACACTTTCTCACTTTGGCTTAACAAGATGTTCGAGGTTTATTTTGAACTTTCCTTACCCCAGCTCTGGGACCAGACATTCCTCTAAGGAGTAAAAACCAAGATAAGGCTTTAGGTGTGCTCATTGCAACTGATTTGACATTGCTTCTAAGCCCTTTCAGAGTTAGGAAATATAAGAGTTATAAAAGTTCACGCTGGTAAGTCTCAATTCAACCTCCAATTTTTTCTTTTTTTTTTTTTTTGAGATGGAGTCCCACTCTGTCACTCAGGCTGGAGTGCAATGGTGCAATCTAGGCTCACTGCGGCCTCCGTCTCCTGGGCTCAAGCAATTCTCCCACCTCAGCCTCCCAAATAGCTGACACCACAGGTGTGTGCCACCATGCCTGGCTAATTTTTATTTTATTTTTTTGTAGAGACAGGGTTTCCCCATGTTGCTGAGGGTGGTCTCAAACTACTGGGCTCAAGGGATCCTCTTGCCTCAGCCTCCCAAAGCGCTGGGATTCCAGGTATGAGCCACTGTGCCCGGCCTAATTTTATTATTTATTTATTTATTTTTACTTATTTATTTATTTGAGACAGTGTCTCACTCAGGCTGGAGTGCAGTAGTGTGATTACAGCTCACTGCAGCCTGACCTCCTGGGCTCAAGCCATCCTCCCACCTCAGCCTCTGGAGTAGCTGGGACCACAGGTGTATGCCACCACGCCTGGCTAATTTTTTTTATTTTTTGTTGAGATGGGAGTCTCGCCATGTTGTCCACACTGGTCTCAAACTCCTGGGCTTAAACAATCCACCTACCTCAGCCTCCCAAGTGCTAGGATTACAAGTGTGAGCCACTGTGCCTGGCCCAGTGTAATTTTAATCTGCATTTCTCTAAGTGAAGTTAAACATTTATGTATGTGTGTGTGTATATATATATCTCTTTATATATATATCTCTTTATATATATCTTTATATATATATATGCTTTTTTTTTCTTTTTCTTTTTTTGAGACAGGGTCCCTCTTTGTCAGGCAGGCTGGAGTGCAGTGGGGTGAAAATGGCTCACTGCAGCCTTAACATTAACATCTTGGGTTCAAGCCATCCTCCCACCTCAGCCTCCCAAGTAGCTGAGACCACAGGTGTGACCCACACATATATATGTAGACCACTTTTATATCTTTCTGAATTGTCTGTTCATGCCTTTTGGCCATTTTTCTATTGGGTTTTTGGACTTTTTGTCCTCCTAAATTTTAAAGACAGTTTTATGTGCTGTATTAGGGATAGTAACCATTTGTCTGTGATGTATGTCGGGAAAACTTTCTCCCAATTTGTATTTTGTCTTTTAACTTTATTTACAGTGATTTTTTTGTCATGCAAAAGTTTTTTTATGTAGTCAAATTTATCAGTCTTTTATTTCATTTAGATTTTGAGTCATAATGAGAGAAAGACTTTTCCTACACCCATTTTATGGAGAAATTTGCCCACGTTTTCTTCCACTATTTTTAGTTTCGTTTTTTACATTTAGATCTTTGATCTATTTGGAGTTTATGCTTGTGTGAAAAGATCGTGTGAAGAATGGATCTAATTTTATCTTTTCCCAAATGGCTGTCCAGTTTTTTGTTTGTTTTTCTTTCTTCTTTTCTCCCTAAGCTGGACAGATTTGGCATGTTCAGTTGTTTTAATATCATTTATTTAAAAACCCAGCTTTTCCCTGGTAACTTTTGGTACCACCTTTATCATACACTGAATTTCTATTTGTAGTTGTGTCTATTTCTGGGGTTCCTACTCTGTTCCATTAGTCTGTCTATTCATGCTCCACAACCATATTCTTTATCATACCAGCTTTGTAATGTGGTTTAATGTCTTACAGGACTGGTATCTCCTCAGAGCCCTTCCTTCTTAGTTTTCCTAGCTATCTTCTCATATTTATTTTTCTATATGATCATTTCAATTGCCTATCTCCAGAAAAAAAACTTTTTGAGAATTATATTCGGATCACATTAAATTTATATATTGACTTAGAATTGAAATTTTTTTTTTTTCTTTTTGAGACAGAGCCTCATTCTGTTGCCCAGGCTGGAGTGCAGTGGTGTGATCTCAGCTCACTGCAGCCCTCCGCCTCCCAGGTTCAAGCGATTCTCGTGCCTCAGCCTCCCAAGTAGCTGGGACTACAGGTGTGTGGGCCACCATACCAAACTAAGTTTTGTATTTTTAGTAGAGACAGAGTTTCACCATGTTAGCCAGGCTGGTCTTGAACTCCTGATCGCAAGTGATCCGCCCACCTTGTCCTCCCTCTCAAAGTGCTGGGATTACAGGCATGAGCCACTGCACCCAGTCTAGAATTGAAATCTTAATGAAGCTGAGATATCCTAGGCAAGAACAGAAGTCTTTCTTTTTGCTCAAGTTCACTTTCAGGTATTTCAGGAGTGTTTCATAGTTTCATTCATATAGGTTTTGAACATTTCTTGTTAAGTTTCATTCCTATTTTAGCTATTTGTTACTTTTGTAAATGGGTTTTTTTCTTCCACCATTATATATCCCAACTGGTTATTACTTGCGTATATGAAAAAAAAATTACTTGTGTTGATTTTTGTATGTTAATTTTTATATACTGCTACATTGATTTTTTTAAAATTGAGTTTATTTTATCATTTTTTCCCAGGGTCTGAGGTGTGCTATCATGTCATGTACAAATAGAGATAGTTTCACTTTTTCTTTTCTTCTAATTTTTATGCCTTTGCTTTGTCTAATTGTATTGGTCAAATACCTGTTGTGTAAATACTAGTGGGCCGGGTGTGGTGGCTCACACCTGTAATCGCAGCACTTTGGGCCACAGAGGCCTAGACCAGCAGATCACCTGAGGTCAGGAGTTTGAGACCAGCCTGACCAACATGGTGAAACCCCGTCTCTACTAAAAATACAAAAATTAGCTGGGAGTGGTGGCAGGCATCTGTAATCTCAGCTACTTGGGAGGCTGAGGTGGGAGGATTGCTTGAACCCAGGAGGTGGAGGTTGCAGTAAACCGAGATCCCGCCACTGCACTCAGCCTGGGCAACAGAGCCAGACTCCATCTCAAAAAAAAAAAAAAAAAAAGGAGTGGAGACAGTAGGAATCTTTGTCTTGTTTCTGACCTTAGTCGAAAAGTCTCTAGTATTTCACTGTTACGTAAGATGCCAGCTTTAGGATGGAGATATATATCTCCATATACCTACACACACACGTGTAATTTATATAGGAGATACGTACATGTAAGTATATGTACTGATGTATATATTTTGAATAAAGTAAAATATACGTGTATGTATGTTCATGTATGCATATCCATTATTAATTGTGTCTTTTAGTATTAAACATGTCCTTTGACACATTTAATACCTTATTGCTAGATATGTAATGTTATGTTTTTCTTTATGTACTACATCTTTTGGTATTTAGAAAAGATTGCATTTTTGTTCTAATTATGTTACTTTTTTTTTTTTTTTTTTGAGATGGGGTCTCACTCTGTTGTCTGGGCTGGAGTGCAGTGGTGTGATTACTACTCACTTCAGTCTCAAATTCCCAGGCTCAAGTGATCCTCCCACTTCAGCCTTCCAAGTAGCTGAGACAACCACTCATCACCATGCTTGACTAACGTATTTTTTATTTTTTGAAGAGATGAGGTCTCACTATGTTGCCCAGACTGGTCTTGAACTCTGGGGCTCAGGCGACTCTCCTGCCTCAATCTCCCAAAGTGCCGGGATTACAAGCATGAACTACCCAGCCCACCTGTTTTTTTTGTTTGTTTGTTTTTTTCCAAGACGGAGTCTTGCTCTGTCACCCAGACTAGAGTGCAATGGCACAATCTCCGCTCACTGCAACCTCTGCATCCCGGGTTCAAGCAATTCTCCTGCCTCAGCCTCCCGAGTAGCTGGGATTACAGGCATGTGCCACCACACCCGGCTAATTTTTGTATTTTTAGTAGAGATGGGGTTTCACCATGTTGGTCAGGCTGGTCTTGAACTCCTGACCTCGTGATACCCCTGCCTCATCCTCCGAAAGTGCTGGGATTATAGGCGTGAGCCACCGTGCCTGGCCGTTTTTTTTTTTTTTTTTTAACTAAACCTTTTATTATCTGGTCTGTCAATTTTTTAATAGTATCAACTATCTAACAATCTAACACTCAATGATCTTATTCTACTTTCCCTTCTCTTTCCTCTCTCCCTTCTCCTCTCAATTTTTTTTGTTGTTTTGCCCTTTTCTGTTTTTATTTTGGAAACTTGCAAATGTGTACAAAAGTATAGAAAGTAATGTAATAAAGCCAATGTTCCTATCACCCGCTTTCAACAACTCTCAACATTTGGTTCATTTTCTTTCATTTACATTCCCCCAATTCACATGTCCCTAGATTATTCTGAAGCAAATTTCAAACCTCATGTCATTTTATCTGTAACTATTTCAAAGTGTGTATAAAAGATAAAGACTTTTAAAATTATTGCCACAATACTATTATCCCAGTTAAAATAAATGAGTAAGAATTCCTTTCTCTCTCTCTCTCTTTTTTTCTTTCTTGAGACAGAGTCTCACTCTGTTGCCCAGGCTGGAGTGCAGTGGCAGGATCTCAGCTCACTGCAACCTCCACCTCCTGAGTTCAAGCGATTCTCCTGCCTCCGCCTCCCGATTAGCTGAGACTACAGGCGTGTGCCGCCATGGCCAGCTAATTTTTGTATTTTTAGTAGAGACTGTTTCACCATGTTGGCCATGATGGTCTCAAACTCCTGACCTCAAGTGATCCGCCCGCCTCAGCCTTCCAAAGTGCTGGGATTACAGGCGTGAGCCACTGCGCCTGGCCAAGAATACCTTAATATAAAATATCCAGTGGGTGTTCATACATCTCCAGTTGTTTTATAATTTTTTTACATGTTATTTGTCTGAATTAGGATTTAAATAAGTCTAGTTATTTGTGTTGGTCAACATATCTCTTAAGCCTCTTTTAATTTAAAGGTTCCTGTTACTGATGACTAGGGATTCTGGGCACTTTTTTTCTTGCATATTGGCCATTCATATCTCTTATGAAGTGTCTGTTCAAGACTTTTGCCCAGTTATTTTTAATTGGGTTTTTGTCTCCTCATTGCTGAGATGTAGAATTTCTTTATATGTTCTGGATACAAGTCCTTTGTCATATACATCTATCTTGAATATAGTCTCCCATTCTATATGTCTAATAGACAACTTGTCAATTCATTCTCTTCATGGCATCTTTTGATGAGCATAAGGTTTTAATCTGGGTAAAGTCCAGTGTATTTTTTTTTTGAGATGAAGTCTCACTCTGTTGCCTAGACTGGAGTGCAATGGCACGATCTTGGCTCACTGCAACCTCCACCTCCCAGGTTCAAGCGATTCTCTTGCTTCAGCCTCCTCTGTAGCTGGGATTACAGGCACAGGCTACCGCGCCTAGCTAAGTTTTGTATTTTTAGTAGAGAGGGGGTTTCACTATATTGGTCAGGCTGGTCTTGAACTCCTGGCCTCCAGTGATCCACCCACCCCGGCCTCCCAAAATGCTGGGATTACAGGCATGAGCCACTGCCCCTGGTCGTGTTATACTTAATATTTTAAGTATATTTTATTATACTTAATTATACTATATTTATAGATTATACTTAATTATATATTATACTTAATTATACTATAATATATTATATGTTTATTAATATTTTAAATTTTAACCATTTAAAATAATATTTTTAATTGTTTGGAGGTGAGGTATGAGGAGGCACCAAGCAGCACCACCTTAGAGGCTAACCCAGTTACAGCATATTTTTTAAAGGTGTCTTCATTGTTTTGTTCTTGCTCTTATTTTAAAAATAATAGCTCCTCTTAAAAACTAACTCAGAATTCAGCAGAAAGTAAAAGTCCTTCATAATTGAGGGGGGTGGAGGGTGAGATGGGGAGTTAGGTCTGAAGTGAAACTTAAGTCCATTGCAGCTAAAGAATGGTTTTACATTTTTAAACAAATCAAAACAATCATATCCACATCCAAGCCTCCAAACCCCCTACAGCAGAGTAGCAAAATCAAAATGTCTTGCTTTTGTGCTAAGCTTTTTTTTTTATAAATGGAATTTAATTTTTTAATTTGAAGCAATGACAAAGGCTATAGAAAAAGTGGAAACGCAGTACAAAAAATTATTTTCTAAACCATTTGAGAGTTGCTAACCTAATGCATCGTACCCAAACACATATTTATTTCCTAGAAACAAGGACATTCTCCTCCATAACCATGACACCGCCATGAAAACGATCAGCACCGTCGAATCCTCACGCCCCACTCAAGTTCCTTGATTGCTTCAATAATGTCCTCCGTAGCAAAAGGATCTAGTTCAAAATCGGGAGTTACATTTCATTGTCATGCCTAAAACGTAAGAATTGCTCATTCACTTTGGAGCAGTTCTTCAGTCTATCCTTGATTTTCATGACCTTGACACTTTTGAACATTATAGACCAGTTATTCAATAGAATATCTTTCAATCTGGGTTTGTCCGATACCTCTTTATTATTAGATTGAAATGATACATTTTGGTGGAACTATCACAGAATTGACATTGCATTCTTCTCATTACATCCTGTCTGGTGGCCTGTGATTCTGTTTTATCTCATTACCAATGGCGTTTGTTTTGAGCATTTGATTAAGTTGTTATCTGCCACTATAAAGTTGCTATTTTTCTCTTTATAATTACTATGTTGTAGGGAGGTATTTTGAAACTATGTAAATGTTTGCTTGCCCATCAAACATTCCATTTGTTCACTGATTTATTTATATCTGTATGAGTTTATGGTTTCCCATTTTAGTCAATGAGTTATAATCTGTTACTATCATTATTTAAATTTTTTTTTCTGCTTTCTTTCGCTCCCCAGCAGGAAACGACGACTATCACTATTAATTTTAGTGCTCAGTTTTTCCCTGATGTGACTCGTGGCAGCTCCTTCAAGTTGGCTTCTTTGACCTTTTGACATGTCCCTATTGTTTTTTATTTTAATTAATTAATTTATTTATTTATTTATTTTTTGAGACAGAGTCTCACTCTGTCACCCAGACTGGAGTGCAGTGGTGTGATCTCAGCTCACTGAAACCTCTGCCTCCCAGGTTCAAGTGATTCTCCTGCCTTGGCCTCCCAAGTAGCTGGGACTACAGGTGTGCGCCACCACACCCAGCTAATTTTTAATATTTTTAGTAGAGACAGGGTTTCACCATATTGGCCAGGCTGGTCTCAAACTCCTGACCTCATGATCTGCCTGCCTTGCCCTCCCAAAGTGCTGGGATTACAGGCCAGAGCCACCGCGCCTGGCCCATCCCCATTATTTTTTTAGTACTTCCTGGCTTTTTTTTTTTTTTTTTTTTGAGACGCAGTCTCACTCTGTTGCCCAGGCTGATGCGCAATCTCAGCTCACTGCAACCTCTGCCACCCGGGTTCAAGCAATTCTCCTGTCTCAGCCTCCTGAACAGCTGGGATTACAGGTGCCTGCCACCACGCCCGGCTAATTTTTGTAGCTTTAGTAGAGACGGGGTTTCACCTTGTTGGCTATGCTGGTCTCGAACTCCTGACCTTGCGATCTGCCCACTTCAACCTCCCAAAGTGTTGGGATTACAGGCATGAGCCACTGCGCCCGGCCTACTTCCTGGCTTTATGGCACAAGATGTACCAGTCTTTTCTTATATCTTCCCTGCTCCTGCTTTGCAATTAGCCATTTTTCCAAGAAGCCCTGGTTTCTTTTAGTGCAGTGTGGCATTTAGAAGCCAATATCTGGGTGCCAGGTGTGCTCCTATACGTTAGGGCAGTCACTGAACCTAGGCTGCCTTTATGAACAGAACTAGGGAATATAGGAAACATATCCAACACCTACTGAATCAGTCTGCAGTGTTAACAAGATCCCTAGGGGATTCACATGCACTTTAAAGCTTTGGAAGCACTGCTCACCTACAGAGTAGACTCTACTGTCCAATCTAGCTATTTGAGTGTCAGCCGTCATGTTGCATGTTAGCCATCACGTTTCATTTCGGCCATCGGGAAGGAGGAGGGGAGCAAAAGAATTCACCTCCTGTTGAGTTAGGTCCCTTTAATCCCCGAAGTCTTTCAGAACACTTCTGCTAATGTCTCATTGTTTAGAGCTTAGTCACATGCCTGCGTGCAAAGGAGACAGGGAAATCTAGTGTTTTAGTTGGGGGGCATTGCCCAGCTAAATAAAATTAATGTTTTTTTTTTTTTTTTTTTTTTTTTTTTGAGATGGAGCTTGGAGTTTTGCTCTTGTCTCCCCAGGCTGGAGTGCAGTGGCATGATCTCAGCTCACTGCAACTTCCACCTCCTGGGTTCAAGCAATTCTCCTGCCTAAGCCTCCCAAGTAGCTGGGATTACCAGTCATTCACCACCACACCCTGATAATTTTGTATTTTTAGTAAAGATGGGGTTTCACCATGTTGGTCAGGCTGATCTCGAACTCCTGATCTCAGGTGATCCACCCATCTCGGCTTCCCAAAGTTCTGGGATTATAGGTGTGAGCCACCGCTCCTGGCCTTAATGTTCTGTTTCTAAGGAAAAAAAAGAGATGCTAGCTATTGGGTGGGTTATAAGAGTCTCTGCCCCTCTGGTCTTACTTGGTAGCAGCCTGTGTGTCCTCTCAGCATACTGGGAAATTGTTGGCAGCAGCAGCCAACACTGGGCACAACAACCAATCACCCTTATGTGGACAGCAGGGAAGTCACTATGGTTAGCCCATAGTTGAAGGACAAATGTAAAACCCCTACCTCAACCCCCTCTTTTTCTTTCTCTCTCTCTCTCATTCTCTTTTCTTTTTTTCTTTCTTTTTTCTTTTCTTTTCCTTTCTTTCTTTCCTTTCTTTTCTTTCTTTCTTTTCTTTTCTTTTCCTTTCTTTCTTTCTTTTCTTTTCTCTTTCTCTCTCTCTCTCTCTCTCTCTCATGCTTTGGAATTTGTGTCATCCTTGCACAGGAGCCATGCTAATCTCTGTATCATTCCAATTTTAGTACCTATGCTGCCAACGTGAGCACTCTTTCTTTTTCCTTTTTCTTGAGACAGAGTCTTGTTGTGTCACCCAGGCTGGAGTGGAGTGCACTCTCTGAGCATCACGATCTCTGCTCACTGCAACCTCCACCTCCCGGGTTCAAGCAATTCTTGTGCCTCAAAAAGCTGGGACTCATGCATCCCAAGAAGCTGGGACTACAGGCATGTGCCACCAAGCTCAGCTAATTTGTATTCTTAGTAAAGATGGGGTTTCACCATATTGGCCAGGCTGGTCTCGATCTCCTGACCTCATGTGATCTGCCCCCCTCAGCCTCCCAAACTGCTAGGATTACAGGCGTGAGCCACCACACCTGTCCTCTTTCTCTCTTTCCTTCTTTCCATGAGTGCAGTGGTGCAATCGTGGCCTACTGCACACTTGAACTCCCAGGCTCCAGAGATCCTCCCACCTCAGCCTCCCAAGTAGCTGACACTACAGGTACATGCCACCATGCCTGGCTACTTTTTTTATTTTTTAAAGATGGCATCTTGCTGTGTTGCCCAGTCTGGTCTTGAACTTCTGGCCTCAAGTGATCCTTTCACCTCAGCCTCCCAAAAATGCTGAGATTACAGATGTCAGCCCTTGCGCCCAGCCCCAAATACTCACTTTCAGATAGACCCTGTTACCATCATGCCCACCAACCCTATCTTCTGCTTGGCCCCAAACTGGAGCCAGGGCCAGAATTCAAGGAGCAATAAGGTAGAAAAGAATGTTTGGAAGGCACTGTTTTCGCACAGTAGCTCAGCCGGCAGACTCTGGAAACAGACTGCTCAGGTTCAAATCCCAGTGCCACCATTTATCAGCTGTGGGGTTTTCAGTAAGTTATAGCTCTTTGCTAGGGCTCAGTGTACTTGTGTTAAAATGGGGATGAGGCTGGGTGCAGTGGCTCATGCCTGTAATCCCAGTGCTTTGGGAGACCGAGAGGGGGGTGATGGCTTGAGCTCAGGAGTTTGAGGCCAGCCTGGGCAACATAAGGAGATCCCATCTCTATTTAAACAAAATTAAAAAAAAAAAAAAAAAAGCCAGGCACAGTGGCTCATGCCAGTAATCCCAGCACTTTGGGAGGCTGAAGCGGGTGGATCACGAGGTCAAGAGATCGAGACCATCCTGGCCAAAATGGTGAAATACCGTCCCTACTAAAAATACAAAAATTAGCTGGGCATGGTGGTACGTGCCTGTAGTCCCAGCTACTTGGGAGGCAGGAGAACCGCTTGAACCCGGGAGGAGGAGGTTGTAGTGAACCAAGATTGCGCCCCTGCATTCCAGCCTGGTGAGAGAGTGAGACTCCATCTTAAAAAAAAAAAAAATGGGATAGATATAGGGCTACCTCACAGGTTGTTGTGAAGATTTGATGGAAATAACTATTATGCAAAGCTCGTGGAGCACCTGGCCCACAGTGAGCTCCCATACACCTTAGTTCTTATTACTAAGCAGAGATACCATAGCAAAGATAGCACCGCCCCGGAGGTGGCTGCCAACCCTGATGGTGGGCTCAGGCCCAGAGACCCGTTCTGCAGGAAGTACAGAAACCACCAACTTGGAGGTGCCATCGATTTACTTAGTACTAAAGTATTAAGTAAAAAGCCCAGGATTTCCACCATTTTGGAGGAGATTGACGCCAGCTCCATTTGCCATTCTACACCTCTGTGACAGATACCCAGGACTTTCCTGTTTTGGTATCGTGTAGACAGTATATTGTCTTTCCCTGAGTTTGCTTTTGTTTTTCTTGACTGCTCAAACTATTTCCAACAGATTTTTTTTTTAAACAGTATTTTGGAAAAAAAAAACAAACAAGCAAGAAAACAAATTGACCTGCTAGATAGAGCATTTGACTTTGCATCCATCCTCTGCATGACGAAACTTGCAGCCACCCCTGCCCCTTTACAAGAACTTAGCAAACCCTCGCAAGTCTGCATCCGTCACTCGATATGTGAAAAGTGGCCTATCATTTTCTTAGACAAACATCCTGGGCAGTTTGGCTTCTTTTACTTTGTCATTAAGACAACCGGTTTGGCTGAATACCTTAGGGGACCTTGAAAGACCAGTTCTTATTCTTTTAACTTCCTCCCTGGCTTATCATTTTGGTTTATAATTTGAACATATTTGCCAATGGCCTCTAGGTACCACTGAAAGAAATACCTAAGATGAACAAAGACCATTTTTTCTTCTTAAGATCCATGTCTCCACGTCACAATGGGGCAAGATTTAAAGAATGCCAAAGAGTGCATGAGTGCATTGTGGGTCTTTATGCAAAACTAGGACTAAATGTTCCTGTGCAGTATGACTGTAGCTCATTCTGCCACTTCCAAGGCTGGCTGAAACTGTTGGAACTAATCTCTCTGTCCTTTTAACCTCCAACTCAAGCTGGGGCCAAGATGCCACCTGGTTGGCCACCTCAGGGGCCAGGGAAGTGGCTGCGAAGAGTAACAGTGCCCCTACTGGCGAGTGCTTATGACAGTGAATTTGACAGCAGGAAACCTCCCCCAGGGGGCTCCTGAAGCAGCTGGAACGTGACCTTTGGTGTCTTGCCCTGTGGCATATGCAAACTGATGTTTAATGGCAAATATAAATGTAGCACTTACTGCTAAGTATCTCAGGGTGGCCAGAGACTGGCCACTCTATGTTTTCCCTGCAGTGGCTGTGGTTTTCCCATCCCTCTTTTCCTGGTAACAGTACCACTTCTCTTCAGAAAATCTCTCCCAAACTCTACATGAATCCAGTAATTTTAATGAGCCACAGTACTTGATCCTGTCCATAGGGGTGAGAATGGGACCCAGCCAGGCCAAACTTAGTCCTGCATCCCTTTGGACATTGTTGTGTAAGCTAGAAAGCTGGAGGTCATCCTTGACAACATCCTGTCCCTTACCTGCCATATCCAAGCTCCCAGATCTGTGAATTTTGCCTCCTGGATCTCTTTCCTGTCCATCTCCTCAATCACCCAAGTCCCAGCTGTTATTATCTGGCTTCTTAGTTAGTGTCCTCCTAACTGATACTCTCACATTTGCTCCGGGCCACCTCCATGCAGCCTACTGCAGCTGGAGTCTTTTTTTTTTTTTTTTTTTTTTTTTCAGATTGGGTTTTGCTCTTGTTGCCCAGGCTGGAATACAATGGTGTAATCTTGGCTCACTGCAACCTCCGCCTCCCAGGATCAAGTGATTCCCCTGTCGCAGCCTCCTGAGTAGCTGGGATTACAGGTGCCCGCCACCATGCCCGGCTAATTTTTGTATTTTTAGTAGAGACAGGGTTTCATCATATTGGTCAGGCTGGTCTCGAACCCCTGACATCAGGTGATCCACCTGCCTTGGCCTCCCAAAGTGTTCGGATTACAGGTGTGAGCCACTGTGCCCTGCCATAGAGTCATTCTTTCAAAGGACAAATATGATTGTGACACCTTACCCACCCCCAATTTTGGTCTTGGCTTCCTACGGCCTTAGGATAAAGACAAAATTCCTTAATGTGGCCCACAAGCCCCGTGGACTACACCCCCCGCCTCTCCTGTCCCACCTTGTCCTGCTCTCTGCTGTTTCAGCTACTAGACATTCTTGCAGCCCCAGTTTTTGGTATTAACTAACATGGTGCTTTGTGCATAGCGATTCTTCCATCCAAAATGCCCTTTCCCTAACCCTCCACCTAGGTAACTCATCCTTTTTGTCTTAGTGCAAGCATCATTTCCTTAGGGAAGCTTTTCCCAACCTCCAAGGTCAAATCCTCCATGTATACTCTCCAGGTACCACCTATCTCCTTTGCAAAGCACTCGCCACAGTGCAGCTTCACACTTGCTGGCTAATTGATTTATGTTTGTCTCCCCAGTGATTATGAACTCCATGGGGCTAGGCCCAGTATCATTTTTTGCTCATATTTGTTGAATGATTGACAGTGAATGAACTGGTCCAAGAGGTGGGCATCCAACATAAATCAGGCCAACTGGAGCCTTTCCCCCAAATTTCCCAAATCAAAGTGGGAGGAGAGTTGTTCTCCTTTCCTCTGGGATCCTAAGATACAAGGAGGCAGGTTCTGGGTTGCAGATGACTATCTTTCCTGCCTTATGTGGTCACCTGTCTACAAAATAAAACCTGGCAAGTGGAGAGGAGAGAAGGTCCTGCCAGGTAGGGTCCCTCATTTCCATCCCCAGGTCCCTGGGGTCAGGAACTCTTCCTTCAGTTCTCCAAGCCTCCCAAGTCATTCCCAGTTGTGAAAGCCAATAGCTCTCCAGTTTATGCAAGCTTGTTTGAGTTTGGGTTTTGTCACTCACAAAATAAAGATCTCTGGCTAAGGCAAGTTAACCCAGTAGTCTGGGCCTAGAGATCCAGGACTGGAGAGACATTAGGTTAGGACATTAGGGAAAAAATTGGCCTAAAGGTGAATTTAAAATTGTATCTGATGTGGCTAACTTTGCCTACTACAATTAGACTGCACAGATGCCCATTGCTATCTGCCATAGGAAAGGTGTTCCTAACCTGCTGGCAAGCATTTGTGGCATGGCGGAAATATTTCATTTGAATGCAGAGTACATGTCTGCAACAAACAAGCAGCCACATGTCTAAGCAGCCATCCGGTGATGCATCACACATGCCTTGTGCACCTATGAGCAACACAGATGCTATAGGAAACAGTGAATAAGCTTCAGTCCCCTGCAGAGGTTTATAACAGTTTGTTAGGGAGTGTGGCATAGACATAAATGGAAAGAAAGAAAGTGCCCAGACCTCTGACGGAGCTCACTCCTGAAAGGCTGCTTGAGGGGCCAGGCAGCACGCCCAGGAGCACAAGCTTCGGAGCCAGGAAGACCTGCGTGTGAATGTCGGCTCGGCTGCTCACCGCCACTCGGGCTTACGTCGTTTCCTCTGCTGTAAAATGGGGATAATCATGCCCTTGTGGGTAATCAGGAGGATTAACAGAGATAAAATACATAAACTCCCCAGCAGAGAAGCATTCTGCAAATTGAAGTAAGTGTTACCATATGCCCAGGTGATACTTTGCAGTCCACCTGGAAAGTCCCAGGCCCAGATCATACTGTTTCACCCCCATGAGACATAGCTCTTGAAATCCCAGCATTAGGGATTCAGTTTGGGGTTTATGGTTTGATTGCTGGAAGACCCCTGCTAAAATGTATACATGCTATTTAAAAGTGCTAATACGTTTTTTTTTTGTTTTTTGTTTTTTGTTTTTTTTTTGCTACAGAGTTTTGCTCTTGTTGCCCAGGCTGGAGTGCAATGGCATGATCTTGGCTGACTGCAACCTCCGCCACCTGGGTTCAAACAATTCTCCTGCCTCAGCCTCCCAAGTAGCTGTGAGTACAAGCATGCGCCACCAGGCCAGCTAATTTTGCATGTTTAGTAGAGACACGGTTTCACCATGTTGGTCAGACTGGTCTTGAACTCCTGATCTCCAGTGATCCACGCACCTCGGCTTCCCAAAGTGCTGGGATTACAGGCGTGAGCTACCACTGTGCCTGGCCTAAAAGTGCTAATACTTTTATTTATATTTTTTAATTGGTCATTGGAAGACGTGGACACTTATCAAGGGTCAGTTAAATTGATCAGCAAAGAGCATAATAGGACTTGGAGAATGAGGGAAATGATAATGCAACCCTGCTGCATACCATGCACCGTGGACTGTGCTTCTTGCACTGAATTGACCTAGCTCTTGGCAGCCCAATTTCCACATCTGAAGACCCTAAGGACATTTAGTCAGATGTGGTGGCATGCACCTGTGGTCCCAGCTACTCAGGAGGCTGAGGCAGGAGGATCGCTTGAGCCTGGAGGTCAAGGCTGCAGTGAGCTAAGATAGTGCCACTGCACTCCTGCCTGGGTGGCAGAGTGAGACCCTGTCTTAAAAAAAAAAAAAAAAAAAAAAAGAACAGCACCTCTCTCATAGGATTGTTTTGATAATTAATTAGGATAACTCCTGAAAAACACTGCCACATTGCTTTAGCAAGCCAGCATTGGAGCCCAGGGCGGTCTGAGTGGCTAGGAAGCACTTGAAGCCAAGGTCCATTTGGTGAGGGAACAGACAACAAAAGAGAAGAAGGCCGGGCGCAGTGGCTCATGCCTGTAATCTCAGCACTTTGGGAAGCTGAGGTGGGTGGATCATGAGGTCAGGAGTTCGAGACCAGCCTGGCCAACATGGTGAAACCCCATCTCTACTTACAATACAAAAAGTAGCCAGGCGTGGTGGCATATGCTTGTAATCCCAGCTACTCCAGAGGCTGAGGCAGGAGAATTGCTTCAACCCGGGAAGCAAAGGTTGCAGTGAGCCGAGATCGCACCACTGCACTCCAGCCTGGGTGACAGAGCAAAACTCCATCTCAGAAAAAAAAAAAAAAAAAAAAAAGAGGAGAAAAGAGGGCACTAAGATTGCCTCTGCCAGAAGCAGGTAAGGATGCTGTGCTAACATGACCATGTTGTACTGTTTCACCGACTGAAAAGGCCGCGGATGCAGCTGGAGCCTTTTCCAGTGGTAACCTGAAAGAAAACCATATGACCAGACCTCACTTACCTTCAAGAAATCTGTTCCTGAACTTTCACCAGTTCTGGGAATGTCACCTTTCAAAGTGCTTTCTCTCCTCTTGTACTTTCCAAGACCTAACATATGCTCTCTATCCGGATTCTAAGACAGATGAACTGAAGATAAAATGATGCAGGCAGGAAAGATACTTGGTTAAAAGATCTAAAAGCAATGTAAACACTGGGACTTCTTATTGTGACAGTCCACAGGGGGGCATTGCTTGCCAATTCATAATTTGTGGAATTTTCCATTCCATTGCTAGACACCAGAAGATGAAAAACAACTCCTGGACATAGACAAATGACAACTCCATTACTGTCTCAATGGGGAAACTTGCTGGTCTTC
The DNA here is from genome assembly GCF_000001405.40 of Homo sapiens. Taxonomy (NCBI): domain Eukaryota; kingdom Metazoa; phylum Chordata; class Mammalia; order Primates; family Hominidae; genus Homo; species Homo sapiens. Next base: position 100,676,627 of record NC_000008.11, on the reverse strand, counting down.
ATTAATTCATGCTCCTCTTTCCTCTTCTGACTAGCAGGCAAGGGTTGATGGAAAAAAAACAAATTATAGTCACTCAGTCTGAGCCACCCACAGAGTTAGAGGAGGCTCCCCAGCTGCATCAGGGTCATCCAGGAGCTTTGACATGTACTCGATTCCCAGGGCCTGTCGCTTGGAGAATCTGATTTAATAGGCCTGAGGCAGGAGGTTGGGGGCATGGTAGGGACTTTTTTTTTTTTTGGTAAAGGGCTTTATTGAGATACAATTCACATAGCATACAATTCACCCTTCTAAAGTGTACAATTAAATGTTTTCTGGTATATCCACAGAGTTATGCAAAATAGCACCACAATCAATTTTAAAACATTTTAACCAACCCCAAAAGGAAACCGTGTGACCATTAGCTGTCACTCCCCAATCACCCTGTCTCCCCAGTCTTCCCAGTCCTAGGCACCCACTCACCTACTTTCTTTCTTTCTTTCTTTTTTTTTTTGAAACGGTTTCACTCTTGTCACCCAGGCTGGAGTGCAATGGTGCGATCTCGGTTCACTGCAACCTCCGCCTCCTGGGTTCAAGTGATTCTCCTGCCTCAGCCTCCCGAGTAGCTGGGATTACAGGTGCCTGCCACCATGCCTGGGTAATTTTTGTATTTTTAGTAGAGATGGGGTTTCACCATGTTGGCCAGCTGGTCTCAAACTCCTGACCTCAGGTGATCCGCCTGCCTCAGTCTCCCAAAGTGCTGGAATTACAGGTGTAAACCACTGTGCCTGGCTCATCTACTTTCTGTCTCTATAGATTTACCTATCCTGCACATTTCATATAAATGGAGTCATATATTAATACTTTGTGATCTTTTGTGACTGGCTTCTTTCACTTTCCATAATGTTTCCAGGTTCATTCGTGTTGTTGTAGTATGTATCAATATTCCATTGTTTTTATGGACGAATAATATTCCATTGTATGGATACCACATTTTATTTATCAGTTCATCATTTGATGGACATTTGGGCTCTTTCCACTTTTTGGCTATTGTTAATAATGCTGGTATGATTATTCATGTACAAGTTTTTGTGTGAACAAGGCTTATTTTTAAAGTGCTCCCTGGTTGGGCATGGTGGCTGACACCTGTAATCCCAGCAGTTTGGGAGGCTGAGGAGGGTGGATCGCCTGAGATCAGGAGATCAAGACCAGCCTGGTCAACATGGTGAAACCTGTCTCTACTAAAAACACAAAACTTAGCTGGGCATGGTGGCACATGCCTATAGTCCCAGCTACTTGGGAGGCTGAGGCAAGAGAATTGCTTGAACCTGGGAGGCAGAGGTCGCAGTGAGCCGAGATCACGCCACTGCACTCAAGCATGGGTGACTGAGTGAGACTCCGTCTCAGAATAAATAAAATAAAATAAATAAAATAAAATAAAATAAAAAAGTGCTACCCTAGGAGGCTGAGGCAGGAAGATCTCTTGAGCCCAGGAGGTTGAGGCTGCAGTGGGCCATGTTTATACCACTACACTCCAATCTGGGCAACAGAGTGAGACCCTGTCTCAAAAAATAAAAATAAAAATAAATTGCTCCCCTACGTCAGTGGCTCTCAATCAGGGTTGATTTTGAACCCCCAGGGGACATTAGGCAAAGTGTGGAGACATTTTTGGTTGTCACACCTGGAGGAGGGGTGGTCCTGGCAGCAAGCAGGTAGCAGCCATGGATGCTGCTAAACATCCTACAGTGCACAGGGCAGCCTCCACAGTAGTCATCCTATGAAATGTCTGTAGTGCCGGGGTTGAGAATCTCTGCCCCAGGTGACTCAGGTGCACAGCTAGGAGTCTGGGGAGCCCTGAGGGTCCTTATTCTTCCTTCTTCCAGCTGAACCACATCTAGACAACTTCCAACCTTTCAAACCTCCGGCCTTGGCCTGGTGCAGTGGTTCATGCCTGTAATCCCAGCACGTTGGGAGGCCAAGGGGAAGAATTGCTTAAGCCCAGGAGTTAGAGACCAGCCTAGGCAACATAGCAAGACTCCGTCTCTACAAAAAAAAAAATCAAGAAAATTAGACAGGTGTGGTGGTGAATGCTTGTAATCCCAGCTACTCAGGAGGCTGAGGCAGGAGGATTGCTCGAGCCCAGGAGGTCGAGGCTGCAGTGAGCTGTGATCGCACCACTGCACTCCAGCCTGGGTGACAGAGCATGACCCTGTCTCTCAAGGAAGGAAAGAAGGAAGGCCAGCTTTATTTTTAAAAACCCCTCCAGAGAAAGAGAACCCATATTCCCCCAACCTTTTTTTTTTTTTTTTGAGACAGTCTCACTTTGTCGCCCAGGCTGGAGTGCAGTGGCATGATCTTGGCTCACTGCAGTCTCCGCCCCCTGAGTTCAAGTGATTCTCCTGCCTCAGCCTCCCAAGTAGTTGGGATTACGGGCACCTGCCACTGCACCCAGCTAATTTTTGTATTTTTAGTAGAGACAGCATTTCACCATCTTGGCCAGTCTGGATTTGAACTCCTGACCTCTTGATCCACCCGCCTCAGCCTCCCAAGGTGCTGAGATTATAGGCGTGAGCCACTGCGCCCGGCCGAGAACCCATATTCCTTAGAACTCTTTCCAGGGTCTGAAATTTATTGTTTATAATAAGGGTTCTTAACCCAGGACTTAGGGCAGTAGGGAATTTATAAACCTGAAATAGTTTACAAAATCGTAGGCACATGTAAGTTTTCCTGGAGAGTGGGTCTTTATTCTAAGTGGGCATGTGAGCCAGATCCTTCATGTCTTCTAAATCAATTTTCTCTTATCCTGAGTTTTCTGCAGCAACTCAGATAATTGTTATTTGATGTCAATTAATCAAGACTCAGAGCTGAAAGGGAGTCATTGTGCAGATAAGATGGAGGTTAAGCAGTTAGTTTGTCCAAGGTCACCCTGTTGACTGGTGGCAGAGACTAGCCTAGACTTGTTCTCTATCTCTCACAGGGAAGGGGCCTTCAATAGAATATTCTAGCAAAGTGGTTAAGAACATGGGCCTTGGAGCCAGATGGCCTGGCCTGGCATCCCTGTTGTGCCACCTGTGGTTGTGTGAACTTGGGCAACACACTTGTTTTTGTGCTTCAACTTCCTTATCTGAAAAATAGAACTAGTAGTAATAACCAACTAACATGCTTGTGAGAATTAAGTGATTAAATTACTTAGAATGATACCTACCAACTGGAAGAGCTTTGTTAGTTTTTATTTACAAGGTGCTGCTCTCTATTTTTTAAAACATATGAATAATAAATGTTAAAGTATAAAACAGCTGGGCATGGTGGCACATGTCTATAATCCTAGCACTTTGGGAGGCCTAGGTAGGAGGATTGCTTAAGCTCAGAAGTTTGAAAACCAGCCTGGGCAACATAGTGAGACCTTGTTCCTATTTAAAATATATATATATTACATATATTTTATATATATATAAAACAATTAATGCTGACATCATTCTAAATGTAATATGATTTCCCATTGTCATGTCAGTGTGACTTTTTTGGATGCCTCTGATGTTCAGTATATAATCTGTTAGATGGCAATAAGTGCTCTATAGAAGAATAGTAGGGTAAGCGGGGCAGGATTGAAGGGGTGAGAGGAGGGCATGGAGGGGTTTGCATAGGATGTTCAGAAAAGGCATCTCAGAGGAGGTGACATTTTAACAGAGGCCTGAAGAAAGTGAGGGATGAGCCATGTGGCCACCAGGGGAAAGAACATTAGGCAGAGAGAGCAGCCAGTGCAGAGGCCCTAGAGTGGGGATGTGCTTGCTTCAGGCAAGTCCAGAGTGACTGCCCCCAAGGAATGGGGAGCGGGAAGAGATGAGGTCAGAAAAGGATGGGAGCAGGGTGAGTTACTACCCCATATGAACTGCTGGAAGATGGGTAGGAGTGACATGGCCTGGCTTATAGGAGGGGAAAAGGATAGAAGCAGAGGGACCAGTTGGAGTCTATGTTATTAATCCAGGTGAGAGAGAATGGTGGTTACACCAGGGTGAGTGTAGGAGAAGGTGAAAGGGGGTGAAATTCTGGATATATTTTAAAGGAAAAGCCAACAGGCTTTGTCAATGGATGAGTTATGGAGTACGTGAGGGAGAGAGAGAGTCCAGGGTGTCTCCAAAGCAAACACTGGCCCCCTTCTACAACACAGTTCAAGTCCTGTAAATATTAATATCTTAAGCTGTGTTTACACATTAAACGTATTTAACTTTAAGCTCCTCGAATGCCAGACTAAGAAGCAAAACGTTCCCCAAATACTTAAGCCACCGTAGGAAAGCTAATGAAGTAAATGAGTAACAACAGTGATTTGCCAGTTATCTCAAACATTACAATATTGTTAATAAACTTGAAAAAATGCTATTTTATTTTTCAACTTAAAATCTAAAGTCTACAATTGAATACTCAATTACACATTTTACATTGGACTCACAAGGCTAATATGTTGCATACTCTACCATGCCAAGTCCTCTCAAACATCACAAACATTGTATCATTGTAGGTGCCTATTGATAAATATTACACAGACCACTTCTAAATGTAACACAAAAACATTGATACAATGGATTTAATTTTATCATCTCTAAGATTAAGTCTAAGAGTTTCCAGGGGTAAAGTCACATACCCAGGAAGGAAACATCCCAGGCAAACTAGAGGGTACCTTCTATTGACTGGGCTAAGATAACTGACCAATCAGATAGTTTTGGCCAGGACACAAGTTCTGAAGATACAGAGATCTAAGCAGAGTTTTGTGTGTTTTTGTTTTGGTTTGATTTTTTTAATGACAAGGAGGAACAAGTTGAGCCTACAGGAAAGGATTTCTTGCTCTCCCAGAAGGTTATGGTGGGTTGGGGTTTAACAGTCCCCAAATTTAAATTACTCAAATACTCATTGCTTAATTCTTGTGTAATTTTTGTTGACTTTATCCCCAGATTTGAGGAGACAATATTTTATAACTCCACTCAGGTTGCTTTACCACTTGATGGGATTCAACTATGAACATGGTTCTTAAACTTGGCTGCACAGTGGAATCAACAATCGAGCTCTGTGAACATTGAGACTGGTGTCCCACCCAGAGATGCTGATTTGATTGATCTAGGGTGAGGCCAAGGCATTGGCATTTTAACAGCTTCCAGGTGATGCCAGTGTGCAGCCAGCCTTGAGATCTGTTGGTAGAAAGTGCTACTCTTGTTAAGTGTGAGGCCACAGCTTCCCAAGTCTTGATCATGTGGCAATTCAGAGAACTCTTTAGGGTCTTGGAGTACCTCAGGGGCCAGGGCAGGAATATTTACCAATGTCGAAATGATGCAGGATGTTTTTTAATGCTGCTTTGCCAGCTGGAGACCTCCACAGCTGGCAGTGTCCCTGCTCACTTGGCCTGCTGGACTGCACCTGACTTGCGCTTTGGGGTGGATCCTGCAGCCTCCACAACTGCACACTCAGCCTGCAGCAGGAGCGAACATGTGAGTGAGTGTGTGGTCCGGCCAGCTGCTCCAAGCACTGGCACAGGAGTGGGCTCTGTGCAGGGCTTGTGACTGGACCAGGCGTGTTGCGGTGGACTCCAACGTCTAGACAAGGGGAATGCAGTGGCACCCAAACAGGGATGCCCATGACCCTGAAGCCCTAGAGTGGGTGTTACAGCATGCTAATAGCTCTTTTGTCCTGCCATCCATGGCCCGATGAACGGGGGTGTGTTAACAGCTCTGTCAGTCCTGTTGCTCCACTCCGGTCCTAGGCTCTGGGACTGGCCCAGACCCACCACTGCTTCCTGCCATGTGGGGCAGCTACCCTCTGCCAGCAGAGGCCAGGAGGGTTATAGTGTTACAGACTTCTTCATATCTGTGTTTGGTGGGTCTTAAGCTCTTGTCCCGCATCCAAGAAGAATGAGATTACACTGACAACTGGATGGTGAGGAGGGCAGAGAAGAGTTTTATTGAGTGACAAAACAGCTCTCAGTGGAGAGGGGACATGAGGGTGGTCCACCACCTGAAGTCAGGTGGTCTCTCTCTCAGTGTGGCTGGGTCCGGGGCTTTTATGGGCTAAGAATTGGGGACTGCATGCTGATTGGTTTGTGAGTATGCAAAAAAGGCTAAAACAAAAGTGCCACTCAAAGGTGGGCACAACAGTGTAATAAACTAATTAGGGAAGGGCAGGCATATGTAAAATAGGTGAAGAGTGGGGATCAATCAGAGGAAAGTGTGCCAAACAAGAAGAAAGGTTCTCAATCCAGTCCGTGGATTTATCTGGGACTTATGGCTGGGCTTTAAACTGTCCTCGGCTTGAAGGTGGGGTTCCACTGGGAACCCATCCCTGTCTGCCTAGGATTTGTCTGCCTCCTGCCACTATCCATTCATTCCTCTAGGGTTTGTTGAGTGCTGGCTCTGTGCCAGCCACTCCCCAAGGCACTGGGGGTATAGCAGTGGAGTAGACAAATCTCTGTCCTGTTGGAGATTGTATTCTAGAGGGGAGGTGGTTGGCAGTCAAACGAAGTCAATAGATAAGTGACAATGTGGAGAGCAGCTGTACAGCCTAGTGGTTCAGAGCCTGGACTCAACCTGGCTGGAGTCCAAACCCTGGCTGTGTGTGACTTTGGGCAAGTTACTTACCCCTTTTGCCTCAGTTTCCTCATTTGTTTGTTTGTTGTTTTTTTTTTTTTTGAGATGGAGTCTCACACTGTCCCCCGAGCTGGAGTGCAGTGGTGCAATCTTGGCTCACTGCAACCTCTGCCTCCCAGGTTCAAGCGATTCTTCTGCCTCAGCCTCCTGAGTAGCTGGGATTACAGGCGCCTGCCACCGTGCCCAGCTAATTTTTTGTATTTTTAGTAGAGATGGGGTTTCACCATGTTGTCCATGCTGGTCTCGAACTCCTGACCTTGTGATTCACCTGCCTCGGCCTCCCAAAGTGCTGGGATTATAGGCATGACCTACCACACCTGGCCTCCTTATTTGTAAAAAGAAGATGATGAATATACAGCATTAAGAGTGAGCACTCCAGCCTGGGCAACAAGAGTGAAACTCTGTCTCAAAAAAAAAAAAAAAAAAAAAAAGTGTGAGCTCTAATATAAGCGATGGACTTTGGATGATAATAATGTGTCAGTGTAGACTCATCAATTATAACAAAAGTACCACTCTGGTGGGGGAGACTGTGGGGTGGGCAGCAAGGAGTATTTGGATGGAAATTCTCTGCACTTTACATTCAATTTTGTTGTGAACCTGAAACTGATCTAAAAAGTAACGTTTGTTAATTTTTAAAATGTATTTATTTATGTTCCCACTATATTCCCACCTGTTTTATCTCACTATATTGACTAGGCTGGTCTCAAACTCCTGGCCTCAAGCAATCCTCCCAACTTGGCCTCCCAAAGTGCTGGGATTACAGGCATGAGCCACCATACCCGGCCTATTATTTTTTTCAAAAAAGATAATAAGAACAAGCTCAGAACCAATTCATAAAGTTATTGGGAGAGAATTAAGTGTTAATGCCCTTAATTACCTGAGTATGGTGGCATGCGCCGGTAGTCCCAGCTACTTGGGAAGCTGAGGCCAGAGTACTGCTTGAGCTCAGGAGTTCGAGGCTTCTGTGAGTTATGATAGTGCCTCTCCACTCCAGCCTGGGTGACAGAGTGAGACCCTGTCTCAAAAAAGAAAAAAAAAGTTATTAATATACTTAAAACACAGCAATTTCAGATAAATATGTGCGCGCACACACACACACACACACACACACACATATATTTTTTGAGACAGAGTTTTGCTCTTGTCAACTAGGTTGGAGTGCTATGGTGCGATCTTGGCTCACTGCAACCTCCGCCTCCCGGGTTCAAGCAATTTTCATGCTCACCCTCCCGAGTAGCTAGGATTACAGGTGTGCACCACCTGCCTGATTTTCTGTTTTTAGTAGAGACGGGGTTTCACCATGTTGGCCAAGCTGGTCTTGAACTCCTGACCTCAGGTGATCCACCTGCCTCAGCCTCCCAAAATGCTGGGATTACAGGTATGAGTCACCGCACCCGGCCTAAATAGAAAATATTTAGTAAGAAGTAACCATTATTTTAACATAAGATATTGATAATATTTTCTTCTCCAGCTTTATTAATGAGACTCTTTTGATGAAAAATCAAACTAGGTTAGGGGATAAAACAGGCACGAATAAGAGAATAAGGGTTGGGAGGGGAAGTGAGAGGGGTTCTTTTAGCTGGGGTGTTTAGGGAAGGGAAGGCCTCTTTGTGGAGGTGGCAGTTACGCAGAGACCTGAAGGAAGAGAGGAATGGACTCATAAACTATCTAGGGATGAGAAAACAGCCAAAAACCAGGGCCTGAGGCAGGAGTCAGCTTGATAGGCCCAAGAAGAAGAGGGCAGCAATGCATGGGGTGGAGTGAATGGGGAATGAGCCCATGGTGTCATCCAGCACTTCTGCTTATGGATCATGATCTCACACTAGCTATGAGTCTCAAGTCTTTGTATCACTCGGTCCTGTACCAGGCCATGGAATATGCTGTATAAATGTTTATTGAATAAAGAAAAAATAATGATTAACCCGTACAGCCCCTCCATCAGCAAATTAGAATATCAATATTCTAGGCTCAGTTGTTCACTCCCTAGCTCCAGGCACAACCCAACTGAAAGAAGTGATATTTATGGAGCTCTCCTAAGGCTTTGTTTCTATAAAAAAATATAGAGTTCAGCCCACAAGGAGGATGTCCAGATGGGCAACCAGTTGATGAGAACAATGCAAATCCTTTGCTTGGTTCTTCCAAGTGAGTGGATACAATTCCCTGGAGTGCCATTATTATGTACAACTGCTTATATGCAGTCAGGGATTACCAAAATTAGTGCTCCACTAGCGGAGTCCTGGGGACTGATTCAACATTCAGCCGAGGAGCTTGGCTGCCAAGCCCAGCTCTCTGGCGTGGCCATCTCCCGCTGTGCACAGCATAGCTGGAATTCCTGCCAATCTTAGGCAGGAAGCTTTGTTATGTTGCATCATCGATGTTGTTTAGAGGGGATCCTGGCTTTTTCTCTTGCAGTTTTCTGCATTTCAATGATCATTTTCTGTTTCTCTCCATCCTTAGCAATTGGATTTGTAGTGGACTTGTTCTGTAAGCCCTGCAGGCTATAGCAGGGAATGTTTCGTCAACACTTTTCCGTTTCTTAGGTTTCTAAGTCATGAATATTTTTTTTTAAATTTTTTTGTCCATAATTGTCGCTTTAGCCTGTCCAGCTTCCCTTCTGCCTTCATGTAGTAACAGCACCCCATTTTCCCTTTGTGGAGCCCCTCCCCACTCCATGCCGCCCTGAGAAGCTATGTATCTTGGGGTCCTGCCTGTTCTGCCTCCCTTCTTACCCCTTTCCCAAGGGTGCCCCACTAACCAAGCTAGCCAGGAGCACTTCCTTTCTTGGTCACCCCTTGGGTTCAGGGGTGGACTATGACCCACGCTAGACCATCTGGGTCAATCTTGCAAGTTGGCAAGGTGATGCTCATTAGGAGGGAGTACACAGCCCTCTTCCTCTAAGACAGTGGTTCTAAAATCTAACACTTTCTTCTTATAAACAAATACTTTATTATCCTTTTAATATACTGAAAGGTAATAGATAATGTACATGTTATTTAAAACCTCAGGCAGGGTGCAGTGGCTCACACATGTAATGCCAGCACTTTGGGGGTGGGAGGATGGCTTGAAGCCAGGAGTTCAAGACCAGCCTGGGCAACAGAAAAAAGACACTGTCTATACCAAAAAAAAAAAAAAAAAAAAAATCAATATGATGCCCTAACTGTAGTAGAAAAGAGAAATTAAAATAGCGTATAATAAAATAAAATCATTTCTAAAATAGCATATAATAAAATAATAATGCATCAATAAGTAAATGCATGGTTATGCCCACACTAGAAGACACAATGAGGGAGTCGGATGCTTGCTCAAACATGTAGAATTACCGTGAGTGTGACAGCCACAGATGAAGCCATATGCAGGTGTGCTGTGTGATACCTCCAACACCGGAAGTGGCATTGCCATCGGCGATGTGGTTTCTGAAACAGTGAAATCATGAACAGCCCTTGGCAAAATTTCAAACAAAAGAAAACTTTCCTTTGTTTTACACAAGGTAGTATGTATGGACAACTCAATGTATATTAAAACTGTGCAATAAATACTTTATATATAAAATAGCGTTAAGTTTAGGCTCAATTAATTACAAATAGGCTTTCCACCCACATAGATGTCCAGTTGGACATTATAAATTTGTGTGAGACACAGGATAATTCTTTGTGTAGGACTATTCCATGCTTCACAGCAAGTCTAGCATAAAATTTAAGCAGTAGCTTTCCACCATCATTGTGACGACAAAAACCATCCCCACAAATTCCCAAAATGCTCTTCAGGGGGTGCTACTGACCTCCCCTTCCACACACGAAGAAGCACTGTTCCCGGAATGAGTGGCTGTAACTGCTGGCAAACCGGAACTACTTGTAGTCATCTTTCCCAGCCTCATGGAAACAGCCATCTATAGAAGAAGCAATTGAGACCAACGTGGAGAGGAAGGCAGAAATGAGAAGTGATAAGAGAGAGGCAAAGCCCCGAAGATATTATTTGAGATCCCAGATTCATGTATGCATGATGTCAGATCACATCTGTATTTCCCAGTTTGCATGAATGTCAATTTTCTTTTTGCTTGAGTTACATTGAGTTTAGTTTCTGACATATACAACCAAAAATTAGACTAATACGTATTTCAAAAGGCCACTGTACATATAATTTAAACGTTTTTGTTTTGCTTCTTTAATGATATTTTGTTATTATCACAAATTTATTTTTTAGTCCTGTAAAGTAGGAATAGAAAGGGGAAGTGAACTCCAGGGTGCTATGTCCTAGCAGGTCAGACTTAGTAAAGCCTGTGAGCACATGGCCCTACCTTTTCTTTTTCTCATGGAACTGCTACACACACACACCACACACACACATATACACCACACACACACACACACACACACATGCATATTCATGTAGGATGGCCACATTCTCTGCTGATTAGACCAGGCATGGACAAATCAAATTCTCTTTCCCAGGAACTTCAAACCAGGTTACTAGCAGACTGAATCACTCTCTAAGGCTGGAACTGTTACAGGTAACATGAAAACGAGGATGGAGAAGGGCAAGAGTTACACAGTGACTATACTCTGCCAGGTTATTTTGGGAAGAAGGGAAAACGGATTAGCAGATGTGCAGAGAAAAGAGATATAGAGAGTTTCAGAAACTTTCCAGTTTCAAGATCCATCCCTTCTCAAGACCCAACTATATATATCCTGTCCTACAGTTCTTAAAAGAACCCCTGTACACTAAGTACATTTCCCCTTTTTATTCAGGATGTCTCAGCCAGGCACGGTGGCTCACGCCTGTAATCCCAGCACTTTGGGAGGCTGAGGTGGGCAGATCGCTTGAGTCCAAGAGTTCGAGACCAGCCTGGGCAACATGGCAAAACCCCATCTTTACAAAAAAAATTAGGATATTTCTAATGAGTTTCTAGGACTAGTGTCTAAAGAGTTATAAGCCCACATCTCACTCCTATAGGTATTCTAAGTTTTCTCCTCACATCAAATTAGATAGAATTAGATCAGATTACATCATAAAGCCACACTGCAAAGCAGGATCAACTCCTGCAAAATTGCCTTCAAGGGGTCCGGCTCAGGGTGGGGAGGTAATGTGTTGCCCTTGGGTTTAATCAAATGTCAACACAAGAAACAACTGGAGCTGTGGTTCAAATTCAGGCTGGGACTCTCATCAGCTGTGTTTCTTTAGGTAAATTACTTCAGACTCTCCTGATCTTTAAACTTGGGACAATAATAACCATGACAGCTAACTGAGATGATCGAAGACAAATGTGCTTAGCTCAGCACCTGGGTGTAAGTCAGGGCCCAAACATTGTTTCTCCTATGACTTCCCCTTTCCTCCTTACCACATTTCAAGAAAAGGAAAGTGGGTGGGGCGTGTGTGGTGGCTCTCGCCTGTAATCCCAGCACTTCGGTGAGGCTGAAGAGGGTGGATCACTTGAGGTCAGGAGTTCAAGACCAGCTTGGCCAACATAGTGAAACCCCGTCTCTACTAAAAATACAAAAATTAGCTGGGCGTCGTGGTGCGCATCTCTAATCCCAGCAACACAGGAGGCTGAGGCAGGAGAATCACTTGAACCCGGGAGTCAGAGGTTGCAGTGAGCCGAGATCGTGCCACTATACTCCAGCCTGGGTGACAAAGTGAGACTGTGTCTCAAAAAAAAAAAAAAAGGTGGGGAGAGGGGAGGTAAACTCCAGTATTTTCAGGGTGTTTAGCTGTTAACCAGTTCTTCCCAAAGCATTAGCACAACAGGCAGTATCTTAGAATTTCAGATCTAAGATTATCTTAGAAATTCTGATAAAGCACAGAGGTTATCTAGTCCCACCCCTCACTTGATTTTATTTTTCATTTTAAAATTTTTTATCAAGACTGTAGTTGTATACAGGTTAAAGAATCAACTAGTTCCATAAGATTTATGTGGAAACAGCAGACTCAGGCCTCACTCCATTGTCTCCCTTTCAAGAGGCAACCTTTTTCTCTGTGCTTGCCCTTCCTAGAGTGGATCACGCTTGGAATCGAATCCACTTGTGTTCTTTCTTCCTGAATGTCTGGCTTCCCTGTAAGACTGTGTGAGCACAGAGACATCTACTGTGGGACCCACAGCCCATCCACAGTGCCAGATCCGCCATAGGTATCCACTATATATTCATTCTCTCCTTTCTTGGCTGAAAACCAGGCCACCTCGCTTGGCCAGCTCACTGCCAGAGCCACCAGCTCAACCTTGCGCCTACAACTCCCTGACTAGAGATGCAGAAAAGCTGGTTGTCCCCAAGTTCATGTTTACTTAACCAAAATCAAAGTCCGATAGTTGAATAGTAAGACAAGCTCAGCAGGCAGGACGTACCCAGCCACATTCTTATTTACAGTGCACACTGGCATGGCTGAAAACGCCTTTCCTTTATTCTCCGGCCATGGAGCTACGGTTCTCATTTCTGTTGAAGAAACAAAATCTTCTTTATAGGACCTTTTACTCCGATAGGGTTTCCAGAGGGCTCCACTGTGACTGCTTCAGAGCTGGGGGACATCGCCGTCTTAATTCACATGGTATCCTCGCAACTGAGGAAGAGGAGCCAAAAAGCACCAAAAGCAGAAACAAAACAACTCTGAAAAAGCATTCCTCAAAAGCCCTGTGCATTCAAAAAAGGCTTGGTTGGGTTATTTCCAGTTGTACTGTCGAGAAAAGAGCTATTTCTGTCTTTTAACTCTCAAATACAAAGATACTGCTCAGTGGGAATCAAACATTCCTAATTTTCATTTATTTATCTTTTCATTTTAATTTTGGATTGGGGGGGGTATCTGCGCAGCTCTGTTAGACGGAGTATATTGCATGGTGCTGAGGTCTGGGCTTCTGATGGTCCCGTCGTTCAAGTAGCAAACGCGCTGCGCGAAAGGTAGGTTTCCAACCCCCGCTCCTTTTGGAGCCTCCAGTGTTTGTTGTTCCCAGCTTTGTGTCTGTGTGGACCTGATGTTTACCTCCCATCTACAAGTGAGAACATGTGGTAGTTTGTTTTCTGTTCCTGCATTAATTTGCTTAGGATAACGGCTTCCAGCTACATCCATGTTGTTGCAAGGAGCACGATTTTCTTCTTGTTTTTTTAATAGTAGAGCACTGATTTATTTTCAAAAGTCAAAAATATGTATTTTTAAATTAGGCCAAGTGTGTTATGATACTCTATTTTTGGGAACAAATATTTCTAGCACTGAGCAAATTCCTACCTCAAAATGCTCTCCATTCAAGCAACAGCTGAAATTGATATTGTAGAGGGGACTTAAACATCTGGTAGGACAGTTTAGATGAGAAAGGATGGCAGTTATTTATTTTTATTTTATTTTTTTGAGACGGAGTCTTGCTCTGTGGCCTAGGCTGGAGTGCAGTGGCGCGATCTTGGCTCACTGCAACCTCTGCCTCCTGGGTTCAAGGTATTCTCCTGCCTCAGCCTCCCAGGTAGCTGGGATTATAGGCGCCTGCCACAACGCCTGGCTAATTTTTGTATTTTAGTAGAGACGGGTTTTCACCACGTTGGCCAGGCTGATCTCAAACCCCTGACCTCAGGTGAACCGCCCACCTTGGCCTCCCAAAGTGCTGGGATTACAGGCGTGAGCCACCATGCCCGACCCAGCATTGCAGTTATTAAGAGCTTGGGTGCTGCAAATACATGGTACAAGTGCCATCTCTCCCTACTCCTGCCCCTGACAGGCATTGCTGAGTGATCATAGCAGTTTAACATGACAGTTGAGAATACCGGCTTTAGAATCACACTGTCTGGGTTCATATCCTGGCTCTGTCATTTAACAGCTGCATAACCTTGGGCAGTTTTCTCAATCATGGAGTTTTTCAGTGAGCTCATCAATAAAGGGAGGAGCAGAAGAGTACCTACTACATGTCATGAGGTTAAATGATTTAATACGGCTGAGCACGGTGGTTCATGCCTGTAATCCTAGCACTCTGGGAGGCCAAGGCAGGTGGATCACTTGAGGCCAGGAGTTCAAGACCAGCCTGGCCAACATGGCGAAACCCTGTCTCTACTAAAAATACAAAAATTAGCTGGACGTGGAGGTGCATGTCTGTAATCCCAGCTACTCCGGAGGCTGAGGCACGAGAATTGTTTGAGCCTGGAAGGCAGAGGTTGCAGTGAGCCAAGATCATGCCACTGCACTCCAGCCTGGGCAACAGAGCAAGATTCTGTCTCAAAAAAAAACAGTGGCTGGATGCAGTGGCTCACACCTGTAATCCCAGCACTTTGGGAGGCTGAGGCAGGAGGATTGCTAGAGCCCAGGAGTTTGAGACTAGCCTGAACAAAATAGTTAGACCTAGTTTCTACAAAATAAAAAAAAAAACTGGCCGTGTGTGGTGGTGCATGTTATAGTCCCAGCTCCTTGGGAGGCCGAGGTGAGAGGATGACTTGAGCCCAGGCGGTCGAGGCTGCAGTGAACCATAATCCTTCCTGGGTGACAGAGTGAGACCCTATCTAGATTAAAATATATATATATTAGCTATCATTATTTCCCACTAACCTCATTCTTTTTAACACAGGGCCTCAGGTGTTCGCTACCTGAATCAGAGCCAACACTCAGTTCCAGTCTTGTTATTCCTGGTTTTGATGGACTTTTTTGATCTTCTTGCATTTATGAGAATTTATGATTCTATAACTTTCTAATCCTCTGAACCTCTCTGGGCCTTAGTGTTTTTCATCAGTAATATGGAACTTATAATATCTACCTGCTTTTGCCGGGCGCAGTGGCTCACGCCTGTAATCCCAGCACTTTGGGAGGCCGAGGCGGGCAGATCACCTGAGGTCAGGAGTTTGAGACCAGCCTGGCCAACATGGTGAAACCTCGTCTCTACTAAAAATACAAAAATTAGCTGGGCATGGTGGCACATGCCGGTAATTCCAGCTACTCGGGAGGCTGAGGCAGGAGAATCGCTTGAACCTGGGAGGCGGAGGTTGCAGTGAGCCGAGATCACGCCACTGCACTCCAGCCTGGGCGACAGAGAGAGACCCTGTCTCAAAAAAAAAAAAAAAATATCGACCTGCTTTTCTGGCAGGTAGGATTGTTGTGAAGATTGAATGTTCATCAGAATGCTCCTAAAAACTGTATGGCATGAGGAAAATATAAAGGGATGATCCATGCTGCATTAGCACGAATGTGTGATTGCCAGGGCTTGGTCTGCCAGCAGAACCCGATACTGAGTAGAACCTCTCAAAGCAGCCCTTTTACAAATATTATTCAGATTTATGATTCTAGTGTAAATGCCTTTGTGAGCTCATTTTATGGCTAATCGTTGGGGTCTGTGGAGAGGAGGGATTCAGAGCAAGTACACTGGAGTTTGACAGGCCCAGGCCAGGCTGCTGGGAGAGGCCAGGCCAGTGTTAGTGGGGAAGGCTGAATATAGGAACTTTCTGGGCATCAAGTTTGACCCCTACAGAACCTTCTTCTGTCAGGTCAGGGACGCCTGCCACTTGAGTTAGAGCCCCGTGCTGAGTGACATTGCAGGACCTGGTTTGATCTCTTGTGTAAAACACAATCATTTAGTATCACTCTGAAGAGCCTGCGGGCATGGGTAAAACATTGTCTTTACAGGAAACAGCATACATTAGTGGCTGATAACTCAAATGAAGTAAATTTAAAATAAATAATAAAAATTGCTGCAAAGAGTTTAGGCTTAGAGAGCCTGGATTCAATTTCTGGCCCTGCCACTTTTAAACAATGTGACTGGGACAAGCTCACCTCTTTCTGCTTTAGTTTTTTAATCTGAAAATCAGCATTCTACTATTATTACTACTGCTAATACCATTAGCTAATCTGTGGGTAGGTGTGAAGATTGAACAAAGTAGTTTACGTAAAATGGTTCTCTGGAAGATGGTAAGTGCTCAGAGAAAGGTAACTAATAATCATAATAACTGATATATAATTTGAGCAAAATCATTTCACTGGCATAATTTACTTTCAGCCAAAGAGTGATCTTAATCATATTTTCATTCTTTTTTCTCCTGTAGTTCCTAAGTCATTTTTCTATCTATTGTTAATCCTTCTATTATTATCTTTTTCATTATATAGAGAAATGATACAGTAGAGGTGTCAGTAGATCAAAGAGTTTGTCTCATTTTACCTATGAAAGCAGAATAAGGAGAAAAAGGAAAAGGATTAAGTGAAAAAAAAACAAAAGCTCTAAAACTGTATGTCTTGAAAGACCTCATTTTGTGGTTGGGGGTAACTTATAAAGCCAGAGTTGAAAAGACTGGAAAGATATAAACTAAAATTGTACCAAATGTTTGCCAAAAGATCCAAACCAAAACACAAACAGTAATTACTCTTTGTCTTGGGGTTGAGGAAACTTTTTACTCTCTTCTTTTGGTTTATCTGTGTTTTCTAAATTTTATACAATGGATGGATATTGCTTTTACAAAAAAAACACTTAAAAATAGTTCTGATGTCTATGGAGTTGCTACCTTTGTTCAGAAAAGCAGGAAACATTCTCGTTACTTGTAACCAATAAAGATAGCCATCTGTAAGCAAGCAAAAATAATTAAAATGCCTCAAACCAAATATCTTAGATATCTGTCTCTGAGACCCGTACATGGGACAGCCTCAGAAATGTCTTGCTGTGCTCCTTGACCCTGAATGAAAAGAACAGTGTGATGTCCCCCCACGCTTTTTTTTTTTTTTTTTTTTTTTTGTGATGGAGTTTTGCTCTGTCGCCCAGGCTGGAGAGGCTGGAGGGCAGTGGTGTGATCTCAGCTCCTGCAACCTCCGCCTCCTGGGTTCAAGCAAGTCTCCTGCGTCAGCCTCCCGAGTAGCTAGGATTACAGGTGCCCACCACCAGGCCCGGCTAATTTTTATATTTTTAGTAGAGATGGGGTTTCACCATGTTGGCCAGTCTGGTCTTAAACTCCTGACCTCAGGTGATTCACCCACCTCGGCCTCCCAAAGTGCTGGTATTACAGGCATGAGCCCCTGTGCCCGGCCAGCCCCCACACCTTCTTATGTCCCTTACTTAATTCTTGATCCTGCTTTGTAATCCATGTGTGAATCCCACATGAATCTAAGTTCTTCTTAAATCAACATATTTTCCACCTGTACAATGCAGTTGGAAACAACTGTATTCAAATTTGAATTCCGCCAAGCCTAGCAGCCAGTGGGCACAGAGTAGGTCCCACCAGGAGTGATCAAACAGCAGTCATTGGTTCACCCCTAACCAAGACCTCGACTCATCGCAAAGAACCTCTTGAAAGTATGGTGATCCCGGAAGCATCTCGTGTGTGCTTACACAAAGTCCACACTGGCCATGCCCCACTGTGGTCCTAGTGTCCCACAGATCACTGCAGAGCCTGGGCACTCGAGTTTCAAATCCTGGCTGTGGGACTTACCAGCTGTGCAACTTTGGGCAAGATGCTTAACCTCTCTGATCTCAGTTTCCTTATCAGTAAAGTGCAAACAGTAGTACCTATTTCATAGGGTTGTTGTGTGGATCAAGTGAAGTAATATTGTAAAGTGCCCTGAGTAGTGTCTGACACATGGGAAGTACCCACTACATGTAAACTATGCTCTTAAATACTGGCTAATGCCTCTGCAGCAGCATTTGAGCATCCACTCACTGTCGCTCAGTAGGTTTCTAGCAGCACAAGAAATGAACTTTCATTCTGCACATGAATGAAAAAGACTTTGAATAAAATCTCAGGCAATGTTTCACTGCAGTTTTGCCCCTGCAAGCTGCTTGGATGAGATTCTAACGTAGCTTCCCAGGGAGGCATTTTTCCAACAGTAGCCTCCATCTCCTAGACAGCAAGCTGAGCCAAAATTGCAGCCTTTAGAATCTTCAGAGCTGTGAGGGGCTCTGACCACAGTGGGTTTTACTCACTCGCCAGTAGTTTTCACACTTCGGGAGCATTAGCATCCCGATGCCCAGGCTATCCTCCAAAAAACAATTAAATCAGGATCCCTGAAGGTGGGACCCGGACATCAGCATTTTTTTAAAGCTTCCCAGATGATTCCCATGGTCAGTCCAGGCTGGGCTGAACTGACCTGCCGAGGTCTAAACAAAATGCCAAGGATCTGTGATTTTTCACAGTGGTAACAAATCACAGGTGGTGACCAATTTTTTTAGTTGTTTGTTGTTGTTGTTGTTGTTGTTGTTATTTTTTGTTTTTTTGTTTTCTTTTGAGATGGAGTCTACCTTTGTCACCCAGGCTGGAATGCAGTGGGGCGATCTTGGCTTACTGCAACCTCTGCCTCCCAGGTTCAAGGGATTCTCCTGCCTCAGCCTCCCAAGTAGTCCACTTCATTCTTCACCTCTGGACCTTCACCAGGTGACTGCACCATCTCCCGTGACCCTGATCTTCACCTGTATTCCCAATCCCCATCTTGTCCCTCCACTTCAGACTGGCTCCCAAGCCCTCCAGCTGGACCTCCTTCCCACACATCCAAGCACAGTCTGGACTCCACAGGTATACCTGCTGCCTCCCCAAATGAGGTCTCCTTGGCCAGCAAGCCTGTTCCACCCAAACCCAGAGGCAGCCTCGGGGCTCCCTTCCCTCCCTTTTCTTTCTTTCTTTTTTTCTTTTTTCTTTTTTTTTTTTTGAGTTGGAGTTTTGCTCTTGTTGCCCAGGCTGGAGCACAATGGCGCGATCTTGGCTCACCGCAACCTCTGCCTTCCAGGTTCAAGCAATTCTCCTGCCTCAGCCTCCTGAGTAGCTGGGATTACAGGCATGCACCACCATACCTGGCTAATTTTGTATTTTTAGTAGAGACAGGGTTTCTCCATGTTGGTCAGGCTGGTCTTGAACTCCCGACCTCAGGTGATCCGCCTGCCTCGGCCTCCCAAAGTGCTGGGATTACAGGTGTGAGCCACCATGCCCAGCCTCCCTTCTTTTCTTTACTTCCCATGCCTGATTAATTCAAGTCTTGTGTCACTTTCCCTCCTCATTTTTTAAAATTACATTTTAACAAAATATTAATTTACTGTAAGGTACAATATCCAATGGCACGCCATCTTTCTGTGTAAGCTTCATTAGCATGGTGATGACTGTCGAATGCTTGCTCTTGCACCTGTATTTCTTCAGAATTCAATGCCTGGTTCAGTTTTTCCATACTTCTCGCTGCCAGACTGGGACAGAGCAGGGTCACATCTGGGAATCATTGTCGGCAGCAACCATTACACATGAAGAGAGGATCTAAGAGAAAGGAAATGAAAACCTCCAGAATGTGGATCAAGTACAAGTAGCCAAACTTTGCAACACATTGTGAAAGGATCCCAAAGTGGTTTAGGGTCAACAAATCGTTAAAGCCTAAATGGTTATCTTTTGGTTTTTTGAGGACAGGAGCCATTTCTAGCTAATTATACAGTTTGTGCTTTGCTCTTAAAGGTTTTTTTTTTTTTTTTTTTTTTTTTTGAGACAGAGTCTCACTCTGTTGCCCAGGCTGGAGTGCAGTGGCGTTATCTCGGCTCACTGCAACCTCCGCCTCCCAGGTTCAAGAGATTCTCCCGCCTTGGCCTCCCGAGTAGCTGGGATTACAGGCACCCACAACCACGCCTGGCTAATTTTTGTATTTTTAGTAGAGACAGGGTTTCACCATGTTGGACTAGGCTGGTCTTGAACTCCTGACCTCAGGTGATCTGCCTGCCTTGGCCTCCCAAAGTGCTGGAATTACAGGTGTAAGTCACCATGTCTGGCTGTTTTTATTTATTTATTTTTCAGAGCAGGAGTGGAAGTTTCTTTAAAATCTTTAGAACAGTAAGGAAAGAAAAAAAGGAAGGAAAGTACACTTGGAAGAGGGACAAGCAGGTGACTTGAGAGACCAAGCATGCTTCTTAAATATTTTTAAATCCATCCTTTTTGACACTGCCCTTGCCTAGGCCTCTGTCTTCTGTTGACAGCCATTCCTGGGACATTAGCCTCTGCAATGTGAACAGGTACAATGTAAAACAGAGTCCCAGGTTTCCTTGCTGCAGATATCTCAGAGCCCTCCATACACTAAAGCACTTTGTGAACATCCAAGAGAGATTATCACAGATGATGCCACCCAGGCCTCCCACCCAGTTTTTGAGGAGCACTTTACAAGACTCATGTTCTACCATCTTTTCTCTCAAAAAACTTCCTTGCTGGTCTGACTGCCTCTAGTTATGTGACAGCCCCCCTCATTCCCTGCACACTGGCCACAGTGATCTCCATCTAGAACACATGCTGTCCACACCTTCTCCCATAGGTAGCTCTTCTTCATCTACAGGGCAAACTCCAAGCTTCTTGGCCCAGCAGCTGCAACCTTCAAAAGATCAGGCTGCCTCCCTCCCCAGCCTCACTGTCCACTTCTTAGGCCTCACCTATACTTCTCCATAACAACAAACTCCTGCTGATAAAGACATACTCGAGACTAGGTAATTTATAAAGAAAAAGAGGTTTAATGGATTTACAGTTCCACATGGTTGGGGAGGCCTCACAATCATGGCAGAATGCAGAAGCTGAAAGGCACTTCTTACATGGTGGCAGACAAGAGAGAATGAGCCAAGCAAAAGGGGTTTCCTCTTATAAAACCATCTGATCTTGTGAGACGTATTCACCACCACGAGAACAGTATGGGGGAAACTGCCCCCATGATTCAGTGATCTCCCACAGGGTCTCTCCCACAACATGTGAGAATTATGGGAGCTACAATTCAAGATGAGATTTGGGTGGGGATACAGCCAAACCATATCACCTGGCTTTTTGTTTCTTTTAATTTTATCCCAGGCCTTTGCTGTGTTGCCTTCCTAAAATGCTCTTACCAGTTAACTCTTCCTGAAGAATCTCTCTCAAACATCACCTTCTCCAGAAAGCCTTTCCCTCCCTGCTCCTCCCTTCATGCCTGCTGGGTCAATGTCCCTCCTGTGTGCTGTTGTGGCAGACCGGACGTCACCGTGCCCCTTCCCCAAGGTGCTGGTATTTAGCAGTTTTTGAATATTGTCTGCCTCCTCTTCCTAGGCAGTAAGGTTGTTGTAACTGGCCCCACCTTCTGTCTTCAGTTTTGTTTTGTTTTGTTTTTTGAGACGGATTCTCACTCTGTCACCCAGGCTGAAGTGCAATGGCACAATCTCAGTTTACTGCAACCTCTGCCTCCTGGGTTCAGGCAATTCTCCTGCCTCAGCCTCCCTAGCAGCTGGGATTACAGGTGTGTACTACCACATCTGGCTAATTTTTGTAGTTTTAGCAGAGACAGTATCTCACCATGTTGGCCAGGCTGGTCTCGAACTCCTGACCTCAAGTGATCCGCATGCCTCAGCCTCCCAAAGTGCTGGGATTACAGGTGAGAGCCACTGCACCCGGCCCCATCTTTACTTTTTCCATCTTCATCTTTCAATTCCCACATTGAATGTGATGCCTTCACAGAGGCCCTGAAAGGGACGTGTGCTTCTCAGCAGCCCATTCCCAGGTCCCCTGGGGTGGGGGTCACTTCTGCCATGGCTCGATTCCCAGCAGTTTCATTTCCATAGAGTGGTGTTTTCCTGATGTCATCCCTCAAATCTGGGGACTCTTGATTTTCCAGAGTTCCTCAAATGAGTAAGTACAGACTGAAACGTTATTTTTGTTTGGAGAAGTGATTAGGAGCAAGGGCTTTGGAGACTTTCCAGGCAGCCTGGATTTGAATCCTGACTCTTCTCTTACAAACTGTGTGACTTCGGGTGAGTTATTGATTTCCCTCCACCTCAGTTTCGTCTCCTATAAAATAGGGATAACAATCACACCAAAGACCAGGGCAGTGGCTCACGCCTGTAATCCCAGCACTTTGGGAGGCTGAGGTGGGAGGAGCACTTGAGACCAAGGGATTAGAGACTGGCCTGGGCAACATGGGCAAAACACCATCTCTACCAAAAAAATTAAAAAATTAGCCGGGTGTGATGGTGCACCCCTGTAGTCCCAGCTACTTGGGAGACTGAGGTGGGAGGATCACCTGAGCCTGGGGAGGTCAAGGCTGCAGTGAGCCATGATCATGTCACTCCACTCCAACCTGGGCAACAGAGCAAGACCCTGTCTCAAAAACAAAAACAAAAACAAAACCCACCAAGTTCAGATGGTTGTTGCAAGCATTAAATGAGTTTGTGCATGTTACACAGAGTTATGTCTGGCCAAGAGTGAGTGCTGCATAGGGTTAGCCAGTCTTGTTACTACATTCAGGACACTGTCCCTCAGATTGCAGGACACTGTCTCCTTTCCTCTGAGCTGCTCTTCCTCTGTTCCATTCTCCACAGATGCGCACACGGCCAGGGGCTCAGCCCTCTGCTCTCTGGTATGAGGCTGACTGTGGCCACAGCATCAGTGTAGGTTTTCCTTATGGCTTCCATAACAAAGTGCCTCAAACTGGGTGGCTTACGACCACAGAAATGAATTCTCTCATAGTTCTGGAGGCTGGAAGTCTGAAATCAAAGTGTCGGCAGAGCCGTGCTCTCTCTGAAAGCTCTAGGGCTGACTCCTTCCTTGTTCTCCTGAGCTTCTGGTGGCCTGAGGCGCTTCTTGGCTTCTGGAAGCACAACTCCAGCTCTGCCTCGTCTTCATGTGGCCTTCTCCTCTGTGTCTCTGTATTTCCTTTTCTGTGCCTTATAAGGATACGCTAATTGGATGTGGAGCTGCCCTAATCCAGTAGGATCTCATCTTGAGCCTTACCTTATGATGTCTGCCAAGACCCTATTTCCAAATCAGGACACTATTCAACCAACTACAGTCAGTCTCTGAGTAGGTGTTCTGGACCAGAAAATCCTCCAGGAACCATGGACATTTTAGAACCACTGGTGTGATTTTGTAGTTCTCCTATGTATCGTATAATTTTATATATTTCCTCAAATTCCAAAGACCCTAGAGCACCCAACACAGACCAATACAAGTAAAGACAGAGAAAGATACACATCCCAAGCCATCCAGCCTTACCTTTCTGACTCACTCGTCTGAACCTCAAGAGAGTGAGGAGGACACAGGCAGATGAAGAAAAATACACAGGATGCGAAGACTTAACTCTGCATGCCCAACCTTCCAGCTCCTATCCCTTTCTGTGTTTGCTCAAAATAGGTGTCCACCAACCAGGAATCTCTTCCATGTTTGCTCAAGACCCTTTTTTTCATATGGCCACAGCCTTGACTGTTGGGGTGATGTGCGCAACACCTGGGCTATAAGAAAAGATGCAGCAAAGGAACCCATAATGCACATTGGCTGGGCCCCTCTGGTGTAGAGCACCAGACATTATGATCCATCTCACTGGCTCCCTCGTGGACCCTACTGCCCTCCCCATCCCAGAGGCCCAAGGGTGTGAAGGACTCAGGAGACGTGGAAAGTTCCAGAACAAGACAGAGCCATACCTCATTATCCATACCTCCAAAAGAGTGTGGGTACCAGATATCAAAGAGCCAAAAAGATTACACACCAAGTAGATGAGAGGCAACATGCAAATAATGCCTAAGGCTTTCAAAGTAGGAAATAGTGCATTTGTTCTGTAATACTATGGGCCATATTACAGAAATGGCCTCTTTTTAAAATCTGTAAATAAGCTTAGGCTCCATAAGGTTAGGGGACTGAGGCTGCCATGTCTAACAGCCTCACTGCAGCGCCTGGCTCATAAGAAGCACTCAATGAATACTCCCTGAATGAAGAAATGTTAAGCTTTTATTGAGTGCTGACCATGCACCAGGCACAGAGTAAATTAAAATACCCCTTGGAAACAATATAGGATTGATTCAGAAATTGAGCATCATAAATGTTTATTTAAAACTCCATCAAGAATTAAAAACCTGTGGGCCGGGCGCGGTGGCTCACACCTGTAATCCCACGACTTTGGGAGGCCGAGGCGGGTAGATCATGAGGTCAGGAGATCGAGACCATCCTGGCTAACACGGTGAAACCCCGTCTCTACTAAAAATACAAAAAATTAGCCGGGCATTGTGGCGTGTGCCTGTAATCCCAGCTACTCGGGAGGCCGAGGCAGGAGAATGGCATGAACCCGGGAGGTGGAGCTTGCAGTGAGCCGAGCTCACACCACTGCACTCCGGCCTGGGTGACTGAGCAAGACACTGTTTCAAAAAAAAAAAGAATTAAAAACTTGTAAAGGGTGCGCTTGTCAAGTCGTGGTACAGATTTCCCCAGGCACCCCTGAAAAGCAGCTTCACAGAGCACAGGCTCTAGAGGCAGATCACTTACTTCACATCCCCCATCTACTATTCACAAATTCTGCAATTCAGAGCAAGTTTCTTCATTGCCCTATGCTTCAGTTTCCCCATCTGTGAAATGAGAATAATATCAGTACCTACTTCAGGCAATTGTGAGAATTAAATGACTTCATTCATGTAAAGTGTTCAGAGCAGCGCCTCCAATCGCTGCTACCATTATTATACTTCTCTCTTGGTCATGTTTGAAGATTGTCTTGCACAGTGTGGAGTACACAGAAGGAGCTCAATAATGTTCACTGACTGAATGACTGAATAAGAGCTGACTGGCTACAGCAGAGGTCAGGGATGCAAGAGGACGGTGACTTGCACAGAGGCCTGTCCTGTTCCAGTTCAACTCCAGGGGGGCACTTAGTGAAAGGAAGGAAATGGCCCTGTTTGGACATGCCATGGGGTGAAACCAGGGTCCAGGCCATTCACTGGAGCAGGAAAGTTCCAGGAAAGCTGGGGCCACTTCTGGGTCTGACCAAAATGCTCTGCTTTGCCCTGAAGATCAGACCAGATTCCAGAGCTGCCGTGATCAGGCTTTGTCCCAAGAGGCACTCAGGAATACCCCTGGCCTTGGTATAGGGAGGCCTTCCAGATCAGAGATGGCCTATGGGCAGGGGAAATACCCTAAGGCCCATCTATCCTGGACTGAAAATTCCCTTGAAGTAAGTAGAGTTATTAACATGATTTCATAAGAAGGAACTGCAGCTTAAAGAGTGCACTAATTTCACACTTGTAATCTCAGCACTTTGGGAGGCCGAGGTGGACAGATCACCTGAGGTCAAGAGTTTGAGACCAGCCTGACCAACATGGAGAAACCCTGTCTCTACTAAAAATACAAAATTAGCCGGGTGTGGTGGCGTATGCCTGTAATCCCAGCTACTCAGGAGGCTGAGGCAGGAAAATCACTTGAACCCGGGAGGCAGAGGTTGTGGTGAGCTGAGATCGCACCATTGCACTCCAGCCTGGGCAACCAGAGCAAAACTCTGTCTCAAAACAAAAAAAAAAAAAACAAAAAAACACAAAAAACACTAATTTGCCCAAGGCCTCTCAACTAGAAGCCACTAAGCTGGGACATGAATTCCTGTTGCCATTCTCTTAACTACTATATGATACTGCTTCCCTCACTTAATGGCCCTAGCCTCAATTTCCTTTTCTATAAGACCAGAACTGTCAATGGCTCCTAGCCCACAGGTGTTTGTGAAAATTAAATGGCATAGCATATGTCAGGTCCTGGCACCCAGCAAGCACGCAGGAGGCACCGGTGTTTGGCAGGCGTCGCTTCTCCTTCCTTAGTCTCGGATTCCCGTTTCAGGCATGCAGCTCTTACCCCAGGGATGACTGGCATTTGAAAGGACTTTCAATGATCCTGATGAAATCCTGCAGTAAACGACTCAGACCCATGAAAAAAATGCCCTGTGAGCTTGGACAAGTTCCTCCACCCCCTGGGCCTGTTTTGTCCGTGGTAGGATGTCCTCTGTTTACCTGGAAGAGTTACGGGTAGATTAAAGGAGAGAGGGAAGAACGGAGCCAGCCCAGGCTTGCTACAGAACAGGCTGGTGAGAGCTGCAGCATCTCTGTGCTCTGTGATCACGGCAAGGTGGGAGGAATTCTAGTTTCATTTAACTAAAATAGAGAATTAGGAAGATTATTTTCCACAGCAACTAAAAATGAGAGACTGTTGAAAGAACTTGCACTGGGTAGTCCAGAGAACCAAGTGTTTATGTGAATGCACCTGTCTAAAAATGAGGGCTTCTCAGGGATCAAGAGAAACCCAAGCCATTTCCATTTGGGGGGGGCTTCTGGTATTTTAAGGGGAAAAAACAAGATTGAAAGAATAATACGAAAGCAAGGTTGCATATATTGCTGCATGTCTTGTGTTACATTTAACAAATGTCAGTACAAAAAAACTGACCAAACATAACTCTGCTAATCATAAGGCAGTTACTAGATCTATGTAATTACAGAAATCTTAATTAGTGCACTGCAGGCAGCGTTGGCAGGTAATGGGACACAAACTGTTTTCAAGCCCCTCACGGGCCTTCTTGGAGAAAATGCCAACAGTGGCCGATGTCCGGGGTGGGGGTGGCCGTGGATGCGCCCCAGCCCCAGGCGCCACCTATCCCGGGACCAGAGCGGCGGGGCTGGATGGGGCGGGGACTGGGAGGCGGCGCGGCCCGGCCCCGGCCCCACCTGTAGATGTCCCCGGCCGGCGAGAGCGGGCGCCGGGGTTCGCTCTGAGTCGCGTGGCAGGCCGCGCTGCGTCCACCGCTGCCGAGTTCAGAGCCGCGCACCGCCCGCCGCCGCAGGTCGGGTTCCCAGCGCTACTCCCAAGACACCGCTCAGCCATGAAGATGCATTTCTGTATCCCGGTGTCCCAGCAGCGGTCCGACGCGCTGGGGGGCCGCTACGTGGTGCGCCCAGGGCTGGGGTCAGGGTGGGCAGGGAGGGGGCCGGTGGCAATGCTCACTTATCCCTCGGCTCACCAGGGACGGGGTGTCTGTGTGTTTGCAGCTGTACTCCGTGCACCTGGACGGGTTCCTCTTCTGCAGGGTGCGCTACAGCCAGCTGCACGGTTGGAACGAACAGGTGAGCAGATTGGAGGCGGGTACGAGCCCATCCACTGAGACAGGTGGAGAAAGCTGTCCCCAAAGCGCTCTGTTCCTCTGACTCTGGCAAGACACTGGGCCTTTCACGGCCTCGGGCTTCCTATTGTGAAACAGGGTCCTGGTAAGGATGAACTGAATTGCTTGGCATACAGTTGGATGAATGCATGCTGCGGCTCCTGGTCGCCTACAGCTGTGAGATGAGGGAACCGGGCGCAGGTGATTCTTCCAAGCCCCTCGCAGTTGCAGCCGGGTGATCCCCGCTAGCGCCGCCTGGCAGGGCGCTGGGGCTATGCTGGGCCCCATTTCAGTGCCCGCTGTTCCCCAGGACAATGCTTCCCTCCAAAATTTGGAAACTGGGTCTAGATCAAGGCCTAGAGTCTTTGGAGTCTTGTACATGGGTATTTAATCTCCTTTGTCTCGAGAGTTTCTTAAGTTTGCCCCCTTTAAAAAGGTGTGTCTCTAGTTTTGTTTTTGAATGGCCATGAGGCTTCAAGTACTGGCAGGCTGGGAACCAGGGAACATGACTTACCAAGCTAGGATAGTTTCTCACCCTGCTGTCTTGACAGTATTTTCTCTGGGAGGCAGACTGATTTATTAGTCTGCTCTAATGGGTTTCATTGTTCTTATAAGGAGGTGTTATAAGTCTTCAAAATGGATTAGAGAAGTAAATGAAAGTTTAGAAATAAACTTTACACTCCTCCTCCACTCCCCCATGAATAGTGATTTTTGTTTTTTTGTTTTAGATTTTAGGTTATAAACAGCACATACCTAACATTAAAAACAAAAGTATAGGCCAGGCACCGTGGCTCATGCTTGTAATCCCAATACTTTGGGAGACTGAGGCAGGAGGATTACTTGAGTCCCAGAGTTTGAGACCAGCCTGGGCAACATAGCCGAGACCTTGTCTCTATTAAAAAAAAAAAAAAAAAAAGTGTAGAGAAAACTGAAAAAACTTTCCCAGAGGTAACAGCTGTTTTTGTTTGTTTGCTTGTTTTGAGAGAGTTTTTTCAGACAGTCTCTGGGTTTCTAGTGAGTTAGATACACCATGTTTCATTTAACCATCTTCTGTTGACCGACAGCTTAGTTTGTTTTTTCTGCTATTAAATTGTCACTGTAGCAAGCCTTCTTGCTCATACATCACAGTGCATTGGAAAAGTCCATTTTCAAGGTGTGATTAAGTATCTTTGGAGTCAACCAAGAACAGTTGTAATGTGGTTACTAGTTAATTTGAGTGGTCATCTTTGTATTACTAGTGCTGTGACCCAGTAGGTCCTTAGGAACGATTGTCAAATGATTGAATGAAGAATGGCATAGATTCAGACTTCTGGAAGATAAGAAGCTACTTGTGACTGAAACACATGGGGAATTGTGAGGACTGCAGAGGCAGGGATCTCAAAGGAAGAGAAAGGATGAGTGTCTTAGGCATTGGCAGGGGGAGGCAGGGTATCCTCTCCTACCCTCCTCTGTTTTCCTGCAG
This sequence comes from Homo sapiens, assembly GCF_000001405.40. Lineage (NCBI taxonomy): Eukaryota > Metazoa > Chordata > Mammalia > Primates > Hominidae > Homo > Homo sapiens. The sequence continues at coordinate 100,647,776 of NC_000008.11, read as the reverse complement.
CTTGAGGTGGGGAAGGGGCAGGAGCAGAGCAGGAGGCAGCAAGAGAGCCTGTGACTGATCAACTGCGTCCTGGCTGATCACCTCACCTCTCCTCTGATCTTCAATTTTCTCATCAGAAATAATAAGCAAATGGGTCCTTATGGATGTCAGCCTCACAGTGTGCTTGTGAAGATTAGGGGCCAGCTGCTTGCAGAGCCTGGTACATAATATATGCTCAGCAAACATTTGTGGACTCAAGAGGCTTCAAGCACTCCTGAATCTGGCCCTCCTTACCCAATAGACTTGGGAAAATGCTTATTTTCAGGAAAACTCAGATGAACCAAATCCTAGCAGGTCCAGAAGCAGAGGCATAGAGTGAGTAAATTTTATTCTTGATCTTCTATTTGGTAAGACATGAAGTAGAAATTGTCTGTTATTTACTATTGGGGCCTTTAAATATTGAATTACCATGGCTCAGTGCCCTCAGTAGGACATACAATAGATTTTAATAAAATAGATTTTAATAAATATTTCATATTTATCCCAGATTTCTCAAAATAGTAAAATGGAAATTTCTTTGTCTAGTTTCCAACTTCCATATATCGCATATGAATATTTATCATTTTCCCCCTTTCTATACAAACTACTACATTTTTAAAGAAACTATTTAGATCTTAGATGGCTATTGGTATTTATAATCAATCTGAAACAATAACAAGTAGTTACTGTGTGCTGAGTTTGGTACCAAACACTTTACCTGTAATAGCTTAATTTTTATAATAGCCTTATGAGCTAGCATTAGAATTAGTCCAATTTAACAGGTGAAGCAGCTGAGGCACAATTTTCCTAAAGTCATATTGTTAATGTTGGAGGCAGGACTTGATTTCTAGAACCTGCTCTGACCTATTACATTAATGTGATTTCTTTCTAACGTTGATAAAATAAATCGTATCAGTAAAACAATGAGTCAAATGACTGAGTCCTAAACTAACATACTTTTACTGTATTTTGGAATCATGTAATGTAATAAAATTCCCCAACTTTATGGGTTCAGTGTAATGAATTTTGGTAAATGTATACAATTACCACCACCATGATCGAGGTTAAAATTTTTTTTTGCCTCACTCTAAAAGTCCCCTTGTCCTTGAAGGAAACCAAAATATTTTATCCCAAAATGTACTACTATGACATATTTCAAGATGGCTGTGTAGAAAGCTGGAAATATCAGAATAGCTGAAAAGCTGCCTTTTGTGGAGGAGATTTGCACCTGTAGAGAGAATCTGTATTGATGCAGCCAGGCTTTCTCTGAAGTCCTCTCTTGTTCAGATTTAGGAAAGAATCACAGAGAGTCTGACACCTTTAAAGGTCTGAAACAAATGTTTACCAACTGTTCTTTCTGAGAGCTGCTACCTGTGGGTTTCCTCTGTATACTAAGACCACTTTTGCTTGCCGGGTCTCTCCTCTTCTTCCCGTGACCTGTCTTGCCACCATAACCTGATTTGCCACCATAACCTGTTTTTGACCATGCCGCTTTTTTCTGTAATCTCAAGATGGTATAAAACCATCAACTATTTGGCCATTTCTTTGAGATCTTTTATTTTGTAAGACTCCCGCGCATGTTAGTAAATTTGTATGCCTTTCCTCCTATGAATCTGCCTTTTGTCAGGTGGTTTTTCAGTGAAGCTTCAGAGGATGAAGGGGAAGTTTACCCTTGGCCCCGATAGTCTTTTTGCTCTCAATCCCCTTCATTCAGCCCTGACCCCAGGCCTCCAACATCTACTCTCTGTCATGCGAGTTCCAGACACAGGATTTTGTTCCAGCAAGTCCCCAGTAAGGTCAGCAGTTCAATCATCATCATCATTCTCATTTTATAGGTAAAGAGTCTGAGGCCGGGCATGGTGATTCACACCTGCAATCCCAGCACTCTGGGAGGCCAAGGTGGGTGGACTGCCTGAGCTCGGGAGTTCAAGACCAGCCTGGGCAACATGGCAAAACCCTGTCTCTACCAAAAATACAAAAAATTAGCCAGGCATGGTGGTGCTCCTGTAATTCCAGCTATTCAGGAGCCTGAGGTGGGAGGATCGCTTGAGCCTGGGAGGTGGAGGTTGCAGTGAGCTCAGATTGCGCCACTGCACTCCAACCTGGGTGACAGAGTGAGACCTTGTCTCAAAAAAAAAAAAAAAAAAAAAAATGAAGAGTCTGAGTAGGGTTGCTAGATTTAGCAAATACAAATACAAAGTCTCCCAATTAAATTTAAATTACAAATCAACAACAAACAATTTTTTTTAGTATAAGTATGCCCCATGCACCACTTGATACATATTTAACTGAGCATCCTGTATTTTATCTGGCCACCCTAAGTCTGAGGCTGAAAGTTTGGGTGACCTCTCCCAGATATTTCTCAGCTAGTTTTTATTTCTCCTATTCAGTGGAGGATGTGAAACAGCTCAGAATTCTTAATCTGATTTAACACAGAGCACTGTAAAGAAGGAAATAGTAGAAAGGTCCCATCTGTGTGTGTGTTTGGGGAATATGAGTTTATTTCCAGTTTATTTTCTGGGAAGTTCTGCATCCTGATAGAATAGTTTTCTTCTATATAATTAACTGATTATTTGCTTAAGAAATGTTTACTAAGTTTCTGTTATATGCCACGCATTCTGTTAAATTAGGACTATTACTTTAGCATGTGTGATCTTTGGCTTTAAGAATTGGACTTATATTTTGCATGTTGGATAACTGAGATTGAGGGGCAGTACCTGGCACAGGTGAGGTGGCCTCTACTCCATCTCAGCCAGGGTATGTGGAGAGCTAATGCATAAAAACTGGACCTGGGTTGGCCAGGTGCAGTGGCTCACACCTGGAATCCCAGCATTTTGGGAGGCCAAGGTGGGTGGATCACTTCAGCTCAAGAGTTTGAGACCTGCCTGGGCAATGGTAAAACCCCGTCTCTACTAAAATACAAAAAATTAGCCAGGTGTGGTGGCATGTGCCTATAATCCCAGCTACTTGGGAGAATGAGGCACGAGAATTGCTTGAACCCAGGAGGCACAGATTGCAGTGAGCTGAGATCCCACCACTGCACTCCAGGCTGGGCAACAGAGGGAGACTCTGTCTCAAAACAAAAACCAAAACAAAGAAAAGCTGGACCTTGGGAAGAGGTGGATGTGTTTCCATGGGCTCTGCTGTGACCTGCGCCCTCTGTCATCCTCACCTGCAGTCCTGTCCCCAGTGAGGCTCCCTCGGGCTCTGGCAGCTTTTTGACCCTCTGCTGCTCAGTGCTGCTCATCTTCCTGCTGTGTGAACTGGCTGGCCCCACATTTTCTGTGCCTTTAGATAAACAAAACCAGTTTGATTTATGCCCCTGCTCTTGCTGGCACCACCCTGCCCAAATAGATTTAAAGAAATCTGTGAGGGAAACATTTAATCAGCTCATTTTGACCAAGTTACAGATGAGGCCATCCTGTGTAAGTGATATGGGGCTCTGTGAACAGTGATATGGGGCTCTGTTTCTTTGCACTCTGCCAGCATCAGACATGGCAATGGGGACAAGTTGGGAAAGCTTGCAAAGGACCCGTCAGTAGGAGGGGAGGGCTGTGCAGCCTGTGTGCGCTGGTTCAGTTGTCCTCCCTGCCAAGTGCTGACCCAACTTGGCTGCTTCCCCTCTGACCTAACCTGATCTCCTCTTTCCCTACCCATACCTCCTGTTCCTATCAGGCTGGCCCACTCTTTGTCTCTGCCTGGCTCACTTCCTCTGCCTGGGATGACTCCTGGTTTTAGTCTACCTGTCAAGGGAGCAATCGTTTCTCAAAGCCCACCTCAGTCCCATCTCCTCCAGGAAGTCCTCCTTGATTGCATGAGATGCCTTTCTCTGATTGCTGTGCCGCTTCATGTTTCAACCTTGTCATGCTCCTTCCTCTTTTTGTGTTTATATTTTGTCTCCCCTGATTATTTATAAGCAAAATCCAAATATTTGAATGAAGGGACAGAATGAAGGCTTGTGGGTATGGAACACCCAGCATGGAATTCTGCCTTGGTAGTTGCTTAGCAGAGATTTGGTGGAAAAGGTGATGGTGATGATGATGACAGCAGTGAGAAGACTGAGTCCATCTTCTGCCAGTCATCAGCTTGGATGTCCTAGTTTTAAGTCACTTCATCTCCCTGAGTCTGGGGTTGCTCCCGCTCAAGGTTCATGGTGCTGAGGATCTGTCTACCTCGTAGTGCTGTTTTGAGGAACAAATGGGATAATATGCAAGCTCTAGGCCATGCTCTTAGGTGCTAGATGCCACCACCCAGACTCTGAGCTGTGGCCCTTTATCTGGTGAATTTGGGTTTTTAACTACAAGGGGACTTGGAGAGGTGGGAAGAATGAGTCGACATTAGAAACAGACACCTTTTGTGTCTGTAATTCTACTTGTCCCAGGCCATCACCATTTTGGCATAGGTATAGGGGGGTGTGAATGCAGTAAGGTGGGGGAAGTAGGTGACATTTTCAACTGGCCTGTAAAGGCCTCTTCATGTTAAAAGGCAGAGCTGTACGAAGGGGTAGTTGGTACAGGAGATTGTTCTGGGATTTTTTTGTTTGTTTCTGTTTTGTTTTGTTTTTTTGAGACGGAGTCACGCTCTTTCACCTAAGCTGCAGTGAGGTGGTGCGATCTCAGCTCACTGCAACCTCCACCCCCCCCAAGTTCAAGTGATTCTCCTGCCTCAGCCTCCCGGGTACCTGGGATTACAAGTGCCTGCCACCACACCTGGCTAATTTTTGTATTTTTAGTAGAGAGGGGGTTTTGCCATGTTGGCCAGGCTGGTCTTGAACTCCTGACCTCAGGTGATCTGCCTGCCTCAGCCTCCCAAAGTGCTAGGATTACAGGCATGAGCCATCACGCCCGCCCTGTTCTGGGGTTTATGAAAATATTTGTCAGATCACAGTCTTAAAAAAAACCCACAATACTCCAAACAAACAAAAACACCACATAATAAAAGAGCAGAACAGATATGTTTTCCTTTTGATCTCTTTAAACAGTTTTTTGAAAGACAGGTAGGGCTGAACTGTAGTACCAGATACTTCTCAGTACGCTGGTGGTTTTGATAGCTCAACTGTGTACTGAGACCCATGGAAAAGGTCCTCTTTTGGTGGAGTTGAATTTGGATTTGATTGTTGACTTTTGGCACATTTAACTACTCAGTTTCCTTTATGTTCATTGTCCCCCTTAGGTCAGTATCCGAGAAGGGAGGAGAAAGATTCCTTGACAAGTCAGCTCAGGTTGTAAAAACCTGCTGGGAAGGTTTCTGCTCTGTGATAGGTATTAGAACCTTAATCCTTGTTGATTTTTCCCCAGATCTTGGCCTCAGGGCTTCCCCAAGATACTGTCTTGCAGATGGATAACTCAGGCAGCCCTGTTGATTCAAGGCTGCTGTGATTAGAACTGATTCGGGAACATCTGCGACATTTACGAACACATGCCAATGAAGACAATGGCCTTTTAAAGATCACTTAATCAGTTAGCCAAGAAATAATTGCATGCAAAGAAGTCAAATTTTTGCTTCTATTTAATGGAATTAGCAGAGATGGGTGCATCAATCCCAGGTTGTTTCAGCAGCCCTGCCTGGGATAATGCTCCAACTGGGATGCCTTTTGACAGTCTCTGGAAGGGCCGAAAAATTTCCTTGAGTTTAAAAGAAACAGAATTGTCTTTATAATATTTTGTTTGTTTGTTTGTTTGAGATGGAGTCTCGCTCTGTCGCCCAGGCTGGAGTGCAGTGGCGCGATCTCGGCTCACTGCAAGCTCCGCCTCCCGGGTTCGCGCCATTCTCCTGCCTCAGCCTCCCGAGTAGCTGGGACTACAGGCACCTGCCACCAAGCCCGGCTAATTTTTTTGTATTTTTAGTAGAGACGGGGTTTCACCGCGTTAGCCAGGATGGTCTAGATCTCCTGACCTCGTGATCCGCCCGCCTCGGCCTCCCAAAGTGCTGGGATTACAGGCGTGAGCCACCACGCCCGGCCTATAATATTTTATACTAGGTTTAATCGTACTCTAGCCTGGGCCACAGGAGTGAGACCCTGTCTCAAAAAAAAAAAAAAATTATACTAGGTTTAGATGAGAGATTGCAAACTTAAATGGCTACAGGCAAGTACCATACATATATATATATATATATATATATATATATATATGCGCGTGTGTGCGTGTGTGTGTGTATGTGTATATATATATATATATATATATATATATATTTTTTTTTTTTTTTTTTTTTGAGACAAGGTCTCACTCCAGTGGCCCAGGCTGGAGCGCAGTGGTGTGATCTCGGCTCACTGTTGCCTTAGCCTTGAAGTCTCCAGCTCAGGTTATTCTCCCACCTCAACTTCCTGAGTAGCTGGGACTACAGGCACATGCTACCACACTTGGCTTAATTTTTTGTATATTTAGTAGAGACAACATCTTGCCATGTTACCTAGGCTGGTCTTAAACTCATGGACTCAAGCAATCTGCCCACCTAGGCCTCCCAAAGTGTTGAGATGACAGGCGTGAGCCACCGCAGCCAACTGGCAGGTACTTTAAATGAGAGATGAGGATCAGGTGAACAACAGTGGAGAGTGGTGGGAATGGTTTAGGTCCCCTCACCAGACAGTTGCCTGAATGTGAACCCATTGATTCCAGATCTCAGTTTTCCAGAGAAGCCAGAACATCAGTTTTTTTTTAAATAAACTTAATTTTTGAAACAGTTTTAGTTTTCAGAAAAGATAGGACAGAGGGTTTCCATATAATCCACAGTTTCCTCTATTATTAAGGTTTTATATTAATATGGTGCATTCATTACAATTAACAAATCAGTATTGATACATTCTTATTAACTACAATCTATAACTTTTCAGACCTCCTTAGTGTTTACCTAATGTCCTATTTCTCTTCCAGGACCCTGGCCAGTGTACCACATTACATTGAGTTGTTAGGTCTCCTTAAGTTCCTCTTGTCTGTAACAGTTTCTTAGATTTTCCTTATGTTTAATGACCTTGATAATTCTGATGAGTACTTGTCAGATATTTTGTAGAATATCCTTCTTGGAATTTGTCTTATATTTTTTACATAATTAGATGGGGGTTATGGGTTGGGGGGATGAAGACCCCAGAGATAAAGTGCCGCACTAATCACATCGTATCAAGAGTACCTACTATCATCTGACTTACACTCTTGATGTTGGTCTTCATCACCTGGGTGAGGTAGTATTTGTCAGTTTTCTCCACTGTAAAGTTACTCTTTTGTCCTCTCTTTCCATAGTATCCTCTTTGGAAGGAAGTCACTACATGCAGCCCACACTGAGAGTGGGGATTTATGCTCCCCCTTTTTGAGAAGTATCTATAGAAATTATCTGATATGGCTGGGCGTGGTGGCTCACGCCTGTAATCCCAACATTTTGGGAGGCCAAGGTGGGTGGATCACCTGAGGTCAGGAGTTTGAGACCAGCCTGACCAACATGGAGAAACCCCGTCTCTACTAAAAATACAAAATTAGCCAGGCATAGTGGCACATGCCTGTAATCCCAGCTACTCGGGAGGCGAGGCAGGAGAATTACTCGAACCCAGGAGGCAGAGGTTGCAGTGAGCCAAGATGGCACCATTGCACTCCAGCCTGGGCAACAAGAGCAAGACTCTGTCTCCAAAAAAAAGAAAAGAAAAGAAAAGAAATTATCTGATGTTCTTCTGCACAAGAGATTTGTCTAGTCGCTCCTATTTATTTAAAACAAGTCTGTAAGGACTCATGGATATTCACTTTATACTTTGGGTCATATTTCACTACTACTTGGTTGGTCAAATTGTTCCATCTTGGCCCATGGAAGCTCTTTCATTTTGCTCCTTGTCTCTGACATACTCCCATTCCTGATTTGTTTTTTTCATTTGTTTTGAATGTTTCCTTACTTTCTGGAGCTACAAGGTACTCCAGGCCCATCTTATATATTTCCTGCCTCAGTCCTAGAAATCAGCCATTTCTCCATAGATCCTTGGTTGCACTGATTGTAGAATGGTATTGCAATCTAAGATCTGGGCACTAGATATGTTCATTGTTACTGGAGTGTTGTTGCATCTAGGTCCTCTCAGCTGACAGAGCAAGGAAATATATGTGTGTATACAAACCCATGTATACAGACACATGAATAAATATTTCTATATGTAGTCATCTATATTAAACTAAACATGTGGTCATACTAATATATTCAACTCTAGTGCATTACCACATGGATCATTCTAGCCTCTTCCCCTTATGTGTAAACTGCCACTACAACAGTTGGAAACCTGACTCCCACTATCTGCCATTCATTTACTTGTTTGATTCTGTATACACATGTGGCAGTATAGTGCTGTTAACCTATACTCCTGTGGAAAACAACTTTATCAGCCAGAGTCCAATGCCTGTGTACAGTTAGTTTCTTTGCCTTTAGTTTACAGACTCCACTCATTTTCAAAGTGACTTAGGTCAGCACTTTTTTTCTCACCACGTTCAGTGAGTTGGTTTCATACATTTGTAACATAGTTTTATCACATTCTACATTCCATCCTCGGATTCCCCAAACCTCCTAAATTATTTCTAAAAATATTTGCAAACACGAAGCTTCTGTTGTAAAGTTCAGAAAACATCAAGTTCTGTTGTAATTTTGACTAATGCATAGTGTCATGCATCCACAATTCTAGTTTCACATAGACTAGTTTTATTGCCCTAAAAAACTCCATGTGTTTCAGTTATTCTGTACCTCCCTGCCCCAAAACTTTGTGGCTGTTGATCTTTTTATAAAGTCTCTATACTTTTGGCTTTTCCAGAAAGTCATATAATTGAAATCATATAGTATATAGCTTTTCCAGACTGACTCCTGTCGCTTAGCAATATTTATTTACGTTTCTTTCATGTCTTTTGTGTTTTGATATCTTATTTCATTTTATTTCTGAATAACACATTCCATTGTATGGATATATCACAGTTTGCTTATCCATTCACAGACTGAAGGACATCTTTGTTGTTTAAATTTTGGGGGTTATGAATTAAGTTGCCATAAACATTTTGTATGGACAGTTTTCAAATCAGTTGGGTATTTATCGCTGGATTATAGAGTGAGACTATGTTTAGCTTTGTAAGAAATTGCCAAACTGTCTTTCAAAGTGGTTGTAATATTCTGTATTCTCTTCAAGATACAAGTTTTTAAAATTTTAAGTCACACAAATAACTGCTGGTACCAAATTCCAGTTATCTAAAAATCAAACAACCAACCACCAAAAAAATGCATCAGGGAAGTGTGTTTTGCCCACGGGCAGGCAGTTAATAACCATTCCAGATGTTAGACCAATGTTTCCCAATAGAACTTTTGTGCTGATGGAAATGCTGTATATCTGCTTTGCCCAACTCAGTAGCAAATTACAATATTTCAAGTGGCTATTAAGCATTTGAAATGTGGCTAGCAAGACTGGAGATTGAATTTTAAAATTTCAAATTATTTTAATTATGTTTAAATTTACTCACAGGTGGCTAATGCCAACCATATTAGATGGCACAGTTCTAGGTCATTGTAAGAATTTTGGGTTTACTTGAGTGAGATGAGAAGTTGAGGATGATTTTGAGAAAGGCAGTGGAATGATCTGACTTACTTTTCTTATTTTAAGAAATGATAAAGTCTTGCTCTGTTGCCCAGGCTGGAGGGCAGTGGCTAGCCTTGAACTCCTGGGCTCAAGCAACCCTCCTGCCTCAGCCTCCCAAGTAGCTGGGACTACAGGTGTGCATGACTGCACCTGGCTGACTTACATTTTTAAAGTATCACTTTAGGCTGGGTGCAGTGGCTCACACCTGTAATCCCAGCACTTTGGGAGGCCGAGGCAGCCAGATCACCTGAGGTCAGGAGTTTGAGACCAGCCTGGCCAACATGGCAAAACCCCGTCTCTACTAAAAATACAAGAATTAGCTGGGCGTGGTGGCACACACCTGTAGTCCCAGCTACTCAGGAGGCTGAGGCAGGAGAATCACTTGAACCCAGGAGGTGGAGGTTGCAGTGAGCCAAGATCATGCCACTGCACTCCAGCCTGGGCGACAGAGCGAGACTCTGTCTCAAAAAGATAAAATAAAATAAAAATAAAGTATCGCTTTAGATGCTGTGTTAGGAATAGACTGAAGGAGTCACGGGTAGAAGCAGAGAGACTTGTTGGAAGGCGATTGCAATAATCTAGAAAAGAGATGATAGTGACTTGGACCAGGGTGATGGTAGTGGGCATGGAGAGAAGTCATGAGATTCTTGACTTTTCTGAAGTTAGGGCCTGTCTATGCAAGGTAAATATTTGTCAGATACTCACTGTATTTGTGACAAAGGCCATGGAATTAAAAAATCTTGCTGTTTGCAGCCTCATTTTTCTTATTCCATCTTTCATTTTCTTTAAGCCACTGAGTATGGTAATAGTAAGATTTCAGCCCTCCTGCTCTAGAGGTACCATGTCAAAACCTGATTGGGTTTCTGAGTGGTTTCCTTTCTCTTATTTTCAGGAGAATGAATCTGTGCCTTACCTTCAAGCTGCCACTACAAGTGTTGGGCTGGAATAAAGATGCACATTTTTAGTTCTTAATTTTAAAATTATTTTTTATGCATCCACTTTTTAGGTTCCATAAAAATAATTACTGCCATGGTCATGGGTCATATATGAGTAAGTGGGAGAGAAGGGCCTGGCTGGTTTCTACTTGGGATCATATGTCAGCCTTATTGGAATTCTGTAACCAGCACTGGTCCAATAGAAATATAATGTGAGTCACCCGGCCGGGTGTGGTGGCTCACGCCTGTAATCCCAGCACTGTGGGAGGCAGAGGCAGGTGGATCACCTAAGGTCAGGAGTTTGAGACCAGCCTGGCCAACATGGAGAAACACTATCTCTACTAAAAATACAAAATTAGCCTGGCCTGGTGGCAAATGTCTGTAACCCCAGCTACTCGGGAGGCTGAGGCAGGAGAATTGCTCGAACCCAGGAGGCGGAGGTTGCAGTGAGCCAAGATTGAGCCATTGCACTCCAGCCTGGGCAACAAGAGTGAAACTCCGTCTCAAAAAAGAAAGAAAGAAAGAAAGAAATATGAGTCACCTGTGTAATTTAAAATTTTCTGATAGGCACATTAAAAAGAGTAAAAGGAAACAGATGGAATTAATTTTAATAATATATTTTATTTAATTCAATATATCCAAAATATTATCATTTCAACATGTAATCAGTATAAAAAATTATCAGCGAGATATTTTACATTCTCTTTTCTTTGAAATTTGGAATGTATTTTACACCTACAACACATCTCAATCCAAACTAGCGACGTTCAAGTGCTCATTCACAACAGGTGACTGGTGGCTACCGCTTTAGGTGACACAGCTGTAAGCATTTGTCAAGTTCAGATTTGGTGGCGGTAGGGCTGAGGAATTTAATTCCCGTTGTAATTGATATCACAGACACTGTTGTGGAATGAATCAAGATAATATTGTATGATGTGAGCAGTGGCTAGTCTTGTAAAACAAATGAAAAATAAAAATACATCTCAGCTCTACCAAACTTAGACTGGAGCTGTCGGTCTGTGATATGTCTAGTAATGTCTCCAGAATATATACTGAAATAAATTCCTCCTTAAGAAAATCAGATTGTCCTCTTTTCCCCCTTTGGGCTACCAGGAAAGCTTAATTTGAAATAAAGTGCTGGGATGGGACTTGCCCTAAAGGAGACTTTAGTAATCTCATCAACCCTGAACTGGCGGCTCACCTGCCTTAACTGTGTTTCCTGGATCTTTCAGCTAAGGCGGGTCTTTGGAAATTGCCTGCCACCCTTCCCACCAAAGTACTATCTGGCAATGACCACAGCTATGGCTGATGAGAGGAGGGACCAACTGGAACAATATTTGCAAAATGGTATGTATTTGCAGGGTTTTTTAAAAAACAGATTTATTGCAATGTAAGCTATATGCCACAAAATTCACCTGCTAAAGTGTACAATTCTTTTACAATATATTTATGTAATTAATTGTGCGACCATTACCGTAATCTAATTTTAGAATATTGTCACTACCCCCAAAAGAAACCTCATACCCATTGGCAATCACTTCCTCTTTCCCTCCCCCACCACGCCCTGGCAACTACCACTATAATTTTTATCTCTAAAGATTTGCCTATTCTGGACGTTTCATATATAAGGGATTATATAATATGTGTTCTTTGTATTTGGTTTTAAAAATACCTTTTTTTTTTTTTTTTAAGAGATGAAGTCTGGCTGGGCATGGTGGCTCACACCTGTAATCTCAGCACTTTGGGAAGCTGAGGCAGGAGGATCACTTGAGGCCAGGAGTTCAAGACCAGCCTGAGCAACATAGAGAGATCCTGTCTCTAAACAAAATTTTAAAAATTAGCCAGGTATGATGGTGCATGCCTATAATCCCAGCTACTCAGGAAGCTGAGGTGAGAGGATAGCTTGAGCATAGGAAGCTGAGGCTGCAGTGAGCTGTGATTGCACCACCGTACTCCAGCCTGGGTGACACAGCAAGACAGTGACTCTAAAAAAGATAAAAATAAATAAATAAATAAATAAAAGAGATGAGGTCTCACTATGTTGCCCAGGCTGGTCTCAAATTTCTGGGCTCAAGTGATCCTCCTGCCTCAGCTTCCTAAAGTGTTAGAATTACAGGTATGAGCCACCACACCCAGCCTAAATGTCTCAGCAGTTATATGTTTGCTGATTTTATTTTTTGAGACAGGATCTTTCCCTGTTGACGAGGCTGGAGTACAGTGGCACAATCGTGGCTAACTATAGCCTTGGTCTCCTGGGGGGTCAAGCAATCCTCCCACCACAGCTTCCTGAGAAGCTGGGACTATATGTGCAACGCACCATGCCTGGCCAATTAAAAAAAAAAATTTTTTTTACAGAGGTGGGGTCTCACTATATTGCCCAGGCTGGTCTCAAACTCCTGGCCTCAAGCAATCCTCCCATGTCAGCCTCCCAAAGTGCTGGGATTATAGATATGAGCCACTGCACCCAATATTTAATTTTTTTTTTTTAAGACAGAGAGACAGAGTCTCGCTCTGTCGCCCAGGCTGGAGTGCAGTGGTGTGACCTTGGCTCACTGCAACCTCTGCCTACCAGGTTCAAGCAATTCTCCTGCCTCACCCTCTCTAGTAGCTGGGATTACAGGTGCTTGCCACCATGCTCAGCTAATTTTTGTATTTTTTTAGTAGAGATGGGGTTTCACCATGTTGGCCAGGCTGGTCTCGAGCTCCTGATCTCAAACGATCTGCCCACTTCAGCTTCCCAAAGTACTGGGATTACAGGGGTGAGCCACCATGCCTGGCCTACTTTATGTTTAGAGTCACACTTGGGTGCTGTATTTTGGCTTTGATTGGGAGGTTAAAAAAAAAGTTTCTGGATTAGGAATGAACAAAAGGATGAGATGAACCACTTACAGGAAAGCCCTTGAGAGATGTCAGAGGTCTTTATTAGCAGTGCCAGAGCTTGTGCCTTCATGTTAGTCCTTACCAGGAAGCCATGCTAAGGCACCAAGGACATTCAGCTGTGTCCCCTGTGAGGCTTACAGTACAACAGCTTGCCCTTCGCCTGGGTCCTAGAAATGCTGTGTACAGCAAAACTGTTGTTGGCAAGATTAGGCTGTCACGGAAAAGAGGATGTTGAGGGGAAATGGCAAAACTGGCACTTAAAGACTTAAAGTTTTTAAAATTGGAAAAGTGTATACACATAATATTTCTTAAAATATAAACTACCTAAAAGAATATACAATGAAAGGTAAGTTCCCTTTCCACCCCAGGCTGTTTGTATATTACCTAGCAGCAATTTGCGTGTATATAGATCCCTTTTTGCTCAACACAAATTGAACTTTACTATACATACTTTTCTGTAGCTGATTTTCAGAGCTTTTTATTCTGAAAGTTTGGTTTACAGAAAAGTTGCAAACATAATGCTAAGCATTTCTGTATACGCCACCCAGATTTCCCAGATGTTTACATTTTACATTTGTCTTATCATTCTTTTTTCCTTGTGTGTGTATGTGTATATATGAATCTCTCTATATCTTTTTTTTAGACTCACTTGAATCTTACACACCTCAGCCATCTTATTTTAAGATACTTTGTGACTTTGGGAGGCTGAGGTGGGCAGATCATCTGAGGCCAGGAGTTCAAGACCAGCCCGGCCTACATGGCAAAACCCCGTCTCTACTAAACAGACAAAAAATTAGCTGACCATGGTGGCACGTGCCTGCAATCGCAGCAAATTGGGAGGCTAAGGCAGGAGAATCACTTGAACCCGGGAGGAGGAGGCTGCAGTGAGCCAAGATCACACCATTGCACTCCAGCCTGGGCAGTGAGAGTGAAACTCCATCTCAAAAAAATAAATAAATAAATAAAATACTTTGTGTATTTCCTAAGATCACAGAGACTGTCTTATAGAACCACAGTATAGTTAGCAAAATCAGGAAACAACATTGATACAATAATGTTCAATATATCAAAACCAGGAAACAACATTGATACAATAATCTATCTAGAGACCTTATTCAAACTTCACCAACAATTAGGCTCGGCATGGTAGCTCATGCCTGCAATTCCAGCACTTTGGGAGGTTAAGGCAGGAGGATCCCTTGAGCCCAGGAGTTCAAGGCCAGCCTGGGCAATATAACAAGACCCCATCTGTACCCAAAAATAAAAAATAAATAAAAATTAGCTGGGTGTAGTGGCACGTGCCTGCACCTACTTGGAAGGCTGAGGTGGGAGGATTGCTGGAGCCCAGGAGTTTCAGGCTGCAGTAAGCTCTGATCTTGCCACTGCACTCCATGCTGGGCAACAGAGAAAGACCCTGTCTCAAAAAATAAAATAAAGTCAGCAAACATAAAACTGCTGAGACATTTAGGCTGGGCGTGGTGGCTCACACCTGTAATCCCAACACTTTGGGAAGCTGAGGCAAGAGGATCACTTGAGCCCAGGAATTTGAGACCAACCTGAGCAATATAGATCTCATCTCTGTATTTTTTTTAGAGTCAGTGTCTTGCTATGTCACCCAGGCTGGGGTGCAGTGGTGCAATCACAGCTCACTGCAGTCTCGACCTCCTGAGCTGTGATTTGAGCAACTGCACTCCAGCTTGGGTGACAGATGGAGACCCTGTATCTAAAAATAAATAAATAAAACATCGCCAACTATTATACTAATGTCCTTTGTAGCTCAAGAAAAAGGGTTTTTCTCCTGTATGTTGACTTTTTTCTCTTAAAAAATATATATCTTAGAAGTCATTCTACATCAGCAGTCATAGATTTATCTCATTATTTTTCATGGCTGCAAATTTTTCTTAAACATAGTAAGTAAAAATTCTAGAAGCCATCTATTTCCCATTAAATTTTTTTTTGTCATGGGACCATACTTCTTTTTAGACCTGCTGAATGAGCTCTTTCAAAGTTCAAGTTCAAAATGTAATATCTTTTGAATTTTCACTCTCCCTTAGTTTGTTTTCTCGTGTCTTAGCAAAATGTTCCTTTAATACCTGGCCTTTTCACAGATGATCACCGTGCTTGAGGGTTCGCTTTTCCAGGCCTGGTCTTTATTCATATTATCAGGATGACCTGTGTACCGTCTTTGACAAGGTCCAGTAGGAAGACAGTACAGCTTAGCCTCATGACTCAGAGCACAGGTTCTCAAATCAGACCCAGTGTCAAACCCCACTTTAGCTCCTCACCAGCTGTGTGACCTTGGGCAAGATACCTACCTTCTCTGAGCCTCAGTTTCTTTATCCGTGAAACAGAAATAATATTTACCTCCGAGTTTGTCATGAAGATTAGATAAGCTAAAATATACAAAGTTTTTAGCCTAATACTGGTACTTAATAGTCACGCAGTAAATACCAGTTGGGTGAATACCTTTTTCAGCAGCTTTCCTCATTCCCAAGAATTTATGCTAATGAATATAGTTATTAGTAGTTTGACTATATGCCCCATTGCAGAAAATAATGCAAGGGCTTCCCCTCCTCCACTCCGGGAATTACCCCTCAGAAAAGACAGAATGCTTTTTATAAATAGTTTCTCATGTTGCAGGGACTTTCTCTCTTCGTTTATTTTGGAAAACATGATGTCTTTTGGGAAAGGCACAGCCTGCAATGAAGTCAGTGATAGTTTTGAATGCTGGTAGAGGATGTTTGATAAAATTAGTAAAACAGGCCGGGTGTGGTGGCGCACTCCTGTAATCCCAAAAACTTGAGAGACTGAGGCAGGAGAATTGCTTGAACCTGGGAGGTGGAGGTTGCAGTGAGGTGAAATCACGCCATTGCACCCCAGCCTGGGTGACAGAGCAAGACTCCATCTCAAAAAAAAAAAAAAAAAAGTAAAACAGCAATGAAAACAGAAGGAAGAAAGAAATTTGGCAGCATTTAGTAAGTATGTAAGTGTAGCTGAAGCGCAGGATATAGGAGAGGATCTGTGGCAAGTGGGGGTAAACCAGGAGGAACCAGGCTGGGCCATACCTTGTGGGTTTGCAGTTCTCATGGGGGTGTGTCTGCCCCATCTGCTCTGCCCATATCTCCTGGCTATTTGTGTCAGGAGCTTTAAAACTAAGGGTAAAAATATTTTTGTTAATTATAGAAGAATGAAATATTTTAAATCTCTCTGACTGCCTTATCATTGCTTTTTTTTGGTAACATCTCGAGAACTCCTATCATTCAAAGGGGTGCTCTCGGCCGGGTGCTGTGGCTCACACCTGTAATCCCAGCATTTTGGGAGGCCAAGGCAGGCAGATCACCTGAGGTTGGGCATTTGAGACCAGCCTGGCCAACATGGTGAAACCCCATCTCTACTAAAAATACAAAAATTAGCCGGGCATGGTGGTGAGTGCCTGTAATCCCAGCTACTTCAGAGGCTGAGGCAAGAGAATCGTCTTAACCCAGGAGACGGACATTGCAGTGAGCCGAGCTCACGCCACTACACTCCAGCCTGGGCGACTGGGCGAGACTCCAAAGAGGTGCTCTCAGTTGATGTTTCTTGGTTGAATTAAATTTTCAAATTACCCTGTGTCTTGCTAGGCTGGGAGTCTAGATGCAGGTTTTAAGATCTTTCTGATTCTTCATATAAACTTCATTATCATCCTGGTAGGGCAGCAAAATGGATGTTCAGTAGTATGGGTTTGTATAAATAAAGTGAGATGCCTGGGAACACTGTCACCCTGGATGGGTGTCATGGGTTCCTGTTGTTAAGGCTGCCTATAGGAGGCAAGCTTTGGGGGTTTTCCTGTATTTGAGAGGTTTCAACATTTATCACTTCAGGGAGGAGACAGAGCACTGGCAAGGCATGGAGGGATCTCTGGAGGACATAGCAATTAATAGGCAGGGCCCAGCCCAGCCCATGCTAACCTGGCTCACCGTCCATGTTTTTCAGTAACCATGGACCCAAACGTGTTGAGAAGTGATGTCTTCGTTGAGTTTTTAAAACTGGCGCAGCTGGTAAGCTTGCTCTTCTTTAATGGGGCCATCATTCCTCTGCAGGACACTCTTCATGAACCAAGTGTGCAGGTACACACACATGTGTGCACTGGTCACAGCCCCACAGAGCCTGGACTTGGACAAAATATATTCATTTCAAGTCAATTGGGGGATGGTTCCTATTTTGTTCTTTTGGAGGTTTAGATTTTAGATGGAAAATGAAGTGTGTCACTTGACCTTTGGCTCATTTTATTAAGTAGATCCCTTTTTCTGTAGCCTAAGAATCATACATCTCAAAACAGGACATGAAGAAGAGGACCTTCAAGTACAGTACAAGAACTACAGCCTTTATCATTAAGGGTTCCCATAACATGTCTGTGACCCTGCTTCTGTAGCTGAGATTTCCAAATGGGCCACAGTGAAGACATCAGGAAAGCAGGCCATGCTGGCTATTCCTTGTATATTCTCTACTCCTACCTTTATTGTAAATGAATCATGGAGAAAATTCAACATGAACAGAATGACATACAGCAACTCCCTTTCCTTTGTTGGTCTAAAGAGTCATGGGTCACTTGCTCCCTAGGCTGAAACTGCTAAGTACGTTTGTTTAGCACAACACTCATTCTAATGACACATAAGGAAACATTGTTATGCCTGTATGTATGAGCTTGGCTGGAAAAGCTCTGAAAGAATTTAAGTTCCGCAGTAATATGATACTAGTTAACTGGATCCTTAGCCAGGGGAGGAATGATCAGATTTGCAAAAATGAGAACACATTTCATTCATTCATTTACTCATTTATAAAATAAAATCCCATTGGGTTCTCACAACAAATCTCATGTAAACAGGGGTTCAAATGTGTTGGAATATTTACTGGCCCAGTCAACCTGAGAAATGGCCCTAGAGCCTTCTGTTCTGTAGTGGTTCATATTTTCACAATTTCTTGATGGTTTATATATACACACACTTTCCTATTCTTTGAAAAGTTTGCTGTGGAAGTGGTGATGATAGTAAAATTCAAATAGCCAAGCGTATACAATGAAAAGTAACTTTTCTTCCCTTATGATCCCCCTCCTCAGTGACAACTGTTGTGTATAGTCTAATAGTTTATAGTGCTCTTTTGCTACACATTTCTGCACATATATAAGCATGCATATATATACATATATATGTACATGCACACATATATATACACATACATGCACACACACAATCATGTGTCACTTAAAAATGTGGATTCGTTCTGATAAATGCATCATTAGGCGATTTTGTCATTGTGTGAACACCACAAACCTAGATGGTAGAGCCTACTGCCCCTAGGCTACAAACCTGTATACTATGTTACTGTACTGCATACTGTAGACAATTGAAACACCTTGGTATTTGTGTATCTAAACATAGAAAAGGCACAGTAAAAATATGGTACTATCATTTTGTGGGACTACTGCCATATGTGCAGTTTGCTGTTGACCAAAATGTCATTAAGGGGTACATGACTACACACACACACACACACACACACACACACACACACCCATTTTATTTTACAAACAAGCGCACACTCAACACATTTTTTCAACTTGCTTTTTTAAAAAAATTTTATTATTATTATACTTTAAGTTTTAGGGTACATGTGCACAATATGCAGGTTTGTTACATATGTAGACATGTGCCATGTTGGTGTGCTGCACCCATTAACTCGTCATTTAGCATTAGGTATATATCCTAATGCTATCCCTCCCCCTTCCCCCCACCCCACAACAGTCCCCAGTGTGTGATGTTCCCCTTCCTGTGTCCATGTGTTCTCATTGTTCAATTCCCACCTATGAGTGAGAACATGCGGTGTTTGTTTTTTTGTCCTTGCGATAGTTTGCTGAGAATGATGGTTTCCAGCTTCATCCATGTCCCTACAAAGGATATGATCTCATCATTTTTTATGGCTGCATAGTATTCCATGGTATATATGTGCCACATTTTCTTAATCCAGTCTATCATTGTTGGACATTTGGGTTGGTTCCAAGTCTTTGCTATTATGAATAGTGCCGCAATAAACATATGTGTGTGTGTGTCTTTATAGCAGCATGATTTATAATCCTTTGGGTATATACCCAGTAATGGGATGGCTGGGTCAAATGATATTTCTAGTTCTAGATCCCTGAGGAATCGCCACACTGACTCCCACAATGGTTGAACTAGTTTACAGTCCCACCAACAGTGTAAAAGTGTTCCTATTTTTCCACATCCCCTCCAGCACCTGTTGTTTCCTGACTTTTTAATGATTGCCATTCTAACTGGTGTGAAATGGTATCTCTTTGTGGTTTTGATTTGCATTTCTCTGATGGCCAGTGATGATGAGCATTTTTTCATGTGTTTTTTGGCTGCATAAATGTCTTCTTTTGAGAAGTGTCTGTTCATATCCTTTGCCCACTTTTTGATGGAGTTGTTTGTTTTTTTCTTGTAAATTTGTTTGAGTTCATTGTAGATTCTGGATATTAGCCCTTGCTTTTTAATGCCCGGGTGCTGTGGCTCACGTCTGTAATCCCAGCACTTTGGGAGGCTGAGGTGGGCGGATCACCTGAGGTCAGGAGTTTGAGACCAGCCTGGCCAATGTGGTGAAACCCCATCTCTGCAAAAATAAAAATTTAGCCGGTCGTGGTGGTGCATGCCTGCAATCCCAGCTACTTGGGAGGCTGAGGCAGAATTGCTTGAACCCAGGAGGTGGAGGTTACAGTGAGCTGAGATCATGCCACTGCAATCCAGACTAGGTGAAAGAGCAAGACTCTGTCTCGAAAAAAAAATTTTTTTAAATTGACGTTGCTCTTTTAGACCTATGTCTTGCAGATCATTCTATATCTGCACATGTAATCGTAAGTTGACTTTAGTTCAGTCGTCTTTTTGGGGTGCATTCTGGGTTTTGCTTTCCATCATTCATGGGATCATTCAATGTTGTTAAGCTTTGTTTTGTATATCTCTGTTTGTTTGTTTGTTTGTTTTTGAGATGGAGTTTTGCTCTTGTTGCCCAGGCTACAGTGCAATGGCATGATCTCGGCTCACCACAACTTCCACCTCCCAGTTTCAAGTGATTCTATTGCCTCAGCCTCCCAAGTAGCTGGGATTAAAGGCATGTGCCACCACGCCTGGCTAATTTTTGTATTTTTAGTAGAGACAGGATTTTACCATGTTGGTCAGGCTGGTCTTGAACTCCTGACCTTGTGATCTTCCCGCCTCAGCCTCCCAAAGTGCTGGGATTACAGACGTGAGCCACTGCGCCCAGCCAGTTTTGTGTATCTTATTTTCCTGATAATTTGAAAGGTTTTATACCTGATTTCATTTCCTTAATATTTTGCCTTTGTGACTTCATACAAAAGCCTTATACCTCTAGCTGTGTTTTTCAGTGCCTCTTTTTACTTTTTCTAACACAATTTTCACTTTTGTAATGGCTTTATTTTCCTCTTCCATTTCTTCCGTGAACTTTACCAGCTCACTTTTATATCCTTTTGTTATCTTATTTCTTGAGGCTTTTATCTATTCTTTGAGGTCTTCATTCAGAAACACCTTCTTTTTATTTTCATCTGCTTAATGATGTAATTCTTTTGGTATATGTTATTTGCCTTTCATTGGTCATGTTTCTTTCCTCCTTTCTTGCAGGATTTTTGCATAGATCCCTTGCCAGTTATCTTTAAGTCATCAATCAACTTTGAAACAGGCTGCTGTTGTGAGCTAGCTGTTTGCTGACACATAGTACTGGGGAGGGGGCCTGAGTTGAATTCATCGAATCTGTTGTATTTCCAGTTCTTGTTTCTTGTTTCTGAGCACTTTCTTATGAACATGCTACCCTAAGGCCTAATCAGACTGTCTAGCAGCAAAGCTTTAAACCCCAGCTCCTCATATCATGATCTAGCCTTCTAAATATTTTGATTGACTAAGATCAGCAGCCCCCGACCTGGTCTAGGGGTTAAGAGTTCAGGCTAAGTAGTGAGATGGCCTCAGTTCAAATTTTGGCTGCCCTACTTTTGATTTATATGACTTGGGTCAATTTACTTAGGCTTTTTGTACCTCAGTTTCCCCATCTGTAAAATGGGGAGAAGAGCTCCTGTCTCTTGGGGTTGCTTTGAGGATTAAATTAACTGATACCCTTAAAGCATATCATCCGGCACAATGTTAATAGATATGAGGTAGTCACTACCTTCACCTCCTGGGTTCAAGCGATTCTCCTGTCTCAGCCTCCTGAGTTGCTGGGACTACAGGCGCATGCCACCACACCCAGTTAATTTTTGTATTTTAGTAGAGATGGGGTTTCTCCATGTTGGTCAGGCTGGTCTTGAACTCCTGACCTCAGGTGATCTACCCATCTCGGCCTCCCAAACTGCTGGGATTATAGGTGTGAGCTACCATGCCTGGCCAAGATATAGGTTTTAAAAAGCAAAATCTTAATGCCAGTCCCTTTTCTTTCCCCAGCCATGCTGAGAGATTGCTTTTTGCAAAGATGGAGTGTCTGTACATCTCTTCAGCATCCCCTGCCACTAGGTGGTGTCCAGTGGGGCCCGGAGTAGCGCTCTCAGACAGGCTGAGCACCATGTGATTAACTGCTTTGAGGCAGCTTATGCGTTGCTTGAGTTCTGCAGCACTTTGAGACCTCTGATTCCCTCCTTCCTGACCAGGTTCAATTTTCAACGCACTTGGCAGCCCTTCTGAAAACCTCAGGCTCAGGGCTATTTGTAAGTTTCTTCAAGGATGCTTTCCTTTTCATTGTTTTCTGTTTGCTTCTAAAGAGAGGGCAGGACAGAGGTAACAGTCACTTCCCAGAACCTTAACACTTTTCAAAATATGTGCTCTTTTTGAGTTGAATTGAGTTGAATTTAACAACTGGAGAAATCTTTTAATTTTTCAAGGAGATCGGTGTGCTTTGTTGCTATTCTGCTCTGAGGCAGAGGAATGTCTAATAGCCATGGTGCGCATCCAAGAAAATCCATATGTGGACTCACCAGGCTCTAAACCTCCATCACATGCAATGATGGGCCGCTGTCATTTCTCTACAAGGGAAATGGAAAACATTCTTAAGAATGTTCCTCTGCCTCAGAGCAGAATAGCAACAAAGCACGTATTTTAAAACATTAAGGCAGCCCATGGTATTGGAGGATTTTGAGGTTTCTTTAAAATGAATGTATTTTTGTTAGTTTTCTAGTATGAATTGCATTTTTTCATTCCTGCTGCATTATAGATAAGTATGGCAGCTGGGCCAAACGTGGTGGCTCACACCTGTAATCCCAGAACTTTGGGGGGCTGAGGTGGGAGAATTACTTGAGGCCAGGAGTTGAAGACCAGCCTGGGCAACATAGTGAGACTCTGTCTCTACAAAAAAATAATAATAAGAGATATTTAGATGGGGGTAGTGGCACGTGTCTATAGCCCCCGCTACTCTGGAGGCTGAGGCAGGAGGATTGCTTGAGCCCAGAGCTTTGAGGCTACGGTGAGCTATGATCAGCCCACTGTACTCCAGCCTGGGAAACAGAGCAAGACCCTGACTTTAAAAAAAAAGAAAAAGGATAGCAGCTCATTTAATGTTTTGTTTTTTTATACAAGCCAATTCTACCAGGTTGACTTTTCCCCCCAGCTGGTTTTTGTATTGCGTTTACATTTCATTAATTTTGTGAATTATACATTAAAACATTCTAGTAAAATTCAAATATCACAAATAGAGCCAAATTGTTGTTTGATTTCCACTCTAAACTTGTTTGATCTGTTTTGTGCTTGCTTTGGTCTCATCACACCAAGATCTTTTGATGCCATCAATTCTCCTCTTTATTATATTGCTCTAAAATGTTTGTTTACTTACCAAAGCAAAATGTGCTTATAGTTAGAAAAATGAAATAGACATCATGGATGGAATAAAAGTTAAAAATCTAAAAATAGCAGTGAAATAGTGATTAAAAGGATTATAACACTCCCCTGTCCTCCAGAGGCAATGACTTTCAAATCTTACAGCTTTCTCTTCAGATACTTAAAAATATGGAGGTTAATTATATACATATATGACTATCTCTCATTCTTCGTTTTATTTTTTTCTAGATACAGGATCTCACTATGTTGCCCAGGACTCCATCTCCTGGGCTCAAGTGATCCTTCCTCTTCAGCTTCCCCAGGAGCTGGGATTACAGGTATATGCCATAGCACCCAGCTATTATTCTTCAATTTTTAGACCCTATCCACTGACTGTGATGGATGTGAGGATTTCAGCTTTCTTGTGTCACTTCTATTCTTCCTTTCTCCCCTAACTTTAATTTTAAAAAATTAAGTCCTGAGTCAACACCTTCCTCTTTCCTCCCCGCATCCCCCCACCTCCCCCCCAACTGGAGTTAAAACTGAATCACTTAACAGAAAAAAAAATGCTTAGTTGTCTCAAAACATATGACTAAACTCCTTCCGTACCTATAGCAGCCCTGAAGACAGAATTTTCCCCATAGTCAAGCACATCAGTTTCTTTCCCTTCGAGATGATCTACCCAAAGTCTCTGACTTTCTGTTGCTTTTGATGACAGAGACTTGAATAAGTTTGCTGCTGGTGAGTAGGAGCCGGTAGAGAAGGAGAAGTGGAAGATGGGAGTGTGAAGGAGGGGCCTTGATTATCAGTGGCTCCAAGTCCTTCTGGAAGGAGAATTGCACAAGGTCTGGGATCAGGTGGAGGAAGGGCACCTTTTAAATTGAGTGTAGGTCAAAGAAAGATAGAGCAAGGCTACAGGCAGGGTCCAAGGCTGGACAGTGAGGGGAAGCAGAGTAAGTTCCCATCTTGCTGTTTTCTCTGTGACTAATAGGAAGTGAGGTTAGCTGGTGGGAAGGAGGGAGGAGGAGAGTGTGGCTGGAGTCCTGGGGAAAGTGGATGAGGTTGAAGATGAATGTGAGTCAGAATTCCACTGGGTGAGGGAACTGTTTGGATTTCTGTTCTCCCCCAAATCCCATGTTGAATTGTAGTTCCCAGTGTTGGAGGTGGAGCCTGGCGGGAGGTGATTGGATCATGGGAGGTTTCTCATGAATGGTTTAGCGCCCTCCCCCTTGTTGCTGTTCTCATGACAGTGAGTGAGTTCTCATGAGATCTGGTTGTTTAAAAGTGTGTGGCACCTCCACCCACCCTTGCTCCTGCTCCAGCCATGTAAGACATGCCTGCTTGCCCTTCACATTCCACCATGACTGTAAGCTTCCTGAGGCCTTCCCAGAAGCTGAGTAGATGCCAGCATCATGCTTCTGTACAGCTTGCAGAACTGTGAGCCAATTAAACCTCTTTTCTTTATAAAAATTACCGAGTCTCAGGTATTTCTTTATAGCAATGTGAAAACAGAGAAATACAAACCAGTAGGGTGTGATAGAAGGTGGAAGGAAGGTGAGTGCAGCTGCCAACTGATTTGTCCATCCTGGCCAATGGCAGCAGGTTGGGTGGCGCTTTAACCTCTTACCTCCCTTGATGTGCAGGTTCTTTACTGAGAGGAGGTTACCTCAGCCAAAACCAGTACTGCGACATCAAACAAAACATTGGAGGCTTTAGCCTTAATATTCTCTTCTTACATATCTGTAGGATAAGTATGCAGTCGAGGGCTAGAGAGGGAAGTTCATGTATCAACACTCCATTTTTAAATGCCCCCATTTAATTTATTTTTATTTTTATTTATTTATTTATTTATTTATTTATTTACTTATTTATTTTTTGAGAGGGAGTCTTGCTCTGTCACCCAGGCTGGAGTGCAGTGGTGCAATCTCAGTTCACTGCAACCTCCGCCTCCTGGGTTCAAGTGATTCTCCTGCCTCAGCCTCCCAAGTAGCTGAGATTACAGGCATGTGCCACCACGCCCAGCTAATTTCTGTATTTTAGTAGAGACAGTGTTTCACCATGTTGGCCAGGCTGGTCTCGAACTCCTGACCTCAAATGACCCACCTACCTCAGCTGGGTCCCAAAGTGCTGGGATTCCAGGCGTGAGCCACCACACCTGGAAAATGCCCCATTGCGGACGCTACTATGCTAGTTCTTTTTCTCTTCTCACTTGGATTATTTTGAGAAATATGGAACCAAGATTATTAAATGTCTACTTGTACAGGGCACTCTTCAAGATAAACTCACCACATAATCCTGCTCTGTAGGAGCTTATCTTCTAGGCAGCCATCTAACCTGGCTTTAAACTAATTAAGCGTGAAAAAAAAGCCAACAACATTCTACAAATAAGCATTTAGAGTGGAGAAGGTAGAACTCAACTACTTCCGATTAGTCAGGTTATTTTCATTGTCAAGGCCAAAATCACAAAACAGAAATTTGTTTATTTAACTAAAAAGTTGTGGAAGGTTGGCTGCCTCCCACTTCTCACCTCTACCCCAAACCCTGCTCTTCTCTACATTGACTTTATTCTCACAGAGCTTCCCTCCATTTGCTTCAAGATTAGCAGCCCCAGCTGAAGGCGAGGACCCTGCCCTTCCTTCCTTCTTCCGAGGGAGTGAGAATTGCACTGAGCATCGAAACCTGGAGGACGTGCCAGACAGGAGGAGGAAAGGAAGTAAGGGGCAGTGGGCCACCAATTCCTCTCATCCTGACCAATGGCAAAGAGTCGGGTGACCTATGAATAATGTTAGGATGTTGGAGGGTTTTAAGCAAGAAAGGGACATTTTTAGGTTTGCATTTAAAAAATATATCTCAGGCTGCTGTGTGAGGACCACTTGGTAGGGGAGGAGAATGGAAGCAAGGAGACTTGTAAGGAGCCCATTGAAGTGGGGAGTCTAGGGCAGAGGGGATGTTAGCTGGGTCTAAGGTGCTGGTGGTAAGATGGAGATGGTCTCAAGAGATCATTTAAGATGGGAAATATGGAGGTTTCAGAACTTGACTGGATATGAGTGTTGAAAAGACTTTTCTGAATCTTTCTTTGACTCCGTTATTTCTTACCTGTTGCCAGTAAGTCAAATATTAACTCTCTTCTACATGGAGAGAGGCAGCTTAACACATGGTAGCTTAGAGCTAGGGCAGCCATATAGCTTATCCAAACTGGGATGCTTTTGAGAGTGAAAAGAGTGCTGCAGTTATCACACTGGGGTGCCAGGCTTCTGGGCCAGCTGGGAGAGATGTTTACCCTATTTAGAACCTACAGTCACATGGAGCTGGCCTTGAGTTTTGCCTCTGCCACCAACTAGCAGTGTGTCCTTGGATAAGTTATTTTTTGGTTTTTGTTTTTTTGAGATGGAGTCTTGCTCTGTCGCCCAGGCTGGAGTGCAGTGGTGCAATCTCAGCTTACTGCAACCTCCACCTCCCGGGTTCAAGCAATTCTCCTGACTCAGCCTCTCAAGTAGCTGGGATTACAGGTATCCACCACCATGCCTGGCTAATTTTTTTTTAAATGTATTTTCCTTTTTTATTTTTCTTTTAGTAGAGATAGGGTTTCACCATGTTGGCCAAGCTGGTCTCGAACTCCTGACCTCAGGTGATCTGCCGACCTCAGGTGATCCGCCCACCTCAGCCTCCCAAAGTGCTGGGATTACAGGCATGAGCCACCATGCTCGGCCTGGGCAAGTTATTTAACCTTTGTGAACCTGTACTTCATCTGAAAAAATAATGGGATTAGTAAGTGTATATGCCTCATGGAGTTGTTATGAGAATTAAGTGAGCTGCTATATGTGAAACAATGAGCCCAATGATCAGGATCACAATCTAATAAAATAGTTGTATACAATAAATATATAGATATTTTATCCATAAATGATGTGCTATATACACAGCTTCTTATATATGTAGATACAACACACAAATATAGTGCTTTTTTTGGACTAATCCTTTGAATGTAGAAGAGAGCAGATTTTCTCTTCTAAAGAACTTAGATTCAGAATCATAGAAATTTAGTAATTGTAAGCATGTGGTGGGGAGGAATTAAAATGTAAAGTCAAAACTTGCCCTTTGATAATGAAATGACGAAAAATAAGCCTGTTGCTAATGTGATCAGCCTTTTGGGGTCACCGAGCAATGTGATTGAGTTGCTGGGGCTCCCCAGGTCCCTGTGAAGACTGCAGCATCTGTTGTGTCTGAAAGGTCAGGGGGCCTGAGGAAAGGGGAGCTGTTGCCCATGGTGGAGACAGGGTCTCACCTGGTCAGCTGACCTGAGCCCCAACTTTGTGGTCCCCCAGTAATCTCCTGATTGGTCATTTGGATCTTCCCTTTTACATGCTGACACCTGGAAGGTGATGCGATCAATTGTACCCCAAACCTCAGCATCACGCAATAAACCCGTGTAACAAAACTGCAAGTGTACCCCTTGAATCTAAAATAAAAGTTGAAATTATTTTAAACATGATACAGAATGTGTGCAATGGGTATCAGATTTCCGCAACACAAATTCAGGTGTATACCATAAATGTATTAGTCTTAAAAAAAAAGGAGGTTACTTCCCGGCCGCTCCCACCTGCACTGTGTGACTAGTATTCTGGCTTACATAGCAGTCTCCAAACACAGAAGATGATGTGACTCCTTTCTCCATTTTCCTGAGGATGTTACATGGCCAGTACCATTCTGAATGCCTAGGAGAGAAGTTAATTTATTGTATACTGTGGATGCCTTGGGGCATTAGAGTTTAATCCTCTCAGGGAATCTGGGATGAGAAAGGCTGTGACCTCAATCAGCCAGAGATGAAGCAGGTCTGTGGACTGACAGCATCGCCTTTAGGAGATGCCAAGGAACAATCCACCCCCAGATCGCTGCCCTGCAAGGCCCCATGTGGGCAGCCGCTGGCCTCTCTGGATCCTGCTTCCTCCTGGTGTCCTCCCTCTCCCTATAGCAGCTGGAGTAACAATTCAGCCTGTGCTTCCCTGAACTCTGATGGCCTAACAATGTCTCCAGCTCCATCCCAAGAATGTCACAGATCCCCAGATTTGTTCCTGCTTCTAGCACACATCCTTCCCCTTGCAGGATGCTTATGCTTAAGCCTGCAGAGTTGTGTCCAGCAGGAGCTGCTCCTTCAGCTGGAAACTCACTCACTAGATGGCAACTCACTTCCCTTCACTGGCCTCACAGTTTGTGCAGCTCAGATTTTTGCTATAGCAAAATCATAAATTACTGCATATTTAGTGTGGCATAATACAAAACCAATTTGATCTTTGTCCCCAGTTCCTGGCACAGAGTTCCTAGGAATTTCCTTAGCGTTAGGACTGCCTTTTGTTATCCATAACAAGCACCTTTCAACATTGCCTGAGTTTATGCTGATGAGATGATTCTTGGCTGGGGGACTCCGAGATAGTATCAGGATGCGGACTGGTCACCTGAAAGACCACGGCATGATTAGAGGATTGGGACTTTCAGCCCCCACCCCACAACTCTCGGCCTCTTGGGAAGGGGGAGTGGCTGGAGATTGAGTTTCGTCACCAGTGGCCAATGATTTAATCAATTATGCCTGTGTCGTAGACCTCCATAAGAAACCCCTAAGCAATGGGGTTTGAGGAGCTTCCATAACGGCACCTCCATA
Organism: Homo sapiens; assembly: GCF_000001405.40. Classification (NCBI taxonomy): domain Eukaryota; kingdom Metazoa; phylum Chordata; class Mammalia; order Primates; family Hominidae; genus Homo; species Homo sapiens. The sequence continues at coordinate 100,618,871 of NC_000008.11, read as the reverse complement.
AACAACCCCCCTAAGCAATGGGGTTTGAAGAGCTTCCAGGTTGGCGAGCAAGTGGCGGTGCTGGGAGGGTGGGGCACCCAAACAGAGCATGGAAACCCCACCCACACCTTGCTCTGTGCATCTCCTCCGTTTGGCTGTTTCTGAGTTGTAGCCTTTATAATAAGCCAGTAATAGTAAGTACACCATTTTCCTTCACTTTGTGAGTTGTTCTAGCAAACTATCAAACCTGAGAGGGGGTCATGGAAACCAGAATTTGTAGTCAGCTGGGCAGAAATGTGGGTAACTTGGGCCCCATATTTGCTGCTGGCATGTGAAGGGGGTAGTCTTGTGGAGCTGAGCCCTTAAACGTGAGGGATCTGATGCCAACTCCAAGCAAAGCATGTCATAATTGAATTGAATTGTTGGACAGCCATTGTGATGTTCAAGAACTGGAGAATTGGTTGCTACATGGAAACACCTTCCCCCTGCCCCCACCCACAATTAGTGTCAGAAAAAATCAGGGATATGGGCTTTAGGGATGCTTGGAAATACTGAAAACTGGGCAAGTTAATTATGAGACTGTTAAGGATGCAGACTTTATCAAAAGCTGTTTTCTCCAATATAGATACTCAGTTGTTTACTTGGAAGTTCTTTAAGCTTCATGTTACTCCTTTGCCTTGCCTCCACTATACCCCACAAAACAACCCTTCCAATCTCTGCACTTGTCTCTTGGGAACTTTGGGTACCATATGCTAGAAGAGCACCAAAAAAGGAAGCTGTGGATTGTTCGCTTGCTGCAATGGTGCAGCTTTAAAAAATGGTGTGGAGGCCGGGCGTGGTGGCTCAGGCCTGTAATCCCAACACTTTGGGAGGCCAAGGAGGGTGGATCACCTGAGGTCAGGAGTTTGAGACCAGCCTGGCCAACACAGTAAAACCCCGTCTCTACTAAAAATACAAAAAATTAGCTGGACGTGGTGGTGGGTGCCTGTAATCCCAGCTACTTGGGAGGCTGAGGAAGGAGAATCACTTGAACCCAGGAGGCAGAGGTTGCAGTGAGCCAAGATCACGCCATTGCACTCCAGCCTGGGCAACAGAGTGAGACTCCGCCTCCAAAAAAAAAAAAAAGGTGTGGAAATTTATTTTGCTTTTCTTTTGCTTATAGAATACATTTGACATCGCCACCAAGAAAGCTTATCTGGACATATTTCTGCCCAATGAACAGAGTATTAGAATCGAAATTATAACATCAGACACTGCTGAAAGAGTCCTAGAGGTAAGCTTTGTTTAAACTCCAGCTCCAGAACTGAATCTAGGGATGGTTCTGTTTGGAAAGCAGAGAATGGGATACGGTTACCTTCCAGGAGCTTCTGGCCTGTTGTTTTACTCTGTGGATGATTATCTGCAGAGGTACTGGCATTTGCTGGGAGAACAACCAAGGAACCTAAGATACAGCCAATCCTCCAGGGCCTCTTTGATTTCACCCTCCCTGGGGGCACCAATTTTCCAGAGATCTCCTGGAAGGCTGCTGTCACTTCCTTGGAACTTAGCCAGGGATGTGGCCTGGAAATATGTAAAATGCTTTATTACTGGATGTCCCATCGTTGGGAGCAGGAAGGAAAGTGGGGCTTGGCAGAGTCTGAAACAGGTCATACCTAGGTGTGCAGGTGACAGGGGAGTTCTTGAAGGTTCCTATTCTCCCACAGGGAAAATTCTTGAAACCAGTGCTCCATCAGGGCTAATTCTGGGTGCAGAGGGCCCAGACATGAGTTGTAGTCCACTGTCTGAGGACTAATAGGACAAGACCCAGAAGGCTTCATCCTTCTTCAGCAGCTCTGCCTCCCAGACCCCTTTTCCATCTGCTGAGTGGGGCTGCAGAGGGGACACTGTCTTCTCACACTCACATCCTGCTGCCTGGGGGCAAGCTCCCAGGCCCTTTTCCTCTGGAAGGTTTTAGCTCTAATCCTCCAGAGAAACATACAAGAGAAAAGACAAAGTTATAAACATGAAGAAGAGTCAGAAAGTTTCTAGGACCTTTCAAAGGACAGAACGTTCTTGTGCTTGGGTTATGGTGTCTGACCCTTTCTGAGCTGAGAAACGGAAGCACTCCCATTTTGGCTGCTAGCTCTTCGGGCCTGCCTTGACTTAACCTATTCCTGTATCTCCAGTCTCTCTTATATTCATCGTCTCTCCGTTTCCTCCTCTCGATCCTACATCTTGACCTTAGCTCCAGCCCTCATTGTTTCCCAGCTAGATCTCTACAGCTGCCCCTAAACTAGTCTCCCTGCTTCCAGTCTTGCTAATCTTCTGTATTGATTTCCAGCATAGTCTTTCTAAAAAGTATCAAAAGCCCTTGATGCTTGAGGGAGTTTGTACCCCAAACACAAAAACCTCAATTGCTCAGGATCTAGAAGTGGGAGACAGACTCATAAATGAAGGAGGAGTAGGAAGGCAGTGATAGAGTGGGAGCCACAGACTGCATGTGTCTGGGGCCAGGCAGGTAGCTCTGGGGTACAGCTGCAGGATCAGATATAGAACAGGAGAGAGCACCTGCCTTCCCCAAAGACATCATCATTGACTTCTTTTTTTACACACTGGGCTTGCTGACCAAACTAGACATGCCTGCAGCTGAAGCCAGTGGTGGTGGTGATAGTTTGGGGTCTCCTATCTTCTGGGTTTAGGATGAGTCCTGGATTCAAATTACAGTCATGTGCCACATAATAATGACGTTTCGGTCAACATTGGACTGCATATACAATGGTGGTCCCATAAGTTTATGATACAATATTTTACTGTACTTTCTCTATGTCTAGATATGTTTTGGCCAGGCACTGTGGCTCACGCCTGTAATCCCAGCACTTTGGGAGGCCAAGGTGGGCGGATCACGAGGTCAGGAGATCGAGACCATTCTGGCTAACACAGTGAGACCACATCTCTACTGAAAAATACAAAAAAAAAATTAGCCGGGCGTGGTGGCGGGTGCCTGTAGTCCCAGCTACTCAGGAGGCTGAGGCAGGAGAATGGCGTGAACCCGGGAGGCGGAGCTTGCAGTGAGCCGAGATCGCGCCACTGCACTCCAGCCTGGGCGACAGAGCAAGACTCCGTCTCCAAAAATAATAATAATAATAACAATAGATATGTTTAGATACACCAATACTTACCAGCATGTTACAGTTGCCTAGAGTATTTAGTACAGTAACATGCCTACTATACTACTATAAACCTGGGCTAACAGGCTTGTAGCCTGGGAACAGCGGGCCATACCGTCTAGCCTAGGTGTATAGCAGGCAATACCATTTAGATTTGTGTAAGTTCACTTCGCAGTGTTCACACAACAACAAAATCGCCTAACGATGCATTTCTCAGAATGTATTCCTGTCATTAAGCAAAACACAGCTGCACAGTGTTGCTGTGTAAGGGCTGTGTGAATTTGGGTAAGTTACTTTACAGACAATGTCTAAGTAAATAATTATAGAAATAGTTCACGTTCCCGAGACAATGGCAGTTGTGTTTATTTATCATTATTGGTATTGGTATTGATCTTGATATTGGAGGGAGTGCTGAATACGTACTGAGTAGGGCAGTATCTCCAGGGTTCTGTGGTACCATCTGTTTTGTCCATTTCCCTTGAAACTAATAGCATACATTTGATGAAGTACATTTGCAGTCAGAAAAATGTGCTTCCTCTCTTCCAATCATGTTGGCTTGTGAGAAATTCAGACCCAAGACGTTGACATCATCAGATCAGGTAAGTTTAACTGGAGGTTCTACCCTAGAAGTGGTAGTTTCCATAACAGGTGAAGTGGTCACTTGGTCAGCCACAGGTGTGAATTTCCTTCCAGGAGCTGGGAAATTCTCTAGCTTGCATAAAACCATAATTTAAGTTTTATAATTAAAAATCGCCTTCTGCATCTTCTCCAGCACACTTGCTGCCATTCTCACTTTGCTTCCCCAGGTTTGCCTCACCCACAGCCTGCCTTTTACTTTTCAATGGTCTCTTTTTTGGTTGTTGTTTTGAAATGGAGTTTCACTCTTGTTGCCTAGGCTGGAATGCAATGGTACAATCTTGGCTCACTGCAACCTCTGCCTCCCAGGTTCAAGCGATTCTCCTTCCTCAGCTCCTGAGTAGCTGGGATTACAAGCACGTGCCACCATACCCAGCTAATTTTTGTATTTTTTTTTAAGTAGAGATGGGGTTTCACTATGTTGGCCAGGCTGGTTTTGAACTCCTGACCTTAGGTGATCAACCCGCCTCAGCCTTCCAAAGTGCTGGGATTACAGGCATGAGCCACCGTGCCGGGCCTCAATGGCCTCTTTAAGGGCCAGCAGCAAGCTAAAATCTAGGACTACTGTGGTGCTAGTGATGGCGTTCGTGTTTTGAATCATCATTAACATTTGCTAAGAGGAAAAATATTATTACGTATTTTTTTGCTGATGCTCACTCCTCTCAAAAGAAGGTGTTTATATTTATGTCTTTATGAATGCGAAAGGCTTCTTCATTCTCCTTTTGCCCCCATGCCTTTCCTCTGTCTGCCTTGGCATGTAAGCTTGTTGTTTTCCCTGAATTAGACAGAAAAGAAGGAAATCTAACTTGAGTGGACCTGGGTCAGGTTTACTCTGGGAAAGATGTCTTTACTATGCTGTTACCTACCACACACTTACCCACTGTGTTTGGCTTTTGGGTGTTTTGCAGCCCAAAACATGGGGGAAAGAGAGAGACAGAAAGAAGGGGAAGGGAATTGCTTTGAAAGTGGTGAAACTATTCCTCAGCTGCTCTTTATTTTCAAAGCTATGCTGAGAACACCCACTCATACCAGCCACCTAATCAGACTGCTTCCTGGGGGTAATTTATGTATCTCTGACAAGAGAAGGCCCCCTGTGAGCCTGGTATTTGTACAACTGCCACCTAGAGAACTGGGAGTCGTGGGTAAAGCAGCTCTGGAGGGCAGTGCTTGGAGGCCTCTCCTTGCGTGGTACAGAGGTGATTTAGTGAGTTAAGACCAGGAGTATAAAGAAATTACTCGAGAGCCCAGTGTTAAATAGGGGCTGGGCTGGGCAGATGGCAGGGAGGAAGCCTGTGGTCGTGTAGAATTTTCTGCTAAGGGAGCGTGAGTAGATGTCCAATGCTGTGAGGTGACACCCTGGTAGGCTGATGGTAAAAATGAAGCCACTGGCGTTGAAATGAAAGCTGTTTGATATAAGTCAAAGAGGAATGTGAAGGAAGGCAACCTGTGCCTGGCATCTGAGGTTTTCATTTTGCAAACATCCTAGTAAATTACAGTTGACCATCGCAGGAAACATCAAGGCGAAGCAGGCCTGGCGTGTCAAAGGTGGGCAGTAGCGCATGCACGTTTGTATGCCAGCCAAGCGGCGGGGAGTGATCCTTTTCCAAATAGCTGGTAATGCAGCCCACAGGAAGGTAAACTAGTGTGCAGGTTCCAGGGACAGACATCACAGAAGGACAGATGTTCATGGAACATGGCTGCTGCCCTCCAGGGGAAAATAAAGACCAAGACAATCCGGGAGTGAGTCCACATCTGAGATGGGATGACCAACCTCAACTTGGGGCCAGCCTCTGTCCATTGTGGTGGGGCTGATTTTTATTTTCTTTATTCTAATTTTTTTGTGTTTTAAAATTTTCTAAGATGGATACCATTTTTTGATTCCAAAAAGCTTTCTTTGAGTGTTCACTAACCCATGACAGCATTTTTTATTGATGTGTACCGGCCATTTCCAAGTCTGCATGTCACAGTTAGGATGCATGGTGGGCACACCTAACTTTTTCCCTTTCTGCTTGTTTCTGGTTAAAGGTGGTGTCACACAAAATTGGACTGTGTCGAGAGCTCTTGGGCTACTTCGGCCTCTTTCTCATTCGGTTTGGCAAGGAGGGCAAGCTCTCTGGTAAGAAGGAAGGAACAAATGAATCAGCTAGGAGATGGGGTGGACAGGTGTGAGCAGGGGCTCATAGGAGTCACAGCTGAGGGGCTGGCCACCCACTGGGCTGTGATCCCTACCACTGTTCTCAGTCACTGGGTTAAGGGTTTAGGGAATAGGAGGTTGCGTCCTTGTTAGGGGAGAGTGGGGGCAAACCGCTCATACCTTGGGTGGTCCAGTAACTGCACTTGTGTACCCCCAGCCCTAATCCTGACCCCCTCCCCTTTACCGCAGGCCCGGCCTGACCACTGACCACTCGCCTGCACCGTTTCCTGTGAATGGAGTGCTAGACTCCAGGGGTCAGGACGCCCCACCACAGCATCATTTCTCCTTGTTAAGGAATATTTGTGGATGGTATCAATGAGTTATTAGATTCTTTTTTCAAGTGTAATGAGATAGTGTAAGAAGACAGTCTGATTCTCCTATCTTTTGTTTTCTCTACAGTATGTTTCTAGATATTACAAGTTTTTTTTTTTTGTAAAATGGTATCAGTTATATTAAAGTAGTTTATAAATGTCCTCAAGAAGCCAGGGGAGGTGGTTTTGAGTTGGAAGTTAAGGGGCTTGTGTAGAGGGTTGGCTGCTAGGCCCTGCGGTGAGCTGCGAAGGCGCTGGATGTCTCCGGATCTATTTTTTCATCTATATCACAGTGTAAAACACCCCCCACTCAAGGGGCTGTTTTTTTTTGAGGATCAAATGATATTTATTTTTTGAATGAACTTCAGAAAGTTAAAATTACGTGTAAATACAGAGGATATTCTTACTGTGATTTTATTATTTCCAATAATAAGGTTTTATTTTCTCATTTGAAAGCTGCTATATATAAGCTGTCTGTGCTGTTTCAACCAGTAAGACCGGCTTTCTCCTTTCTCTAGTTGTGAAAAAATTGGCTGACTTTGAACTCCCTTATGTTAGTCTTGGAAGTTCTGAGGTGGAAAACTGTAAGGTTGGACTCCGAAAGTGGTAAGTAGGTTCTGAAAGTGACAGAGGCGTTTGACGACACTTCGCCATTGCCCATCAGGACTTACCAGAGTCCCGTCACATCCTGCTCATAGCCTGACAGCTGGAGACCAAGAACTTAGAGAAGGCTCTGAGAAAAGCAATGAAGGCCAGGTGCTGTGGCTTATGCCTATAATCCCAGTACCTTGGGAGACCAAGGCAAGATGATTGCTGGAGCCCAGGAGTTCAAGATCAGCCTGGGCAACATAGCAAGACCTCATCTCCACTAAAAATCAAAAAAATTAGCCAGATGTGGTGTTGTGCATCTGTGGTCCAGCTATTCAGGAGGCTGAGGCAGGAGACACACTTAAGCCCAGAAGATCGAGGCTGCAGTGAGCCAAGATTACACCACTGCACTGCAACCTGGGCAACAGTGCAAGACCCTGTCTCAAAAAGAAAAGAAAAGCAATGAAAATGAGAGAGGGTGAAATAAACTGGTTTCTGAATATTTGTCCTAAAGAATAGGATGTTGAGGGTGACTATCAGTAGTCTCAGGTAAATACTCAGGGCGGGGTGGGGTATGAAAATGAGGAGGGTAGCCATCTTTCTGCATCTCTACTGATAGGCGAACAAGAAAGTAAGACTTGAAAACCAGGGGCGGGGCCAGGGGACATGGATTAAAGCAGGTAATGGTGGGAAATGGCTGGCCTTGGGTTTGCTTTGCAATGCATCACTGGCTGCATTAATGGAGGGACTTTGTTGATGATTACAACCAGATCTGATTTATCCGTAGAAGTGTGGTATTCCCTGAAGGTGAAGGGTGGATTCAGCCAGGTTGCAGTGAATTTGAACTCTAAGTACTGGGCTTACACATGCCTAAAGGATGTGTACAGGGCCATCCATATTCCTAGATAGGTAGGACACAAGTATCCCTCTGCAGAAAATACTGTCATTTCCTCCAGTAACACAGGAGCCTGTGGAGAACAAAATATTATAGAAAATAGCGCTGAGCAGCAGGACCTTATGCACCCCCAGTCCTATAACCTGCAGCTCCCAGTGTTTATTACCGTGGCTGCAGGGGATTGCTCCTTAGGCTCGCTCTCTCCCAGCCCATTTATTCTGTTATCTGAGTACAGAAGTTTTAAAGAAAGGTATTTTGAAATCTAAGAATTCCCTTGACCTTGTGATGCCTTGCTCTAGAGCTCCAGTTTGTGGCTTTGAATTGTGGAAGGATATTCCCAGCAAGGCAGTTCATATACTGCTGTTCAGAAGTATCCTGAGGAATGGTCCAGATCTTGAGATGTGAAACCCTGAGAAGGGGAGAAGAACTCAGTTCCATCCAATGGTTTAGAGAACAGCTGTTCTGGAAGCTGCTTGCTGTAGTGAATGGCTGAGCACAGTTGTTCCTGGAATTACAGTATGTGAATCTAAGTTGCGCCTTGCTCAGGTCTTAGCTGCGTAAACCTAGCCAAGTCGTTCAAGCTCTCTAAGCCTCAGTTTCTTTATCTGTAAAATGGGAATAATAAAAATAGTTTATTGGATTATTATAAGGGTTATTGCAAGAGTTATGTAAAATAGTCCCATATGCTCAGTAAGTTTTGGTCATGTTTGTGACTGTTATATTGATGATGATGGTGATTATAGGAAGCAAAAAAAAAAAAAAAATCTTTGGGGCTTAGATTTTCACTCATGTGCGCTTCATAAAACCTGAGATCAAAGGAGAGATGATGATTCTGTTTCTTACCTTGAAGCTTGAATTAGAAATTAGGCATTGCCTATGTCTTTTTTAAATACGTAAACTCTAGATGATACGTGCAAGAGAAAACGTCTACCCCAAATTATTAGCCAGCATCTCAGATCTAGGCAGATTGCCTCTGTTGATGGGAACTGGGAAGAAAGGAGGTTCCACTTCTATTGTCAGAGCTGAGGATCAGGTCTCTGGAGGGGAGATTCTGGCATAGGCTCCTGCAGGTGCCTTGCCCTCTTTCCAGAGGGAAGTCTTGCCGCATGGGAGCTGGAAGGCTAGCTCCAAAAGCTGAGTGATTCCCAGCAGGTGAAGCCTCAGTGAGGCCTAAGTGGCGTCTTAAGGACTTCTCTGTCCTTAAGGAGAGATGCCTGGGTGCATCTCTCCAATGATGATGATATGGCTTCCTCCAGGCCACAGGGTACCTGTGCTGGCCTGTGGGAGCCCCAGTCTGGGATGGGTCTATTCTCTGCACACAGGGGCCTCTGGGATGTGTGGGTGCATAGTTACCTGGAATGTAAGTAGGGATGCTTCAGTTACTTCTCCCCACCCCAGAATGAAGTTGACCTTCAAGCACCATATTTATCCCTTTCCTGGTCTAAGCCAACCCCATTGGTCTATTCACCCTATTCTGAGCATAGCAACTCTGCTTGCCTCTGCCTTCTGGTTGGTAGAGATCAGCCATAGGTACCCTTTCCTGACAGTTTCAGTCCCTTCTTAACATGCTACTGTGCTTCTACAGTCATTAATTTCAGTTCCTCGTGATTCTGGATCTGACAGGCAGACACGGAGCCCCTGCTATTTGCAAATCACTCTGTCAAGATTCAGAGGGGCAACTCTGGATAGGCCCCTGGCCTTGGGGTTCTTCACAGATGGTGTCAAGAAAACTTAATCAGAGTGGCAATTGGAATAAACTCAGGGTGCAGAGGAAGCACAGTGGACAGGCGGCTAATACAGCCTTGGGGAGTAGGGACCAGAGGAGGGGGCACTGCATAAGGCTTGCAAAGAAAGGCCAATCAGTCAGGGGAGGAGACTGGTGAGGGCCTTGGTCTTCCAGGCAGGGAGAGAGGAGAGAAAACATGGTTGGAATGTAGCGTTGGTGGTGGGGTTGGTGAGAGATGGAACTGGAAATGAAAGTGGGGGTGGTCCCCGGAAGGGCCTTGAAAGTGAGTAGAATAAATATCTAACTCCAGGAACAATGAGAGTCTGAAAAGTTTCACAGGAAAGACCACTCTGGTTAGAATGTGGAGCATCAGATTAAGGGCACATGGCTGAGACAGAAAGCCTGGAAAGGAGGCTCCCAGAGCAGCTCAGGCAAGAGATGAGGGTGGCCCTGCTGCAGGGTGGTGAATATGGGGGTAGGTCTGTGTGGGGCAGTTGACTATGCCAGGTATTGTGCGGTGGAGAAAGGGAATCCGCATCTTGGTGGCCAAGAGTGAGGCTGAATGTGAACAGGGATGCAGACCATTCCCCTAAAGCTTTATTTTTGTGCCTCTTTACTCTTAGAGCCCTCCAGGCAAGAGCTTACGGTGTAAAGAAATTAGGAAACGAAAGAGGTGGAGGGGCAGAGTGAAAGCTGGGCAAGTGGAGGTGTGGCTTTGTTGGAAAAGGGGGCCCTGGTTCATAGGGTAGAGGGCCACCACTTTCCAAAGCACTTGCCAGGTGTGCCCATGGGCCATGTCACAGGAATGAATTTCACACTCCTGAATTTTGCAGGTATATGGCTCCATCCCTCGACTCCGTGCTGATGGACTGCAGGGTGGCGGTAGATTTGCTCTACATGCAGGTGAGGGTCACCAAGAGCTCAGACAGCACCGTAGATCATAGGCCATGTTGGCTTGGAGCCACTAAACAAATTATGTGGCAGTTAGTAATTCTACCTCCACACCTAAAACAGGCACATTCATAGAGACAGAAAGTAGAACAGAGATTACCAGGGGCTGTGGGGGGTGGAGAAGAAGTTGTTATTGTTTGATGGGTACAAGTTTTTGTTGGGGGATGATAAAAAAAAGTTTGAGCTCTAAATAGCAGTGATGATTATCCAACATTGTGAATGTATATAATGACTCTGAATTTTGTGAATAGTTAAAATGACAAGTTACGTTGTATATATTTTACCACGATAACAATAAAATGTAAAAAGTAGAGGAGTTTAGAGAGAGAAAAGGAATTCTATCTCCATTGTAACAATCCATCTCTGAATTTGCAGCTGACACACTGTCATCATGAGCCTAGAAAGGATATCCCTGATAACTTAAAGTCACACGTGATCCTTAAATCTCACTCTAGCATAGCCTTCTTGCCCCTGAGCCAACAAGCAACCTGCCTGCCATTGGCTCCAGCTGGGTGGGCATGTGGCCTGCACAGTTGCGTTGGGCTCTGGGCTCAGAGAACCCATGCTCCTGTAATGATCGCGGTTACCAACTTGAAATTCTTCATTTTATTTTTAGTTTTTATTTTAAAAAATTAAATTTTCATTGGTACATAGTAGGTATATATATAATATTTATGGGTTACATGAGATATTTTCATGCAGGCATGCAGTGTGTAATAATCCCATCAGGGTAAATAAGGTATCTATTTCCTCAAGCATTTATCCTTTACGTTACAAACACTCCAATTATACTCTTTTAGTTATTTTTAAATGTACAATTAATGTTTTTTACTATAGTCATCCTGTTGTGCTAGCAAATACTAGGTCTTCTTCATTCTATTTTTTTGTGACCATTACCCAAAATTTTTAATTTTTGAACAACATTTTCATTTTGCACTAGGTAGACCCTGAAAATTATGTAGTTGGCCCTACCTACTCCTACCCCCAGCCTCTAATAAAGTAAATTTCGAGCTTGGCCTCAGTTCCCTTCTCCTGCCTCGTGTGATGAAGCTTCGGCCAAGTCATGGAATGGTCAGCCGGTGCTGCCGCCAACATACACACCCAGGTCACCAGCTGCCCCAGGTGTTCACACTCACCACACCGCCATCTTCGGAGACCTGATCTTTTCCAGGCTTGGCTCCACAATTCTGGGAAGAAAGCTCAGAAGCTTCTTTCAGTGAGTTCCCTGAGAACATCTCACAGTCTATTCTCAGGCAGCAGGCAGGGTGGTGGGTCACAGCCCTGCCCTGCTCCACCCCCTCCCAGACTTTCCATCTCACTCAGGCTAAACCCCAAATCCCAATGTCCTTGTTCTTTTTCCTCCGTAGCATTTCTACCATCTGCCAATGTAAGTATGTGTGTGTGTTGTGTATATTTGTTTACTCTCTCCCTACTGGAATGATTTCTCCATGAAAGTGGGTATTTATTCATTCACTGCTGCATCCCCAGAAACTGGAATTGTTCCGGGCACGATGTCAGCATTAAGCCCTTTGGTGGGCCTGGCATCGTATTAATTAAGTGCGTTATGTCATTGGAGCTTCATAACAACTCTGTAAGGCAGTTGGTACCATCCACACTTTCAGGAAGAAAAACATTAGATTTGCTGCCAAAAGATTGAGTAGTGGGTTTGGATTAATAGAGGATGTAGCTAAAGAAATTTAACAACACTTGTTTACAGGTGGCCTTTATTTAGCGTGACTCTAAGCTGCTACACTGGGTAGCTTTTATAAACTCAGGAGAGAGAGAGATGGTGGATAAGTTATTACTTTTAATGAGCTTTTCAAGTGGAATGTTAATAAAACCTACTGTGGTACTTTGGGTGTAGAAAAAGGTCAATGGGTGGATTTTGTTACCCTGGCTTACCAGAGGGCGTAGAAGAGGGAAAGAAACTTAGCCCATGCCTCCTTAAGTGACTTTTAGAGATCAAGACCCTAAAGCTCTTCTAAATTCTAAGAGGGCAAATCAAAATATCACTTATTAAATGTTTAATGTTCACCATTGTATTTTTATGGCTAGAATATAGCTTTGAGTTCATTCCGTACTATACATGAATCCAAGTATAATTATGTTCAGCCTGGAAACGGGGACACACACCTGTAATCCCAGCACTTTGAGAGGCTGAAGCAGGTGGATTACTTGAGCTCAGGAGTTCAAGACCAGCCTGGGCACTATGGCAAAATCCCATCTCTACCAAAAATGTAAAAGTCAGCCAGGCATGATGGTGTGTGCCTGTGGTCCCAGCTACTCAGGAGGCTGAGGTAGGAGGATGGCTTGAGCCCAGAAGGCGGAGGTCACTTAAGATGTGATCACGCCATTACACTCCAGTCTGGGCAACATACCAAGAACCTGTCTCAAAAAAAAAAAAATCATGTTCAGTGTACTTGATATGAGTTAGAGAAGAATTTTTCCACTTTAAATGTTTATTGAGGCCCATCCTTGCTACTGTATCCTTGCTATTATGATACATTTTTAGCTGTGTCTGGTTTGATACCATGACCTTGGATGAGATTGCATCACATAATTCTAATATCGTTCCTGTGGGAAATATCATCTTTATGGCATGTCTTTTGCTTCTCATTGTGATGAGAGGTCAGAGCTTCGAGCATCATAATGTGACTTTTTAAATCTGTTTTCATTAAAGATTTATAACCAGAGGGAAACAGATGATGGTACTTCCTCTGCTCAAAGCTAAAAAAACGTGGCTTCATGGGAGGCACACTGAATTGCAGTTTCAGAAATGAATTCTGTCCCTTGCTCTGACACTGATCCTCTCTCTGGGTGACCCTGGGCCAGCAACCGCATCCTTCTGAACCACGACATCTCCCTGTTGAGATGAGGTGGAACTAACATAATCTCTAAGTTTTCTCCAAGCTTTAATAGACTGTCATACAAACCTTAGCTCATTGCCTGGCAAAGTCTCCAAAAAATTGTAGTTGATGTCATAATAATCTTTATCATCATCATCATCATCATCATTGTTCCCTGAATCTGGGTAGAGGAGCTAAGAAGTCAAAGGTGGGTCCAAGGTCAGCAGGAGAGTCAGGACCACAATCACTGCCTCTTTTGGGAGGCCTGCCTTGGCTCTCCCCAGAAGAAAATTCCTACCTTCCTCCCACTTCTCCCAACCAGACTCTGAATGGCCAAGGGCAGAGACTGTCTCATTCCTCCTGTGTCCTGGGTGTCTGGGATATGTGAAAGACTAAGAAGTGGCCAGGCATGGTGGCTCACACTTGTAATCCCAGCACTTTGAGAGGCCAAGGCAGGTGGATCACCTGAGGTCAGGAGTTCAAGACCAGCCTGGTTAACATGGTGAAACTCCATCTCTACTAAAAATACAAAAATTAGCTGGGCACGGTGGCGCACGCCTGTAGTCCCAGCTACTCGGGAGGCCGAGGCAGGAGAATCTCTTGAACCCAGGAGGCAGAGGTTGCAGGGAGCCAAGAATATGTCACTGTACTCCTGCTTGGGTGACAGCACGAGACTCTGTCAAAAAAAAAGAAAAAAAAAGACTAAGAAGCAGTCATTCTTTAAAAAAGTTAACATGAAAAGCTCTTGAGTTGTGATAAATAATGGATCCATCATAATTAACTATTAAGGGGCACAGCTTTGATTTTCTAAAGCAGATGTGCCCAGTGATATCCAATGAGTCAACTGAATTCCCACAGCCTGTTTCCTTTCTTCTGCTCCTCTTTTAACCTGAGTTTAAAAATGAGAGATTGCATTTAAAACTATAAGTAAGTATACATTTTGAAGGCTCAGTCAATTCTGGGCCTGCATTTCAGCGGGGCCATTGCTGGCCTGGACAGTGATGCAAATTAGAAAAAGGCACCCCATCCTCCAGGTGGGGCTAGTCCTGCATCGGGGCCCATGGCTTGGTGAGTGGAGGGGGGCTGACCTTTGGCTTCCTGACTCCCCTATGGCCTGGTGACCTTGTCCAGGCACACACGTCCCTTGCCCTTCTCCACCATGCTTTCGCCAGAGCCGAGTGGCCAGTGCCGGCCTTTGAGAGGCATATGACCTCTATTTCTCACTACTGTGCCCTCTGCAGAGGACACTAGAGCGTGTGAGACTGAAGGTCAGGAAGACTATGGCTTATGTGATTTTGCTTGATTTTTAAAATTTTTAATTTTATTATTTTTTTCTTTTTTTCTATCTGCAGCACCTTTAGGATGCTTGATTTTTTAAGTTCAATTCTGCATACTCCCCTCTCAGCCAGTGTTCAGGGAACCGTGTAACTGAGTAGACTTGTCTAGACTCGACTCTCATTGTCTGGACCTACTCAGAGTGAGGCACTGTATAATATCACATTTGAGTTGATGACTTGTGAACCCACAATCAGGGTCAACTCTTTTCAAAGGTAATGATATAAAGCTGGGCGCAGTGGCTCACGCCTGTAATTCCAGCACTTTGGGAGGCAGAGGTGGGCAGAGTACCTGAGATTAGGAGTTTGAGACCAGCCTGGCCAATGTGGTGAACCCCCGTCTCTACTAAAAATACAAAAATTAGCCAGGTGTGGTGGCACATGCCTGTAGTCCCAGCTACTCGGGAGGCTGGGGCAAGACTATGGCTTAAGCCCAGGAGGCGGAGATTGCAGTGAGATGAGATCACACCACTGCACTCCAGCCTGGGCAACAGAGTAAGGCTGTCTCAAAAAAAAAAAAGGCCGGGTGTGGTGGTTCATGCCTGTAATCCCAGAACTTTGGGAGGCTAAGGCAGGCCAATCATCCGAGGTATCTGAGGTCAGGAGTTCAAGACCAGCCTGACCAACATGGTGAAACCCCATCTCTACTAAAAAGACAAAAAATTAGCCGGGCATGGTGACGCATGCCTGTAATCCCAGCTACTTGGGAGGCTGAAACAGGAGAATCACTTGAACCCGGGAGGCGGAGGTTGCAGTGAGCCGAGATTGCGCCATTGCACTCCAGCCTGGGCAACAGGAGCAAAACTCCGTCTCAAAAAAAAAAAAAAAGGTAATGAAACAAAACAGTTACATTACCTTTGCTGTAAGACATCTGCATCTCTGTGTCTGAGGATCCAGTTACTCTGATGGTGAACGACATGTCTTGGATTGGTACTTATTGCTGTGACTCCTGTTTATCCTTACACAGCCATCCCTTCTTTTCGATATTGTTCCCCTGTGCCAACAGCCCTTACTGGGCTCTACCATCAAGTACAATTCAGGAAAGAAGGCAGCGTTTCATTCTTCACACCATGCTTTCTCGTATGGTCTGTAGGTTTGGTTTGATGAAGAATTGGGGACACAGAGAAAGCCTTGGGGTGGGTAGCTGCCTACCTGGTAAGAATTCAGTGGCTTGGGCAAGGGAAGAAGGGCTTGATGTAGTGTCCAGACCTGGGTTTGCTCTAACTCCTGCCACTTACTCGCTGGGTCATCTTGAACATCATAACCTCTCTGAACCTCAATTTACTCATCTGTAAAATGGTGGTATTGTTCCTCCCCACAGAACAGAGTAGGCCCCCCTTATTCTTGGTCTTGCTTTCTGTGGTTTCAGTTACCTGCAGTCAAGCATGGTCTGAAAATATTAAGTGAAAAAATTTCAGAAATAAACAATTCATAAGTTTTAAATTGCATGCCATTCTAAGTAGTATGATGAAATGTCTTGCTGGCCCGGAACATGAATCATCTCTTTGTCCAGTTTCTTCGTGCTGTCTGCATCATCCACCCGTCAGTCACTTAGTAGTGATCTCAGTTATCACCATCCTGGTATCCCAACACTTGTGTTCAAGGCCCCAGTTTTACTTAATAATGGCCCTAAAGTGCAAGAGTAGTGATGCTGGCATATTGTTATACTTGTTCTATTTTCTTATTAGTTATTGTTGTTCATCTCTTACTGTGCCTAATTTATAAATTAAACTTTATCATAGGTATGTATATGCAGGAAAAAACATAGTATATATAGAGTTTGGTATTATCCATGACAGTACCAGGCATCCCTCCTGGGAGTCTTGGATAGTGTCCCCTGAGGATAAGGGGGACCACTGTAGTTGGGAAAAAGTCAATGATAAAGTCGATCTAAAACAAGTTTTCAACAAATATTGTTATTTTTCTTCTCCTCTCTAAATCCCATGTCCTTTTCCCCCAGCCTAAACAGCAATATTTAAGGCGTATTTAGCTTTTCATTCTTCTCTGGGAGATAAAGCATAGCCTGCCAATATCACTGAGGGATGTAGCAGATAGGCTTATGTTCAGACTAAGGTGAAAATAAGCACCTGATGATTGGCAAAGAATTGCTGGGCATTGCCATATGTAAGACACTGGGCAAGGCACACTGAGACGACGGGCGCGGGGTCTTCCCTTAGGGATTGACAGCCTAACTGAGGGACAATGGCCAATTCTGCCCCGTCATGACAAGTTAGAGCAGCACAGGCCGAGTGTGTGTGGCTGAGGAGGTGGACAGCTGATTCCACGGCCTCCCCAGGGCCAGACTGGCTAAAGGGGAAGGGAGCTGGGTGCCAAGAGGAGAGAGAAAGAGCACAGGAAAAGGTGCCTGCTCAGGGAGGGTAGGCTGAGACAACAGGCTTTGTTACTTCCACGTTTCATGTTGCTTCACCATAGTCCTGACGTGCTTCCACAGGGGGCCATTGCCTTCAAGGCGATTTCTGCCTTTGAGCCCAGTGTCGTTCTGCTGAAGCCTGCAGTGGATTAGGAAGCAACCAAGAACCCCATTAGGGATTTGGAGTTTGGGAACACTTGCTGATGATGGTTACCCTAGGCTGACCAGACAGGACCCAACAATATATTCAACTTTAATTTTTTTAATGTGAAATTAGTTTTTATCTTATAAAAAGTTTGCAAATGTGGAAGAGTTCAAAAATGAAAGTAGATGTCACCCCAAATCTTAAATCAACCAGATATATAAACTATTGATTAACTCTTTGGGTATATTTATTTCATACATTTCATGTATTTGCACATCCATTTCCTTGACTTGTAAGTATCCATATGAGGGTTTTATGTTGTTTTATATTTATTTTTTGTTGTTTTATAAAAATTAGGGTCTACTACTAGACTCTTACTTGGCAATTTGATATTTTTCATGAACATTACACACATTTCCCATGTTGTTAAATATTCTGTGTAATTTTTAATGATAGCATAGCCTATTATTTAGTTATACCCAAACTCAGTTACCCATTTTGGGGCATTTCATAACAGTACCTACATCACAGGGTGGCTGTAAGGATTGACTTTTGTTCTGAAGCAATTAGAACATTGCCTGACACATAGTAAGCACTGTACATGTGTTTGCCACTATCAAGTTGAAAATGTTTCATTGCTATAAGCAATAGCAGTAATGACCTTATCAATATATTTTTTCCAATATCTGTGTTTATGATTCAAATATACTTATTATTTGGAACTCTATTTTGTCAATTGCCAATACATAGCTGTTGCCCATTTTCCTTTTGGTGATGCTTACATTTTTCCTATTGCTTTATATAAATATTAACTGTTTGATATATATGATGCAATCATTTTCCTTGTTTTTCCATTTGATTCTTAGTTTTGTTGTTGTTGGTTTTCAGGTACAGAAGTTTTATGTTTCACATAATTATATATGACTATTTCTTCATTATGACATTTTGTTTTTATATCTTAAAAAAGATATTCCCTACCTCAAGATCAGATAAAAATATTTACCTTTATTTTTTTCCTGATTCTTTTATGGTCTTATACATTTAAATCTTTATCTGGAATTTATTTGATTAGGTGGTGTGGGGAAAGAGCTAATTTTATTTTCTTTTTTGCCAAGTGTTGCCAATTGTCCCCAAGCTGTTGAACAATCTCTTCTTACTAATTTAAAAAATAAGACTTATAATATGCTAAATCCCTAAATATATATCCACTTGGGTTTGTTTTTATATCCCTTCATACAAGAGTATGTTTTTGTCAGATTGATTAATTTCTGCTAAGACTGCTAATTTTACAACTTATGTTATTTTAAGGCAATACAGGACATTGAAAAAGGATGGGCCAAACCCACACAGGCACAGAGGCAGAAATTAGAAGCTTTCCAGAAAGAAGACAGTCAAACAAAGGTGAATCAAATATTGCTCCAAGAGAAATCCCTTGAAAGGGAGTTAAAGAAACATATTAGAATTGAACTGTTTCTGTAACTGATAAACCTACCAAGCACTAAAAGTGGGGCTCTTTTTAAAAAAATAAGAATATCTTCATTGATTGTTCTGAGTACAGAATTAATAAAAGCTTATTGTTTAAAGATTCTAAAAAAAATACAGACGGTATATTGTGAGTCCTCTGCTGAGTTAATTAATATAGATCCTCCGCATTATTTTTAGTGACTACAGAGTATTCCATTTTATGGTTATATTATCGTTTGGCTAACCACTTTTCTATTATTGGAAGTCAGGTTGTTTCCAGCTCTTGCTGCTATAAATCACTTTGGCAGCAAGAGCCATGAGGCCCAGGGCTGTGTATAATTTATACATACTCTGTGTATTCACAGCACCTGGTACAGTTCCTGGCTGAAGTCCCTGAACATTTCAACCAGCATCCTCTTTGAGTACGTGTTCTATTATTCCTTAGGATATATTTCTAAACATTCATTTTTAAAGTTTCCGTAAAGGTGTTACCAAATCACGTACCTCCTGCCCCCAAGCAGCGAATGTGTCTGACAGACAAGACGTATTTTAACAGAAGAAATGGCCTCTGTTTTGTTGTGTTGTCTTTTTAAAAATTCTTCTGACTTTGCCAATGTTCACAACTGCAACATTGATTTTTGAACGAAATACAACCAAAATTTAGAGGACTCATTTATACGTAACAGAAAATAATTCCTCAAAGGCTCAGACCTTTGAGATTTTTACTGATGAACTGCAAAAAGAGAAAAAGGAAAGGCACATACTGCCACAATTTAATATCCCCCCCACCTGCCAGCCCAGTGTTCTACCTCAGCTTTGTCACAAAAAAAAAAAAAAGAGTTCAGTTTCTCTGTGTGTTTGTAAATTTTAACAAGTGCAGCTTCTATTTTGATGGATAGAATATTGCTGTTACTTCAGATGCAATTACAAACTGTGTACACCACAACCAAGTCTTCACACATATCTGCCCTATAAACTTCTTAATTTAGTAAGACTATTGTTCTTACCATGCCCTGCCAAAATGTGTATTTGTAGTTTTTCCACAAAATAAATTTTATCTTCTATGATAAACATTTTATCTGAATTTACCATACTATTTGTAATAATGCTATTTTAAAAAAGCTTTGCTTTGAGTACATAAATTGAATTTAAAAATTTAATTATTATTGAGATTTACTTTCTCTCAAAGCATCTACATGTACTGATATGTAACCAACATTATTTGTTTGTCAAGTTCTTCTGCTAATGGAGCAAACACATTAACAACTATACTTTCTGTACAAGAAAACTTGGAAGTGAAATGAATGAAATTAACTTAAGAAAGAGTCATTTGATCTAAATCAGAGAAAGGCTGTGGTCCATGGGCCACTTATTTTGCAAATAAAGTTTTATTGGCACACAGTTACAATCACTCATTCATGTATTGTCTAAGGCTGCTTTTGTGTTGCAGTGGCAGAGGTAAGTAGTTGCAACAGGGACCATATGTCTGTATAGCTGAAAATGTTTACTAGATGGTTCTTTACATAAAAGTTTACCAATCCCTGATCAAAATGAAAATATATTAATATAAACATACTTTCTGCAGCTGTGTATGTTAAATTGTCTTTTTTAGGTACAATCTTAACTAATTTTCAAGTAGAGAATCCTTGTAGAATTCTGTCTTCTGGTGTTCATATAGTTAGTAATATCACAACACCCTTTTATCGAATGTCAAATGCCAACAGGCATTTTACATAAGTTACTTACTCATCACCACCTTTCTTGCAAAATAGAGCTTCACTTTTAATTAAACAAACACTTTCCTTTCTTTTAGCTCATTGCAGCCAAGAGATTATTACAATTTTAAAGAAGTGTTATCAAACAATAAGATAAACAATTATAAATTTATACCATATCACTTAGAAAGTGTTGTAGCAAAAGCATGACACTACTCTCTGTCTGCTCTGTGACAAGATGACTCAGCTCCTGCCCCCAATCACTGCGCAAGTACCATGTACTTACAACCTGTCCTTTCTGATGTTTCTCACTGACCCAACTGAAGGCCAGCACCTTAATGCATCTCCCAAGCTGAAGCCTGGACCATAGCACAATGAGCTGGCACATGTGGCTGGATGGGACAGTGGCTTTGAATACTCCTGCCAGCATGAGATCAGGAGTCAGCTGTCCCTTACTGCTTCTGACTCAGCCTGTTTCACTGTATCAGAGAACGCCTCCGGAGTCCTTGTAAAGGAGGTGTGAGTTACCTTGCTTCAAGAAAGGATCACAAGTTGTCACTAGGTAGTCCTCTTTCTGATTTAACCATGTGCTAAAGTGGGAACTCTGTTCTCCACATGCACATCTCACATACCATTAGGCCAGGCCCATGGCGAAAGCTGGAAGAACAGAGTGGAGTTCACCAAACCTATACCAGCTTATTTAAATGCAATCATTAACAAAATGGAAAGCCCTGGACAGACGTTAATGTGACAGGATGCCTTGATCAGTGGTGTGAATGCAACTGTCCTCAGTTCTTAGGTTACTTCAGAAGCAGAGGGAAAAGCTAAATTTTAAAAGTCTTCCCTGGGCAACTGGGGGAATCTCTGGAATTCTATTTAGAAAGCAGACCAGCTCGTGCCCTCATTGCCATTTCTAAAATCTCTTTCTCTGGCAATTACTACCACCATCATATAAAGCAGCCTGTAGAAATGAACCACTTTTCTTCCTACATAGATCTCAGCTTAGTTTTTTAAAAGCCAACATTTTAGGCCAGGCACAGTGGCTCACGTCTGTAATCCCAGCACTTTGGGAGGCTCAGGCAGGTGGATCACGACAAGGTCGGGAGATCAAGACCATCCTGGCCAACATGGTGAAACCCTGTCTCCACTAAAAATACAAAAATTAGTTGGGTGTGGTGGCACGTGCCTGTAATCCCAGCTACTTGGGAGGCTGAGGCAGGATAATCACTTGAACCAGGGAGTCGGAGGTTGCAGTGAGCCGAGATCGTGCCGCAGCACGCCAGCCTGGGTGATAGAACGAGACTCCGTCTAAAAAAAAAAAAAGCCAATGTACACTTTTTTGTTTACTTGCTATTATAATCTGCTGAGACAGAATCATATCTGTTCATCCATTTTATGGACTCTTTTCTTCATTCTTCATTTACTCATGGAATATTTTCATTTCCACTGTGTACCAAGCACCATAACAGGGGCAGGGACACAGTGGTGAAAGAGGCAGGAATGGTCCCTTCCCTGGAAGGACACTCCATGAATTTCCCCCGGGCTTCTGGTGAGCACCAGGGGCATTATCTCTATGTGTAGGATCAAGAAAAGGAGCTTTCACTGTGACTCAGTTCCATGTATTATCCTAGAATGGCAGTAGCTTCTGACATGAGGTTTTCATCTGTTTCAAGTGGTCTTTTGCTTCCTCTTGCCTCCCCTCCCCCCACATCACCCTCTTTGGAGCAGTTTTTGGAGCTGGCCCGGGAGGTACGGCACTATGGATACCTGCAGCTGGATCCTTGTACCTGTGACTACCCAGAATCAGGCTCTGGAGCTGTTCTTTCTGTTGGCAATAATGAGATCAGCTGCTGCATCACCCTGCCTGACAGCCAGACCCAGGACATCGTTTTCCAGATGAGCAGGGTGAAGTGCTGGCAGGTCACTTTCCTTGTGAGTATCTTGGCACCTTGCTTTGCCCATGACTTAAAAATCCTAGTACCCTTGGATGACAAAGTTGACACTAGGGAGACAGGTTTGCCATTTGAATCTGTACCTTGAGTGGAGTGACATCTAAGCCACATTAAATATCACCTAGTGGTAAAACCTATCTGTAGTCTGATGCACGTTCCCCACCCAGAGAAGCAGAGACATTGATCTTTCCACCTTCCTAACAACAGGCCTCCCTACTGCTTGAAGGGTGGCTGTAGTAATAACAGCAGATGGCAATAACAGCTACCATTTATTGAGCACTTACTACGTGCTCAGTGTTGACAAGGTCTCTACCCTTCAAGACTGGCACTGACTGGCAGAGCTCTTCTTACAACACCTTGGCATCATGCTTGCATTGCCAGCTTCTCCCAAGAGAAACCCTTATTAGATTTATTGAGTGCCCACTTTGTACCAGGGGCTGCGCTGCACTGTCTCATCTATTATTTAATTCAGCCTATAAGACCCCAGTGAGCTAAGTGGTGTTATCCTCTTTACACAGGAAACTGAGGTTAACTAATAGAGGGCAAAAGCTATCAGAGCATGACACCCACTTGTTAAATCCATGGAATCCCTGGCGATTTTTTAGCTGGGCTCATACTTGACCTCTCTGTGGCATTCGATACTGTCAACCATTTCTTACTTCTCAAAGATCTCTCTCCTTTCTCCCCTACTTTTGTAGGCCACTTCTCCCTCTGAGCATTCCTGAAATTCTGGTGTTTCTGGCATTGCATTCTAGCATCATTCCTCTACATATTCTCTGAAATCAATGCCCAGACCCTGCTCAAAGGCCCAGTTTTTTCTACCTCTGGATGCCTTCAACCAGGTGTCTCACAGACATCTCAAACGCAGCCTTTCCCTGAAGCAGACGAGTCCTTTTCCACCTTATGCCTTTCATGGGGTTCTTCTGTCTGTGTTCCCTACTTGGTCAAGGGAACTTCCACTACCACACCCTAATTGCCAAACCAGAAATCTTGAAGTTATCTCTGACTTTTCTCTTTCTCTGACCCTACACATTTAAGTGCTAATGGAGGCCTATCCATTCTATACTTTGCTGTCCCTCAAAAGTCTCCCTTACCAGCCCAGGCAACATGGCAAAATCCCATCTCTACAAACTAATACAAAAATAAACCAGGCATGGTGGTGTGCACCTGTGGTCCCAGCTACTGGGGAGGCTGAGGTGGGAGGATCTCTTGAGCCTGGGAGGCAGAGCCTGCAGTGAGGTGAGATTACATCACTGCACTCCAACCTAGGCAACAGTGAGACCCATCTGAAAAAAAAAAAAAAACAACAAATTCCCTCTATCTCCGCACTCACAGCTTGGTCTCAACATGCCCTGTGTGGATGGATTGAACAGTTTCCTAATTCTTCTCCCTACACCACTCTTTCCTCCTGGAGGTCAGAAAAAATATATTGTATGATCTTAGCCCTTTGAAACGTATGGAAACGTGTTTTGTGGCCCCAAATTTGATCTATCTTGGTAAATGTTTCACATGTATCTTAAAAGAATGTGCCTTCCATTTTGGGTAGAACATTCTATAAATATCAATTGCCTTAGGGATTGGCTCATTTTTGCTCTGCATAATTTGTTGGAAGTTCATTCAGGTTGCTGACTATATCAGTAGTTTGTCTCTTTTTATTGTTGAGCAGCAGTCCATGGTCTGGATGTGCCAAAGTTTGCTTAACCATTTACTCATTGAAGAACCTCTGGTTGTTTCTAGTTTTTAGCTATTATGAATAGAGCTGCTATAAATCTTCACATACAGGTGTTTGCCTGGCCATGAGTCTTCATTTTTCTGGAATAAATGCCCACAAGTGCAATTGCTGGGTCGTACGGTAATTGCATGTTTACTTTTTAAAGAAACTGCCGAATTGTTTTTGAGAATGGCTACATCATTTTACATTCCCACCAGCAATGTGTGAGTGAACCAGTTTTCTGCATTCTCACCAGCATTTGGTGTTGTCACTATTTTTTTTATTGTAGTCATTCTAATATATGTGTAAAGATATTTCATTGTGACTTAAGTTTGCATTTCACTATGGCTTATGATGCTGAATATCTTCATGTGTTTATTTGCCATCTGTATATCTTCTTTGGTAAAATGTCTTCTCATATCTTTTACCCATTTTTGAATTGGATTGTTTGGCTTTTTACTGTTGAGTGTTGAGAGTTCTTTATGTATTCTAGATACTTGTTCTTTGTTGGCCATCTGGTTTCCAAATATTTTCTCTTACTCTATAGTTTCGGTTTTGTTGTTGTTGTTGTTGTTTGTCTGTTTCCTTGTTTTGGTTTTGTTTTGAGACAGAGTCTTGCTCTGTCGCCCAGGCTGGAGTGCAGTGGTGCAATTTCAGCTCACTGCAGCCTCCACCTCCCAGGTTCAAGGGATTCTCCTGCCTCAGCCTCCCAAGTAGCTGGGATTACAGGCATGCACCACCAGGCAGGGCTAATTTTTTGTATTTTTAGTAGAGATGAGGTTTCACCACGTTGTCCTGGCTGGTCTCAAACTCCTGACCTCAAACAATCTGCCTGCTTCGGCCTCCCAAAGTGCTGGGATTACAGGTGTGAGCCACCACACCTGGCCCACTCTATAGTTTTTCATCCTCTTAAACAAGGTCTTTTGCAGATCAAAAATGTTTCATTTTGATTAAATCTAATTAATCAGTTTTCCTTTTTTGGATTGTGCTTTTGCCGTCAAGTCCAAGAACTCTTTGATAAATCCTGTTATAGATGCTGAAGTTTTTCTATTTTTTTTCCTAAAAGTTTTACAGTTAGGGGTTTTACATGTAAGTTCATGATCCATTTTCAGTTAATTTTTGTATGGAGCATGAGACTTAGGATAAGGTTATCAGGCCAGGCACAGTGGCTCATGCCTATAATCCCAGCACTTTGGGAGGCCGAGGTGGGCAGATTGGTTGAAGTCAGGAGTCTGAGACCAGCCTGGCCAACATGGAGAAACTCTGTCTCTACTAAAACTACAAAAATTAGCTGGGCGTGGTGGGGCGCATCTGTAATCCCAGCTACTTGGGAGGCTGAGGCAGGAGAATCCCTTGAGTCTGGGAGGGGGAGGTTGCAGTGAGCCAAGATCACGCCACTGCACTCCAGCCTGGGAGACAGAGCAAGACCCTGCCTCGAAAAAATAAAATAAAATAAAATAAAAATAAGGTGGTTATCCCCCCATCCCCAACCTTTTGTTTGTTTGTTTGCCTCTGGAGGTCCAGTTGCTCCAGTACCCATTTGTTGAAATGACTGTCTGTCCTCAAGTAAGCTATTTATATACCTTTGTCAAAAATCAGTTGGGCATGTTTGTACGGGTCTGTTTCTAGGTTCTCTGTTCTGTTTGGCTGATCTATGTGTATATTCCCCCACCAATATCACACGTGTCTTTCTTTATAACGGCTTTATTGAGATATAATTCACATACCATACAATTCACCCATATAAAGTATACGATTCAATGGTATGGTATGTAGTATATTCACAGAGTTGTGCAGCCATCACCACAATCAATTTTAGAACACTTTATCACCTGAAAAAGAAGCCCCATACCCTTTAGTTGTCACTTTCCTATCCCCCCAGCCCTAAAAAACCACTGATCTACTTTCTGTCTCTATAGAATAGATTTGCCTATTCTGGATAATTTATATTAATGGACACATAGAAAGTCCGGCATGAGGAGGTAACCGCTTGAGCTAACTCCGACCCGTATATTAATGGAATCATATAATATGTGATCCTTGTGACTAGCTTTTTTACCTAGCATGTTTCCCAGGTTCATTCTTGTAGCATGTATCATCAGTACTTTATTATTTTTTATGGACAAATAATATTCCACTTCATGGTTATAGCACATTCTACCCATTCATCCATTGATAGACATTTGGGTTGCTTCTATATTTTGGCTGTTATGAATTATGCTGCTATAAACATTTGTGCACAAGCTTTTGTGTAGACATGTTTTTATGTCTCTTGAGTATATACCTAGGAGTAGAATTATCATTGGATCAAATGATAATTCTGTGTTTAACTTTTTGAGGAACTGCCAGCCTAGTTTCCAAAGTGGCTGCACCATTTTATATCCCCAGCAGCAGTGGAGGGTTTTGATTTCTCCTCATCCTTGCCAGTACTTGTTATTAATTTTTTATTATAGCCAACCTAGTAGATAGATGTGACACGGTATCCCATTGTGATTTCATTTATCTCAGTATTTTTTCTCTCTCTGCTTTATTTGTGGTTGTTTCTATTGCTATAGCTTTAAGATTATTGATATTTTCTTCTGTAATGTCTAACATTGTTATTTATCCCATCCAGTGCATTTTTACTTCTAGTGTTGTATTTTTCATCTCTAGAAGTTCTGTTTAGATCTTTTTTATATTTTCCATTTCTCTCCTTATCATGCTACTTTTTTTCTCCAAATTCCTGAGTGTATGGAACATACTTTAAATAGCAGTTTCAATATTTTTGCTACTAATTCCATCATCTCTGTCATTTCTGGATCTAATTCTACTGATTGATACTTTTTTCTTTTTGCTTTCTGTTTGTTTGTTTTTATCACCTGACATTGAGTATGTACTATTGATTGATTTTTCTACTGTTTGCAGATCATATTTTCCTCCTCCTATTCATTTCAAGTAATTTTTTGTGGCATGCTAAACGTTGCAAATTTTACATTATTGAATGTCGCATTTTATTGAATTCCTTTAAAGAGCATTAGATTTTATTCTGGCATGCAGTTAAATTACTTAGGATTGGTTTTATTTTTATTTTTATTTTTAAGAGGCAGGGTCTCACTCTGTTACCCAGGCTGGAGTGCAGTGGCACAATTATGGCTCACCGCAGCCTCAACCCTGTGGGCTCGAGAGATCCTCCTTCCTCAGCCTCCCAAGTAGCTGGGATTACAAGCATGTGCCTATGCCCAGCTGATTTTCATTTTTTGTAGAAACAGGGTCTTGCTATGTTTCCCAGGCTGGTCCTGAACTCCTGGCCTCAAGCAATCATCTGCCTCACCTTCCCAAAGTGCTGGGATTACAGGCATGAGCCCCCATGCCTGGCCAGTTTTACTTTTTTGATGCTTGCTTTTAAGCTTTATTTCCTTCTTTTTTTTTTTTTTTTTTTTGAGACGGAGTCTCACTCTGTTGCCCAGGCTGGAGTGCAGTGGCGCGATCTCGGCTCACTGCAAGCTCCGCCTCCCGGGTTCAAGCCGTTCTCCTGCCTCAGCCTCCCGAGTAGCTACGACTACAGGCGCCTGCCCGCCTTGATGAAGTTGCAGAGTAATCTTTAGTCTAGGGCTAATTTAGCCCTTTGTGCCTTAGCTGCCATTCTTAGAGCTCTACCTGACATCTTGTCTATTGTCTCTCTGCTCTGGCCAATGGGAACATGAACTCTTTCCATCCTTGTTTGTGAGCTCCTGCAATTTCCAACCTACTGCTTTCCAGATGTTCTTTCCCCAGCCTCATGTAGGTTTACTCTATACACGCGTAGATCGTTATTCAGCCAAAGATTTGTCAAAAACTCCCTAGAGCTCTCGCTGTGTTTAAAGCCCTAGTCTTTGATATTCTGCACCACAAATTCCAATCTCAACTTCTTGAAACTTTTGCCCTTTCTCCTCTACTCATTAGGACCCCTGGGCTCTGTTTGGGTTCCCTGTCTTTGTGTTATATCCTGGAAACCTCTTCAGGTGGTAAGCTGGGATAATTATGGGGCTCACTTCATTTGGTTTTCCTTCTCTCTGGGTTAACAGTACTGCGTTATCTGTTGTTCAGTGTCTGAAAACAGCTGTTTTCCAATTCATATTTTGTTGTTGTTGTTGTTGTTGTTGTTTTCGAGATGGAGTCTTACTCTGTTGTCCAGGCTGGAGTGCAGTGGCGCAATCTCAGCTCACTGCAACCTTCACCTCCCAGGATCAAGTGATTATCCTGCCTCAGCCTCCCGAGTAGCTGGGATTACAGGCACCAGCCACCATACCCAGCTAATTTTTTGTGTGTTTTTAGTAGAGATGGGGTTTTACCATGTTGGCCAGGCTGGTCTCAAACTCCTGACCTCAAGTGATCTGCCTGCCTCAGCCTCCCAAACTGTTGGGATTACAGGCATGAACCACTGCACCCAGCCTCCAATTCATGTTTTAACTGATGCTGCCAGACCGATATTTCTAAAATATAAATCTAATTCCTGTTTTTTGGAGACAAGGACTTGCTATGGTGCCCAGGCTGGTTTTGAACTCCTGAGCTCAAGAGATTCTCTTGCCTCAGCCTCCCAAAGTGCTGGGATTACAGGCATGAGCTACCACACCTAGCTGAAACCTCTTAAAGAAAATCTGTTGCCCTTAGGATAATGTCTGTTGCCCCCTAGGGGGAAAAATATCTTTTTTCTTTCCCTATTTCTTTTTTGTGTACTGCATATAATCTGCAGGAAGGGATCCTTAGCTTATAAAACCTGTAAGAGTTAGGGCTCTTTGTTGGCAAGCAATAGAAACCAACACATTGGACTCTAGTGGAAAATGGGATTTATTGGAAGGATATGGAGTAACCTACAGATTCAAAGGAAAAACGGATGCAGAGGCTTTAGAAAGTTAAGAACCAAAGGAGCTCAAGCTTTCTAAGAAATAGGAACTCTATCAGGACCTACCATTTGGGTCTCTCTGACTGGAATAACATGAGGAGCATAGAGAATTACTTGTCCACTTGGCCTGAAATTTGGTCATATGCCATCCTCTGACTTTTCATTCCCTGATAGTCCTACATAAATAGCCAACAGTGGAAGAGGGATGGTTTTTCCAAGGGTATTTGAGACTCCATTACTAGGAAAAAGAATGATGGATGCTGCAAAGCAAAAATCACAGATGTTGCCTACCAGGCTTTCAGGATCTGGTCCTAAGCCTCTTCTCATATCACCCTCCATGCCTTGGAGCCTGTACTGCAGCCACATGCACAGTCCCTTGTAGTGTCTCCAACATGCCTCAGGACATTTGCACTTGCTAGAATATTTCCTCTTTCAAAAATCACCTCTCACCTCCCCTACACACTACAAAATAAAACCACCACGACAAACTTGGGTAGTTTCTACCTCTGCTCAGATGGCCCTTCCAGGAAGTCTTCCTTTGCCCTCCTAGCCTGGGTTAGGTGCCCCTCCTATTTACTTCCATAGACCTGTGTTTCCTTCCTAACACTTAACTATTAATATATCAAACTGTGGTGATTTACTTTCATGGCTCCTCCATAGACTGATACCTTCTTGGAAATAGGGACAGTCTCCCTCATTTTGATATTTTGCCCAACACATTAATGGGCTTTTTTTTTTTTTTTTTGAGACGAAGTCTCACTCTTGTCACCCAGGCTGGAGTGCAATGGCATGATCTCGGCTCACTGCAACCTCTGTCTCCCTAGTGCAAGTGGTTCTCCTGCCTCAGCCTCCCAAGTAGCTGGGATTACAGGCCCCTGCCACCACGCCTGGTTAATTTTTGTATTTTTAGTAGAGATGGGGTTTCACCATGTTGGCCAGGATGGTCTCGAACTCCTGACCTCAGGCGATCTGCCCGCCTCAGCTGGGATTTCAGGTGTGAGCCACCGTGCCCGGCAAATTAATAGGCATTTAAATTTACATTGAATATAAAATATTTTCCTTTGTAGGGAACTCTGCTGGATACGGATGGGCCCCAGAGAACTCTCAACCAGAACTTAGAGCTCAGATTTCAATACAGTGAGGATAGTTGCTGGCAGTGGTTTGTTATTTACACCAAACAGGTGAGTTCTCAGGGCAGACCTTGAACACCCTCTGTGCTGAAATGCTGTCTTGCTTGCTGGGGTGGATGAAGCACATGACCCTAACCCAACTAGAGCAGGACCCTAAAGTGTTCTATGCACTCTCGTTCGGGACCGTAATACCTTTTATTTTGTTTTATGTTTTGTTATATTTTACTAGTCACCGTGGCCTTTGTATCAGTTAGAAATGAATTTAGTTACCAATTAATAGAAGATTCAACCAACAGTGGCTTAGACCAGGAGTCCATAGACTTTTTCTTAAAGGATAGTAAATATTTTAGGATTTGAGATCCATACAGTCTCTGTTGCAACTGCTCAACTCTGTTAAAAGCAGCCATAGGCAGTATATAAACAAGTGAGTCTGGCTATGTTCCAATAAAACTTTATTTATAGAAACAGATGGTGGTCTGGCCTTGTTTGCCAACCCCTGACTTAGGCAATACAGATTTTTATGATCTTAGTTAATAAAAATACTGAAGGTAGATGATTGGCATCCCTATTATTCTCTTGACCTTTTCCAAGCAGATAAAAAGCCACTGGTTGAGTATCCCTTATCCCAAATGCTTAGCACCAGAATTGTTTCCAATTGCAGATTTTTTTAAATCTTGAAATATTTGCATATACATTCATGTGGTACATAACATTTTGGTCAATGACAGTCTGTATATATGGCAGTGGTCCCATAAGTTTATAACTCAGTATTTTTACTGTACCTTTTTTATGTTTTTTTTTAATGTTTCACCTTTTTCCTGTAGTACCTTTTCTATGTTTAGGTGATACACATACTTATCATTGTGTTACAATTGCCTCAGAATTTATTCAGTATAGTAGCATACTGTACAGGTTTATAGCCTAAGAGTGGGAGGCTCTATCATCTAGCTTAGGTATATAGCAAGCTATACCATCTAGGTTTGTGTAACTACACTCTATGTTGTTTGCACAATGACAAACTTGCCTAATGATGCATTTCTCAGAACATACCCCCATCATCATTAACTGATGTATAATTGTATATAATGAGATATCTTGAGGATGGGACCCAAGTCTAAACATGAAATTCAATTATGTTTCATATACACCTTAAACACATAGCCTGAAGGTAATTTTATATGATATTTTAAATAAATTTGTGCATGGAACAAAGTTTGTGGACATTGAGCCATCAGAAAGCAAAGATGTCACTACCTCAGCCACCCATGTGGACCATCTGTGGTTGTCGGGCATCACCATCATTCCTGACTCTGAATTTATATGCTACTGATAAGCAATCCATTTCTTATACTTATTCACATATACATAATCAACAGTAGAAAACATGACGTACCATTAATGCAGTGAAAAATTATGTGTTCAGGGTAGCTAATCAGCACAATAGCATCACTGGAATACCTGTATCAGCTGTGAAACCTGTGAAACAACAGCAACAGAATCTGTGCTGTACATCTGGTTTTTGACTGTTACTAGTCACAGGAGATCAGGTGTGGAATTTCCCACTTGTGGCATCATTTAAGTGGCTCAAAAAGTTTCACATTTTGGACTTTTGGATTAGGGATGCTCAACCCATATCTCTCTTATCTGGAAAGCAAAAGTTTTACCCCAGAAACCCCGCAGTAGACTTCCTATTATGTTTCAATGGCCAGAACTGGATCATATGACCACTCCTAGCTGCAAGGGAGTCTGGGAACCAAGCATCTAGCAAAGAGAAACAGGATTTATGATTGGCTTAGAGTAAGCATGAACCATTGCCTGGGGCTGAGCATGTTATCGTCCCAAACAAAATCAGGGTCTCTTAGGAAAGAAGAAGGGGCAATGGCTGTTGGGTAGCCAACTATCCATGTCTACCATAGGCTTTTAACTAAAATTGGAGTGGAAATGCTAAAAAAGAGAAAATCTAAACACCAAATCCAATTGAAAAGTCCTTTTTACTAAATTAAGCCATTTCAAATTGAAACCAAAATTGTAGGTGTTCTGAAATGGAATCAAAATAGTAAAGTACTCTTTGCATCGATGTCATATTCAACTTGAGTCTCTGGTGATCAGGCTAAGTTCCATGGAACATTCTGGTTCAGAAACCAAGGCCCCTTTTGACTCTTTACTTCTAGTATAGTTGAGTCATTATATCAAAGTCCTCTGAAAACATGAAGTACTAAACCAAAATTCTAGGTTAAAGGAGTGGGTCCTTAGGTCCACCTTAAGTATGAAACATCTTTGGGGAAATAGTAGACTGGTTTGCTAAGGCAAGATTATCAGTCACTTGGAGAGACATAGAGAGATTTGGGTAGTAAAACTACCTCCCAACCTCAGAATGCTAAGTGCGGTTAAATTTTACTATGATTTTTCAATCTAGGCAGTAGCAAATGAGTTTAAACCACCATAAAGAGGTGCAATAAACATTCTTTCAAAGGATTCCTAGTAAGGTCTTATTTCCCCTGGAGTGTGAGTTTTATTGATGTACACCCAAAGGCTACTTTTTAAAAACATTATAATTTTTATGGATATATAATAGTTGTACACACTCAAGGGCTACTTTTGTAAAAGGTGGAAATGTGACTTGTGTGCTTTGCAAATACAAATGAGGGCTTGGGCCCAAATCTTTTTGAGACCTTTTAAATGAAATCTGAATTGTTGGCCAGGCGCAGTGGCTCATGCCTGTAATCCCAGCAATTTGGGAGGCCAAAGCCGGCAGATCACTTGAGGTCAGGAGCTTAAGACCAGCCTGGCCAACATGGTGAAACACCATCTCTACCAAAAGAACAAAAATCATCTGGGCATGGTGGCAGGCACCTGTAATCCCAGCTACTCGGGAGGCTAAGGCAGGAGAATCCCATGAATCTGGGAGGCGAAGGTTGTAGTGAGCCAAGATTACACCACTGTGCTCCAGCCTGGGCGACAGAGCAAGACTCCATCTCAGAAAAAAAAACAACAACTCGATCCTTTTGCTTTGTCTTTTTTAAATTTTTTATTCATTTTCAATCTTTTCATATTTAATAAACCTGACAGTTTATAGCAGAGTCCTGGCCTATGTACTTGTGTACATTGTATAAGAATATGGAATTGGTCTGCATCTTATTGGACCCTATTAAACATCCTTCCTAGCTGCATTTGCTCAGGGTTTTGTTGTTTATTTTATTATCTGGTTTTGCATAGGTTTCATATATGCACATATAAACAGGGCTAGTTCTTAGCAAAGCTAGGAAGTCAAAATGTTTGCACAAATGCCCCATCTGTTAATTCTTTCAAAAATTGATGTCAGGCCCTTTTTTCTCTCTTCCCTCTTTTCCCCTTTTAAATAAAATTAATTCCTGTAATGCTCTACACCCCTGGAAGACATTGAGAGCTGTATGTAGCCCATTTTCCCTCTAATTCTGCTTTCTGTGTTCTCCCCTCCAAGAACTTCCTACTTGGCTACCACCCCAGCCTGTGCTTTCTCTCACTCTCTCCTCCCTTCTCCTCTCCATCCTCCCCTCCAACACAGTGACCACCCCTGAACACAGCCCTGCGCTAAGTTCTTCTAGCCTCAACTTTGATTGGCAGTTGTCCCAAACCTTAGTAGGGCCAAAGGAGAAAACAGCAGGCCAAGAATTAAGAGCAGGACAAGAGAGAAAAAGGATAAGTGGGAAAGGAGCAAATGGGAAAATCACAGGGAACCTTCAATTTTGCTCATAGTATTGAAGAGCCTGGAATAAGGAAGCCCAGCTTTTGTGTAGCAAGTTGTACAACTATGAGTGTCTTGGCACTAATGATGATTTAGCCACGAAGGATAGTGAAGGTGACTATGAGTCTAGAACATGAGTGATTAAAGATACTAGAAAAATAAGAAAGTGGGCCAGGCACGGTGGCTCACACCTGTAATCCCAGTACTTTGGGAGGCGAGGCGGGTGGATCACTTGAGGTCAGGAATTTGAGACCAGCCTGGCCAACATGGTGAAACCCCGTCTCTACTAAAAATACAAAAAAATTAGCTGGGCATGGCAGCGTGCTGAAGCGGGAGAATCGCTTGAACCAAGGAGGCGGGGGTTGCAGTGAGCCAAGATCGCAGCCACAGCACTCCAGCCTGGGTGACAGAGTGAGACTGTCTCAGAGAAAAAAAAAAAAAAAAGAAAAAGAAAAAGAAAAATAAGAAAGTGAAGTGAAGAAAAACAGCTGATCTTTTTTTTCAGTTTAGTAAAAGCAATAAGGTGCTAATATATTCCTTCAAACAAACCAGTTACTTTTATGCCCAGTAGAGGTCTCTCAATAATTATGTATACAATGTCTAGAATTAAATATAGGATTGACCATCATCAGTTCATCTCATTATAATAATAATAATTAGTTTTTATTGTTTATTGCTCATAAAACATTATCTGCTTACAAAATAATAGAAAACATGGGATGCAAGGGGGTGAGTTTTAAGAGGAAAAATGTTAATAGTGAGATCCTGGACATTTTTCATTTCTTTAAAAAATCTGCTGTAAATATATCCACATAATTGAGAAAATTTATAGTTACTTACTAATTGGATCTTATGAAAACTTCTAGAGGTTAATGAAGAAATCTAAATTCTTGAATCTGTGTTATTGGAGGGCAGAGTCAAAATCCGCTTTGTGGTGTGAGGAGGGAAGAAAGAGAGTGAAGATTTCTTCGGTTACAAGAGTTCTTTATTCCTGCATTTCTTAGGCTTTTTTGCTGAGTAGCTGCTTGAAAAAGATGATCTCAGAAAAGATGGTAAAGCTAGCTGCTGAGAATACAGAAATGGTGAGTGCTCTTATCTGTGTCTATTTTTCACTTTACGTTCCCACTATCAGCCAACAGTTGGAGACCAAACTACACTCATGAGCTCCCTGAGCCAGCAGGTCTAGTCCTAAAGGGAGGACTCCAAACCACAGAAGTGAGCTCCTCTTCCCTCTGGTAGCTCAGTGGTCAGGATGGCAGGGCAGAAGGAAGCCTGTCTTTAGAATTGAAGTCATTTTTCCAATGAGAAGTCATCTTTGGGTTACTGAGAATTCTAACCCTCGACTTTGTATCATTTTGTTTCAGCCTTCTCTGACATGGAGGCTTTCAGATTTATTACAGAAGCTACATCTTCAAGTCAGGGTCTTGAGGGGGTCTTTAACACAGTGGGGATGATCTTATTATAAGTTTATCTCTAGAAAGAATCCATAGCTTCTTGATACTTCCATTGTGCCAAATGAAAATGCCTTTAACAGTTGGGGGAGGTAGTAAAATAAACTCTCAAGGCTATTTTTTTTCCTCAATATAAAATTAAACTTTATTGTTCTAGTGTTTATTTATTATTATATTTATTAAAGGCCTAGTAACTCATCAAAAAGGTTGGTGAGAAGGCTGTGAAAAAATTATATTTTAAACTGTTTTAATTGCCTAGTCGTTATCATGATACAAGTATGTCCCAAACAAGACAGTACAATTTTTTTTTTAAATGATTAGAAATACCAATGCCTGGGGCCGGGCATGGTGGCTCATGCCTGTAATCCCAGCACTTCAGGAGGCCAAGTGGGGGGATCACTTGAGGTCAGGAGTTTGAGACCAGCCTGGCCAACATGGTGAACCCCCATCTCCACTAAATATACGAAATTAACTGGGTGTGGTGGTGGGTACCTGTAGTCCCAGCTACTGGGGAGGCTGAGGCAGGAGAATTGCTTGATCCCAGAAGACAGAGGTTGCAGTGAGCCAAGATGACACCATTACATTCCAGCCTGGGTGACAGAGTGAGACTCCATCTTAAAAAAAAAAAAGAAAGAAAGAAATACCAGTACCTGGTTGACATTCATAAACTTAATTCTTTTGTAGAATATTATATTGATATTTTAAAATATAATAGAAAATATTGGGAAACTTTTCTTTTCTTTTCTTTTCTTTTTTTTTTTAGATGGAGTCTCACTCTGTCGCCCAGGCTGGAGTGCAGTGGTGCATCTCAGCTCACTGCAAGCTCCGCCTTCCGGGTTCACACCATTCTCTTGCCTCAGCCTCCCGAGTAGCTGGGGCTACAGGTCCCTGCCACCACGCCCGGCTGATTTTTTGTATTTTTTTTTTTAGTAGAGACAGGGTTGCACCACGTTAGCCAGGATGGTCTCGATCTCCTGACCTCATGATCCGCCCGCCTCGGCCTCCTAAAGTGCTGGGATTACAGGCATGAGCCACCGCACCCGGCCAGGA
This sequence comes from Homo sapiens, assembly GCF_000001405.40. Taxonomy (NCBI): domain Eukaryota; kingdom Metazoa; phylum Chordata; class Mammalia; order Primates; family Hominidae; genus Homo; species Homo sapiens. The sequence continues at coordinate 100,582,691 of NC_000008.11, read as the reverse complement.
AACTTTTCTAATGTTTTCATTTAAATTTAGACTAAGAGGATGGATGACATCTTTAGTTAACATTGATCTTTACTTGACTTTCCAGCTTTTTTCTAAGAAAATAGCTGTGTTTTGTAATTATTTCTCTTTCTTCTAGAACTGAACGTACCTTTTCCAGGGAAAATAAATTCACTGCCTCTTGGTGACTGAACAATTCAAGATGTGCTAGAGAGTAGTAAATCAAAGCAATAAAAGAATCAAGGAAACTCTTTTTAAAAGAGTAATATAATAAAATCCAACCTCTCAGGCAGGATGGACCCTCTTAGGCTGAGATTATTGTATGTATTAAAAAGAAGAAAGAGAAAAGTAATTAACTGAAGTAGCCTCATTAAAAGGGAGAAGTGCTCTCAAATGTGGATGAAAAAAATGTAAGCTACTTGATTCAGGAAATACTTGTACAATGAGTAGCTAAAGAGTTAACTCAGTAAAATGGAGAAAGTAGTAATCTATTTAAAGTTTTCAAGAAAAACAACCACACTATGTATCTTAAGTTTGCACATGAATCGAAATCCATAATTAATCTCTGAGGTTAGCAAAATCAGCACATTAGTCAGTACCCTTGTATTGCTTTATCCAAATATTTAACACGTTTTAGTTCCAGAAACTCTTTATTTTTTTTACTTATTTTGGCTCTTGGAATGAAAAGTTCAGACCTTTCATTTTGAAAATTGGGTTTCCAAGAGGATTTTGTAAGGATAGTCTGCATTTTAATCTCGAATTTTATCTACAAAGCTCTGGGTAGAGGGGAACCTGGGAGGTAGAGAGAGCAGACAGTTCAGTGTTTGAACTCATCCTGAGTGCTGGGCCCCCTCACAAGTACAGTCGATTAAAGTCATTTTGTGGCTCAAGGAAACCATATAAATGTACCATGGCGTCATTCCCTTGTTTTCCAGGGAAACACACAAAGTCAAAACTGACACATAGCACTTATAGAAGGCTTGTATGGACTAGGACACAGAGGTCTCTATTTTGCAGGGCAGGTTCCGAGTCCAAGATTTTGATCATCTTAAAGAATCTGAAGCAGGGGAGAGAACTGTAACCAAATGAGCCCCATAAATAAGGCAGATCATCCCTAGAAGCAGATTAAGTAGTGCTAGTTTTATCCTAGTAAGAGGAAATGAGGGAAAAAAGAAATGTATTGTTAACTTAATTAGCTTTGTTAGCTTTAGGTAATGTTTTCAAAGATAAAACTTGTGCTCTGTTTATGAAGACATCATTAAAATTTGGGTCAAGCAAATGCACTAAAGAATAATGTAAACATACAGCCACAACAAAAATATATTAAGTTCTTAAATTATATATATATATATATATAGATAGATAGATAGATATAGATATATAAAAAATTTTTTTAAAGACAGGGTCACGCTCTGTCACCCAGGCTGGAGTGCAGTGGTGCAATCATGTCTCACTGCAGCCTCAACTTCCCAGACTGAGGTGATCCTCCTACTTCAGTCTCCCAAGTAGCTGGGACCACTGGCATGTGCCACCACACCCAGCTAATTTTTTTTTTTTTTTTTGTAGAGGTAAGGTCTCCCTGTGTTTTCCAGGCTGGTCTTGAGCTCCTGAACTCAAGCGATCCTCCCACCTTGGCTTCCCAAATTGCTGAGATAACAGACATGAGCCACTGTACCTGGCCCTTAAAGGCAATATTAACCATAAACTGGAAGAAAAAAAAAGTGTAACATTCTTCTTAAAGCTATGCTCCTGTACAAAAGCCTGAATCAATTTCCTTAATATTTGCTGCTCTTAATTAGAGCAGAATTATAAAGGATTGCTTTATTTAAAAATAAAGTATATTAGTTAGAGTTAGGTTTTGCTGCATGTAATAGAAAACAAAAGACAAAACAAGTGTCTTAGACACAATGAAGTTTGTTTCTCTCTCATCTAAAAGAAGTCCAGAGGTAGGCAGTCTAGGGCTGGATGGGGTGGCTCCATAATATCAACACAGACCTTTCTATTGTGGATCTTCTGTATGTGGCTTTCACCTCATCCCCAAAATGGCTGCCAGAACACCAATCATTACATCCACATTCTAGGCAGCAAGTATGAGGAAAATATGAAGCAGGGTTCACTTCTTTTCTTTAAGGAGAAGTTTCAGAAGTCTCACTCAGAATTTCCCCTACGACAATTGGCCAAGAGATAGTCACATCACAGGCCCACACCTAGCTGCAAGGGAGTCTGGTAAATGTGGTCTTTTAGCAGGGTGTGTTGTCTATTCAAATAAAACTGGGTGTAATTACTAAGGAAGAAGGGTGGAATGGATAATGGAGTAAACTACCAACAATCTCTGCCATTTAGAGAATTCCAAAAGACACCAAGAAAAGATAGTAGATGTATTTTATGCAATAGATGTGTTCCTAAGGAATTTCTGAAAGTGCATTATTATTATTTTACATATTGAACTGTAATCTGGATACATGAGATGTACATCAGGAGTATGCTGGTCAATTATTTTCTGACTTAAAAAGACTGTTTTTTTTTTTTTTTTTTTTTAAAGACAGGCTCTGTCTCCCAGGCTGGAGTGCAGTGGTGCAATCTCAGCTCACTGCAACCTCCACCTCCCAAGTTAAAGCCATCATCCCCACTGCAGTCTCCTAAGTACCTGGTACTATAGGCACACACCACCATGCCTGGCTAATTTTTGTATTTTTTGTAGAGACAGGGGTCTCACTATGTTGCCCAGGCTGGTCTCAAACTCCTGAGCTTAAGCAATCAGCCTGCCTTGGCCTCCCGAAGTGCTGAGATTACAGGTGTGAGCCACCATGCCTGGCAAGAAACAATTTATATTTCTAATAATCTATACCTAGTTTGTATATTTTCCCTTTGTTTTTCTTAAAAGTAGATCTGATCTCAAAATTAGTTTCCCTCAAAAATGGCGAAGAACAAGATGGCTTTCTGATTCCTGATTACCTTACACCTCTTACTCCATCCTCAACTACCATCACCAGATGTATTTTTCCCTCCATTCTTCTTTCCTTTTAGGCAAGGTGAAACTATTTAAAAGGCAACTGGCAATTTTAAACATGTTTCTATTATATAGTGAGGAGGGGAAACACCAAGGACAGTGGCCTCTGATATCTGAGGAATGTTAGCCTTTTGAAGAGCTGGTCCAATATAGAAAATGGAAAAACTGTGTATGGCAGTCAGGAGAATGGTATGAGCATAGCAGGAGGACACAGTTTTAGACAGCCAGGGGGAAATTACTGTGCAGGAATAAGTGATTATGTTATTAACAGAAACCACTCTATTGATGAAAAAGGAAGTATAGGAATACTGCATTATGAAAAAAGATTTGCTTGTTTCCCCAGCTTTATTCCCCCTAGTACATAAAGTATTGAAGGCCTTATTGCAAGAAGTCAAGGAAACTGATTATGTCAGAAATTGCTTAACATTTGTAGTGGTTCGATTTTATTTACTTTGACATAGGGAGCAGGAGGGGAAGGAGACTAGGAGACAGAAAAATTCTGAGAATTTTCCTCCAAGCTCTGTATTTCATGGCTGCAAGACTATTTATGGACCCTAATGTAACACTGTAAAATAATAATAATAGTAGCAGAACACATAAGACATCAGAGTGTTAATTTCTCATTTTCCAAGACTTAATAACTGGTTTTTTAAAAAATATTGAGGCCGGGCACAGTGTCTCGTGCCTGTAATCCCAGCACTTTGGGAGGCCGAGGCAGGTGGATCACTTGAGGTCAGGAGTTTGAGACCAGCCTGGCCAACATGGTGAAACCCCATCTCTACCAAAAATACAAAAATTAGATGGGCATGGTGGCGCGTACCTGTATTCCTAGCTACTTGGGAGACTGAGGCTGGAGAATCGCTTGAATCCAGGAGGTGGAGGTTGCAGTGAGCCAAGATTGTGCCACTGCACTCTAGCCTGGGCAACACAGCGAGACTCTGTCTCAAAATAATAATAAAATAAAATAAAATAAAATAAAATAAAATAAAATAAAATAAAAAATCATTGAAATAGGCTTAAATATGTGAACATTTCCATTAAGAATACTAACCTAAAGGAAGTCTTATGCATACCTCCTTAAAGCAATTGATTTTACAACAAAGTTAACCATAGTTGAAAGGTAATGCTTTTTTGCAGTGTCATGTTATTTAGCCCACTTATTTTTAAATGTCTCCGTCTATATTCTCATGAGAAGTAAGCAATAATAAACAATTAAGTCACTTGTTTATTCTGTCATTTATGAATGCCTGTGTGTACCATGTGATGGCTAAACCTGAGGATCCAGAGTCAAAGAGCTAATATGTTGGAGGAGAAAGGCGATTAATACAGAGACGTTGACAATTGTAGGGTAAATAAATACTGCAACTTGCTTGAGTTATGTACCTAACGCACATAGCAGTTCTTTTCTTTCCCATTAAGAAGAGTCTAAGAACTCTTTCCCCAAAAAGCCTGGCTAGGTGGTGTTTACTAGGTGTGCCAGGCACTCTGCCTTTCCAGATTCACTCCCACTCTGCTCTGTGCCCTGGGAGACTGTGTACTACAACCTTACCCTCAATGGGATAACTCAAGCTTGTCCAACCCACAGCCTGCGGGCTGCATGCAGCCCAGGACATGTCTGAATGTGGCCTAATGCAAATTCATAAACTTTCTTAAAACACTGAGTGTTTTTTTGTGATTTTTAAAAAGCTCATTAGCTATATTACATGGGGACCAAGACAATTCTCTTCTTCCAGTGTGGTCCAGGAAAGCCAAAAGATTGGACATCCCTGGATAACTCATTGGGAAACCAGCAGGAGATTGGAGGGTGGGAGAAAAGTGAGAGTAGGGTGTTTATTTCTCCATGTTGGAACCTGCTGGGTCTCTGGGGCTGGAATGTCTCTCTACTGAGGGATACAGCTCCCGTCAGGCAATCTCTCCTCCTTATAGCTACAGCTACTCTCTGGTTCCAGCCCCAGCTGCTCCCTCGCCCCTTCAGGCCTAGAGGTGGTAAGAATCCTCTGGAAATCCCCCTCATTGCTAGCCCCTGGGGGCCCCAACATCCCTTCATGCATTCAATGTAATCCTGCCCACACCTCCATTAAATAGTTAAACGGTTCCTTCCTAAAATTCTCCTCAATTACCCCAAGATTGCACCATCTGTTTCCTGCTGGTATATTGGGTTTACCTTATGTACATGAGGTATATTCAAGTGCCTTGAACTTCGCTTTGATTCTTCGTTTGATTAATGGTGGCTTTTGATTAACCAAAGCCCCGCTGGGCTTTGAGTCAGCATATGGATTGCAACCCCAAGAATTATTTCAGGATTTAGAAGGACATTTCATTTCGTGTGATGTTCTTTTAAAAGCTTTCTTCAATCACAAAATCCATAGGCAACCACTAATGTGAAACATTAAGTTTTACTTAACTTTTGGGGACTCTATTTCTGTAACATTTAGACCCTGACAAGTGAAAGAGGAATGCACAGATGACAAGCAGGTGTACCTGCTGACCGGCAGCCTTTGGGACGATTAAGAGGATTATCGTGGAAGGGAAAGTGTGCTAGTTAAATAGATTGTTTGTGTGCTTGCTTCTCTGGGCTGAGCTGACTGACATTTCACTAATCTATCTAGCAGATTGAAGTTCCGGAACAAAGCAAAAGTAAAAAATACCACATTCAACAAAGCCAGGTCTGTGAGTAAAATTATGTAATTGGTACATTATAATTTTGATAAATCTGATCTTTTTTCCTCTTTAACCAAAGTCATCTCACTTTCAATAATAAGTCAGAATTATGTTTCTCAGAAGCTCCTCTTTGTAGATTGGGCCAATTGGAAGGCCATCACAGAAGTATAGTATTTTTATTGTAGCACCCCATAGCACTACCAAGAATTTTTACATAGAAAATTTCCAAGAGAAACACAAAATTATTTGGTGATTTTTTTGTACACCCCTTGCACTTTTTGGAGGCAACTCTCTTTCTAATTTGTATATGTTACATATCTAGTATATTTTGGTCTCATAGTTTTCTGCAGTATACTCTGTATAAAGCAACTTTTAAGTTTACAAAATACTTTTTGAGCATTTAGATCTGCTGTGCAGATAATAATAGAAAAAATCACAATCAATGACATTTTTGAGCACTCATTATTGCCAGGCAGTATTCTAAGCACTTTTATGTGAATTAACACATTCCTTCACAGCCCTATAAATAAGTTGAGGAAATTAGTGCACAGAGAGGTTTTGTGACCTGCCCAAGGTTGCACAGCAGTCAAAGATGGAAAGAAGCAGGCAGTCTGACCCTGGAACTATGCCCTTAACTAACTGTGCCCTTGCTAACTCTTCCTTTCTAAGTCCAAATCCTAGTGTAGGTGAATGAAAGAAAAGTGACTTCTAAGTAGCATTTGAATGGGATTTCTTCTTGATCCAGCACCTGTCACAGAACTGGTGTGTATGTAAACATCCTTAGTATATATGTACAGTATTTATAAATATGTAAGTATATAAAGTCCTTTCTTGAATGAATACAGTCAGGGAAAATAAACTAGCAGAAATGCATAAAAGCATTCTCCTTCATAATCACAGCACTTCTGGCTGGTTGGACAGAGAGACGAGATAGGAACTCCACTGCTTACTGGCTATGTGTCATTAGGCAGATCCAAAACCTAACTTCATTAGGGACTCTGATACTGCACTTCCATATCTTTGTCTGTAAAATGTAGATGGCAATCACTTCATCATTTTAATGCACCCATTTTAGCAGCATGCCGACAGCATGGAGCTGTGGTTCTCAACTTTGGCTGCACATTGGAATCACCTGGGGAGCTCTAAAAACTAATGCTTGAGCCCCACCCTCAGAAATTTGGATTTAATTGGTCTGAGGGGCCTGGGCAATGGAATTTTTAAAAGCTCCCCAAGTGGTCCTATTATACAACCAGAATTGGAACCATTATCCTAGAACACCAGTTCTCAGTGTGTGGTCCCTGGACCAACAGCATCTGTATCACGTGGATCTTATTAGAAATTCAAATTCTCAGGCCCCAAACCTACTGGATCAGCAGCTCTGGGGGAAGGCCGCAGCAATCTCTTTAACACGCCCACCAGACAAATCTGATGCATGTTCAAGTTTGAGAGCCACTGTCCTAGGACAACAGATAACACTCAGCACAACTGTGATCAGTTCAGTTGTCCTCTCGGATGAGTGGTAACTCTAATACAGGCCAACCTATCTCATGCTGTGAGTAGGACCAGCAGGTCGGAAAGAGACCTAGTGTCCAACTATATTGAGTTTTAATTTATTTTGCAAACTGTTGTATAGACCTTATCCTGAGCCATGAACTGCTATAATTACTTTTTATGTATAACTCGTTTAATCCCAATAAACAACCAAAGCACTGTTATTATCCTTGGCTTACTGCACAGAGAACTGAAACACAGAAAGGTTAAGTCACTTGCTCAAGGTCACACAGTCAGTTAATATCAGAGCCAGTATTTGAACCCAAGCAGTCTTTATTTGTTGTTTAACAAATAAAATTAGTTTGTTGCTTTAACCACTTGGCAGTGAGGCCCCTCTATCAAAACAAATCCCTCGTAGAAAAAAAGTTGTAGCCCATCTGCCCACTGAGGGGCTCCACATTTTTTTTTTCACTTTCCACTTTCCATAACCGTGTCTTTGAGATTTCATAAGTACTGAAGGCAAATTACTCTTTAAAGATTTGCGGTAACCCTAACCTCTAAAATGTTTTAAAATAAGCATAACACTTTTTTTTTCTAATGAGACAGAGTCTCGCTCCCTTGCCCAGGCTGGAGTGCGGTGGTGCCATCTCGGCTCATTGCAACCTCCACCTCCCAGGTTCAAGCGATCCTCCTGCCTCAGCCTCCTGAGTAGCTGGGATTACAGGTGTGCACCACCACATCCGGCTAGTTTTTGTAGTTTTGGTAGAGATGGGGTTTCACCATGCTGGCCAGGCTGGTCTCGTACTCCTGGCCTCAAGTGATCCACCACCTCAGCCTCCCAACGTGCTGGGATTACAGGCGTGAGCCACTGTACACGGCCTCTTCTTTTTTTTTTTTTTTTTAGACGGAGTCTCACTCTGTTGCCAGGCTGAAGTGCAGTGGCACAATCTTGGCTCACTGAAACCTCTGCCTCCAGGGTTCAAGTGATTCCCCTGCCTCAGCCTCCCGAATAGCTCGGACCACAGGCGCCAGCCACCATGCCTAGCTAATTTTTTTGTATTTTATTAGAGATGGGGTTTCACCACGTTGGCCAGGGTGGTCTTGATCTCCTGAACTCGTGATCTGCCCGCCTTGGCCTCCCAAAGTGTTGGGATTACAGGCATGAGCCACTGCGCCTGGCCGCCCAGCCTCTTTTTTAAAGTTTGTATTTGTGTGGAATGTGCACTAAAGATTTTGGGCAAAGTTAAAAATTGAAAGTCGCATGGCTTTAAGAGGGGAAAGAGGCAAGACAGGTAGAGTTAAATGTTAACCTGGGTGATATCCCAGGGCCCTGAAAGATGCAGAGGACACATAAAACCAGTAGGCGGTGCTCTTCTCAGTCCTAACGAGTGTATTTACACTCACCCCAAAATAAAGCTTCTACAGAATAAAACTGTTTAAAATAACCATTGCTTATACAAATGTAAGCTTTCTGTTGCCCTTTCAATACTGTTTTAACCTCTGTGACTTTGTTATTGTTATGGAAATGATTTCCTTTCATTTACATTTCTGACCTCTCTGTTTACTTCACAGCAGAAAGACTATTCTAGTTTTCTATCAAGAAAAAGCAAGATTAAGATAGCTAAAGATGACTGCGTTTTTGGGAACATAAAGGAAGAAGATCTCTGAAGAAAGCTCTCATATTTTAAAATATCCTTGGAGGCTATCTCAAGACAGTGAAAGAACTTGGGGATTCAGGTGGGCTACCTACCATCAGTGGAGGAAATTTGACCTCTTCCCATTTTTTTGGCATTAACATGGACTGTATTCATCAAGGTATTATACCACAGCACTCTATGGAAATCTCAAGATTAGAAAAAAAAAAAGAACCAAGTTATAGAGTTAGTTTTTATTTTATTTTTGCACTTCGTCATGACAGTATAGAGTTTGTTTTTAATGTCTCATAAATGACAAGTGGCAAATTCAAATCAACTCATATAAAACTCATTCTATTTTTTCTCTAAAATAGATCTTTATATGGCTTCATGAAGTCTTTTATGTGTTTTGAATTTACATAAATGAAAGTCTCATAAAATATCATAAAGATATTTTGGATCGATTTCTAAAGATGTGACTCTTCAACGGAGGAGAATAGGGCTCTGAGAAATGGAATCACTGAAAAAGAAACCTGGGTTCTCTGATCTATCCACACAGAACTAGAGCAAGGAGGTGATGAAATACTGATCTCTTTCCTCACATAAGTCTGAGCCTACCAATATGGATGTACTCAAAGTGAAACGCTGCCCTGTTCTCTGCTTGACCATTGTTATAATTTTATTCTGTCCTTAGAGTACTGAAGGCAGTTCAATAATCAACATGCTATTTGGAATGTTTTAATTTGGAAAGCAATAAGGCTCTGCACCTGATATCAGATACCTTATAATTCTCTTAGCTTTAAAAATATGTATACTTTCTCACAAGGTTTTTCCTTATCTAGCTTCATTTCTCTCATGGTAATTAATGTAATTATGTATAGAATTAAGACCACAATAAGGGAGATGATCAGAGGAATCTGTATAGTGTAATTAGAAAAAGTACAATATTCTAATGTTCTAACTGGGTTGTATACCTAATTATATAATAAATACAAAATAATTCCAGTGAATATAAAATTTGTTGATTAAAATTCTGTGAATAATCTTTTTGAAATATAGAATCTATTAAAAATTCTATAATATTTATAAACATATGCCTATAGCTGTAACTCCTAGTACTGGAAGTTTTTATATTTAAATTTTAGGCTGTAGTAGGATATTTTTGCAGAGACTCACAAACATCTCAAATCATCCTAAGTGAATGTGTTAATGGACTAGGATCCTCTTCAGATTAAAATGGAAGTTTATCTACTATTTTGCCAATTTAAGAGTAGTCAAGCTCTATCTCTTTTTAATAGCAAACACCTACACAATGGAAGAGGCTATCAGAGAAAACAAGAATGCAACAAATTGTATTTGGAGTAAGAAGACACATAAATTGAACCATATATAATTGCTGTCTTTGTAGGCCAAAAATAGTTTTATGTTGACAATTTCATGTTTCAACTTGATATGTAAGAGAGTAATCCCAGACAACATGTGGTTGGTGTCAAAAGTGTGCTATGTGGGCTGGGCGTGGTGGCTTACTCCTGTAACCCCAGCACTTTGGGAGGCCAAGGCGGGACGATCACTTGAGCCCAGTAGTTCAAGACCAGCTTGGGTAACATAGTGAGACCCAATATCTATTAAACAACAACAACAACAGCGTAGTGTGGACCTGCATGTCAAAGGACGTCGGGGCCATCAGGAAAGCCCCAAGGGGAAGAGGGACTTTGAAGAAAGAGTAGAGCCATGTGAGCAAAGGTGGGGCACCCTAGAGAAAGGGAAGGATAGTTACAGATGGGAGATTAAATGTGGCATTGTAGAAAAATGAGTAAACTTGTTCTGTGCTAGCGAAGTTTTAGGTTAAGGGAGTAGTTAGGAGATAAAGCTAAGAAGTGGGATGGATCAGAAATATATGTATATCCTAATGCAGCATCTCTACAGTATATGTAGAGCAGTTTGTCCTTTGAGGATGCACAAAAACAGAAGCATTTTATTTAATAGTTTTTTTTCCAAACATTGAGATTATCATCAGTGTCAGAATATGAGAAGAAAAATACAATTGATGACATGCATTCCACAGTATATAAATATAACATGAAGAATAAAGGAACTAGGGTAGCACATGATAAAACAAAAATTGAAACAAAATTCAAAACTTATTTTGTAAAATGATACATTTCTTAGTAGTTATGTGAGAGAAGAAGGAGCTATTAGCCTTTTTGGGGGATTACTGGGCCTAGTTTTATCTAGGAATTTAGGAGTTTAAATCACTTCTGGATCAAAACACTTGATCATTGCGTAAAAAGTCAGAACTTCAGCTGCCAGAGTGAGCTCCCCAGCTGCAGGTGCTGGGAGAAGATGGCGAGTGAGACCCCCTCATCACTCCAGGAGGTGAGGACCTCACTCTGCGGTAGTCCCTGCCACCGGCACAGCCACCCCAGCACTGGAGAAGCCATCAGCTGGTGCGTGGCTTTATCAGGTAGGTGACTGTTGATATCCTTCAGTAACTGCTAATCCTAAGGGGTGTGACATGGCTTTGCCAATTACCAGCCTATGCCTTTGTCCACTCCTCATATCCCTGCAAAAATGGTCCCCAGGCAACCACATTTTCTCCTGCAATGTCTATATCCACCATCACTTCTTTCCACTTCTAGACATTCATATGAGATTTTACTGCTGTTTATACTCCTAAAATAACTGGCATAAACAATTTGCCCACAGGCAAACACAACTGAGTTTGAAAATTTCACACAAATCATAATGAGAATAACTATTGGACAGAGGTGATTAAATTGTGGTCAGGCCCCACCGAGCCCCTTTGGGCCCTATGGAGGGAAGCATGTGCAGGCTTTGATTGAAGAGCTGACAGCAGAGAAACATGCTACAGGGAGTGGCAGTGCCCAGAAGAGTTCCCCAATAAAATGGAAATTGTTTCTAGGGGATCATGCCACCTGGGGAATGCAAGAAGGAGATATTCATGAGCAGGGAGCCTCTTTACCCCCAGGACTGACACAGACTGTAAGGTGCTGCTGGTTTCTATAGACACTTGGACAGTGCACTGTGAACAGCTCTTGATTGACCAATAAGGAGCTGCTCTGTTTACAGAAAGCATTTCCAAAGTGAATGGACAACATCCTCCTGTTTGGAAGGCTGCTGCTTTGATCAAAGAAGGTAAAAACAGATTAGCTGAGGGGGCTGAACTGCATGCTGTCTTTCTTACAGTAATGGAAGAACTGAACAGTAGTAGAAGCCTCCATGTTTGGGTTTTTACTGATTCGTGAGCAGTGACCAATGGCCTGGCCATACACTCAGGCAAGAGGACTATGGAAATCTGATCTATTAAAGGAATGTCCATATGGTGCATAGCCCTATAGAAATTTGAGGGGTGCATTAAAGGAGAATAAGTCAATGCCCATCAGAAGAACTTCCTCCCCAGGCTGAGAAGGTGACTGGAATAGACAAGCAGTTATCTCCGTGTCTGCCCTTGTGGTCATCACCTGGTCCATGAAGTGAGTGGATATAGGAATACTGCAGCAGTGCAGAGATGGGATGAATCTAAACATGTTCCTTTTGCATCTTTGCAGGCACAGAATGCCAATAAGAACTGTCCTGTTTGTCAGCAAGAGAGACAGAAACTTCCAGTGGCTATGGGGCAGATTGCCTGGTGGGAAGGCCCTGACCAGAGCTGGCAAGTGAAACTGATGCTGGTAGCCCTGGGGGGGCTACACATTGGTCTTGACAGGAATTAGACACTGACTGTGGACTGGGCTTTGCTTCCTTAGTGGAAGATGAAAATGCTCAGAGCACCATAAAAAAACAAGAACTGAAGACTTGCATGGATTTGTACAGAAAACTGTCATTTCTTCAGACCAAGGAACAATGTATAAGCCATAATATCCAACAATGGGCAGAGAGATACCTCCTTAGAGTAATAGTTTAGTAATAGAGAAGTAGAAGGAGTATAAAACATTGGTTGTCTAGAACAGGGAGATAAATTATGAAGGGCTGGCTTACACACCTTCACAGGTAGGTGCTAACACTCAACATGAATGGGACTAAAGGAGTGTCCCCACTAGATTTTTGTGTTTTCTTTGTTTGTTTTTTTTTTTTTTTTTTTGGTTGATTTGGGAAGAGGGATTGGGGAGGATGCTGATATGACTATGCAATTCTTGCCAAGGGAGGAGTACACTAGTATAATGACTATAATTTTCTCTCTCTTCCCCAAACAACCTCAATTTTTTTTTCTCTCCTCTACCTGATGCAATGATCCTAGGACCAGGGCTACAACTACAAGTGCTGGAAGCAAGGATGATTTCTAAGCAAGAAGCTGTAACTACATTTTTAAACTTTGTATCTGAATTCCTAAGGGGATAATGGGGGCGGGTTGTGCCTTCACCCCATCTAAGAAATTGGGATCAAGAGTGAATGCAGCTATGTTCTCTGGTGGCAAAACTAGCTCACTAGTTCTGCACCTGTGTAACCTTACCCTATCTGAATGGCGGTGGATTGAGGAGGAGCTACTTGCTAGACTAGTATTGCTGCCCACAATCTAGACCAGCACAGTGGCAATTCTAATGTCCCTTCCAAAGGTGAAAAAGTTTGAGTATTAATGGAGAGAAGGAGAAAAAGTAGCTGAGAGTAAAGAAAAAAAAAAGGTTATTAATGGAAGGAAATTCAATATTACATTAATACCTCAAAAGAGTCTCAGAGCAAAAGATGACATGATGTCTCAGCTCAGTTATTCCAGATGCCTCAAAGGGTGAGGCTAGGTGCCAAGACCACTCCTGTTTTTGGCACCTGATAAGATTGAGAGGAAACCTGCAAACCTGAGTGACTTTACTCTGGGAGACATTCATACACAATGATGGACTGGACTAATTATTAATGACTGTGTGGGATTCTAGTAATAAGGCGATATCTTTTGAATTGTATGTCCTTTTGTAAAAATTATTTTTCTGTAGAGACAAGGTCTTGCTATGTTGCCTAGGCTGGTCTCAAACTCCTGGTCTCAAGTGATCCTACTACCTCTGCCTCCGAAAGTGCTGGAATTACAGGTGTAAGCCACCATGCCTGGCCTGTATATTCTTTTGATGAAAGGGATCTGTGTTTGAAAACCAGGGGGTGGCCTGATAGTTTAGAGTAAACGTTTAGTAATAGAGAAGTAGAACAACTAATTAGAACATCGGTTGTCTAGAATGGGGAGATAAAATGAAGGGCTGGTTTACATGCCTTCACAAGTATGTGTTAACACTCAACATGAAGGGACTAAAGGACTGTCCCCATCAGTGGCTGGTGGTATTATGATACATATATATTGGTTTTCATCCATGGTTCCTGGCTCATAACTCTAAAATCCCATATATATATATATAAGCTAACATCCTCCCCAGAACTAGGTCTCAGTTTACATCAGCGTGTGGTCAGCATACAGCTTGCACACATCCCCACATGGACATTTAAGCAAATTTTACATTAAACATTTCAGTTAGAAATTACCTTAAGATTACCCTCAAAGTAAAATTGAGAAGAGCTTGGTGTTCCTAATTTGTGGAAAAAACAAGTAGGTGCCAACCTTTGGTGGTAAAACAGTGGCAAAATGATTCTAAAATACCAAACAAAGGAAAACTACAAAAGAAAACTCAGCAATAGAGGCAAGTCTACTTTCTCAGCTGCTGTTTTAGCTGTCCCTTGTCCTGCAGCGTGTATTCAGTGGCCCATGAGGGGAGTGGCTTGCGTGGACGCAGGACTGTGGAAGACGGGAGAGTTCTCTCCTTCCTGTCACCCATAGTCCAAGAAAAATGTCAAAAAAGTAGGTATGCTTTTCTGTCACACACAAAAAGACATGCTGAGTTAACTTAAAAAAAGTATGGCTAACCAACGATTTCTTAGAAGATGGCTTTTAAGCTTTGTAATTGTACTTTCTCCCCACTTTATTGAGGTATAATTACATTTTGCTCATAAGTTACTTTATAATAGCTAACAGTTGTATTCTTATGAAGTAAGTTGTCTGTACCACAATTTTAAGAAAAATTAGACAGCTACAGAAAAGTACATGATGTCATTGGTGGGTTTGGGTCTTTGGTCTAGCCCTAGCCCATGTATTTTTCTGTAGGGCAAAGTCTTTAGCTAACCAAATAGCTTTACTTGTGTGATAGCTTGAAAGAGGTTAGACATTCTGTTGATTTAAAGGTGCTGACCTTAGTGATTTTGCACTGCTCCTGCACCAAATGTGGTTTCTTTCCCAGAAATGTGGTAACACACAGTTGGCTGTACTTCCTAATGGGTTTTCCATCTGTCCACACGAGCTCATATGTATTTGATGGGTTCCGAGTTGCAGCAGTTGTCTGGGCGGAGGCACTCAGAGCAGCAGGCTGAAACTCGTCCTCTGAGTTGGCTTTGCTGTGCCCATGCATGCTCTTATCCTCACTGGAAACTGGTCCTGGCAGAATTTCTGGGGAGATTCCCTTTGTCATGGTGTCTAGTGTGCAGAGGAAGAGAAGATAGAAATCTACTACTGTATTTGGGTCCTGATCAGGGGAAGTTCAGAATTTGATTTTCTACAACACAAAAATGCTGAGTAAAACAAGTGAAATGGCAGTTATTAAACTTCTTAAGTATTTGTAAAAGTCAACTACCTGAAGGCAAATTCCATTCCAAAATCAGCTATTGAATTGATACCTGGGTGTTGCCTCACAATAGCTGGTGGAGCATCATGCTCTCCAGAGGCACATTGCCAACAAGTACCCCACTTATGCATAAAGAGAAAGCGATTCCACTACCATGACTTGCACAGCACCACATTAAGGAAGAACGTAGTAAGATTATAAATTAGGGTTTATTTTTAATTATTGACTGGATACAAATCATAGTGGTTAAACCTAACATTTTTACAGGTAACTGGATTTTTATTAATCATGTAATATAAGTATTAGTTACTTTTGCAATTAACTATGGGTTGTTTGTGTCATAGATTCATAGATTTTTTTTTAATCCCCCTCCTTTTTTTAACTTCCTCTGTTTTCCCTTTTTCTTTGTCAAAATTAAAACAGGTGACAGACATGCAGTCTGGGGGTTCACAGTGAAGATAGGATGAGAAAATCTTAGGCAGTGAATTCACTACAGAAAAATCCTAAAACGTTACTACCCTACTGCAAACTGTTACCTGCGACTTAAAAAATCCTGTTGGGTGACTAACAAAACAAAAACACAAAAAGCAACTAACTCCATTTATTTTGTTAATGTCTCTTGTGACCTGCCAGATAAACAAATAAAATTCATTTTTCAGGTCTTTGAAAAATAAAAATCAGGCCAGGCATGGTGGCTCATGCCTGTAATTCCAGCACTTTGGGAGACCAAGGCAGGAGGACTACTTGAGACCAGGAGTTCAAGACCAGCCTGGGCAACACAGGGAGACTCTGTCTCTATAAATTTTTTTCTTTTTTTAAATTAGCCAGGCATGATGGAACTCACCTGTAGTCCCAGCTATTTGGGAGGCTGAGGTAAGAAGTCAGCTTGGGCCTGTGAAGTCCAGACTGCAGTAAGTCATGGTTGCACCTTGTCTCAAAATAAATAAAAAAATAAAATTATTTGGCTGGGCCTGGTGGCTCACGCCTGTAATCTTAGCACTTTGGGAGGCCGAGGCAGGTAGATTACGAGGTCAGGAGATCGAGATCATCCTGGCTAACACAGTGAAACCCGTCTCTACTAAAACTACAAAAAGTTAGCCAGGAGTGGTGGCAGGCACCTGTAGTCCCAGCTACTTGGGAGGCTGTGGCAGGAGAATGGAGTGAACCCAGGAGGTGGAGCTTGCAGTGAGCCAAGATTGCACCACTGCACTCCAGCCTGGGTGACAGAGCAAGACTCCATCTCAAAAAATAAAAATAAAATAAAATAAAATAATTTGAAGTCATTGTTAAGAGTCTTTTCTCATTCTGTTTGCCTTAAAATAAATCATAGGCTAAGAGCAATTTGTATTACTTATCCACCTATTTGTTTTTCTTATAAAAATGTCAAAAGTTTCCTTTCTTGCTGGTCATGAGTTGCTATAGTTTTAATGTATGTGTCCCTCCAAAATTCATATGTTGGAGCTTAAACCCCAAAGTGATGGTACTAAAAGGTAGGGCCTTTGGGAAAATGACTAAGTTAAGAGGGCCCTCCCTCATGAATGGATGAGTGCTCTTATAAAGGAGGTTGATGGGAACACCCTAGTGCATTTTGCCCTTTCAGCTTTTGCCACATGAGGACACAGGAAGAAGGCGCTACCTTGGAAGCAGAGAGAAGACTTCACCAGACACAGAATCTGCTGATGCCTTGATCTTGGACTTTTCAGCCTCCAGAGCTGTGAGAAATAGATTTCTATTCTTTTTGAGTGATCCAGTCTGTGGTATTTTATTATAGCAGCCTGAATGGAATAAGGCAGGAGTGTGTGTCCAAAAGATATGTTCATTCAGTTGTATTTGCAGAAAATAGTTGTCAGAGTATGACTATATCCTCAAAAGTCGGAATAGGATAGCCTCAGGCTTTACCCTGACATTGGCATCACAATTTTGTAAAGGTGGAAATGAAACCGCAGGATCAGTGTTTTGAGAGGAGGAGAGCAGAATTGAGGCAAAGTCTAATATAGTTCCTGGCATATGTTTCAAGACTGAGAAGGAGATGTGCTTTGCTTCTGTTTGAATGATTGCCAGGAGTTTGTTTTGGGCTAATGTAAAAGTTAAGATCCCTCTAAGCCTAAGATTTCAGTTCAGTTTAAGTCCCTGGGGTAAGCTAAGTTCCATTCTAGGGTTGAAGTGAACCTTTTAACAACACAGATTGCTGGAATCCTCAACTCTCCTCATTATCTGAACTGAATGGATATCCCAAAGACTTTTGGGACCTGCACGAACCCTTAACTTTACCTTTGCCCAGACTTAACAAGCCATGAACTATCCTGGTCTCAAAGGAGTTGAACTATTACAAAATTAGGAAACCAGGGCCAGAAAGGAACTGGAGGAAAGGTAAGATGAGCCTGGGCCATGAGCTTTTCTGGTGTTATCTTCTGTTACTTTTCCTTGCCTGCTTCTAAGCAAATTTATCAAACCAGTTGCTATGATTTGAATATGTTCCTCAAAAAGCATGTGTTGGAAACTTAATTCCCAAGGCAGCAGGGCTAGAAGGTGTATAGGACATATGTTAGGTAACTTGCCTAAATGTACATTCCATCATATTTTGCCTTGTGTGTGTGTGTGACAATCTGTGTGGTTCTGGCATGTGTAGGTAAGTGGAAAGAGAAATGACAAATGGATGTTATGGCAAGGAGCTGAGATCGTTTTTTTTCTTTCCAAGAGTCCAACTGTTATCTTAGTAACTTCAGAAACCCAAGGACATCTAAGATTTTACTTTGCAATTAAGAAAAGAGATCCCTTTCTGAAAGTTTTTCTTGAATATTTTTTAGTTGTGCCAGTTGCTCTAGGAAAATATTATTCTCCTGGCTTCAAATTTTTTCTCTAATAGTTTCGCAAATATGTCCGGCACACAAAACACTTCATTTTTTTTTTTCTGGTTGTTTAAATGTTTAAAATTGTTGGGGAACGGAAATGACCCTAACTTTGGTGTAGATAAATATGTGCTACTTGTCTCATCTCCTGTACTTACTCATTCCATTGTTATGCCTGAGAACCCACAGTGTTGTGGAAAACACCTGATTCGTGCTAGCCGGGCTTGAGAGATGGGAGACCCACGGAAGCAACACCTGTCAGGAGCATGTCTCCCTCTCATGGTCATTCGTCAGTACTACAGAAACCAAATGCACCCTGGAACAGGAAAGCAGAGCTCAAAACACTTACTTCGTAGGTGCGGTGTATTTTTTTCAAACACCTCCCCATTCTGACCATATCGCCTTTCTACAGAGACAGCTAGTTACATTGGGATAGTTGCTAGATCACTTTCAGTCTCTTCTGATGAGCATTCAAGTATAATATTTTTGAAAGTCTGTCTGCATTTTTTAAGACTGGATAGGAATTTATATAACGAATATAGTCAAAACCCTTCTTATCCCTAATAAGAAAACTTTCTAAATGAAAAGCCTACCCAAAGCAAATATTTCCTTTCACTTATTCATTCATTCACTCAATTGTATCTAATACAGCGATTCTCAACTCAATCCTGGCTGCACATTAGAGTTCCCTGAGCAGCTTTTAAAAATGCAGATGCCTGGGCCGTGCTTCCAGATGATTCTAACTTGATCTTGGCTAGGGCCCAGGCCCTGTTTTTTTTTTTTTTTTAGACAGAGTCTTGCTCTGTGGCCCAGGCTGGAGGGCAGTGGCACGATCTTGGCTCATGGCAACCTCTGGCTCCCAAGTTCAAGCAAGTCTATGCCTCAGCCTCCCAAGTAGCTGGGATTACAGGCACCCACCACCACGCCCGGCTAATGTTCGTATCTTTAGTAGGGATGGGGTTTCACCATCTTGGCCAGGCTGGTCTTGAACTCCTGATCTCATGATCCACCCGCCTCGGCCTCACAAAGTGCTGGGATTACAGGCGTGAGATGCCGCGCCCGGCTGGCACTGTTATTTTTTAAGCTGCTGCATGATTGTAACATGCTGCCAGGTTGAAAACTACTAAGCTAATATTCCCAAACATGTCTGATGTGCCAGTCACCGTGGTGGTGCTAAGGATTCAGTGGTAGAGACACTGCCACAGAAGGTGATAGCTTTCTGCCATCAGGATTCACAGGCCAAACATACCGTCTCCTCTGTCTAGAATACTTCCCTTGTTCATTACATAATTAATTCCTCATGCTTTGCATCTTAGATTAAATATCACTTATTCAAAGACATTGTTGCCCTTCTATCTAAATTAGCTCCCATATTGTTTGCCCTCAAGGAATCCTTTCTCTTTCGCTTCATGACACTTATCTCGGTTGTAATTACAGGTATTCCTCCGCCATTGGAACTCTCACGATCAAAACTCAGGACCAGATAGATTTTAGTAATGAGGAAGAAGAGGCAGACTTACCTGAAGAGTGTAAAGTTTAAGCTTCAGGGCTCTTGTGGTAGGCTGGATAACAGATCCTCAAAGATGTCCACATCCTAATCCTAATCCCCAGAATCTATGAATATGTTGCTTTGCATGGTAAAAAGAACTTTGCAAATGTGATTAAGTGAAAGATCTTGAGATAGGGAGATTATTCTGGATTATCCAAGTGTGCCCAATATAATCACAAGGGTCCTTATAAGGAGACAGGAGAGTCACAGAGGAAATGCAAGGACAGAAGCAGAAGTCAGAGGGGTGTAAAAATGCTCTACACTGCTAGCTTTGAGGATGGAAAAAGGAGCCATGAGCCAGGGACGTAGGTGGCCTCTAGGAGCTGGAGAAGGCATGGCAACCAACTCCCCTGAGAATCTCCAGAAGGAAAGCACTTCCCGCACTTTGATTTTAGCTCAGCGAAACTGATTTTGGACTTCTCACCTCTTGAACTGTAAAATAATCCTTGTTTTAAAGTATTAAATTTAGGGTAATTTGTTACAATGACAATAGGAAACCAATATATAGCCCTCCCTTGTTCAGGCCCCTTCCAAGGCCCTGGGAAGCAGTGCTGATATGGTTATATGTTTTTGTAAAGCTTGCAAAATTAAAATACTTTACCTACAATTGATTAAGATTTCTCTCTTTCCACTGAGACTTCCGGAGTATTCTTCTACTGGCTAACATTGGAGTGACTACAGGCATTTTTGGGATCCAGCTAAACAGAAATGCAGCTGGGGGTACTTTGGTTTGCATTTAATGGGAGACGTTCATGTGGTTCGTGGTCACTTCCATGCACTATTAACTTATTGCTGGAGAGTAGGAATGGCTTCTGCAAATGCTCCTGTATTAGTCCATTCTCACACTGCTATGAAGAAACACCTAAGACTGAGTAATTTATAAGAAAAGACGTGTGATTGACTCACAGTTGAATCACAATTCTGCATGGCTGGGGCAGCCTTAGGAAACTTACAATCATGGCAGAAGGCACTTCTTGACAGGGTGGTAGGAGACAGAATGAGTGCTGAGCAAAAGGAGAAGCCCCTTATAAAACCATCAGATCTCATGAGAACTCACGCGCTCTCATGAGAACAGCATAGGGGAAACTGCCCCCATGATTCAATTATCTTCACCTGGTCCTGCCCTTGACATATGGGTATTATTATAATTCAAGATGAGATTTTGGGCAGGGACACAGCCAAACCATATCAGCTCCTAACAGCCACTGTGTCAAAGTGCCCAGGTGTGGTAACATGAAGGAGCCATAGAATATGTGCAGCATGCAGTTCACTTTAATCTCATCAGAGAAAAAAGCTGTCTTCACCATCCCTACATTTTTTCATATCAATCAAAAGCAGTAATTCATGAAGAGGAAGAGATAAATTTGAATAGAAGTAATGGAGAGGCTCTCAGATTGTTGGATGAGTCAACTAATGAAGAGTAAATCTTATTAATACATTGGGAAAAGCTTTAATTTCCTTGCTAATTTGTCATAGTTTATAGGCATCAGTGAAGATATTATAAACTCAATACACAACCAGAAGGAGGACATCAATAACAAACTGATTAATAAATGTCATCAATTTAACAAGTAATATTGCTGATTAGTCATAGCACAATAAAATGTGAAATGCCCTAAGATCTTATAACTTTTTTTTTTTTGAGATGGAGTCTTGTTCTGTCACCCAGGCTGGAGTGCAGTGGTGAGATCTCGGCTCATTGTGACCTCCGCCTTTTGGGGTTCAAGGATTCTTGTGCCTCAGCCTCCTGAGTAGCTGGGATTACAGGTGTGCAACACCGTGCCTGGCTAATTTTTGTATTTTTGTAGAGCCAAGGTTTCACCATGTTGGTCCGGCTGGTCTCGAACTCCTGACCTCAAGTGATCTGTCCACCCCAGCATCCCAAAGTGCTGGGATTACAGGTGTGAGCCACCGTGCATGGCCAGATCTTATAATTCTTACATGAAAGAAATGTAATAGTGATTTCCTCTAATATGACAATAGTCCTAAACCTTTACATGACACTTTCAAGAACAAATTATTAGATGGTGTAGGTGGTCCTTGAATGAATGAACCATGAGATACCCTAGAGCAGGGGTGTCCAATCTTTTGGCTTCCCTGGGCCACATTGGAAGAAGAATTGTCTTGGGCCACACATAAAATACACTAACACCAGCAATTGTTGATGAGCTAAAAAAAAATTGCAAAAAAAAAAAAACTCATAATGTTTTAAGAGAGTTTATTAATTTGTGTTGGGCTGCATTCTAAACTGTCTTGGCTGCATGCAGCCTGCAGGTGTGGGCCAGGGGTTGGACAAGTTTGCCATAGAGCGTGGCTTGGTTGGATGAGGGTGCTAGAATTCAGAGGACGGTCACTGTGCAGTGAGAGTTGTCTTGGCTGTAGGACTGGAGTTGGTAAAATGAAAAAAAGAAAAAACTAGTTTTGCATGAAAGAATGTTTCCAGCATATGAATGTCCCACCACACTTTTAGTTAGTCTTGGCTGTACATGTTGCAATAAGTCAAGGAACCCTACAAAGTAGGATGGAAGGATTCAAACTGCGAATCGCTTGAACCCGGAAGGCGGAGTTGGAGTTTGCAGTGAGCCGAGGTTGAGCAACTGCACTCCAGCCTGGGCGACAGAGTGAGACTCCGTCTAAAAAAAAAAAAAAAAAAAAAGATTCAAACTGCTTTTGAAAAAAGTAAAAATGCAGGGTTATATTTTAGAAATAGTGCAGCCAATCATTAGTGGCTATTCCTAATATGTCAATTTCGGGTCTATAGAAGACCTACCTAGAGGCCAGCAACTATTAATTGATGCTTATAGCACCTAATGAAACTGCCCTTGCCTTTGAAGCCCCCATTTAGCTAAGGGGATGGGATGTGAATTTAGAATAGGACGTGAAAAGTGCAAAATGCTCCCGGACTCAGATCGGATAAACCTCTTCTAGGCTGTCTTTCTCTTCTGAAGCCACAGTTTTGATGCTTTCCCTAATTCAGAGCAGGCTTTCCCGGAGTCTCTGACTCAGAGCAGCCCGAGCCACCGTGAGGACCGCCCACCTGCAGGGGGCGCGCCGGGGGCTGCAGCGCGAGACCGCTCTGGCCCAGCGGGGACTCCGACTACCCCTGTCTGGCCCCTCCCCTCCGCCCGTCACCGCCTCCTTGAAGCTGCCGCTGTCGCTGCTGCTCGTTCGAGTCGCAGGTACTTGGCCCGGGGCCTGTGGGCAGCGCCTGGGCTAGAGCCACTTGATATCTCCTGCACCGTCCCTGTAGCACTGGAGGTCCAGTAGGCCTGGCCGGGGCCCTGAGGGGCGAGGGTGCCCGGGCTTCCCACACCTTCCGCGGCGACTGGAGGGAGCCGGGCCGAGGAAGCGACCGCGGGTCCGTGATGGCTTCTTCGCGGTCTGTGTGTTCACGAGGGCCGGGCAGAGGCCTGCGAGGGTTCTCGTTTGCGCTTGCGGGTTAGGGCTGTGGTCCGGGGAACCCCTGGGCAGCGCGGGCAGCCCTGGCTCGCGGTTAATCGGGGGGTGGAGCGCGGAAGCCACGCCGCAGGTCCAGCTGCTCGGCCGGGGCGAGACGGTGCTTTCGCGGCGTGTGCTTGCAGGAGCGCACAGTTCAGGCGCCGGGACAAGCTGTTGGGGTGTGAGTGAGCTCTCCAGAATGGCACATGGCTCCGGGGTGCCCGGGTTAAAAGGAAGGATTTGCACACCTTCCACTTAGGGCTCGGGTAATCGCAAACTTCCTCCCTTAATTGGCTTGCAGTGCTAAAAAGCAGATCGTTCTCTCTGAGGTTTTCCCAACAGTACCTCAAGAAAATAACATCTGTTTTTTGTAACGTTCCACGGTATTCGGAATTGGCTACAGAACATAATAAGGTAAAAATATGCCATTGAATAGTAGCGCTTCTCAATCTTTAAAAAATGACGGTGGTACCTAGGAGCCTCTTAAAGAGCTGTAATATGAGTGGTGTGGGGATTATTTTTATGTTCTAGTAATAGCTATTTTCAGTGCTTATTTTATGTCAGACACGGTGCCATTGCTTTAAATACCTGGTACCTTTAATCCTTGAAGCAACCCTATCAGGTACCATTTCCATTATACAGATAAGGAAACTGAGGCACCGAGAGTCTGACTTCTCCAAGGTCAGAAAGCTAGCAAAGGCTGAGCGAGATTTGGTCTCATCTCCCTTACTTCAGTATCCCTGCGTCTGTTATCTAGCCAAACATGTAGCGCTGTCTAAGAGTTTTATCAATTAGATTTGTAGCCTGAACTGATTTCTCTCAGGCTTAGTTTTCATGGTTATATGCAGGAGTCCTACATGAACTCCTTTTTAGTTTAAAAGGAGTTTAGTAAGAAAACTGTTAGCTCATTAAGGACTATAGTGATAATAAAGTTAAACTTGGACTGGGGTTCTCACTGTGCCAGTACAATTTGATTTGAAATAGAGATGAATTTGTTTGGTTGTTAACACACTTTATTACATTTCTTCATTATTTATGTTTCCATACCATTTTTTAGTGAGTTCACTTTGCCTTTGCATTATTATGGTAGCAGTACCAGAGGGAAATCAAAGATTTTTTGATGATAGTAAGTTAATATTTTACAGAATACAGGAAAGGCACTGGAGAGAGGATGTGAAGTGATAAGGAATTTTTGGCATGTTATATAAATTGTGTTACTATGGAAAACAAAGGATTCTCACAGTTCTTTATCAAAAGGGAAATTGTATTTCCCATTGTGGAAATAAGTTGGGCTTTATAGTCCCAAACTTCTTAGCCTTACCTATTATAGATTTAAGAATTTGCATATTCGGCATTCATATAGCAAGCGTATATTGAGTGCCTTCTATGGCCAGGCTCTGTTCTAAGCACTGGGGGATGTGAGAGTGAACAAAATGAAGTCCTTGTCTTCCAGGAGCTAACATGTCACTGGAGGAAGGTGGGGTTGGGGACGATAAGCGGGATTTGTGAAAGTTAACGTATCTGGAGTCAGATGGTAACAGTTACTAGGAATAAAAATAAAGTAGCAAAGGGGGATAGGAAGCACCAAGGAAGGAACAGGTGCAGTTTTAAAATAAGGACTGGTGCCATGGAAAAGACTCAAGCAAAACTGAAGGCGTTGGGGACCGCCATGCAGCTGTCTAGGGAAAGAGCATACCAAGCAAGGGCAAAAGCCCAGAACCCTTCAGTCTTGTTAGAGGGACAGCAAGAGAGGAACAGCAAGGAGGCCAGTAGATTTGAGCACCTGGAGGGAAGGAGGGTGAGACAAGGTCAGAGAGCTAATGGGCCCAGGTAAGGACTTTTGCTTTTACTCTGAGTGAGAAGGGAGGTGTTTGGAGGGTTTTGAGCAGAGGAATGAGGGGATCTGGCTTAAGGTTTTTAAAGGATCACTCTGGCTGCTGTGTTCAGTGTTGACTGTAAGGGCAAGGATGGAAGCAGGGAGACCTGTTAGGTTGATGCAGTAATTGAAGCCAGAGAGAATGGTGGCTTAGACCAGGTGGGTAGTAAGAGAGGCAGTAAGAAGCCGTCGTATTCTGAGTATTGCTGATAGGATTTGCTTATGGTTTGGATGTGCTTATGAGAGAAAGGGTGAAGCACGACCCTGTGGCCTTTGGCCTGAGCTATTGGAAGGCTTTAGTTAAACAGTGTACTGAGATGGAGAAGACTGAGTGTGAAGGTAGGTGGAGCCAGTTTTAGTCAGGTTTGAGATGCCTGTTCAAGTGGGGTTATAGAGACGGGAGTTGAAGAGAAAGGTCCAACTGGAAATAGAAATTTGGGAAGTCACTAATGCAAGCTTGTGCAACCCAAATTTGTAAACTTACTTAAAACATTATGAGATTGATTGTATTTTTTTTTAAGCTCATCAGCTATCGTTATATGTGTGCCCCAAGACAGTTATTCCACTGTGGCCCAGGAAAGCCAAAAGATTGGCTACCCCTGCACAGAAGGGTAGTATTTAAAGCCATGAGCCTATGAGATCTAGTGTAAGGAAATGAGAATTGAGCTCTAGGGCTTTCCACATTCAGATATTGGAGAGATGAATAATTACAAAGGAGAGGCTTTTGAAGGTAGGAGGAAAAAGAAGCGAGTATGGAGTACTGAAGGCCAAGTAAAGAGTTTTTCAGGGAGAAAGTGACCAACTGTGTCTCCTCCTGCTGATTGACAAGTCAAGTAAGATGAAGACTAGGAGATGACCATTGGATTTAGTAATAGGAAGGTCCTTGGTGACCTTGCAAGAGCACTTTCAGGAGAATAGTGAGGAAGAAAACCTGATTGGTGTGGTTTCAAGAGACAACAGGAGGAAGAGCATTGGAGACTGCAGTATGGACAGCTCTTTGGAAGAGGTTAGCTGTAAATTTTTCATATGTCGGTTATTTGAAAGCACTGTAGTCGTTCCCATAGTAAATTTTTATTTCCAGCTTAAGCTACTGATTAATACCTACTACACTTGGATTGTTTTAATCAATGACTGGTGGAAATAAAATAGCTATCCTACTGCTGATCATAATAATAATGTATACTTAACTTTCTAAACCAATAAAGCGTGTCCTTTTTACGTAGTACATTTCAGAGCCCATAAAAATGCTTGGGTGGGCTGGGCGAAGTGGCTCATGCCTGTAATCCCAACACTTTGGGAGGCCGAGACTGGAGGATCTGTTGAGCTCAGGAGTTCAAGACCAGCCTGGACAACATAGGGAGAGCTCATCTCTACAAAAAACTTTAAAATTAGTTGGGCGTGCTAGCACACACCTGTGGTCCCAGCTACTTGGAAGGCTGAGGTGGAAGCATCTCATGGGCCTGGGAGATTGAGGCTTCAGTGAGCCATGATTGAGCCACTGCATAGTTTCAAATGTAGTAGGTGTATAAAAAGAATGCAATTTTTATCTTAAGGCATGAGTTCAGGTTCTTGTTTCTGCCCTCAGCAAGTTAATGTCCAAACCCAAATACAAAATAATCAAGGTACGCAGTAAAATACCAGATTTACACCATCCTGACTGGATAAATGTGCCTTTTCCATAGCAAATACAGCCATCTGTTGCATTGTAGATGTAAAATGATTAAAATATTTCAAAGTTTAGGGTTATAGCTACTGATTTTTTAAATCCAATAATTTTATCTAAAAGATAACAGGTCCTTTAGATGTGGAAATCTTTTTTTTTTTTTTTTTTTTTTTTTTTTTTTTTTTTTTTTAGCTGAGGAAAATATTAAGTTGGTGCCTTTTGTTTTGCTCTTGTTTTTTTCTCCAGGAATTTTTCATTGGTTGGCTCTCCTTTCTTGTTCTCATTGCTGTCATCTCACACATCCTTTCTAACTTTTTTCTTTTGCATAGCTTCTTAAGTTAGGCCCTTCCATCACTGATTTCCTTACTGCTTATAATTTGGATTTTAAATTTCTATTGTGTTTTTATTTAACTTATAGTCTTTTTTTTTTTAGTCCCAGTCCTCTTTAATACTGTTTTTTCCCCCACCCTGAGTTCTTAATTTTTTGTATGTCCCTGAGAGCACAGTATTTTTCTGGATTTTTTTCATTTTCTTATTGTAAGTAATTCTCAGTGGTGTGCTTTTCTTCATGTAGATCTAGTGCACCTCTTTGCTTCTGGTGTAGAATTTTTTCACTGACTCCATGTTGACTTTCTTTTGGTTTTTTTTTTATCCTTTAAAAATGAAAGAACTTCTGAGACTATAATATTGAATTTGTCATACTAGTACCATTCTACTGAAGGTTTTTTCTAGATTTCCTATAAGGAAAATAATTAGAGAACTGGGTTTTGTCTAGGCATTCTATAAAAGACACTATTGTGATGTTTGTAAAAGATTTCTATTTAAAATAACTTTCAGTACTATTAGAACTTAAGTTTATGGTTATGTCTCTGTGATAAGTACTTTTTTTTTTTTTTTGGAGATGGAGTCTCACTCTATCACCCAGGCTGGAGTGCAGTGGCACAATCTTGGCTCACTGCATCAAACGATTCTCCTGCCTCAGCCTCCTGAGTAGCTGGGACCACAGGCACACACCACCACACACAGCTAATTTTTGTATTTTTAGTGGAGATGGGGTTTCATCATGTTGGCCAGGCTGGTCTCTAACTCCTGACCTCAAGTGATCCACCTCAGCCTCTCAAACTGCTGAGATTACAGGCATGAGCCACTGCACCTGGCTAAGTACTTTTTTTTTCCTTGTGTTTTTTTGAGACAGGGTTTTGCTCTGTTGCTCAGGCTGGAGTGCAGTGGCACAATCATGGCTGAATGCACCCTCCACCTCCCAGGCTCGAGTGATCCTCCTGCCTCAGCCTTGAATATCTGGGACAACAGGCACGCACGCACCACCATGCAAGGTTTATTTTTAAATTTTTTTTGTAGAGATGGGGTTTCACACTATGTTGCCCAGGCTGGTCTGGAATCCTTAGGCTCAAGTGATCCTCTTGCTCCAGATTCCCTAAAGTGCTGGGACTATAGGTGTGAGTCACTGCACCCAGCCAAGTACTTTTTAAAATTAAACTGGTAAACAGACATTAGAATTACCAATGTAAACTTTATATCTAAAACCAAAATCAATTACAAAGGATCATTATTTTCCAAAGTAGATACTTTTTTTTAGTGCTGTTCAGTTTTTCTGAAGCTTATCTTTGTTCACAAGGATTGTTAGCACTTCCACCAAATCAGTGTTTAGAAACCTTAAATAATTTAACGTCTGACTTGCCAGTACATTATTAGAGAAACAATTCCAAGACCAAAACATGTTGAATAAGCAGGAGATATACACCAATTTGATTTTAAAATGGACAGCTTTCCTGTCTCTGGCTCTCTCTCATGTTGCCTTAAACACACATATGCTGAAGAAATCATATACAGATACTTGCATGCATTTAATAAACTATCCAATAAGTGGTGCTTTTAATAAATTCTGAATACAATCAATTAAAAGATTTGTGCACATTATTATTTAGGTATGGTACCAAGTAAATCAGAAACAAATGCAAGAGCACGAATGGTTTATTTAGCTACCTTTCCATATTGGGTCTTGATGACATTAGATACTCTGCTGTATTTTATTTTTTAAAGTAAACATATTAAAACTAGCCAAATAACCTATATTTTCTTTTATTACATTATGATGCCTTTTTTGGTTTGCCTGAGTTTTTTTGGTTTTTGTTTGTTTGTTTTTGAGATGGAGTTTTGCTCTGTCTCCCAGGCTGGAGTGCAGTGGTGCAACCTCAGCTCACTGTAGCTTCCGCCTCCTGGGTTGAAGCGATTCTCCTGTCTCAGCCTCCCAAGTAGCTGCGACTACAGGTACATGCCATCACACCCAGCTAATTTTTGTATTTTTAGTGGAGACGGGGTTTCACTATATTGGCCAGGCTGGTCTCAAACTCCTGACCTCAAGTGATCTGCTGTGGCCTCCCAAAGTGCTAGGATTACAGGCATGAGCCACCACACCCAGCCTGCGTAAGTTTAATTAAAAAAACAAAAATATTCTGAGTGTGACTTTGTTGAAACAGTTTATATAGGCATTTTAACTTTGGTGGCAGTTTTAGTCCTACTATCAGTCATCTTTTTTCCAGTAGCCCAGCATTGCTGCTACGTTAATTTAAATCTGCCCCTCTGCCCTCTCCTCAGTCTTTTGGCTGTATTTTGCCCATTGGCTGTTAATGCTGATTTTTTTTAAACACAACAAAAACTGTGGATTGCTTATAAAAGTTTTCCCACAATAGGCTTATTTTTATTTCACTTGTTTATTCAGAATATCCTTTCAACTTGTTTTTCGGTTATCTCCTTGGTCAGTTCTAGAATTTACCAAGCTCTCAGTCAGTGTTCAATCTCCTGTGCTGAACATGAGATTTCTTAGGCCTGGATTCAGCTCCTTCTCAAAGAGAGTTAAATATCAGTGCACTTCACCCTTTGACCTTTGTCTTTTGCTGAAACATGTGCCACAAACCATATTTTTTTCCTTTTTAGGAAGCAATGACAGAAGCATATAAGAGTGGAAATCAAATAGTAATGACCACTTCAGATTCTGTGTCATTTAGATATTTTGTTCTAAGTAACAGAAAACCTAATTTAAACTGTCTTAAAAAGATCCTTTATTGATACCCGTAATAGGAAAAGCCCAAGGCTTGACCCTTTTATCTGTTCTGCCTCACTCTGTATACTTGCTATCTATGAAATATAAAAATGACAAAAGCAATTTTAGGTATCTCATTTATACACCATAGAAAAATAAAGTGAATGTATTTCTCTGGCATTCCAAGCAAAGAGTTTTATTGGACTGGTCACTTGCTCACCTTTAAATAAACCACAATAGCTAGGGAATGTGATATGTTACATGGCCTTAGATAATAAAGACTGACCCCTCCAAAGCATATGAGCAGTGAAGAGTAGTGGAGTTGGGTACCAGTGGAACAGGTAGGAATGGAGTCTAGGTAGACAGGGGACATCTGAGGAAATTAAAAACACATAGTTGATTTTCAGTCAAAATAATATATTAAATTCATGTTTGGGCACCTGGCAATAACTGATGTTAAAAAAAAAAAAGCGCCAAAGTATAGTCAGAATAGTAAATAGGATAACCATCTCTATAGAGTACAAGCACAAAGTAATGAGTGAGGCTGTAGCTGTTTTGGAATTGGCCAAAATGGAAATCATCCAATATCTGATCTCAGACGAAAAGGAATTAAATTACAATTTGATAACAGAAAGATAGCCGGAAAATCACTGAATACTTAGACATTAAATAACACATTTCTTTTTTTTTTTTTTTTTTTTTAAGACAGAGTCTCACTCTGTCACCCAGGCTGGAGTGCAGTGGCGCGATCTTGGCTCACTGCAACCTCCACCTCCCAGGTTCAAGCTATTCTCCTGCCTCAGCCTCCCGAGTACCTGGGACTACAGGTGCACACCACCACACCTGGCTAATTTTTGTATTTTTAGTAGAGACGGGGTTTCACCATGTTGGCCAGGCTGGTCTTGAACTCCTGACCTCAGGTGATCCGCCCACCTTGGCCTCCCAAAGTGCTGGGATTATAGGTGTGAGCCACAGCACCCAGCCCAAAATGTTTTCAAAAGACATATATGATGAAGACTGTTATCCAAAATACACAAAGAACTCTTAAAACTCAACAAAAAGAGAGGTGGGTATGGGTGCTGGCTGAGGTCACTCAGTGCTGACCATCCTCTTCTCAAAGCCATGTCTCTAAGACATCATGGTGAAGGTGAAGGCCAGAGTAAATAGATTTGGGCCATATTGGGCACCTGGTCACCAGGGCTGCTTTTAACTCTAGTAAAGTGGATATTGTCACCATCAATGACCCTTCATTGACCTCAACTACATGGTCTGCATGTTCCAGTATTTCTACCCATGGCAAATTCCACCACACCGTCAAGGCTGAGAATGGGAAGCTTGTCATCAATGGAAATCCCATCACCATCTTCCAGGAGCAAGATCCTACCAAAATCAAATGGGGTGATGCTGAAGCTGAGTATGCCGTGGAGTCCACTGGCATCTTCATGACCATAGAGAAGGCTGGGGCTCACTTAATGGGGGAGCCAAAAGGGTCATCATCTCTACCCCCTCTGCTGATGCCCCCATATTCATAATGGGCATGATCCCTGAGAAGTCTGAAAACAGCCTCAAGATCATCAGCAATGCCTTCTGTACCACCAACTGCTTAATCCCCCGGCCAAGCCCATCCATGACAACTTTGGCATTGTGGAAGGACTTGTGACCACAATCCATGCTGCCACTCCTGCCCAGAAGACTCGATGGCCTCTGTGGGAAACTGTGGCATATGTCTGTGGGGCTCTCCAGAACATCATCCCTGCATCTACTGGTGTTGCCAAGGCTGTGGGCAAGGCCATCCCCGAGCTGAACAGGAAGCTCACTAGCATGGCCTTCCGTGTCCTTCTGCAAACGTGTTGGTTGTGGACCTGACCTGCCATCTGGAGAAACCTGCCAAATATGATGACATCAAAAAGGTGGTGAAGCAGGCGTCAGAGGGCCCCTCAAGGGCATCTTGGGCTACACTGAACACCAGGTTGTTTCCTCTGACTTTAACAGTGACACTCACTCTTCCACTTTCGATGCTGGGGCTGCCATTGCCCTCAGTGACCACTTTGTCAAGCTCATTTCCTCGTACAACAGTGAATTTGGCTACAGCAACAGGGTGGTGGCCCATATGGCCTCCAAGGAGTAAGACTGCTCGACAACCAGCCCCAGTGAGAGCACAAGAGGAAGAAAGAGACCTTCAGCTTCTGGGCAGTCCCTGCCATGCTCAGTCCCCCACCACACTGGGAATCTCCCCTCTTCACAGTTTCCATGCAGACCCCACAAAGAGCTCTATCTTGTCGTGTACCATCAATAAAGTCCTCTGTACTCAAAAAAAAAAAAAAGATAGAAAATGAACAACCTGATTTTAAAAATGAGCCAAAGATCTTAATGGACACCTCATCACAGAGGATATACAGATGGCAAATAAACATATGAAAAAGATGCTCCACGTCATATGTCATCAGGGAAATGCAAATTAAAACAATGAGATCCCACTACACACTTACTAAAATGGCTAACTAAAATCTAGAACGCTGACAACACCAAATGCTGGTGAGAATGTGGATTAACAGGAACTCTTATTCATTGCTAGTGGGAATGCCAAATGGTACAGCTACTTTGGGAGACAATTTGGTGGTTTCTTAAAAAAACTAAACATACTCTTACCATCCAGCAATCATGCTCCTTGGTATTTACCCAAAGGAGTGAAAAACTGTCCACACAAAAACCTGCATGTGGGTGTTCATGTCAGCCTTATTCATAATTGCCAGAACATGGAAGCAACCAAGATGTCCTTCAGTAGGTGAACAGATAAACTGTAATACATACAGAGAATGACATATTATGCAGTCCTAAAGAGAAACTATGAAGCCATGAGAAGATACAGAAAACACGTATTATGAGGGAAAGAAGCCAATCTGAAACAGCTGCATACCGTATGATTTCAGTTATATGACATTCTGGAAAAGGCAAAATTATAGAGACAATAAAAATATCAGGGGTTGGGTAGAGAGAGGGATGAATAGGCAGAGCCCAGAAAATTTTTAGGGCAGTGAACCTAATCTGCCTGATGCTATAATGATGAATACATGTCATTGTAAATTTGTCTAAACCCATAGAATGTATAACACCAAGAGTGAACCCTAATGCAAACTATGGACTCTGGGTGATAATGATGTGTTAGTGTAGGATCATCAGTTATAACAGAGGTACCCTCTGGTGGTGGCAGGGTGGGGGAATATGGGAAATCTGCTCAGTGTTGCTGTGAACCTAAAACTGGTCTAAAAAATAAAGACCGTTTTAAAAAAGATAAAGTAATAAAAAATATGCTCACAGCTCAGTTGTGATACTAGTAATGCAATTTTTATGCAAAATTATGCTTTTGAAGAAATCAGAATTCTCAATTTTTTGGTGATTATTTAAATTTTCCTCATTTTTATATGGTTTCTTTTAAAATGTTTCACTTTTTTCCCTGATTTATATTAGAATGGCAATGTATGCTTAACACTTGTATTTTTATAAGTTTATGAGTTTTTAATGTTCTGAAATGTTATTTTTTACTTCAAATGTGTTGAACATTTAACTTGTTAAAACATTCCAGGCTGGGCACAGTGGCTCACGCCTGTAGTCCTAGCACTTTGGGAGGCTAAGGCAGGAGGATCACTTGAGCCCAGGAGTTTGAGGCCAGCCTGGGCAACATAGTGAGACCCCATATGTTTTAAAAAAAAATTCTGAACTAAAAAAAAAAAAAACAGCATTAATGCTAGTATTCCATATTATATAAAATAAGTGTGAAATACCCAAATTACTTTTTTTTTTCATTTCTGGGTAAATCTTTAAAATTTTTTTAATTAAAAAAATTTCTTATTTCTAAAAATCTTTGTGGATACATAATAGGTGTATATCATATTGCATTTCTATCTAATATGTACCTGCTTATGGGAGGAGTCAACAAATGTTTATTATTTCTAAATATTCCTATTTCTCAGACATTAAAAGATGTTCAAGAAGTAGTCATATGAACGTGATTTGATTTCTTTTTAAATGTAATATCAGTTTTATTGGTACCCCATTTTTGCTATACATTTTTAGTTTAGTTATATTTTTTGTCCACCTTCAGTGAATGCCTTCATTTTCATTGTCATTACTTAAGCATTTATACTGACTTCCAGACTCCACTGAAAGACTTGTTTGAATGCATACTTTACGTTTGGACCATCCATTCACTTAACAGAAAAGATACAGGTTGAGCACTTAGTGTGTAATAGGTAATGCGAAATACTGTGGATAGTGTGGAACAAGACAACTCATGCCCTCAAAGTTTACTTTCAAACTGAGGAGATGTACAATACATGATTAAGCACATAAATAAGAAAATTATAGATTATAATAAGAACACGAACAAAATAAGCAGGGTGATGTGAAAAGTAATGTGGGGAGAAGTAGGTGACATTTGAGCTGAGACCTGAGTGATTCTCCATCCAGGGAAGTACATTCCAGCAGGAAGAAAAGTAAGTGCACCTCTGAGGCAGGAAGGAGGCAAGTCAGGGGTAGAGTATAGAGAACAAGAAGGGGGAATGGTTAAAGATGAATTTGGAGAGGTAGGCAGGAACAAAATTATCAGGGCTTTGTAGCCTGATAATTTATCCTTTATTAAGGATTTTGGCTGTTGTTTTAAATACATTGGGCTGCCATTGACATATTTCAGGTAAGGGAATGAAAGGAAATGGTTTGTGTTTTTGGAAGATTTTTTTTTTTTCTGTATTGAGAACGGATTGTAGAGAGGCAGAAGTGGAAATGGAGATTAGCTAAGGTAGAAGGCCATGCTTGGGCCATGGGAGCTACTAAAAATACTTTTAGCTTGGAAGTGATATTCACAAAGCATGGGATGAAAAAATGTACATGATAGCTTAATGAGATTGACTGGGGTAGAGGGTGACAGAAGAGAGAATGAGACTGAGAGACCAGTTAGGAAGACATTGGAAAACTTCATGTATAAAATTGTTCGTTAGGGCACAAATTAAGAGTGAAAGCAGTGTCAATAAAATGGAAAAAGAATTTGCAAGACAATGAAAGACAGAACTGACAGGCCTTTGTGTCTGATTCACTGTCAGGAGAAAAGAAAGCATCAAGGATTTGAAGCCAGGGTTTCTAGGGAGATATTGTTACCATTGGCAGAGAATTTTGGAGCAGTGTCTGGAGTATATGTATGGAGTGCTGGTTTTGTTTTATTTTATTCTATTTTTTTGAGACAAGGTCTTACTCTGTTGCCCAGGCTGGAGTGCTGTGGCATGATCACAGCTCACTGCAGCCTCAAGCTCCCAGGCTCAAGCCATTTGAATTAGTCTGTTTTCACGCTGCTCTAAAGAATTTATAAACAAAAGAAGTTCAGTTGACTCACAGTTCCTCATGGCTGGGGAGGCCTCGGGAAACTTAGAATCCCTGTGGAAGGTGAAAGGTAAGCAAGGCACATCTTACATGACAACAGGAGGAAGAGAAAATGCAGGGGAAACTGCCACTATTAAAACCATCAGATCTCATGAGAACTCCTTCAGTATCATGAAAACAGCATGGGGAAAACCGCCCCCATGATCCAGTCACCTCCCACCAGGTCCCTCCCTTGACATGCGGGAATTACAATTTGGGATGAGATTTGGGTGGGGACATAGAGCCAAACCATATAGTTCTGCTCCTGGCCCCTCCCAAATCTCATGTCCTTTTCACATTTCAAAACCAATCATGCCTTCCCAACAGTCCCCCAAAGTCTTAACTCATTCCAGTATTAACCTAAAGTCCAAGTCCAAAGTCTCATCTGAGACAAGGCAAGTCTCTTCCACCTATGAGTCTGTAAAATCAAAAGCAAGTTAGTTACTTCCAAGATACAATGAGGGCACAGGCATTGGGTAAATGCTCCCATTCCAAATGGGAGAAATTGGCCAAAACAAAGGGGCCTCAGGCCTCATGCAAGTCTGAAACCCAGCCAGGCAGTCATTGAATCTTAAACTCCAAAATCTCCTTTAACTCCATGTCTCACATCCAGGGTATGCTGATGCAAGGGGTGTGCTCCCACGGCCTTGAGCAGCTTTGTCCCTGTGGCTGCTTTCATGGGCTGGCATTAAATGCTTGTGGCTTTTCCAGATGCATGGTGCAAGCTGTCAGTGGATCTACTTTTCTGGGGTCTGGAGGACAGTGGCCCTTTTCTCATAGCTCCACTAGGCAGCACTCCAGTGGGGACTCTGTGTGGGGGCTCCAACCCTACATTTCCCTTCCACACTGCCCCAGCAGAGGTTCTCCATAAGGGCTCTGCCCCTGTAGCAGACTTCTGTCTGGACATCCAGGAATTTCCATATGTCCTTTGAAATCTAGGCAGAGGTTCCCAAAGCTCAACTCCTGTCTTCTGCACACCTACAGGCCCAACACCACATGGAAGCTGCCAAGGCTTGGGGCCCGCACCCTCTGAAGCAATGGTCTGAGCTGTAGTCTGGCCCCTTTTAGCCATGGCTGGAGCCGGAGTGGCTGGGACACTGGACACCATATCCTGAGGCTGCAGAGAGCAGCAGGGGCCTGATCCCAGCCCACAAAACCATTTTTTCCCTCCTAGGCCTTGTGGCCTGTGATGGGAGGGGCTGCCATGAAGATCTCTGACATGCCTTGGGGAAATTTTTCCCATTTTCTTGGCTATTAACATTCTGTTCCTTGTTATTTAGGCAAATTTCTGTAGCATGCTTGAGTTTCTCCCCAGAAAATGGGGTTTTCTTTTCTACCAGTCAGGCTGCAAATTTCCAAACTTTTATGCTCTGCTTCGCTTTTAAACAGAAGTTCCAATTGCAGATTATCTCTTCGTGAACACATTTGTTCACTTTGAGAAAAATCAAGGCCACATCTTTAATGCTTTGCTGCTTAGAAATTTCTTCTGCCAGATACCCTAAATCATCTCTCTCAAGTTCAAAGTTCCGCAGATCTCTAGGTCAGGGGCAAAATGCCACCAGTCTTTTTGCTAAAGCATAGCATGAGTGACCTTTACTCCAGTTCCCAAAAAGTCCCTCATCTCTTTCTGAGACCACCTCAGCCTTGATTTCATTGTCCATATCACTATCAGCATTTTGGTCAAAACCATTCAGCAAGGCTCTAGGAAGTTCCAGACTTTCCCATATCTTCTGAGCCCCCCAAACTGTTCCAACCTTTGCCTGTTACCCAGTTCCAAAGTCACTTCCATTTTTTCAGGTTATTTTTATAGCAGTGCCCTACTCCTGGTACTAATTCTCTGTATTAGTCTGTTTTCACACTGCTATAAAGTTACTACTTGAGGCTGGGTAATTTATAAACAAAAGGTTTAATTGATACACAGTTCCACATGGCTGGGGAGGCTTCAAGGAACTTAGAATCATGGTGGAAGGTTATGGGGAAGCAAGGAACATCTTACATGGCGGCAAGAGAGAATGTGTAGGGGAAACGACCAATTTTAAAACCGTCTGATCTTATTTATGAGCCCTCCCTCACTATCATGAGAACAGCATGGGGGTAACCACCCCCATGCTCCATTCACCTCCCACCAGGTCCCTTCCTTGATATGTGGGGACTACAATTTAAAATGAGATTTGAGTGAGGACACAAAGCCAAATTAAATCACTATCCTCCCACCTCAGCCTCCCGAGTAGCTGGGACTACAGGTGCACGTCACCACACCTAACTTTTATATATGTATATTTTAGAGACAAGGTCTCACTGTGTTGCCCAGGCTTGTCTCGAATGCCTGGGCTCAAGCAATTCTCCCACCTCTGCCTCCAAAAGTGCTGGGATTTCAGGCATGAGTCAGCACACCCAGCCTCTGGAGTGCTGGTTTTAGATATGATATTAAGGCCATGGCAAAATATCCATTTGGGACTGTTGATCTGCCCTATGTACATACTCATGTGCCAGTGTACAATACTGTTATTATCTCCTTGGGCTTCTCTGCTTGTTCACTCTGTGAAGAGCACCAGACTCTATGAGTTGCTCCCATTGTTGCCTCTGACCCCATTCAAGGCAGAAATCCTTTTACTTGTTACCAAGATGTGGAATAAGAAACTAAGAAAAAATATATAGCATCTTATATTTGTATATTTCATTATAGTTTTCAAAGTTCTGTACAAAAATATTGTGAAGTAGGTAAGACAGATATTATCTCAGTTTTGCAAATGAGGAAACTGGGACTCTTAGAGTTGGACTACTCAAGATAGTGCCTTAGAAAATGGCCGAGTTAGGACCTAAGATACAAACGTTTTGATTGGTGTCTAGTACTTAGTGCTTATCCTGAAAAATAATTCTTGATAAATTCACAGATCATGGATCTCTTGATTCAAGTCTGGAAGTCTGCCTTCGCTATTTATCACTTAAGATCACTTGATTGTTTTTCCTTGCTTCAGCCTTGTCTAGAGTACGAGCAAGTTGTACTTTGGGGTTAGCAGAATCCTGACACTGAGATTTGATCCAATGCTCACTTCTTTCTAGATGTTGATTATAGTCTTTTCTCCAATTGCTAGGCCCCTCCCCAACTTTAGGCTTATGTTCTTTGTCCTTGCTTCTTTATGTCCGGGTCCCATGGATGAGTAAGGTATTTTCTTTCCTGGTGGAAGTGGAAGTGATCTGCTTTGAGCCTTAGAAGGAACCAGAAGCTGACTGAAGAGAGTTAGGGATGGTTGTATGGGCAGATTTCTTGCTGCTTGGGGTAGCCAAAAGGAGGGTGAGGGAGAGATTGAGAGAATAAATGAGAAATATTTCCTAAAGTGTAAGGCAATATAAAAGGTAGTTGTAGGTCAAGATCTGGGCAGTGGAGTTAAGTTCTAAGTGTGCAAAGTCCAACTAAGTGATGGAAGTGATGTGGACATAAAGGTCTTTGACATTAAGAACTCTTGGGTTAATCTTTAAATGATTTCAATTACACTCCTGAAACCATCCAATAAAATATAATTAAAAAGAAAAATTTGGGCCAGAGAGACATGGTATGAAAGGACACTATTTGAATAAAAATATTTAGATGTATTTGGAATAGATTTATTTTGATAGTATCACTGAAGAAGACATGCAGATATATTAGTGGTAAATTTAATAGCTACCATAAACCTGAAAGTTTGCCTTTAATTTGTTTTTGTGTGTCTTTTCTTATACTTCTCTACAGTTTAAGATATAACATTTCATATTATAGTTCATTTCCCCAAATCCAAAGCTCGTCAATCCTGAGAGTGTAATTTATTTATTTAAAAACAAGAAACTTACTCTCCTATTGTTTGAAGACTGTGAAGCCATTATCTTCTGACAGCATTTTAAAGAATAATTTTTAAATCATAATTATCTTTGTTTAACACTGTAGTTCTCTTGAGTACAAGGACGAAAGTTTAGCAGTTGTTCAAACTTTTAAAAACAAGTTCTTAACAGTTTTATATTGTGTCCTGCTCCTATCTACAAGTCATTTAGAAAATTGTTTTTTGATATAAAGAAATTTACCATTTTATTCCCAGTTTCCTTAGTATTTGTTATAGAACAAATCGCAAAATATTAAATGGTTTTGAGATTGAGAATAAGAATTAAAACGAAAATAAGGTTTGTATCAACAGTTGCTAACACTGGGAATCAGTTTTAATTGACAGTGTCTAAACAAACAAAGCCTGTTTATTAAAGACATTTCCTGGAAAGCAGCAAATCTGGAAGAGCTATGTAGCTATTAAAACTTAAGATCCATAGTCTTTGACAATTCTTTCCCATGTTAGTCACAATGGGCAGGTGTCTGGTCTCTGGGCAGTTTGCAAAAATAGCTCCATGGGAAACTGATAT
This sequence comes from Homo sapiens, assembly GCF_000001405.40. NCBI lineage: Eukaryota > Metazoa > Chordata > Mammalia > Primates > Hominidae > Homo > Homo sapiens. The sequence goes on along the minus strand of NC_000008.11, from coordinate 100,543,059 downwards.
AGGAACTTGTCATCTTCTTTTCCCGTTTCTGAAAGATTCTCCAGAATGCTCTGAGTACACACATGTAAACTGAGCTAACTCACAGATTACCATTTTAATAGGAGAGGCTGTGTGTAGAGGCCAGGGCTCAGTCAGAAAGAGAATTGCTGTAATTCGCTGTCTTATGCTTGAAATTACTCTGCTGAAGGAGTTATCAGGACTGGTGATTGAGCTCTGCTTTAGAATATCGGTGTCTTCCACTTCTTGCCCCACCCCTTCCTAATTGGCAGCATGAGGAAAGCACTAGCCAAAAGTTACAACTTCTGCCTATAATCCTTTATTTATTTCTATCCTCATGAACTAGGCTAGAAAACCTGGGGGCAGGGAATCTGTTTTTCTTTTGTGAACCTGGAGCCATTTCTAAGCATGTACTTCCTACTCTCAAAAAAGACTCCTTCCCAAAATAGGTTACCCCTAGTCCAGAGCAGGGACAGCAGGAAAAGAGCCACAGATTCCCTTTAAAGCCACAGACACTCCTCAACTCCCTTAGATATAAGACTATTTATTCCCTTTCTACCAAGGGTCTCAGCATTAAATCAACATTTCCAGTGGCGAGAGAAGAAATACATCTAATACCCCACATATGAGTCATTCTGCCGTTTCTCAGTCGTTTCATGTCTGTTCTACAAACATGCCATTTTAAAAATACAGTTTGACTAAGGCATCTCCTTAGTCTGCTGTCCAGTTGTCTTATGTTGTATATCCTTATTTATGAGGGCCCCTGGAGGTCAGAGTGAGTGAGGTAGGATGTGAGTGTAATAAGGATACGTAAAGAATTCTGAATTTTAAGGTTTTACCTAGGCCATAAATGTACAAATGGTAAATGTAGACTAGAGTGATTTGCATAGCTTCACACACAGCAGACCCCACCTTAAAGAAGTCCACTAGATCCTCCAGGGTTTTATAGTGTAGGGAGGAGGGCCCTTGTCCACCCACTGTCATTATGTATGTTTTGTGTGAAGGATGCAGTACATCCTTCTGAGAAATGCACCATTAGATTATTTCATTGTTTGTGTACAAAGTGTACTTACTACCCAAACCTAGATACAAGAGCCTACTGCACACCCAGGCCATATGGTATGGCCTGTTGTTCCTAGGCTACAACCCTATACAGCATGTTACTGTGCTGAATACTGTAGGCAGTTTTAATACTGTGGCAAATATTTGTGTATCTAAACATAGAAAAGTTATAGTAAGAATATTCTAATCTTATGGGACCACCTTCATATATGCAGTCCGTCGTTGACCAAAATGTCATTATGCAGTGTATGACTGCATTTTGTATTTCGACAGTGAATCATGAATAGGACTAGAACGTGTGGGGATGAGCGGTAGCATGTAAAGTAACAAAGTTACAGCCTTTCTGGTCTCAGTGTCCTTATTTGTAAAATAATGAGATTGAGTTAAATGATGTTGGATGGCCTTCCAGCTCTAAGAATTTTATGGAAATAGTCATGTATAGCATGGGCATGTAGTAGGCTATATCCTCTAGGCTTGTGTAGGCACCTGAGGACACTCTGTGTTGTTCACATAACAGTGAAAGCACCAGACGATGCAGTTCTCAGAACATACCCCATCATTAAGCGACACGTGACTACTACAGTTAAGCTTCTTCTAAGGATACAATCTCATACCTTCAAACTTACTTAGGGTGAAGTCTGGTTTAAATTTTGTAGACTATTTAGAAAATAAGGAATATTTTGCAAAACTCACAATTCTTATATTTTGAAACAACACAATAAATGAATAAGTTAGAATGCCATTTAAGTAGCACTTTATATAAAGTCTGCTAAGGTGGGTTTAATGAGGTTTAGATTTCTGAATAGGCCTGGAATCATATTTTTGCTATTAATTTTCTTGAAAAGTTTTTTTAAAAGGAAAATTGAACTTCATCCCAATTTTGGATTTTCACAAATTCACAGTTAGTGAGAATTATGGTAAATAACTTGAAATGGAACAGAGAAACTTCGGAGGTACAGACTTCTCACCTTATGCCATACTAGATGCTGAAGTTGAACTTGAAGCCTATGCAGGCCACAAGGTGGCACCCTTAGGCCATATAAATAAAGTGCTGTTGCAACTAGAAAAAAACAGTTTTAAAGAATCAAGTAACTTTATTATGTAATGATAGACTATAAACTGGAAACCTCCTGAGGAGGAAGTCCCTTGCTAAGAATTTTAAACATGGTAAAATTACATAGTAAAGATTTTGGAAAATACTAAGATATTAGAATGTGAAATAGAATATCCAAAATAACCAGCATTCCTTTTGTGAACAATTAATTTTGATTTGTCTTAAGCCAATACCTTTTCTAAAAGTTGAATTGTAACTAAACTTTAATAATGCAAACAAATAATAGTTAAGCAATATAAATATTGCCAGAAATATATCAGAAATCGTTGTTGGTGTTTTTTGATTTCCTGATGGAGAAAGAAAAATTTAGGTGTTTTCTTGTTATCCCAATCAGTAGGAAGTACTTGAGAATGATGAGTCTAAGAATTTAGTCACCTGTGAAGTAGAAGACTTTTCCAAAAATATTTTATTGTTATTTTCCCATACTTTAAAAACTTATTTTTATGAGATGATTAAAAACAGTTAATTTGGCTTATGTGTGCTAGAATATTTTCTGTGAAGTAAAAGACATTTCCAGGTATTGTTTCTACAGTTTAAGAAGACGTTCACTTTGAATGAAATGATTGTAAAGAGTTATATGGAATGTGTATGCTAGACTAATGTTCTCCCTTATGTTTGATGAAGACATTTGCTAAGCTAATTCATTAAACAAAAAATCTTATGAAACAAACTTAGTGACTTTTTTTTTTTTACTCATGAAATGAGTATAGTGATAGTATGCATGTACCTTGTAGGGTTTCTATGAGGATTAAATGAGTTATTATAGGAAAAACACTTAGAACTGTGCCTGCAGTATAACTTAATAAATGTAGAATACTGTGTATCTCAAATGTTGCCAAGCAATTATTTGCATAGTAATACCAGACATAACAAACAGGAAATTCTTTTTTCTCTTTTCATTAAGCTTAATTCCAGAAGAACATCTACTAAGTAATATCTGATTAACAGAGTTTTAATTATTATATGAACTTAACTCAGTGAACTGGCCTTTTTTGTTTTTTGTACAGACAGGGTCTTGCATTGTTGCCCAGGCTAGTCTCGAACTCCGGGGCTCAAGCAATCCTCCCACCTTGGCCTCCCAAAGTGCTGGGATTATAGGTATGAGCCACTGCACCTGGCTAGTGGCCTGTCTTTAAGTATTATTGTGTAATTCACATACTTCAAATTAACCTCATTTTTATGCATTAATAGTTTTAATTATGAAGTTACTAATAGCTTTGTATTGAAGACATCAAAAAGTTAAGAATTTTAGACACAGCCACATTAGACTGAAATGTTGGAAATACCACAAAATGTGTGTTTTCTACAAAGTTGGATATAAAATAAAAATGTATGTCTGTGGTAGAGCTACATCTGCCTAAAAATTGCTCCAAAAATTTGCTAAAAATTTGAACTTCTGTTATTATTGAGCCTTGGAAATAAAATTCAGAAGATTCTGCTTATAAACTCCTTCTTTCCAATGTTCTTCATAGTACTGGGATATCCTAAAAGGATAGTGTTCTTAGTTCCTCCTTTTATTTACTTCCCACAGAAAGAGAGCAACTCTTTTCCTTTTTTAAAGAATCCAAATAAATATTCACATATTTTATCTTTATTTAGGACAGATCACTAAAAGGTTAAAAATTGGGCCCTAGCCATATGATCAGTGAGAAATTACTTCCTAGGCCCTTCTAATACAATTTTCCAAAAAATAGAGAAATAAGGAACTTAAGTCCATCCTAGTTTAGGATGAACCATAAACCAGAATCTTAGAAGTTTTGCAGTGAGCAAAGAAAGCATTGCATCAAGATTGACGTCACAGTAAAACTATTCACCGGTCAGAGACTGGTTCCACAGCCATACATTAGACAGCTTTCATCTGCATCACAAAATTCTTTTTACATTTTGGTTAGCCAAAAACATCATTGAATCTATGTGATAGGAAAAATACAGGACAAATTCTTTTTTAATGTGCTAAGGAATTCAGTAAAATTATGGTACATACATAGAATACAGTCATCCCTTAGTATCCAGTTTCTTTTAACAGCATCTGACAAGAAAATTGTCTCTCTGTGGTACTCTCCTAAGAGCAGTGTGCCTTTCAGGGGAGTCAGACTATCACATATCTCTCCCCGCTACTTTTCCCACCTCTCCAAGCAGGCTTCATTATGTTTACCTAGGTTTCACATCCATTCACAGGGGCACAGACTCAGTCCTCAGTGAATCTTGAAAGATTACTGGTTCATTATTCACACTTTTTATTAGTGCCTGTAATTCTGTTTGAAGAGGGATGGGTTTCTCTTCCCTTAGTATCCTCTTCAAACCCCTGTTTGAAGAGGGATGGTTTCAGGACCTCATGCAGATACCAGAATTCACAGATGCTCAAGTCCCTGGTACAGAATGATATGGTATTTGCATATAACCTATGCACATCTTTCCATATACTTTAAATAATCTCTAGGTTACTTATAATACCTAATACAATGTAAATGCTATGGAAGTAGTTGTTACACTGTGTTGTTTAGGGAATAATGACAAGAAAGAAAGTCTGTACATACGTGTTCAGTATAGATGCAATTTTTTTCCCCAAATATTTTTGATTCATGGTTGGTTGAATCATTAATTTGATTCATGGTTGATTGTGTGCAGCTTTTAGTTTCTTTTTTTTCATATTTATTTCCTAAAAATTTTTACAATGCACTGCAGAACTAGTCATAAGAAAAAATATTACTTTAAAATCTTGTGACAATGAACTTAATCGAGTGTACATTCAGGAAAGAATTATTGGATTTCCCTATGTCTAGACTTCAAGAAACTTAATGTGCCAGGCATTGCAGTCAGCCAGTATATATAGACAAATCAGACCCATTTCTTGGCTTCTAGAAACATATTCTGGCAGGAATTTTAGGACAGTTGTGAACAAGCAACAAAGTTTTACATGAACTGTTTTCTCCTGGTTATCTTGACAACTTACAGCAGCTGCAGGGCATATTGGAAATATATAAGCTAAATATGAAGCCCCACCCTGCCACTTAAAGCAGTATGGCCCTAGACTCAATGTCTGTGGGCCTTGGGAATTAAGATCACTCTATTAGAGAAAGAGTTGCTGTTTAAATAGCTGCTGAAGATAAGCAGACTGAAGAAATATATTGTTAATGTTTTGGGAAGGATTTTAAATTGTTAAAATTCTTACTTGCTCACAGCTAAATTTCTTTTCAACATGGCATTTTTCCTTGCCCAGTATCTTTGGATTTTTGCAGAGCTCAGGTTTTAAGAACAGTAATTTTAAAGTACTAGCAGTTAGGATTTAATGACTTCATTGGAAATTTTTGTTTTATAGTTCTCTGAGATTATATTTTGAAACAGCTGTATCCTCTTAAAAGGATAAGAATAAGCAAGTGATAGAATCTAGATTTGGGGGTTTCATTTACTGTGTATCATTCATTTTTACAGTTTTAGTACTTTTCTTTGACATTAGAAAATGGCAAAGGCAATAAGATCTGACAGAATATCTTTCCAGCTATGTCGTTTTTTCCTTGCATTTTGTTGAAATGTCTGGTGCTTTGATCTCTGACCAAAATTGCTTGTGTAGGCATAATGTAGTCAGTCCATTTGAAGCAAGAATGTGGTACTTAGTCTTCCCTTTCCAAATGGCCTTTCAAAATGAAAAATCCATCTATTATGTATTCTTGTTGATATTGGATATAGAACAATTTTTAGTTATAAGTATATATATTCTCTCCATTAGTCCTTAACCATTAAGAATACTATTATATCTTAAAGTTTTACAGATTGACCTAAGATTGTGGATCCAAAATTTGAGATATAAAAGAAAATTAGGCATGACTTTTCATCAAGTCAGTGAATCACAAGCTTCCATCAAAACCTTTTTATTGTTGTTTGGGTTGAGACAATCACGCTGGTTGACATAAGAAGCTCTTGTTGCCGCGATCTAAGTGACTGCGTCATGTGAAAGGATAAATGACTCCATCTTCAAGTCTCTCAGGCAGTGCCACAGAGCACAGAGTGAGGAGTTTTAAGTGTCAGGCTACACCAGCCCTCAAAAACCTGACCCCCAAAGTTCTGCTTTTAACAATGCCAGCTAGTCTGCCTCTGAACCAGTCAGTGGACACTGTTCCTCATGGACACTGTTCCTTGGGAACCAGGGCCCTGGTCAGCAACCAGCATGCTTTCTGGGGCGTGGTTATTCCCATATTGACTGTTCTTGCACTAGACTATGTGGTTTTTCCTCTGCCAGGAACCAGTTCTTTTATTTTTCTTTCCTGGAGGTCTTTACTGCCAACTAGATGTCACCCCATTATCAGAAGCTGCTCTGTTACCAGGGGATCAGTGCTGTATGCAAGCTTTCTTCCGTATGGCTGAGGACTGTCTCCCCAGAGCTGTGTCTAGCCTGAAAAGGATAATAGCTTATTTTTGAGTGCTAAGTCATACAGCTAGTAAGTAGCTGAGCTGGGGTTCAAACCCAGGCAGTCCAGCTCCATATACATTCTGGGTGGAGTAATCAAGTTTTTTTAACAGCATCTGACAAGAAAATTGTCTCTCTATGGTACACTCCTAAGAGTAGTGCCTTTCAGGAGAGTCAGACTATCACATATCTCTCCCCGCTACTTTTCCCACCTCTCCAAGCAGGCTTCATTATGTTTACTTAGGTTTCACATCCATTCACAGGGGCACAGACTCAGTCCTCAGTGAATCTTGAAAGATTACTGGTTCATTATTCACACTTTTATTAGTGCCTGTAATTCTGTTTGAAGAATGGTTCTTATTAAACACTCCCTTTGGTAAATGCCAGTACATCCACCTGTGCCCTTGCAAATGCTTGGTCCTACAGGTTCTTCCATAAATAACCTGACACCGAGACACATGACTCCAAAGATGACCTTACATTCTTCTTGAATGGGGGAAATAGACATCTTCATGCTCAACAGTCTTTTAGTCACAATCTTCAGGTCTTCATACGACTCACTAGTTGCTCTCCTGACCATTTATCCTAGAGAAATGAAGATTTACAGTCACATACAAACAAATGTTTGTAGAAGCTTTAACAATGGCCAAAAACTGGAGACACCAGATGTCCTTCAGTAGATGAACTGTTATATTGTGGTACACCCATGCCACGGAATACTACTATGGATAAAAAAGGGACAAACTATGGATACACACAGCTACCCTGGATGAATCTCCAGAGAATTATACTGAGTGAAAAGACCAATCCCAAAAGGTTCCTGTATGTGCTGTATGGCTCCATTTATACAACATTCTTGAAATGACAGAATTAAAGAAGTGGAAGACTAGGTAGTGTTTTCTAGGTGTTAAGGAGAGACTGGCATGGGAGGGAAGCAGGAATAGCTAAAAAGGGCAACATATGAGAGATTTTTCATGGTGATGGAAATGTTCTGTATCTTGACTATATCAATGTCAGTATCCTGGTTGTGATGTTGTACTATAGTTTGGCAAGATGTTACCATTGGGGGAAACTGGATAAAGGGTGCACAGGATCACTCTGTGTTATTTCTTACAACTGCATATGAATTTATAATTATCTCAAAAAGTTTAATTTAAAAAAGTCTTTAGTCCTCTTCACCCATTGGACAATCGTTAAATATGTGCTCTGATTTGTATTCACTTTATGACTTCTTAGGGAAGCTATTAACAGAGTCTAGTGAGTAAGGTCTAACTGAGGTCTTGGAAGTTTTCTTGGCAGGTTTCTAGTAATTTAGTCTAATGAATTTGTATAATATTATTATGAAATCATACAAATCTGTAATTTGTTCAAGTGTATTTTCTTATGGGCCATTGTAATATCCAAAGAAAATGGCAGGCTGGTTGCGGTGGCTCACGCCTGTAATCCCAGCACTTTGGGAGGCCAAGGTGGGTGGATCACCTGAGGTCAGGAGTTCAAGACCTGCCTAGCCAACATGGTGAAACCTCATCTCCACTAAAAATACAAAAATTACCCAGGCATGGTGGCACATGGCTGTAGTCCCAGCTACTGGGGAGGCTGAGGCAGGATAATTGCTTGAACGCGGAGGCCTCTGCAGGTGAGTCGAGATTGCACCACTGCACTCCGGCACCAGCGACAGAGTGAGACTCTGTCTCAAAAATAAAAAAAGAAAAAATTGCAGAAGCATTGTCCTTCTTGTGGATTTAAGAGAACATTAGGATTATTTGGGGGCATGACCATATGAACTATAATTCCATCTCTAGATGAAAAACAAAATTTTTTCTTTTTCCCTAATGTGAGCTCTACCACATCCAGAATAACCCACTTGCACCATTTTAATTAACATTGAAAATTAAAGCCAAATCATACATTAGAGACAGGCTCTAGTCGTTAAAGACTCAGCTCTAGAGGTCAGGACAAGAGAGGAAAAATATTAGGCTTTGGGTGAATACATAATATTTGTTTAAGGAAATCAAGGTAAGTGGCTCCGTGATATGAAGTTCGTCTAAATTGATACTGTGGTATCACAAAAGAAGTAGGAAATGAGGAGCGTAGATGTTTTGTGTGTTATCATGTCTTCGTGATATTTACTGACCCTCGTGTGGGACTGGTCCTCAGGTACAGTTTGTCAGCTATTGTCATCAGTTCCAGCCTAGCACTGATAGCCTTTATGATACAACCTGACTTACATATTGTAAATGGAGCTTTGTAAAATACCATTAATTATTTCCCTATATAAATTTGTTCACAGGGATTTGATAACAATGAACAAGGATGATCGGTAAAAAGTTAACCTGTATTTCACCCTGACCAGGAATTTGGGATTTGGACTTGATAGCATGGTATCTGGCACATTGCAGGCACACAGTGAATGTTTGTTTCATGAACTAATATTGCTATTTTTGTGGTCCTTACTGCCTGCCCATGACCCTGCTTCCACGGTCCTTCCAGAGAAGAGCTGAGTGGGCAGACAGGGTGCCCTCGTAGTCTCTCTCAGTGCAGAGAAGTGCAGCCTGGGTGGGGGAGCAGCGTCAGGCTATGTAAAGAAGACTACAGATAGACTTGGGCCAGCTTTTATTTCACACTGAAAAGACAAGGAAGGGAACAGATTTAAAGAGATTTAAGTACCAGCATTCAAGGTAGATTAGAAATACTTTTTCTTAAATGTATCCTGTTTGGTTTAAATATAAGTATTGGCTTTTTAAACTTATTTTTTCCCACTATGAATAGTATTTTATTTATAAAAATGCTTTTGTGGACTAATCTGGGATCTAGCCTCCATTTATAATGTGAAAAATATGCATTCTGAATTCCAAGTAATGACTGAGAGTGAATTTTCGGAGCCCAATTTGTTCTTTAGTGATGGCACATAATTTGATTCTTATTCTTTTATCTTTCTGTCTTGCTTTCTTGTTTGTGGGCCACAGAGCAGCTTCTATTAAGCCCTTCTTTGCTTCCTTTTCACTACTTTGTTACTCGTCAGATATTTTTCTGGCCTCACAAGTTGATGCCTCACCTACAGATTTTCTAGAGAATTTCTTCAGGCTCAGTAACCTGTCTGTATTTAATAGAACAGTGAGTTCTTTTTCTCACCACACTTCTATTATAACTTAATTTTCTATTTACTGTAGATCCTTGCCAGCACATTACAGAATATTTTTGTTGAACCTTCTTGAGAATTCAGAGAAACTGCTGAGTGACCACTGAACGAAAAGATCTAATCTTAAGGCTTACGTGAGTATTTACTACTGTGGACTTCCTCACAAGATGTGAAACCTTCAGTGAACTGCTTTAGGACAGATTCAGTTCTGTGATCAAGATGAAAAATAACTATCATTGGGCTTATTAAATGTGGGATTAAGTTTAGTAGTTGCTCAGGGACACAGAGAAACTGACAAAATACACACTTGTTCTCACCTGAAAAATAGACACAGAGACTTGTATTTCTTGCTGAGCCAACACTCAGAAGTATCCTAGTCTGCAAACCACAAGAATTCTTACTGTGTCTGAATCAAAAACACCAACTAGATTTTTTAAATTATCTATTTTTAAAAATTTAACCAAAACACATTACCTTTTGAAAAGCACTTGATATGTGGCATTTCATTTTGAAAAAGGTTTATGATAGCTTTTCCATTTTTATGATTCAATACTGTGCAAGCTTGTCCAACCTGCAGCCCAGAACAGCTTTGAATGTAGCCCAACACAAATTCATAAACTTTTAAAAAACATTCTGAGATTTTTTTTGCAATTTTTTAAAGCTTATCAGCTATCATTATGTATTTTATGTGTAGCCCAAGACAATTCTTCTTCCATTGTGACCCAGGGAAGCCGAAATGTTGGACACCCTTGCTGTAAGGGAAAATATTTAGATTACCCTCGCAAAAGAATTCTTGACTATTTTATTGAGTAAATTCTTCTCATTGAGTTTTTCTGTTTGTTGGTTTGGTTTGGTTTGGTTTGGTTTGTTTTTTTGAGACAGGCCTCACTTTGATGCCCAGGCTGGAGTGCTGTGGCTCAATCACAGCTCATCGCAACCTCGACCTCCCGGGCTCAAGTGATCCTCTCACCTCAGCGTCCCGAACAGGTGGGACGAAAGGCGCGCGCCACCATGCCTGGCTAATTTTAAAATATTTTATAGAGACAGGGTCTCTCGCTATGTTGCCCAGGCTAGTTTCGAACTCCTGGGCTTCAAGCTATCCTCCCATTTTGGCCTTCCAAAGTACTGGGATTACAGGTGTGAGCCACTGTGTCCAGCCAGATTTTTAAAAAGTCATCATATGTATCATAATCTGAAGTTTATTTTGATTTTAATCTCTGTAGTTTTTAATCATAAACTTTTTTTCGTATTTGAAATTATTCTTAACAGCCCCTTTTCACCCTTCATTTCATATCCAGTGAGTCATTAAGTTGTGCTAATTCTGTCTTCTCTGTTCCTCTCCAGTGCGTCCCCTTCTGCCTGCCACTGCCTTAGGTCAGGTTTTCATTTCTTGCCTAGATAGCTGCAATGACCTAATGATTGATCTCCCTGCCTCCAGTCTTTGTCTCTACAATCCAGTGCCTCCATATTGCCATCCAAGTCATCTTTCTGAAAGACTAATAAGACTGTGCCATTTCTTTGACTTAAAATTCTTCAGTGGGCTGGACTCATTGAAATAGTAGTCCCAGCTATTTAGGAGGCTGATGTGGGAGGATTGCTTGAACCCAGGAGTTTGAGGCTGCAGTGAGCCATGATTGTACCACCGCACTCCAGCCTGGGTGACAGAGCAAGAACCTGTCTCAATTTAAAACAAAAAAAATCCTTCAGTGGCTCCTCACTGAAATTCAGGTATAAAAAAGCCTAACTGTGGAGTTGTTAGGAAGATTAAATTAAATTCATTAAAAGCTCCTAGTTGGTACCTGGCTCAGAACAAGTCTCAGTGTATGTTAATGCCCACTCTTTCCACAGAGAGCCCATGGTAGCAGCAGAGCCCTTGTGTAAGGCAGCCCCAGATTTTGGGACAATGGCTCTGCTGAGAAGCCAAGTTGAAAGGAATAGGGGCAGCAATCTCACCAAACTCAGCAGCCAGGCTTCCCTGAATCCCCTTGAGGTTAGGCACAAGAATAGATGGGTCTAGCGTCCAGTTCCATCAGTGTTTCAGAAAGAGACTTTACCTGATCAGCTGTATAAGCCAAGTCCATATGTGACTAAGCTTTTGTAACCTAAGAATAAAAAAGCCATCTCTAGAAAAGCATTGGTCTCTGCCTTTCTGTTTTCTTGTTTGTTTTCTCGTCAATTTCCTAGCGAAGTTTCTTTTGACAGGCTTTAACTCTTTCTTAAATGAACCTAGGGGAAGAGAGAGAGACCTAGTTGTATGCAGTTTGGTAGAGCAAAATGTCCTGAGAGTTCAGGTGCACCAGGCAGATGCTGAACTCTCACCTGAGTTCAGGTGCGCCAGTGGGGCCAGGAAACATCTGTGAAAGAGATGTGGGCAAACTGGTGAGCTGGATGAGTCCAAGAGATGAAATTCACATCAGACCTAGTTGGGATTGCTGCTTTGTCCTGACTTGGTATTCCCAGACAGCCCTACTTTTTTTTCCCCTCATCTCTCAGTCTTTGGACGGTGGGAATTTGGCACAGTCACATATTGAGATAACCACAGAGCACAGCAGAATAAGATCAATAGTGGAAAAAGCATAATCTGAATTGATTTCATGCTCTGATTTTTAAATTCAGTTTGTTACATTCCTTAGCCTTTCTCTTAAAATTTGTGCTATAGGCCAGGCGCGGTGGCTCACGCCTGTAGTCCCAGCACTTTTTGCAAGGCCAAGGCAGGCGGATCATGAGGTCAGGAGTTCAAGACCAGCCTGGCCAACATGGTGAAACCCCGTCTCTACTAAAAATACAAAAAATTAGCTGAGCATGGTGGCAGACACCTGTAATTCCAGCTACTTGGGAGGCTGAGGCAGGAGAATCGCTTGAACTCGGGAGATGGAGGTTGCAGTGAGCCAAGACCGCGCCACTGCACTCCAGCCTGGGCAATAGAGCGAGACACCATCTCAAAAAAAAAAAATTGTGCTATAAACATAACACTCTACAGGTCTTTGTTGAGTATAAGTTCTTTTCATGCAAGTAGTTTTAGTTACCATGTAGAATATCTCAAATACAAGAAGAAGCAAATATATCAAAGAGAATTAGTTTGTATTAAATAAGAATGTCTACCAGCAGTAGCATTTATATATGGGTAGTTCTTTGATGTTTAAACACCATGTTATCTATGTGTTCTGACAATGTAATACTTAAATCTAAGCTATTATGTCTTGCTTAACTTTAAAAATATCTCTTAATCTTTTTACATGGTGAAAAGCAAAATAGAGCTTTACAGTAATTGAATTGGAATTTTAATCCAGCAGATGTGAAGAAAATAAAATGTTTTAATGGAAAATAAAATACAATTGATAACTTTGTTGTTGTTTCTGTTTGGTCATTTATTTATTAGAGGCAGGAGGCCAAAAAGGATGAGAAATATTGCTTTTCTAAATGACTCCTTTGTCTTGATTTCATTTGTCTTCATGGAATCTCACTCACCTATTTCATTACAGGCGTGTTCCATCCACCACATCAGAACAATGTCGTATGTTTTTGTAAATGATTCTTCTCAGACTAACGTGCCCTTGCTGCAAGCCTGTATTGATGGGGACTTTAATTATTCCAAGCGGCTTTTGGAAAGTGGCTTTGACCCAAATATTCGTGACAGCAGGGGCAGAACAGGCCTTCACCTTGCAGCAGCTCGAGGGAATGTAGACATCTGCCAGTTACTGCATAAATTCGGTGCCGATCTTCTGGCCACAGATTATCAAGGAAACACAGCTCTTCACCTCTGTGGCCATGTGGATACTATCCAATTTTTGGTTTCCAATGGACTCAAAATTGATATTTGGTAAGTTCTCTGTTGTTTTAGAAGTCTAGTCATTTCTTCCCATTAATCTCTCAACTGATAATCTTATCTTGGGTCTGTTGGTTTTGTTTCCTCATTAATCAGTTGAAATAAGTTCAGAAAGCATTGAAGACAGTGTAATCCTGTTAGGCAAGTGAGGGAATGAGGGGCTGACTTCTAGATTTTTGCTAAAGCAGCATATTTTTTTCTATGAAAATAGTAGGTAGTTTCTGCTACTAATTATGTAGTGTTACAACAAGGGAAGAAGAAGAAAAGAACATTTGTTGAAAATCTATGAGCTAGACTGTGTTTACTTGTTAGCTCATTTAGTCCTCAGAATGAAGAGCTCTCACAATAGGTGTTTTCATTTTACAGATTAGATAGTGAAGACAAAAAAGGATTGGACAAAGTTCACACAGTTTATAGAGGATTTGAAAAGGTCACAGCTTATAAGGGACAGAGCTGGAATTTGAACCTAGTTCCGCTGACTCTAACGCTTGTGTGCCTTCTGTCATGTAACGCACCATGTGAGCTTCATAATCTCCCGGGAGTCCAGGATCCTTTTTAGACTGAACAATTTGAGGAAGTCATGGGGCTTTTTGTTTGTTTTAGTGATACTCTGCTTTTTGAGTGGGAACGATGTCAAGTCACCTGTAAAACTGAGCTTGACCTTTAAATTACAGTTACACACTGCCCTAATTTATTGATGCCATAATGCCCCTAAATCTGAATAAGACAGTAAATGCTTTTGTTTCTGCAGGACAAAATGGGGTAGGAATTGACTGCAGGATTTAATGTGATTGGGGTTCTAACCTATTATTAGCGCTAAATAGCTGCGTGAACCGAAGCAGCTTATTTGACATTTTTTTCTTAGACTTTTTTAAAAAAAGTACTTGTCTCATAAAATGTAAATATCAAATAAGAATGAATCTAGAACTAGATTTATCCACTTTTTTGACTATATGTTCTCTTTTTTCTTTTCCCTGGAAGTAAAAAAAAAAAAAAAAAGAAAAACAAGGGTTAATTCAAAATTCAGCTACACTGGATGTTTGGCTCAGCTCTGGGTTTTACTTTTGAGTTAAACTGGACCCATCCTTTTTTTCCCCTTGGTGATTTGTTCTTCATAAACACTTTCTATAGTACAATTCAGAAAAAAATAGAGGCACACGGCTATTACTTCTACCATAATCTGCTGTTGAGGAGACATTCAGTGTGAGGATGGGGTCTGGAGGTGGGGGACGTGTTTGGTTAACAGGATAACGGCCTCTGTGATGAACTGTGCAAAAATCCCATCAGTCAACATCTGATTGCAGCCAGATGGTCAAGGCTCATGGTGGAAGAGTTGTAGTGAGCCAAATACTCCTTTAGTTCCCCACAGCCCTAGGGTAGGCCCTAATTGGGCCCATTCTTTCTTCACTGAGATCTATATAAGTGGGTACTAAAAATGGAACTGACAATGTAGTATAACTGCTATGATGGCTTCTTTATTTTTATAAACTTTTTTTTTTTTTTTTTTTTTTAGCAATCATCAAGGTGCTACCCCTTTAGTTCTGGCAAAGCGCAGAGGAGTAAATAAAGATGTCATCCGATTGCTGGAATCTTTGGAAGAACAGGAGGTGAAAGGATTTAACAGAGGAACCCACTCGAAACTGGAGACCATGCAAACAGCTGAGAGTGAAAGGTACTGGAGATACAACTTTTTTTTTCTCACTGTATTACTCATTCCTTGAACTCCTGGGCTCAAGCATTCTTCCTGCCTCAGCCTCCTGACTAGCTGGGACTATAGGCACATGTAGCCACACCCAGCAAGATAATACGATTTTTTAAGGGGAAAGTCACTTTAAGTATGTGGATTTATGGTTAACTTTGTGAACTTTAATATTCATTTGCTTTTAAGTGCAACTTGAACTTTATATAGGACCTTATGACTGCAGATTACAATTGAGAAGCTATTAACAGAAAGTACTACATGTCATGTGCGCATAATGTTCTGTTAGCCACCTGCTGTATTGACAGTACAAAGGAGAAATAGTAACAAATGAATCTGAGGGGAGGAAGCCGGAGCTTGATGATTTTAAGTACAGGTCACAAAAAGAATGGAATTTCAAAAAAAAGAGAAGTATAAGTAAAGCCAAGAACTTGGGCAATTTTAGAAAAGACTGAAAGGTAGTTTCAAGGGTAGGGAAGTGGAATGCTGAGAAACAAGAAAACAAGAGAGGGAAAGCAAGATAGTATTTAACACATGCACAGTTCAGTAATGTGAAAGTGAAAGTGACTTTCATATGAGTTGGAGCTAATGAAATTTGGATTCCTGTGAGTAATCGAAGCTAAGATGTGGTAACTGACAGGGTCTTGAATAGCTCATCATTTCTCATCTAGAAGCAATGGAGAATGCAGTTCAGAGAGCTCCAAAAAGGTGGCGCACCATCTTTTCTCCTGATGTCACTGGGCTCAACAGGTAAAGTTAATAGGCCAGACTTAGTTCTAGTAGCATATTATCTGGTTGACCACCATGCAGTTTCAGCCTTCCACATTATACGTGTGAAGGAAAAAGGATGCTGAGCTTCCATAGCCTCTTCCCAGTATTCTCGGTAGGTTGTAAATAGAATAAGCAAGGGCCCACATCAGCTGTTTACCTAGTAGCTGATGGACTAGGACTTGGATTTAGAATCACATAATCCACTTAGACCATTGGGATCATTGTTTCTGTGAGTTCTAAATGAAATCCTCTCTGTTTTTCATAGCTTACCCTTCATTTGATTCCTTTGTACCCATTTTTGCTTTCCTCCTCTCGTGTGCCAGATGATGTGCTCTTTGGGGACCATTAATTCCACTCTCAAGCTTAGGTCTATTTTGTTCAGATACTTTCAAGCACTTTAATACAGTCCTAAAGAAATCCAAGAGCTTTACTTCTGGAACAGTGCATACTCCTCTTGAGTGATCACTGAAAGCTGACAAATAGATAATCAAGAAGTCAGAGATGTATTTGCAAGCCCTTGTTTTTCTCTCCTCTGTACTTTGGATTGACAGAATGGCATAAGCACTTTAACAATATTGAGTTAACTATTATTTGTTAAAGATTTTTTCCTCTAAGATAACTTGAAATTTATTTTTATCTTTTTATGAAATAACATTAAGTACTTTAAGCTTCTTTACCATGAAAAACAACCAAGAATGTGTTCTTGTTTGGTATATTTTTAGGATCTTTATTTTGTTAATAGCCAGTTTCTTGGCACCCTTTTATTAGAAATATACTTTTAGCATTAGTTTGCCTCAGTTGTGATTACTTACTAAGAAGTGATAAGTACAAAATAATATTCCATTGGATGAGCAGTGGAAGTACTCCTGCTTCCTTCACATACCTGCCATTTCACTGCAGCATGAGAGTTTGTATTAATTGTAACACTGTATAAAGCTCGTTTTTCAAAAATTGAGTTATTAACACTTTTATTACCTAGTTTTCCTATCTTACTCCTACCCCTCAGTGTCATGGTAGAAATTCAGTGGTTGAAGCTTAAATCAGAAAGTTGAAAGGTAATGTCATTAGGAAAATGCAAATGAGGACCATAGTGAAATGCCACTTCACACCCACTAGGATAGCTGCAATTAAAAAGATAGATAATAACAAGTGCTCTGGAGGATGTGGAGAAATTGGAACCCTCATACACTGCTGATGGGAATGGAAAGTAGAGCAGCTTCTTTGGAAAAGTCTGGCAGTCCTTCAAAAAGCTACACGTAGAGTTACCATCTGACCAGCAGTGCCACTTCTAGGAATATACCAAAGAAAATTGAAACATATGTCCACACAAAACTTATATATGAATGTTCATAGCAGCATTATTCATAATAGCCAAAACATTGATACCACCCAGATATCCATCAGCTGATGAAGGAATAAACATCATCTGTTCATCCAATGGAATATTACTAATATTATTATATTATACTGATACATGCTACAGCATGGATAAATTTTGAAAACATGCTACATTGGAGAAGCCAGGCACAAAAGGCCACATATTACATGATTCTGTTTATGTGAAATGTCCAGAATAAGCAAATCCATAGAGACAGAAAGTAGATGAGAAAGTAGACTAGAAGCTGGGAGAAGGGGCAATGGGAGTGACTGCTAATAGGTACAGAGTTTCTTATAGAGGTGCTGAAAGTGTACTGGAATTAGAAGAGATGGTTGTACAATTTGGGGAATATATGAAAAGCCACTGAATTGTACAGTTTCAAAAGGTAAATATTATGGGATGTGAATTATGTCTCAATAAATGTAGATGAAAAAGTTTAAAGAGATTGGCTAGCACATGGCATTATGGCATAATTGTGTAATGGCTTTTTCTAGAGCAGAAGATAAAGCAGGGTTTTAAATGTATTTACTATAATATTTTCCATTTCTCTTAGGATTCCCCCAAGACAGCACAACTTCTGCAGGCCTTATAAGGGACTATAAATCAAGTTAATGAAAAATATTTCCCCACTCCTCCATATAACTCTAAGTTTAATTCCTTTTTACTTTGTAGGTATGGGATAACAAAAACAGTATAGCTATCACATTTTTTAAAAAAGATACATGCAAACACACCCCCCAAAGACAGTGTAGATATCACGTTTTTAAAAAAAGATTATACACACACCCCATTATGTTAGAATCAGATATTCCCTGGACAGTAGAAAGCATTTCATTGGATAAAGTCTTTATAGAATATCCCGATTGGCAGAGCTTCATGAGCTCTGAAGAACAATGAGAATGCTCATGGAATTTTCATTTTATACCTAACATGTATAAGGGCATGTCAACTCGTAATCAATAAATTTTACATAGGTCAAACTAAGCCTCTGCAGAACTGTGTTATCTATTTGTGGTTTTACTCTTTTAGGCCTTCTCAAAGTTCTAATCTTATTTTTAAACTTGCTGTCAAGTGTTCCAAAATTACTGTGGTGTTGTAGATTCCCACTGAAAACATCATCTCTTATTCAGAGAATAAACATGTTTTAATTATTAAAAAAAAAAAAGTTTGGGTGTTAAGCAGACTGGCCCATTAGGAAGTCAGTTTCCCATGATCAGAGAAGACCTCTAATGTTGGTAAAGGCTGAAGGACTTTTGTTTGATGGTATCAAGAAGTAAAATAAAGTTGTAGGTTAAAAAATGTCAGTTTTGCATGTTTATTCATAGTTCATAATGAATGAGACTCTAAGATACTGTTTTATGGGAGTTAGGAAGGATAGTAATGAACTTTGATAACCAGTAGATAGTTGATTCCTATGATCATGGTTATGGTGGCTTTAATCTAAATGATACCCTCTTATTGGGCCTGTATGTTGTGATATAACCATGAGTGCTCTTCCCTTAGTGCTTCCAAGTACCAAAGTCAGATGCAGTTTCTCTTTGTGGTAGTCGTATTTCTCATTGATAAAGTTCTGAAAACCAGAATCAGTGTTTTTATGGTATTTGCACTACCTTATTTTCAACTAGACTAGCCTTTATGCAGAAGAGAAATGAACATATTCTGTCTTACTGTACAAGATAGAACTAACACCAATAGGAAGAAACTATTAAGAATTCCTAATGACTAGGCCAGCTGTGGTGGCTCATGCCTGTAATCCCAGCACTTTGGGAGGTCAAGGCAGGTGGATCACCTAAACTCAGGAGTTCAAGACCAGCCTGGGCAACATGGCGAAACCCTGTCTCTACCAAAAATACAAAAATTAGCCAGCCATGGTGGCATGCACCTGTAGTCCCAGCTACCTGGGGGGCTGAGGCAGGAGGATTGCTTGAGCTGGGGAGGTGGAGGTTTCAGTGAGCTGAGATCGCATCACTGTATTCCAGCCTGGGCGGCAGAGTGAGATTCTGTCTCCAAAAAAAAAAAAGAATTTCTGATGACTAGACGAGTCCACATGTACAACAGGCTGAGGAGTAACCTTCCATTATTAGAGAATTACAATTAAAGAAGGAATTCCTTCATTGGTCAGATTATTGAACTAAATTAATAAAAATTCCCTTTTAACTTCAAGATTCACACACACTGTATAAGTGACTTTTTAGATTTACTCATCTTCCCCCCTCCCCCCAACAGACATTTACTTTCTCAGTTCTAGGGCCTAGAAGTCTGAGATCAAGGTGTCACAAAGTTGGTTTCTTCTAAGGCCTCTCTGCTTGACTTGTAGATGACTGTCCTCTTCAGGTGTCATCACCTGCATGTCTGCTTATTCGTATTAACACATTCTTAAATTATGAGTCTGCACTTTGAATCTTCTAAATTTAACATAACAAGAATGTGTTGTGGTTTAATATCTTGATGGAGACAACTCATAACCTATTTCAAGACTTCTGCTCAGGACACCTTAAAAAAAAATAGAGATGGTGTCTCGCTATGTTACCCAGGCTGGTCCCGAACTCCTGGGCTCAAGTGATCCTCCCTCCTTGGCCTGCAAAAGTGTCGGGATTACAGGCATGAGCTACCACGCCCAGCCAGGACCTTTTAAATAGAATTTTTAACTTGAGTTTACTAAATTCTAAACCAAGAGAAACATACTCATTACCATTTAGCAATTTACAGTTTAGTATATATTGTTCAGATACGTAAGCATGTAAGAGTGTGTATATATATATATGTGTGTGTGTGTGTGTGTGTGTGTGTGTGTGTGTGTGTGTATTTGGTCTTTTCTAAATAGTAGCCCTGTGGTTTTATGTTTTTGGAATTGCTGTGTTTTTTTAATGCCCTTTTTGCTCTTTCTTCTTCCACAGTGCCATGGAAAGCCATTCACTCCTCAATCCCAACCTGCAGCAAGGTGAAGGAGTCCTCTCCAGCTTCCGAACCACGTGGCAGGAGTTTGTGGAGGATCTGGGCTTCTGGAGAGTATTGCTGTTGATCTTCGTCATTGCTTTGCTGTCTCTTGGCATTGCTTATTATGTGAGTGGGGTGCTACCCTTCGTGGAAAACCAGCCTGAACTGGTGCATTAAAGGAGCTCATGGAAGATGAGGCAATTAATTGCCTGTTTCCTGGCTTCCAATGTTTGTTCTCAGTTTCTCAGAATTTTTCTTAGCGCAAAGCAGTGAGGGCAGTACATGTTCTTTTTGCATTTTTAATTATTGTAATCCTTTTAGATAATGATGTGTTCATTTGAACTAACTACATACTATGATCAAGTATATTGCATCCTAACGCTACCTCTGACTCAACCTGACTTTGTAGGAAAGCCTACACGTAGCCTTGTTTGATAAAAACACGGAAGTGACTAGAGAATGGAAGATAAAGGAAGAAGCTAGGAAGTCCTTGCTATCAAAACCTTATCCTAATATAGGACCAATTGAAGTATTCAAAAAGAAAAACAGTATCTTATATGATTAGTTTTTGTTGGTGGTTTTGTTTTCATTTATTTTTGCAAGAGCCACTTTTTATTTACTTTCTCTAGGGATAAGAGATAAAACTTGAAGTACTTTTTTCAAATCTTGTGTGCAAATTAGTATTGTTAGCATCTATTTGGCTTATTTTAGTATTTTTAAGTCTAGTCACAAACCAAACAAAACTTTTGAAAATGAGCTATATTTTGTTCAAAGATAATTGATTTGATCTTATATTTATTTGTTTTTAGGATAATTTTTGATCTTTTTGTAAACTGCTTTGCTTGTTAATATCTGTGAAAAATAAATGAGTTCATTTTGTTCACTTTCCAATTTTCCCGAGTATCCTAGTCATCAAAGATAACAGTTCATCAGAATTACAGTCAGAAAATCCTTTTTCTACTGAATAGTTAGCAGGGAAAAATAATTCTGATATTTAACTGTCATAATTCTGTAGTGCTATTATAGTGAAAAACTCAGTTCTATAAGCTAGCTGTGTTGTCACAGTTTTATCATAGTTCATAATTATTTCATGTGCAATCCTATTTGGAGGCCCTGTTAGACTTTTAACAATCCCATCCATATCTGTAATTCTCTGATGGCAAGAATGGATGGAGCATTTCTGAGTTAACAGTGCTGGACAGTATCGTACTGGGTGTCATAAACTCTTTATGAATGGTAATATTATGTAAATTGAAATCTGGCCCTCAAACTATATTGCAGCTTTCAGCAGTATGTTTGAAGGCCTCTTTTGTTAATGATTCTGTAATGTATGAATTATGTTCTTGAGTGGTTAAAAAAGAATATGAAGGCTTGATAATTATTTATTGGGTAAAGTCAGGAAATTGTAGTGAAAGAACTAATGGTTTTGTTTTTTGGAATAAAGGCACCTAAGCTATTGCTAATTGAATTGCTGCTAGAATTAGAAATTATGCTTTAGAATAGAATTGGTATTTCTGTGATTCTTTTTGCTTCTTGGTATTTTCTCTTGTATCTATGTATCTAGTATTGAGGCTTGCTCTTTCATGTGGCTTTATCCTCTCTTTAATAGCTGTTGTAAAATTCCTGAGTAACTGGCTGCTTCAGGATCAGCTTGCAGAGTCTTGCTTTTAGGTTAGATACAAACAAAGTAAATCATAGTTGGTGTAAATCCAGCAAAAAACAGCTGGCTTTGGAATGGAGAACACTACAATTCAAATTTGAAGTATATTCAGAAGAAAACTTTGGAATTAGCTTTACATTTGTTTGTAAATCTAAACAAATATGCAAAATTGGTCAAAATGTAAGTATATAGCATTTTTAAAGATTAATGGTTCCTTTTATGTGCTGATTTCTTTGTATTCTGTTCTCTGCATTCATCATTCAGGAATACCACCAATAAATGTATTTATATATCCCTTAATCACGATTTCTCTTTTTTTTTTTTTTTTTTAGTGTATTATAGTTTTAATTTGGGGATTTTGTAATGGATTGCAATTAGCTGCTTTTTAAAACACAGCTTTTTTTCAAACCTAATGTATTAGGTATATTGAGTTTCATATATGTTTGCCTTATAAATACTGTGAAATTAATTTGAGTGAATTGCTCGTAGATTTAAGGGTGATGATCATAACTACCACAATTAAGCCCCTCCCAATTATGCAAGTTTTTAGCATGCAAGTTTTACCCTACGCCCCCTTGAGCACTACATGACCCCAGTTTATAAGATGAGAAAATGGACACAGGGATGGCTAAGTAACTTGTCCAAGGTCAAACAGGTAGGACCTGGTGGAAGAGGGATTCCAGATTGAGGCTCCAGCCCCAATTATGCTTGTGCTTTCCTCCTGTCCCGCTGTCTTTCATGAATCTGGAAATGGAACCATATTTATCCAGAACCTCGCCTGATACCATTTCAGCAGGACATTACTAAATTTTCCACTCGTGGTCCTATATACTTACTTTTTTTCCTTTCTTACACATCTTCCCAGTGGTAGAAGCTTTAATATTCAAGCTCCAACCCTGGCTTGTCAGAAAGTCTTCCATAGTTAACCGTACTTGACTGCCTCCTTCCCAACCCCTCCTTTCCCCACCACTTACCACACTCAGTTTTATTACTTGTATTTTGCATTCCTTGATCCGTTTCTCTGTAAACATGATTTTCTTTCTAACTTGTTTAATTGTAAGCTTCATGAGAGCAGGGACTTAGTCTATTTTTATAACCCCATCTGTCTACAGAGCATCCTGTAGAGCTCTTGGTACACAAATACTTATAGCATTGCTTTTATACCTGTAGCTATATTTTTTCTTTTCAGGTTGAATAGCTCTTTGCCTTTTATGCATCCCCCGCAACAAGCTGCAGGTGTGAGCTGTGCTTGGTCCTCCTTCCACAGTGCGCCTGTAGCTTCATGAACGAACTATACAGGCTGGCAGTGTGGAGCCCCCTCACCTGTGGAGCATGCAGGCTTCCGATCAGCAGCACCTGCCACAGGTTTACCACTTCGTGTAGAAGCCCAGGAACAATATTCACCTGCCACTGCTGCTGTTTTGGTTTCTATGTTTTTATTTCAAAACCAGGCCTCAGTCTTTGACTTGTGAAATTGTTTATGCATGTATCAAAGTGCTTTCAGCTGCAGGAACCAAAATCCGAATTCAAAACGGCTTACCCCATAGGAAATGTATTTGTTTATGTAACTGAAAGTCCAGTTACATAAAGCCCGTTTACATAAAAAGGTAGGGTTGACCCCAAGGGTGACATCATCCAGAATCTTTAGCCCAGTTCCCTTGTGCTCTTGCCCTGCCCTCCTTGTTGGCTGCTTCCTCCAGCTGGTTCTGCAATGAGTACAGAATTTTTAGACATCACATCCATTTATCACCACATAGAGAAGAGACCGTCTTTCCTGTGACTCCCTCGTAGGAAACTTTGATGCAAACAAGCTGTTTCATTGGCTGACATGATATCATGTACCCCATTCTCAAACCAACCAGTACCCTTACACAGGTTGACTTAGGCCTGGATTGATGAACCAGTCATTGGCAGGGGTGGGGTTGGTAGAATTCATATGTTGAGCTTGGACTAATGGTTTTAGAAGTGATTAGGGCCACTCCTGGCAATCAGTGGGCAGGGACCATAGTTGTTTTACATCCCACAGTGCATGGGACAGTTTAGTCTAACAAAGGATTGTTCTAAATCCCACATGATTCTTGAATGTTCTGCTGGACATTCGTGTGTTTAGAAAACAAACAATTTTAGATATCTGAACCTAAAACCCAACCATTTCACATTTTAAAACAAGGTATTATTTGGTATAGTTTTATTTTTTTATTTTATTTATTTTTTTTTTTTGAGACAGAGTCTCGCTCTGTCGCCCAGGCTGGAGTGCAGTGGTGCAATCTTGGCTCACTGCAAGCTCTGCCTCCCGGGTTCACGCCATTCTCCTGCCTCAGCCTCCTGAGTAGCTGGGATTACAGGGGCGTGCCACCACGCCCAGCTAATTTTTTGTATTTTTTAGCAGAGACGGGGTTTCACCATGTTAGCCAGGATGGTCTCGATCTCCTGACCTCGTGATCCACCCGCCTCGGCCTCCCAAAGTGCTGGGATTACAGGCGTGAGCCACCCCACCCGGCCTGGTATATAGTTTTAATGTATCATGAATTTTCCAAGAATACAACCACGAGATAATTAAGGGAAGATTCGACTTCATTTTGTTCAAAACTTTATCAAGAATTGCACCGCTTTTCAAAAATCTTGTTATTGACAGCAGTGCTACTTATAATTAAGTCATCAACATAATTCTATTACAGATAGTAATGACTTCGTTGTTTCTTCTAATGTAGCTGGGCCTGAGCATTTACATATTGAAATATACATTTTATTATAAATTTCTTTCCCTTTATTTTGTGTTTCTATTACATAATTTATGTGAAATCATTTTATTGATTTTGACAGTTGTTAACTCCTACTTATCTGGGAGCCATTCTATAGCTTAGCTTATTTAATCTTTTTTAAGACAGAGTCTCACTCTTTCACCCAGGCTGGAGTGCAGTGGTGTGACCTAGGCTCACTACAACCTCCGCCTTCCAGGTTCAAGCTATTCTCCTGTCTCAGCCTCCCTAGGAGCTGGGATTACAGGTGTGCACTACCATGCCTGGCTAATTTTTGTATTTTTAGTAGAGATGGGTTTTCGTCATGTTGGCCAGGCTGTTCTTGAACTTCTGACCTCAAGTGATCTGCCTGCCTCGGCCTCCCAAAGTGCTGGGATTACAGGCGTGAGCCACTGCGCCCAGCCTTATGTAGTCATCTTGATGTACCTTTTCCAAATAGTTTATCTTGGAGTGAACACCAGGAAGTAGCTTTTCCCAAAGTTAATAGAACATTTGGGGAAAATGAGGCCAGTATCTGATTAAAACACCTTTAAAATTGTTCAGGCCGAAGCAATTCCAGCTGTGCTAAAATAGAACTTTGGGATGAGGTTAATTCCTTTGTGCTCCAAGTAGATTCAAAACAATTTTCTAAGGGGGGATCTTGGCCTTGGCTCCCCTCAAAGCACACATAGGCTGGCATTCTGTTCAGCCACTCATTCTTGACTTTTCACAGCACAACCAGACTGCTCCATAGCCAGAGGCATAGGTGTCTACATTCACCTGGGGACAGAGATTTGGCCACACTCCTTAGATGTCAAGGACTACAATCTGGAGTTCCTTGCTACCCAACACTCATTAAAAGCTTAGCTGATAACAGTATTTAGAGAATATTGCTTGGAGGATGTTTTAGAGCAGCACTGTCCAATCAAACTTGGCAACGTTGAAAATTTTCTATATGCTGTCCAATGCAGTAGCCACTTGCCACCTGTGGCTGTTTAAATTACATTAGAAATTCATTTCTTTATTAGCCACATTTCTGGTACTCTTGGGCAGCAAAGGTAAAGAAGATTCCATTTTTACAGGAAGTTCTTTGGGACCACACTGTTGTAGAAACCGCCTTGAGTTCAAGTCAGGTCAGTGGAGAGCTGGGTACTTGAACTGTGCTAATAGTAGTGCCCAGCCCAACTGCTTTTACTGAGCTCTTCATTAATAAGTGGTAATGCTATACTTATTAACTCAATCTTCACAAATGCTATTATTGTCCCCACCTCACCATTAGAGAAACTAAGGCATTTGAGGCAGGGTTGAATAGCATGCCCAAGGTAACACGGCCAGTAAGCGGCAGAGCTGGGATTTGAACTCAGGCAGTATGGGACCGGGGTCTCTTGTCACCATCCTGCTGTGATGCCTGTCTACTTAGTTGTGATGCAATTGTCTTGAAGTGAAAATTGTCTTCTGTGGATTTAACCATTGGATCTATAAAGGAAAGCTACTGAGGATGCTGTTGGCACCATTCTTTATGAAGACCCCTGACAAGGAACTTTTGTTTCTTAACACGCACAACTGTATTTCTGCTGAGCAGTTACTTTACTTTCAATTTATGTTCTCTAGGAGTTGCGTAATTGATCAGGTAGAATTCATCTTTCACACTGGATGCTGAAAAGCTTAATGCTAAATTTGGGTTTCACCACAAGCAACTGTAATGTACGTCATTATGATGATTACTAGAACCTCATTCCTATTTATTTTAAATCCTTATCTTTAGTTTTATTTTCTTGTTCTAAATATTCACTTTAGCCTACTTAAGTTGTTTTTAGATTATGATGGGGGGGTGGATAGTTAGATAGCTATTAGTGTGAATTGATAGGACTACCATAAAATTACTTTTTGATTTCTGGAACATAACAGCAGAAAATGTATTGACCTTTTGCAATTTGAAACAATACTTTGTTGCCTCATATTCAAAATGCAGTCTTGGTTTCTAGCATACCTGGAAATGTCAGTTTACCTTATTTGTGTCTTTCTGTGTTCCAAAAAAGGATTTATGTTCAGCTGAATAAGCCGATATTATTCTAAACTATGGAAATCAAATGACCTGAGTTCTATTCTAGCATTCTAATGAATCATTTGAATGAAGCCTGAAAAATGAACATTAACAAGTTACTGGGGGCCAGTGACTCACACTTGTAATCCCAGCATTTTGGGAGGCCGAGGCGGGTGGATCACCTGAGGTCGAGAGTTCGAGACCAGCCTGACCAATGTGGAGAAACCCCATTTCTACTGAAGACACAAAATTAGCTGGGCATGGTGGCGCATGCCTGTAATCCCAACTACTTGAAAGGCTGAGGCAGGAGAATTGCTTGAAATCTGGGAGGTGGAGGTTGCAGTGAGCTGAGATCATGCCATTGCACTCCAGCCTGGGCAACAGGAGTGAAACTCCATCTCAAAAAAAAAAAAAACAAAAACAAGTTACTGGAATCACAGAATTTTAGAGATGGGGCATTAGAAGTCATCTGGAGTGGAGAGGGTTGGGGAGACCAAGGGGAACTGAATGACTGTGGTCCCATTCTTAGGAAAGGAGCAGAACCATTATTTGAATCCAGATACAGTCTGTTGTTCTTCCCTCTTCCATACTGCCCCTCCCTCACACGCTGCCATCACCGCCCCCCCCCTCCCCCGCACCTCAGCGTGCCATTCTAAATATTAAAATTACAAGAGTCTGGTGTGAAATACCTAAAGATAGACTGTGTCAGTATTGTGTTCTGTGTACTTTCATAGTTAGGCCAAATACAGACTGATCTTTTCATCAAGCTGATAGTCATAGCTGAGGATGTGGATTTCTGTAACCTAGTTTCTATTTGTGTGTCAACAGGAGACTCACTCTAAACTTACCTTCTCTTGATAAACAATTTTCTTTTGAGAAATCTTGCCACTTCTCAAAAAAAATCCATTTCGGTTAATGCACTTTCTCTGTAAAGCACCTTGCACCATGGAAATACCGTGAGGAAGCTGAGCAACAGGCCCCGGGGTTTCAAGAGCAGGCATGATGTTACCACATTTTGTACTGGCTAGTCACAGTACTTTTCTTAACAGCGAAGCAATTATATATTCAAGCTCATTGTCCGCTGCATACTTTTGATTCAAGTGAGGAGATCAATGGTTGCAGGAACATTTGTCAACTTAAGCCCTGGGATTATAAAATGCCTTTTTTGATGGCATTTAAAAAAACAAAAACAAAAACAAAAAAACATTTACTGCCTGGTTCTCCAGTGTGCCAGAGATGTCTTCAAGGTATTAATTAAGCTCTTCAATATGTTTTTCTCTGTATCCTTTTCCACATCTTTAGAAGCATCTCTGAAAAGGCAATGAAATATGTGTAAAGATGGGGGAATAAGGCTGGGTGTGGTGGCTCACTCCTGTAATCCCAGCACTTTGGGAGGCCAAGGTGGTTGGATCACTTGAGGTCAGAAGTTTGAGACCAGCCTGGCGAATATGGTGAAACCCCATCTCTACTAAAAATACAAAAATTAGCCGGGTGTGGTGGCACGTGTCTGTAGTCCCAGCTACTTGGGAGGCTGAGACACAAGAATCACTTGAGCTCTGGGAATCACTTGAGCCCCAGGGGTGGAGGTTGCAGTAAGCCGAGATTGCACCACTGCACTCCAGCCTGGGTGACAGAGTGAGACTCTATCTCAAAAAAAAAAAAAAAAAAAAAAGAAGATGGAGGAATAACCCACACTCAGGATAAAACTATCACTGTTTCTGCTTAGGAATCACTTTTCAGGATGTTCAATAGAGTCTTCTCCCTTTTTTTCCCTAAAGATTTATTATTGTTTTGTTGTTTTTAACTTGGATTATTTTTTCATGTCTGAATTAGTTTAAGAATCAATTTAAACGTAAGCTCTGACCTAGGGAAATTTCAGCTTAAAATGCACAATAGTAAATCTCCTAATTTTTTTTTTAAAAATAGATAAATATTTGCTGGAATCATTACAAATTAATGTTTGCATATTTTATGGATAGATACATCTTGGCAAATTTCAATGGTTTTCCTCTTTTTCACAGTATCCCTTTATGTACATTTACAATTTTATGGTATGCAACATCAGCTTTACAGAATGCTTTTGTGTTTTTATGTGTCCCTAGGCCAAATTACTTTTTAGAGGTTCAAGAATAATTGCTAGCCTAATTCTCTTGCATATTCATATCATAAATTGCAAATAGGAAATGTGGCATTGAAGAGTTAGTTATTTCTTCCTGTGATTGGGCTATGAGAAGGTTATTCTCTGCCACAATAAAAGTTACTCCCTTTCTTTGGGGATTAATTTCTAAATTTGAAGACTCTGGGTCAGAGTTGTCTGGACTGTTTCACCGAAATTTCAGTCCATAAGAAATAAAAATAGGTTTTGAAGTAGTTTCTAGGTCACTGGCACAGAAAGCTGGCAAAAATCTGTAACTTACTTTGGATAGTCCTAGTTAGTACAATTCCACCAGCACAGTCTGTTCTTTTAGACTGTGATTCAAGTTTAGGAGAAAATAAAACTTAGAGATCCTTAAATGTTACCCTAACCCCAAAAGTGCTTTTGCATTCTTACACTATAACTTAAGTTTGGGTAATTCTCTTTGTAGATCCCCTGATTTGGGGGAAAGGCAGTCATATTTAACCAGCTAACAGTTCTATATTTCACCTTATTGAACAATCCAAATTTATTTGTTATTTTAGGTAAGTTCCAATTTTGGATCAGACAGTGGAGGCTGTGGTTATACAAGAAAACACGTAGACTTGGAGCCAACAAATCCCAACTTAATATGAACTGACCTTGATCAAATACATTTTCTGAATCTGTTTTCATGTTTAAAACAAATAATAGGAACCTCACAGACCTATCACGATTAATACAAATAATAACTGTATTATTTAAGTACTGCATGTGTACCAGGCCCTACCAGGGTTGATACTGTTATTATCCCCATAAAGAAAGTGAGGCTTAAGAAGTTAAGTATGTATCCTAAAGTCAGGGAGTAGAGTCATTTTTGAAACCAGATTCTGCCTAACTCACTCCAGTGATTTTGTGCTCAACTATTATGCCGTCCATGGTGCTTCTTTGAAGGAAGACCCACATCTGAAAGGACCTGGTGCTCTGTAGGGACTCAATGTATGTTATATGTGTTTTATTGACTAAACTCCAGCTTCTTATGGTCAACTCATCTACATACTATCTCAAAATTTCTGATATGTTGAGGAAGTATAACTACATTATCAATTACAAATCCTGTTCATGGTTTTTCATAGCAGTGGCCTTATAAGACCCCATAGAACCTTCCAGGCATCATCTCAGGAACTCTAGCAGTCTCTTCTCAAGAAAGCCTCAATAGAGCCCAGAGATCTCTCCAGTAATGGGAGAAGGAAAATGCCTGGGCTTCTAACCCCCGAACCAGCCAATCTCAGGTTTACATTGAACAGGGAAGTGTATACGTTTTAACCAATCATGAAATTTTACAATGCCCAATGCACATCCTGTGACACTCAAGAGGATGATTTTGATTGAGTTCCATGAGTAAAAATTCAGATATTGGTAGTCACAATTGCAAAATTCTTTCAAAAGATATTCCTCTAATAGAACTACTCTCAGAACTAAGAGTCAGTGAGAATTATGGAAGCTTATATTTTCTTTCTGGTTGAGATTTTTTTCTGTTTAGGAAGCATGAAACGGTTCTGTCATGATTTTTGACACTATAAGACCCTAGAACTGTGGTGACATCATCTTGCCTAATTACAAAAGAGTTCTAATGGCTGAGCTCAGAAATCCACTAAACTTCTTATAATCTTCAAAAAGTATGTGTTGGTCACAAGAAACAGGAATGCACTACATCCTCAATGAATAACTTCAGCTATTGTCCGGTCATCATTCTGGAATTCTCATTCTGGGAAGTGCCAGTCCCAGTCCCCAGTGGAAAGAGCTCTGTCCTATCTTATTTCTAATTCTATACCTTTCCAAGGCCTGCCCTGCCCTAGCCTTGAGCTGCAGGTGGAAGAGAGGCTTGAAGGTAAGCAGCTGCCTTGCTGCCTGCACCTGGCTCAGAGAATGCTATAAATAGCAGGGTCCTGGAGCTCCCCACCCTCGAAATGATGCTGTTCTACAGACCAAACACCTGACCTTACTCAGAATGCAGTTTCTGTTAAATAAACAGGCTCATTCATTCTCACAATAAAGAAGTTATTCCAATTCCAGAGTTATGTGGCAGAGCCTCCTTTCCCCCTTTCTCCTACTGATTGAAATTCTTTATTGTCTTTTTGTTCGTTTGTTTAAGATGGAGTCTCACTGTGTCACCCAGGCTGAAGTGCAGTGGCACAATCTCGGCTCACCGCAGCCTCCGCCACCTGGGTTCAAGCAATTCTTCTGACTCAGCTTCCCGAGTAGCTGGGGTTACAGGCATGCACCACCCCACCCAGCTAATTTTTGTATTTTTAGTAGAGATGGCGTTTCACCATTGTTGGCCAGGCTGGTCTCGAACTCCTGACCTCAAGTGATCTGCCCGCATTGACCTCCCAAAGTGCTGGGATTACAGGCGTGAGCCACCATGCCCAGCCGAAATTCTTCATTGTCTTTAATGGAGCCCTAATGACTCAGCCAACAGCCTAACTTTGGTTTATTGGTTTACAACTGCTCAAATAACATTCCCAGCCATGGAATAAATACAGACAGTCAACTTATTTCAATGTCAACCTTTTAAAATAGGTATGTGTATATGATTTTTTTTTGTCATTTAATTTGGATAAAATAAGTAGTAATGAGAAACACAGTGCTTCTGAGTTACAAGAATAGATGTGAAAGGATGAGATGACATGCCTACCCTCAGTACACCACAGGACACACACACACACACACACACACAACTTGGTGTCTACCTCACCATTTACCAGATACATAAGAAAATAAACAAGACACTCCTTGTCATAAACACCCACTCTTTTGTGACTGGGAGGCAGAAGAGTGTGGTGGTGAGCACAGGGGTCTCGCACTCAGGCAGACCTGGGTTTGGATCCCCAGCCTACACTATGATGGAGTGTCAGTGGGCAGGTTACCTACCCCTGCTCCCCTAGCCTTAGGTACACCATCTGTTCAATGGGGATATTCCTGACTCAGCTCATCTGTTACATGGGAATAGTAATGCTAACCAGGGGATCAGCTGCGATGTGTAAGCCGCTCAACACTGTTGTTGGTGCACAGCAGCTCTCAATAATCAGCGTAATTATATGATTACTTCCTCTTTAGGCCAAGCACAATCTAGAGCTCTGCCCTGTGCTGCATTAGGAAGCATTTATTTGCTGAAAGACAGGTCAACCTCTATTCTTGTGTAATTGGTCAGGCCTGCAGGCAGTGGGTGATTAGGTTCCCAGATGGCTTCAGCTCTTTGAGCTTTCATTAAATAATACCTTAATTATTAGCTCGAGAGGACATTGAACACAGTCCTTGCCAATCTTCCCAGCCTTCCCTATAGGAAGCCAAGGACAGTTGTGAAGCGGCAGGACCCTTCCTGTGAGCGTTGAGAGCTGAGATGGGCAGAGGAGAAGCAAGCCTGTGCTTTCTGGTTCTATATATTTATGATTGTATCTGGTCCTGGCACATCTCTGCAGCTTAACAGAACTGGGATTTTTTTTTTTTTTTAATCTGTCTTCCCCACATTTACAGAGAAGGACACTGAGGCTTGGAAGCTTTGCAAGGCAAGACAGAAGCCGAATCCAGGCCATCTAATCTCTAGGTCAGTGTCCTGTGCTCCTGAGCCTCAGAAGGCAAGAAAGAAGGGATACAGACGTCAGCGTCCCTGTTGGGTGGGGCTGTTTCCGTCACGACTTGTGTCATGGAGCATCATCTCAAAGCTCTGCAGTTAGGAGGCAGAGGGACCTGCTACCACCTGTCCCCTCCTCTCCAGTCCTGCCCTGCAGGCAGCCCGGGCACCTGCTGTCTTCCTGGCCTCCCAGATCCTCAAGATGGAGCTCCAGGAACCATCCCCTCCTCCGCCCGGGCAGGATGCCACCTCCACAAGGCAAATCACATCCATTTGATCTTGAACAAAAGGCTGCCGTGGTGTCTGAAATGACAACTCCCAGGCGGGTGATGTCATGCTGTTTTGTTTGTCTCCATGGACTGTGGGGATCCAATTTCAGTTGTGAAGAAAACGGTCTGGGGAAAAAAGTTACTTCATTCGGAAAATTCCGAGAAGCCATAAATACAGTTTGCAGCTGAGGAAAGCACTTTCACACTCAGACAATGGATTTGGGTGGAAGAAAAGACTTCCCGCCCCTAAGGCTGAGCCCCTTCACTCCCACCCATGGCCACCGGCAGCCCGCTTCTGCCAGCAGATAGATGTGTGCATGGCTCTGGCAAGATCTCAAGCAACCCCCCTTCCCCAAGGAGACTCTCCGTGACCCAGTGGCAAGTTGGCAGGGGATGTGTTTTCCCTGGTTCTCATCCTAAATTGTCTCCTGCCCAGAGTCCATCCCTGAAGTATCAGGCACTTCCCTCTCGTAAATGGTTGACCTGCATCTCTGAGCTGCTGTTAAAGCAAATTTAAAATAACATTTTGTTGTTTTCATTTCTTATTCCCTTTCTAGCCCTGCAATCTCTAGTGAATCCTTTTTGCTTTTCTTATTCTTTTCTTTTTTCTTTACATTTGGCACAGTGAGAAAGAGGCAGAAACAGAGGGTAAATTTTATTGCTCTTTTCATGAGAAACTTAGCATATAATTCCCAGTCCAGATCTTCAGCCCCAAGTCAGGAAGGAATCATCCCTGCTGGGAAAGACCAGGGCCAGAGAGCTTAGATCCAGGGGCAACTTTTCTAGAGATGTTGCTCCCTGGATTCTCCCACTTTATTTTTTTAATCCCATAAAAACAATATGGCAAGATAACAGAATCTTGGAAGATAGGAGAAAGTCTCTCTAGACCACCCCTCCTTTCATTACATGTCTTCCTGGTGCCAGGTCCTGTTGGCCACTGAGCCCCTTTCTGTCTTCCCTGCTCCCCTGTGACTCCTAGCTTTGTTAGGGCACCCTTCTCCCCCGGGCCTGGCCTCTAGGAAGTCACAGCTCTACGGCATTCCCCAGGCTCTCAGACTCATCTTTCCTGAAACTCTCCCACAGCCTCTTATATCCATCCCCAAAACAGTTCCCAGGGTCAATGCACCCCTTGCGTTTAGTACTGAGAACACAAAGCCTCCTTCCCTTAGCCTACAAAGCACACGGATCTCTGAGCAGCATGTGCAGTGTCAGTGCATGACCATTGCTGGGGAGGAAAACTTTTCTTCTGTGCTCTTACATTCAGTATTTAGGGGCCTGTACATTAAACTGACAAAAGACAGATTAGCAAAAGAAAAAACCAGGCATGGTGTGGCTTATGCCTCTGATCCCAGTGACTCTGGAGGCTGAGGCAGGAGGATCACTTAAGCCCAGGAGTTCGAGGCTGCAGTGAGCCCTGATCATGCCACTACACTTTAGCCTGGAGGACAGTGAGACCCTGCCTCCAAAAAAAAGAGAACATATTATTGTTCAAATTTGTGTGTACATGAGAGTTCACACACACACAAAAGCTGACTCCAGGAGGAGGTTAGAATCTGGGGCTTATATGCCATCTTAACAGGGAGTGGGCAGATGCAGAGGGGAACTTCTACATGACCAAACAACTTAGGAAAAATAAATAGCTTCTTAGGTGAGTCCACGGGAAGTATGTATTGTCCCCATGAACTGTGGGGATAGTTTTGTAACAATATCCGTTCAGGCAATTTCTTATCCAGGTGATGCCTTGTGTTGACTTCTCTTCAATGATAAGAGTCAATCTTCTCTTCTTGTGAAATTCCCGGGAAAGGATTTATAATAGTTGAATTCTTTGGGGAGGCTTTGCATTTAGGAAGATAAGGGGAGTTCAGGAAGAGCCTCTTCCTGCAGCTGTTGATTCTCAAATGTCTTCAGCTCAAAATACTCCACATGGTCCTGTGGCATACTGCAGACCTCTTCACCCTGCAAGTCTTTGGTCTAGAATACCCTGCCGGACGCCAGCAGCCCGCCCACAGGCCTAAGCTCAGGGCCCAAGCTCCTGAGCTCCTCTTCCAGGCCTGTACTGACGCTGGCCCAGGTCCGATCAGGCACCCAGCCCCCGATTCCGTGGCTGCCCACATGAACCTCAGTGGGCGACCCAACACGTGTGCAATGTTATGAGGGAAGCTTAGGGAAGGGAGGCTGGAGCCAGCCTTGTTGAATCCCCCACTCCTCACCCAGCTCCTGGCATACTGTAGGAGTTCAATAAATGTCTGAGGAACAAATGGAGGAGACTATGAATGTTTTGTGAGGGCTTTCTGCCCCTCAGGCAAAGCATCACAAGATGATATAAGGATACAAAGCCAAAGCTTTTAAAGAAATCCTCATTAACTGAATTAGTCATATTCTGAAGTGGCTTTTATCTTAATGAAATTTCACTGTATCTCAGTATTATTTGAAATAAAGGAGCCATCAGTTTGGATTTAGGAAATGTGGATTTTCAGGGTCTTGGGATTTGATTTCTAGATGTGAGTTGTTTTTCCTCATACACCAGAACCATTCTGTAGCAATATAATGCAAGCCACTTATATAATTTTAAATTTTCAAGTAGTCACATTAAAAGAGTAATAAGATACAAGCGGCTGGGCATGGTGGCTCATGCCTGTAATCCCAGCACTTTCGGAGGCCTAGGAGGGAGAAATGTTTGAGCCTAAGAATTCGAGACCAGCCTGGGCAACATATTGAAACCCCCCCACCAATCTCTACAAAATATCAAAAATTTGGCCAGGTGTGGTGGCACAAACCTGTGGTCCCAGCTACTTGGGAGGTTGAAGTGGGAGGATTGCTTAAGCTCAGGAGGTCGAGGCTGCAGTGAGCCATGATCCCACCACCACACTCCAGCCTGGGTGACAGAGTGAGACCCTGTATCCAAAAAGAAAAAAGAAAAGAAAAGAAGAAAAAGAAAGAAAGGAAAGAAGAAAGAAAAGAAAGAAAGAAGTGAACTTCATTTTAATCATATATTTTATTTAACTCAATATATCCAAAATAGTATTGACATGTAATCAATATTTAAAATTATTAATGAGATATTTTACATTCCTTTTTGTACTAAGTCTTTGAAATTTTACAGTTTCAACACATCTCATTTGGGACTGGCCAAATAAGTACTCAGTAGCCACATGGCCAGTGGCTGGTACCCTGGACAGTGCAGTCACAGACATATGTCCTCTGAGTATTCCTGGAAGGTCCCCTGAGAACTATGACGTTAAGCGGTGGGCAGTGGCTCTGAGCACACAGCTGCAGCCTAGCGAACCAGAGGCCCAGGTCTGTCTGAGGTCACGAGGCACAACCAAAGACAATGAAGAAGAATCCGGAGCCTCTCTCAATTCTCCCAATCCTGGGACAGGGCAGGATCCCTCCAGATCCACCTTTTCTCTGTCGTCTCCTGGATCAGTCTGCTCAGACCTGGGCTGATAGGCCAGAGGTAGGAAGTTTGCTCTTGCTGGTGAAACTTTATTACTTCATTCAACAAGTACCTACTGGGCAGCTACTACGGGCCAGGCACTACTCTAGGACTTGGGATACAGCCGTGAACAAAGCAGTTTCCTGCCTTTGAGTAGATAGACAATGAAAAGTAAACAAAATAAACAAGCAGGTTGAATAATATACTGTACTGGAAAGTGGTGAGTGCTCTGAAAACAAAGGAAAAATAAAACAAGGTAAGGAAATAAGAAGTGCTGGGAGTGGGGCAGGTTACATTAAATTCTGCGGTCAGAGCTGGCCTCATTGTGAAGGTGAGATTTGAGAAGTCTGAATGCACAGAGTTGAAGGAAGTGAGCGAGTTGGCCAGGAGAGTACCCCAAACAGAGAGAACAGGTAGAGCAGAGGCTCTCAGGTGGGCGGGAGCACACCTGACATGATGGGGAAACTACAAAAAGACCTGAATATCTGGAGAAGATTGGGCAAGGGCGAGAGTGTTGGGAGCTGAACTCACAGAGCTAAGGTGTCGGGAAGGAGAAAGCAGATCATTTAGGGCCTTGCAGACCATTGCCAGGGCACTGGCTTTAATTTTGGGAAAAATGAAGAATTGCTATGTGATTTTGAATGTAGTAGCAGTGAAGATGCCGAAAGATCAATGGATTGTGGATGTATTTTGAAGGTAGAGCTAGTGGAGCCTGAGAAAGGGTAGTCAAGGATGACTCCTAGTTTTTTTATTTGAGCAAATTGCAAGATGCCAGCCCAGGAAAGGCTGCAGCAGGGACAGGTTTAAGGGAGAAGATCAGGAGTTCGGTTTGGGGCACGTTGGGTTGGAGATGTCTATTCAACAACCAAAGAGAAATGCCAAGTAGGCCTTTGGAATTATGAGTCAAAATTTGGGAGAAGGGTCTGGGCTAGAGATAGAATTTCTCAATCATATTGGAAATTCTCAGCATATAGACGGAATTTACAGCCCTGGGACTTGGTGAAATCATCCGAGGAGGGAGCACAGAAAGGGGAATCCTGAGGCAGCCGACATGAAGGGGTTGGAGAGGTAAGGAGAAGCAGCACAGAAGACAGAGGAGGAGTAATCAGAGGTAGGCAGAAAACCAAGAGACTACTGTGTCCTGGAAGCCAAAGGAAGAAAAAGGAGTTAACTGTGTGGAATGCTCCTGACAGGTCAAATGAAATGTGACTGGGAAATGGGAACTAACCATTGGATTTAGCAACACGGAGGTCACTGCCGCCTTGATGAGAATGGTTTCCATGGCATGATGGGAATAGAAGCCTGGCTGGGGTGGGCTTCAGAAAGAACATATGGGGTAGAAGTGGAGACAGTGAGTATCAGCAGCTCTTTCAGGAGTCTTGCAAAAGGGGAGCTGGCAGGGTAAACGGATCAAAGAAAGCTTTTCAGAAAATCAACTTTATTAAGGCATAATTTACATATAATAAATTTGAAGTATACAGTTTAATGATTTTTGACAAATGTATGCATCCATGTAACCACCACAACAATCAAGATATATATTACCAGCATCACCCCAAAAGGTTCCTTGTGCTCCTTTTGTCAATCTCTCCCATCATCCCCTCCCCAATCCGCAGCTCCAGGCAACCACAGACCTGCTTTCTGTCTCTGAGATTAGTTTTGCCTTTTCTAAAATGTCGTATAAATTGAATCATATAGGATGTGCTCCTGTGTCTGGCTTTTTTTGCTCAGCATATACTTGAGAAATATCCATGTTGCTGTATCTATGAGTAGTTTCTTACTTTATATTGAGTTATATTTCATTGTATATATATACCGCAATTTGATTACCCATTACTTGTTGATGGACATTTGAGTTGTTTCTAGTTTTGGGCCATTATGATGAAAAATGGTATGAATATTTGTATACAAGTCTTTGTACGGACATCATTTCCTTCCTACTGGGTAGATATCAAGGAGTAGAATCGTTGGGTCATTTAGTGATGTATCTTTCATTTTATAAGAACTACCGAACTGTTTTCCAAAATAACTACATAATTTCACATTCTCACCAGCAATGTATGAGCTCCAAATTCTCCACAGATTTATCAACACCTGATATTGTCCGTCTTTAAATTTTAGAGGAAGTTTTTGTTATTTTTTTAATAGACTTATCTTTGGAAGAGCTTTAGATTCATAGAAAAGTTGAAAAGACAGTACAGGGTAGAGATTTCCAGAATACCCTTCGCCTAGCTTTCCCTCACGTATATTTGTCAAAACTAAGAAATTCACATTGGTATAAAACTAATAGCCCAACTATCAACTCTAATCAGAGTTTTTTGAATTTTCTCACTAATGTCTTTTTTCTGTTCCAAGATATCACTCTGCATTTTGTCATCATGTCTCAGTCATCCCAATCTGTGATCACTTCTTAGTCTTCCCTTGTTTATCATGACCTTAAGGGCTTTGAAGAATACTGGTCATGTATTCTGTAGAATGTTCCTCAGTTTGGGTTTATCTCATGTTTTCTTATAACTCAATAGATTTGAAGAATACCACAGTCGGGAATTGCCCTTCTCATGAGATCGTATCAGCGGGTGAATGATAGCAACATGACTTATCAGCGGTGATGTTAACCTTCATCATTTGGTTAACAAGGTACCTGCTGGGTTTCTTTCCTATAAAGTTACTATTTTCCCTTTCCATACTCTACTCTTTGGAAGTGAGTCACTAAATCCAGTCCACTCTCAAAGAGAGTGGATTTAAGCTCGGCTTCCTGGAGGGGAGAGTATCTACATATGCTATTTGGAATTCTTCTATAGAGAAGATTTTTCCCTTCTCGTTTATTAATTTGTTGAATCACTTATAATGAAGGCATTTTTTTAAAGATGGAAAAAATAACAGGTATTTATTTGTATGTTGATGGAAATGATCCAATAGAGAGCAAAATATTGTGAGTTTCTTTAGTTTCTATAGCAAGTATTGAAAATTTTTTTCACTGTTAGCTTTCCACCAGGCCTTTCCTCATGTCTTTTACAAATTCACTTCTTGGCCAGGCATGGTGATTCACACCTGTAATCTCAGCACAGGAGGCCAAGGTAGGAGGATCACTTAAGGTCAGGAGATCAAGCCCAGCCTTGGCAACATAGCAAAACTGTCTCCCCAAAAATTTATAAAAATAAAACAAAATAAAATAAATAAAATGTTTCATTTACCCACAATTCCGTTTCCTTAGGCCCTGTGGGAGGTCAGCTGTTGATGTCAGGGCCGACACTTCACAGCTGGCCGGTGGAACCAGGTGTCAGTTCTGGTGATCTGGCAGAAGTCCTTGGTACCTGGTGGCAGGGGACCCCTCCCTCCCCAACACACTCACTCTTCACACCTCCTCATCTCCTCAGCCACTCACAGGAGTTCAGTGCAGGGCTGGGGAAGGGCCTGCGTTTTCCTCTGGGTAGGAAAGAGCCAGGTATCCATCATGGGGAGCTGGGGCAGCTATAGGCCTCTGGAGGAGACTGGAGGGACTAAGGGGTCCTTGGGGGATAATTCAACAGGAAGGAAGCAGCAGATAGAATTTCTTGGCTCCAACTCAGAATCCAGAAAAGTGGGCCCTGTGTTTCTTCTGTCCCTTTGTTGGGAGGATGGAACTCTGAGGACAATGATCACAGCCACGAGCCCAGCTAGAGACTCAGGGGAGACATGTCTGAGCACCCCAGGATGCGGGAATGAGATATTCATAACCTTAGAGATCCAGGTTAGAAATTCAATGGTGGAAGCGACAGCCTGGGGAGAGGCCTAGGACAGATCCTGGATGGAACTTGGACCACTGCCAGTGGCCTACCACCTCATTCCCACCCCATCCTCCCCATCCCCACCACACAGAGACCTCTAATCTGGCCTCCAGCTGGGGAGCTCCCCACCCACACACCTGGCCCCTGCAGGGTGTGGGAGTGGTGGAGAGAGAGTGGTGGTGACAAAGTTGACATCTCCTAGGCAGCAGAAATGGTCTCCAGGCATGCATTTTGCAGAGGCTAGCAGAATGGCATCTATGTAGATATGTATATTTGTATATGAATCAATCCACACCCTGCGGTGACACCAGAAAAAACTGTCACCATTGAAAGGAAGGTGGTAAATTCCCTCTCATTCAGAGAATACCTTTCTCTTCTCAACCAGCTGCCCACGGGTTTCTCATCAAGATAGTAATTCATTGTACAGGGAAGGGAACTCACCATGTGGAAATTCCCACTTCCTCGGAGAACAGTGTGCACAGTGTTAACCTTGGTGAGTAAGAATTCCCCCTCCTCTCACACCCCCATTGGCAGCTTTCCTCTCGGAAGCCTGTGGTCACCTTCAGTCTTATCCACATCTGAAAAGTGACGTAGGGGCAAATCTGCCAAGCACCAACAACCCGAGCGATTGGAGCAGATATTGTCATCTTTTTGGTCTGCCCAGCAACCCCTCTGACAATAGCACTTCAGTTTCCTTTGGTGGAAAGCGGCTCTTCCTCCCTCTTTTCATGTGATTCTGGTAGGGGAGGGAGTACGTGACCCAAGCCTGGCCATCACAGAGACACATCTCTCTGGCCACAGGGAAGGACATATAGCCCAAGCTGGGCCAGTCAGTCACCTTTGGCCAACAATGCTAGACTGTAAGGCAGGGCAGAGCCTGTCTGAGGATGGAAAACTAAGAGATGGACAGAGGCCTGAAAGCAACCTCAGAGCTCCTGGGTCCAGCTGGTCTTTTTAGTTATAAGCAACTTATAAGCAACTTTCTTTCTTTCCTTCCTTCTTTCCTCCCTTCCTCCCTCCCTCCCTCCCTCCCTCCCTCCCTTCCTTCCTTCCTTCCTTCCTTCCTTCCTTCCTTCCTTCCTTCCTTCCTTTTCTATTAAATGAAATTTATAGGAGGTCACTGATTTGGGCTGAGCTCCTGCAGGAGGCCCCAGTAGACCAAACCAAGATGGAGTCACTCATGCTAAGTTCCATATCACCAAACTGAAACTAAGTCATCAGACCTTCCCAGAACTCAAGACAGAGAGAGATAATATGCAAATCCCCAAACAGGCCAGTTGTAGCCAGCATGATAAGGAAGTCCCCTCTACTTTAACCTTTATAAGGAAAGTAACCTGAAGTAACCTGAGCTTACCAATCTGCTTTTTGTTCCCTGTGTCTGCTTTCTTCACCCTTTTCTGCCTATAAAGCCAAGCTTCTCTGTTTAGCTCATCAGAGCACTTTTCCTAAAGTTTTAGAGGAGATGCTGCCCCAATTCATGAATTACAAATAAAAACCAATTCAATCATTTAACTAAATGTGTTGTAATTTTGCCTTTCGACATTTCTCCCTTTTTCTTTCTGTTCTCTCTCTTTCTTCCTCCCTGTCTCCGCTTCTCCCTTTCCTACCTATTTTGGCTCAGGCCAGTTTGAATTTGGCTTTTGTCTCTCACACTAAAATTTTTCCAAAAAATACCCTAATGGCATTGTCGCCTCACACGCCTGCTTGTCCCGCAACATTGGTTGAGAAAGGCTTAAGGTCTCTGTTTTTGAGTTGTCACAAGGGGACTGAACCATTCCAACCTACAACCTCTTTTGTCCCGTAAAGTGTAAAATAAGAATATCTTTTTAAGATTGAATACATGTATTTTTCTATTATACAAGTCATACAAATATTTAATTTTAAATGAGAGAAAGGGGAAAAATCAGTCATAGTCCAGCAACTGTGATTTTAGCTTATTTTATTAATAGCTTATTTCCTTACAAATATTTCCCCACACGTTTATTTAGTCGCAGGCTTCATGCATACAAAATGCACACTGCTATGATCATCGTAACCATCAGCAAGCAGGCATTGTCATCAGCGCTTCTTTATTTCTGTGGTTTCTCAGTCTCTTTTATTTTCTTTCTTTAAAAAAGAAAAAAAACTTTTTTTTTTCCTGGTCAACAGGGCCTGGGCAACATGGCAAGACTGTCTCTTTAAAAAAGGAAGAAAAAAATTAGCCAGGTGTGGTGGTGCATGCCTGTGCTTCCAGCTACTTGAGAGGTTGAGATAGGAGGATCGCTTCAGCATGGGAGGTCAAAGCCACAGTGAGCCGTGTAAAATAAAAACTAAAAAAGAGGAAAGAATAAACTTAGTTTTTTGAAGAGACACTATGTTGCTCAGGCTGGCCTCAAATTCCTGGCCTCAAGCGATCCTCCTACCTCAGCCTCCCAAAGCACTAAGATTACAGGGATGAGCCACACTCAGCCCAAAGTCTCAATTTTCCATGACTTTTCTTCATGGAGGTAGAGTTGTGAGATGGGAAACTACGTCAGTCACCTACAACAATGCCAACACACCTGTTAGGTGGGAGCTCTTCCGTCACCTGGAGTTTTTATGCTGAGGCCTGGGTCCTGCCCCCAGAGATTCTGCCTCAGTCAGTCCGGGGTGGTTTCCGATGAGCCTTTCCGAGTGGCTCCTGGGTGACACCCACGCTGGCAGGCCTCAACGTGTAGGAATGCTTTTGCTATCCAGATGATAAGCATATTCAAGTTTGAGAAGCCAAGATATAGACAAGTCCTGATTTCAGTTTAGTAGTCATTTACTAAACACGATTCATGCACCTGTGGTTTTCAGAAGCATACATTTCTCTTGGGGACCAAGTTTCCGAAGGGGTATGACCCACAGCTTCAAGCCTAAAGCCCTTGGGAACTGCCAACTTCACATAACCTAAATGGGGAAAACATTAGAGAAGGGTTTCTTTCACTATTGTCTCATACTCTCCCTTCAAATGGCTCAAGGTTAAGGGCAGGCTGTGGGGGAGCTGGAACCTTTGGTGCAGTTTCATAGTTCTCGAGGTTTGGGGACTATGTCAGGGGATGCAGTGATGAATAACCCAAAACATGATCCCTGCCCTCTAGGAGCTGACGACCAGTGGGAAGATGACCACAAAATAAATAACTGCTACAAACTGGGAAATAGTTGGGGCACAGAAAGGCACAGGGTGCCCTGGGAGCAAAGAAGAGGCACTAGCCAGCCCTTGGCGACCAGGGGAGACACCCTGGAAGCAGAGCTGAGGGAGGGTTAGCCACGTGGAGGAAGGTGGGAAGGGCATCCCTGGCAAAGGGAAGAGCAAAGGCAAGGAGGTACAAAACATCATGGTGCCTTTGGGTGTGGAATGGTGAGCAATGGAGCAGGAAGGCAAGGTGGGGCCAGGCCCAGACACCTGCAATTGGATGGGCAGGTGGAGCCTCTGAGATCTCTAGTCCTCAGCCCAACATGGGGCCAGCTTAAGACCATTTGAGAATTTTCCACCAGTCCACTAAGTGGAGTGACTCAGCTTCTCTGATTACTTGTGGTTTCACCTCAAAGGCACCACATTTGGTCAATAAATCCCCAAGCCTGGTCTAGGCCTGCTCACACCTGGCTGTAACCACACATTTTCTAAGGACAAGGACAACGTGTTGGTTAAGTTGCTAGTAGCCAACATATATAGCGGGGGCTTACATGAAATACAGGCATATTTTCACTGAGAAACAACAGGATGCATACAGTGGTCCCATGGTCAAGGTTAAGCATGTCCAGTGTTCTAATCTGCCACCCTTAACTGCCTTGCTACCCAAAGTGGGACCATGGTCCAGCAGCAAGTGCCTCACTGGGTGCTTGTGGCAAACACAGAATAAGCTCTACTTCAGACCTACTGAACCACAGTCTGCATTTTAACAAATCCCCAAGTGATTTATTTGCAAACCGGCATTTGAACAAGTTGGCTTTATTACTGGTTGCAATGAGGAAGATATCATGGGGGCACCATTTCACTAAAAAGGTGTTCAAAGGGACTTTTAGGCTTTGGGCTTTGGTTAGGTGAATTTGGGGAGGGTCTAGGAGGGAAGGGCTTGCTCTGCATTGTCTGCTGTCTGGAAATGGGACAATTCTGCAGCTGGGTATGTTAGTAAATCTTATCTATAAGGACAGAAGACAAGATCAAGGCTATAGTTATAGTTGATAAGGAGGCCCCTGTCACTTAATGAGCCAGAAGGGGGTGTGTCTAGTGTTTTGTGGAGTTGTTTGTGCTTAGACAGAGTTAGGAAGGGGTCTCTTTTGACCTCTTCATCACAGTTGCAGACTGGCGACTGACATCAGTGTTTGCAAAAATAGCCAGGCAAGCTTTTAATAAGATTAAGCCCTAGCTCAAAGTGTCAGGCCATTTCCCGGATGTCAGGGGATACTTTTTCTTTTTTCAGCATTAAAGGTTGAGAGTCAATGTT
This sequence comes from Homo sapiens, assembly GCF_000001405.40. Taxonomy (NCBI): domain Eukaryota; kingdom Metazoa; phylum Chordata; class Mammalia; order Primates; family Hominidae; genus Homo; species Homo sapiens. The sequence continues at coordinate 100,498,622 of NC_000008.11, read as the reverse complement.
TTAGTTTGTGGCTTCCTTTTTCAAGGTTGCCTCATGGCCCAATATGGTTGCTAGAACTCCAGCCATTACATTAGTGTTTTACGGTTAAGAAAGAGGGTGGGGAGAGTCAATTTCTTAGATCCCTTTAAGAAGCTTTTAAGGCCAGGTGCAGTGGCTCAAGCCTGTAATTCCAGCACTATGGGAGGCTGAGGTGGGAGTGTCAGAGGCATTTGAACCAGAGGGACTCCATCTTGAGTAGGGGCTGGGTAAAATAAGACTGAGAACTACTAGGCTGCATTCCTAGAAGGGTAGGCATTCTAAGTCACAGGATGACATAGGAGGTCAGCACAAGAAACAGGTCACAAAGACCTTGCTGATAAAACAGGCTGCTGTAAAGAAGCTGGTTAAAACCCCCCAAAAGCAAGATAGTGATAAGAGTGATCTCTGATTGTCCTCACTGCTCATTATATGCTAATTATAATGCCTTAGCATGCTAAAAGACACTCTCATCAGCACCATGGCAGTTTACAGATGCCATGGTAAGATCTGGCAGTTACCCTATATGGTCTAAAAATGGGAGGAACCCTCAGCTCTGGGAATTGCCCACCCCTTTTCCACAAAACTCATGAATAATCCACCCCTTATAGCCTGGCTATTTTTGCAAACACTAAATAATTAGCATATAATCAAGAAATAACCATAAAAATGGGCAGCCAGCAGCCCTGGAAGCTGCTGTGCCTATGGAGTAGCCATTCTTTTATTTCTTTACTTTCCTAATAAACTTGCTTTCACTTTACTCTATGGATTCACCTCGAATTCTTTCTTGTGTGAGATCCAAGAACTCTCTCTTGGGATCTGGATCAGGACCCCTTTCCTGTAACAGGAGGATAACTTGAGCTTAGGAATTCAAAACCAGCCTGGGCAACATGGCAAGACCCCATATCTACCAAAAAAAAAAGTTAGCCAGGCATGGTGGCATGCACCTGTGGCCACAGCTACTCAAGAGGCTGAGATGGAAGGATCACTTGAGCCCAGGAGGTGAAGGCTGCACTGAGCCACGTAAACCAACAATAAAATTCTAAGGCCCCCCCGCCAACCATCTGAATGGACCCTTCCTCTTAGCCAAGGGCATTCCAAAGTTAACCTGAAAAACTAGTTCAGGCCATGATGGGAAGGGGGAGTCAGACATGCCTCATTCTACCCTCCTCCCTTCAAAACCCCTCATCATAACCCAGACATTCTTTTCTATCGATAATAACTCTTTCAACCAATTGCCAATCAGAAAATCTTTGAATCCACCTATGACTTGGAAGTCCCACCTTTCAGTTGTCCCACCTTTCCAGACCAAACCAATGTACATCTTACACATATTGATTGATGCCTTATGCTCCCTAAAATGTATAAAACCAAGTTGGGCACCAACCACCTTGGGTACATGCTGTCAGGATCACCTGAGGTTAAAGGTGTGCTCTTAACTTTGGCAAAATGAACTTTCTAAATTGATTGAGACCTGTCTTTGACACTTTTGATTTTACAGCTGTGATCCTGCTGCTGCACTCCAGCCTAGATGACAAACTGAGACTCTGTCTCAAAAAAGAGAGAGAAGCTTTTGGGACCCCAGCCCCAATAATTTTCATTTATACCTCATTGGCTGTCCCTAGTTTCAAGAGATTTGGGAAGTACAGTCTTTTACTTGGATGTATTGCTGCCTGCCACCCCCCACCCCCATCCCAAATCAAGTACTTTTAGTAAAGCAGAAAGAGAAATTGGGAATTGGTAGGTGACTGACTGACAGTCTCTATCTCAGACAGGGAAGCCAGGGCTCAGGAATGGGGAAATTCCAGGCCCTGGAGGGTGAATATTTTTTCTTCTCTTCTTTATCAGTGCTTAACATTCCTGCAACCAGAATTGCCCTGAGCTTCCTTGGTAAAAAAGAAACAACCTGTCTGCCCCATCTGTAAGAAATGTTTATAAGGCAGAATTCCCTTCTCAGGTTTTCTATCCTGCTGGCTGGGAAAGTAGGAGTGATATATAAATGTAAGAGTCAGAACAGCCCCCAAGGCCATGGCCACGGTGGGAGAACTGTAGGGATAAAGAAGGAGATCGGTCTGCTCTACAGGAAGGCTTTATCCCATCCTTAGGGAAGGTGAATGATCCTTAAAACAAGGCAGTCAGAGCTAGTAAGAAGGAAGCCTGGCTTCCCTTTTCATTCCACAAACCAGCACAACTCAGAAAAACGAGTTTCAGGCACCATGTGACCTGCTGCTGAGGCGCCCTCAGAAAGGGTGGTGAGTGTCTCAGCATATGTTGTCCTCATGACACCTTCCACTTACCCACCCTATCCTCCACTCCAGGTTCTGGATCCCCTTTCGTCCCCATGATAATCCCTTTCTGCAGGAAGGGAAACTGAGGCTTAGCAAGGGTTAAGCAACTTGCTCAAGATCATACAGCTTCTAAACAGCAGAGCCTAGCTTTCCACCCAGTTTGACCCATCCCAGCCCCTTCTCCTTCCACTCCCTTTCACAACAGGGAGGCTCTGGCCTAGACTTTTAGGGCCCAGCTCTGAGCCAGGTGATCACTCCTTTCCTGCAACCTCAGCTTCATCGCTTTCACGCACGTCCGTGTGAAGAGACCACCAAACAGGCTTTGTGTGAGCAACAAGGCTGTTTATTTCACTTGGGTGCAGGCGGGCTGAGTCCGAAAAGAGAGTCAGCGAAGGGAGATAGGGGTGGGGCTGTTTTATAGGATTTGGGTAGGTAAAGGAAAATTACAGTCAAAGGGGTTGTTTTCTGGCGGGCAGGGGTGGGGGTCACAAGGTGCTCAGCGGGGGAGCTTTTGAGCCAGGATGAGCCAGGAGAAGGAATTTCACAAGGTAATGTCATCAGTTAAGGCAGGAACAGGCCATTTTCACTTCTTTTGTGGTGGAATGTCATCAGTTAAGGCAGGAACCGGGCCATCTGGATGTGTATGTACAGGTCACAGGGGATATGATGGCTTAGCTTGGGCTCAGAGGCCTGACAATTGCCTTCCAAGCCATCCTCCCATTTCCCAGGTGAGGGTCTTAGGGTGGGGCAGGAAGAGACTGAAGGATGCAATATACTTGTAAAAAGACGTCTAGCTGACAAAACTGCCTCTTGCAGCCATTTAGACCCATTTCCCCTAATTCGGGCAACTCAGAATATGAGAAAAGCATTCAGCTGTTGCAAGAGTGTTATTTTACTCATTACAGAGAACAATTATTTTGAATCTATGAGAATTGTCTAGAAGTCACATGTCATTTTCACTTTCACCTATTAACGCTGAAGCTTGCATTCAGCTGTTTAAAAACCTTCCTAGTGCAGAGGTAGCTGGCAGCTAGCAGCCCGCAGGCAGGCTGGGTCTCAGGCCTGTGCCCGAAGCCACTGCTCTATGGAAGCATAGACCCACTCAGCAAGCTGCAGTGCTAGGCTCAAACCTGAATATATTTTGAAAGAAAGAAAGGCCTGCCAAAAGGACACAGTGAACCAACAGGAAACAATCAACATCTGCCATTATCTGGACTCTCCCCCTGCTTGGGAGCTGCGTTCAGCACGGTCAGGGAGCCGAGGGAGGGAGGAATGGGGCTGAGAGAAAATGGAGTTCCTGGGCCTGGGTGAGACCCCCTCGCCTATCTGCCTGCCTCACTCCCAGGCTCTGCAGTGGGCCAGGAGCCAGAGCCAGGACTCGCCTACAAGGGACATCTGTGAAGCTCTTTGAGCCGAAGGCCAAAGCTGCTGTCTCTATGATCAGGGATTCCGACAGCAGAGTCCCCAGTGTCCTGGCTACCATGTTAGTAGAGTCATGTTTCAGTTTACTGGGTACAGAGGAGACCCACTGCATGGGGCCAAGCAGAGGGTGTGTGTGTGTGTGTGTGTGTGTGTGTGTGTGTGCGTGCGTGTGTGTGTTTGTACACACCTGCAGTTCTGGGGAGTCAGGGTATTTGCATAACACACATATCTTTGCAGATACCAGACAAACAGGAAGTTTCAGAACCTAGTCCGTTTCCTTTCGCTGTGAATCAGTAGCCGCTTTTTTCTCACATAGAAATGATGACAATCACAGGGTAGGCCATGGACGCGGAGTTCACGCGAACAGCACAAATGCCTCCAAAGTCTCCTCCGGTCAAGGGACTCCCTGTATTCTCCATCCCTGCACTCACTTCTGCGGCCATGGCCCCGCCCGCCGGCTTCCTAGAGCGCTTGAAGACACCTCTGAATCCCAGCCACACACCAGGAGCACAACAGACTCCCGCCACACAACATCTGTTACACTAACGCTTGGAATGGGGTCCAGCCAGGAGGCTTGGGGGAGCCCCCACCCCCGAGTTCCCGGTGAGGCTCTTGTCACAGAGAGGGACTGCAGAGTAACAATCACGCCCTGGACTTGGCGCTGGAATGCCTGGGCCCAGAATCCCATTCTTCCCAGCAAGGCCTTGGGCACGCATCTGGCCCCTCTGAGACTGGGCTTCCCTGTCAGTTAAATGAGGCTGATAACGGCTACCCTGCAGGTTTGGGGTTAACATTACATATAAAACGGAGGAGGATTAGGTGGCAAATCAAAGCACAGGCTTTGACCGGGCACAGTGGCTCACACCTGTAATCCCAGCAATTTGGGAGGCTGAGGCAGGAGGATCATTTTAGCCTAGGAGTTCCAGACCAGCCTGGGCAACACAGTAAGACCCTGTCTACAAAAAAAGTACAAAAATTATCCAGGCATAAAAGTGTGTGCCTGTAGTCCCAGCTACTCAGGAGGCTGAGAAAGGAGGATCACTTGAGCCCAGGAGTTTGAGGTTACAGTGAGTTATGACCATGTCACTGCACTCCAGACTGGGTGAAGGAGTGAGACCCTGTCTCAAAAAAAAAAAAAAAAGAGAGAGAGAAAGAGAAAAAACCCAGGCTTTGGAGTCAGATACTTGAGTTCACATCTCAGCTTTACCATGTATTGGCTATAAGCCTTTGGGCAGATTACCTAAGTTTCTTAAGTCTTCATTTCCCCATCTGTAAATGGGAAAAAGTGGAAATAAGAGAGCGTCTACCTGAGAGTCTATTGGGAGGGCTAAATGATATAATCACTTAGCCCCAGGCACAGTGCCTGGCTCACAGGAAACTCTGAATAATGTGAAGCAGACTTCTCACCACCTCCTCCCCTCCTCCCTCTTCACACCCACCCACTGCCGCAAGAGGCATGAGTTAGGGACCGCAGCAGCTCTCCTTCTCCAGCTTGTGCCCAGAACCTGGGCTGGCCCCTAAAAAGGCTTAATAAATCAGTTAAATAAACAAATGGAAACTCCTGGTTCATAGCATGGGCTAAGGAAATATATCTATAAAAACATACATTTAAACAAAAGCCAAAGACCAAATCCCACCCTCTCTGTTTTTGAACTTCCTATGAGGGTACAGTATAGAAGAATGACTACAAACATCACAAGCTTTAACAGCAGTCAGGTCTGGTTTGCATCCTAGCTCTGCCACTCAAAAGTGGTGTGTCCTTTAAGCTCTCTCAGCCTCCCTTTCCTCATCTGTAAAATGGACATCATATAGTCACTCAGCCACACTGGGTTGGTTTTGGTTTAAATGAGATAATTAATGCATGCAAAGCACTTAACACAACGCTCCTCCTGCAATAAGCATGTGGAAGAATGTGTCAGATAAATCCCACGCTCGGGACCTTAGAAGAAGATGATGTTCTTTTTTCAGGACAAGCCTTGGGGCCGATCTCCCCTGTGCCTCATTTCTCTTGGTCCTCTCATTCCCAAAAAAACTTCCTCTCCCTCCTGAAGCCTAATGGTCTTCTCTTGTTGAACAGCTGGTGCTCCTACCCACTGTGGGACTCCTGAAGAAGACAGTGAGCTACAACCCACGCCCTTCTACCCGCCACCTCACCCCAGCCACAGTAGGAAAGTAGAGGGTGCAAGAGGCCCGTCTCTGTGCAAGGAAGAAGGCACACTCACCCAGGCATTTCTCCAGGGCATGTTTGTTTCACTGGCAAGTGCTCCAAGGGGAAGTCCGGGGTGCCGTGGAAGCATAGGATAGCTGTGAAGGTCTGGCATCGGACAGCCTGGCTTGGAATCTAAGGCTCTGCCACACACGAGGCTGTGTGATCTCAGGCAAATCGCCTACCCTCTCTTAACCTCGATTTCCTAATCAGTAAAATGGGAACTAATCTTAGTACCCAGGGCCGATGTTGAAAATATTCAATAACCAGCTGAGGCACTAACCTATTAAATGGCAGGCAGCCAGTACAAGGGTGCACCTGCTAAATATTAGCCCTGCTCACCTCTCCTGCAGAGGTTGCTGTGACACCTGATATGTTGCAAACACTGCTAAACATTTGCCACTATTTTTACTATTTTGATGTTGAACTCATGTCCTGCAGTTCCTAGCCTCCAGTGGAGGGCAGTTCAGTGAAGGTGGTGACCCTAAACAGACCTGGCTTGGTTCTCCCTGAGGCTAACTAAGGCTCATTTCCCTTCTTGCCTCCCTATGTTCTGTAAAAGGTCACAGAACTGCTGAGTATGGGATGAGACCTTAGTCTTACCTGTCCATGTAAGTCTTGGACAACATTCCTCTGCTGCCCATGGATGGGAGCTGGTTTCCCCATGAACGTTCTTTGTAAATTTTCATCGCAGCAATGTAGAAACCAAATATCTAATGGCCCCATCACTGAGTACACATTTGCAGTACAGACCAAGCCCATGTGTAGCTAACATATCACACCTGGGGGGCCTCTTGCCTTGTCTGGAAGGAATGCCTGGAGATGTTGCTTGTGCACATATCACTGGACAAGTTTCTCTCTCAGGGGCCAGAGGTGCTGCCCCTCATGTTATCACTCCTTGGACCTGTGTTTTTAAAAGGGCTCCCAGGGCATTCAGGGCAAGGAGGCAGCCCTCCATAGCAGCAGGAGTTTAAGCTCAGTCATCCCCAGCTCTGCATCCTGTGCCCCAACAATGCAGGGCCACAAATATCAAGGACATGAAGCCTAGCTGCCCAGAGATCAAGGTCATCTCTGCCCCCAGGGAAAGCCTGCTGGAGTCCGAATCTGGTAGCAGCCAGGACAGCTGGTCACCCAGGGAGGCCTGTGATTCCCTGCCTGTGCTGTGACAGCCCACTGGACCCTCCCATTGTGAGGATTAATAGAAACCATCCCTCTCCTGCAGTCCCAGCAGTACCAGCAGCCCCGGCAGTACCAGCAGCCCAGGCTGCACATCCATGAAGTCCCCTCCTGTCATCTCATAAAAGATGCTCCCACTGCAGACAGCATGGAAGCCAGCCAGGGAGGGGGATGACTAAGCCTCAGAGCTCTAGCTCGGGAAATGCAACTGATATGATTGCTGTCCACCGAAGCCAAAGAACAACATGCAAACCCAAATGGGATTTTCTGGTAGCTGTTTTATCCATGGATTTAAAAAAATTAGAATCAGAACCTTCATGAATAGAGTCCAGCAGGAATCCATCCATGGGTTATGGGAGCGCCTGTATCAGTCCTTGGCTATGTCATGACTAGGCACAACATGACATAGCAGTGTGCTCACCAAGCTGCCACTTCTTGTGTGTAAGCTATGTTCTCGCTCAGTCAGGTTTTTGTATATATTTTCTCACCTTTGATTTATTCCTTCCCAAAAACCTATCAGGAAGACATTATATAATACAAACAATTAATTGGTAACATTTATGAAACTTTTTCAGTGTGCCAGGGACTGTGCTCCATGCCTTTAACTAATATCTCTTTTATTCCCTCCAAGAACCTCCAATGAAGTAAGTACTGTTATTGCCCCATTTCATGAATGAGGAAGGAGAGAACTGGGACCCCATCCCAGATCTGCTGCCCCTGGAGCCAGTGAGCTTCCTGGTGGCTTCCTCCTGCCTCCTGTGTGAGTTCTGCTTCCTCTCATTCATCTCCTGCTTATGCAGGCAAGGGCCAGGGGGCTGCAGACCCATGGCCAGAACTTGGGCGGCTGAATTGGCCAAGCTCCAGGATGCAAAGCTGCCTGGCTCCTGGCAGTTCAGAATTCTGGGGCCGTGCTCACCACCTCCCTGCCCAGGAGATATCAATACAGACCATGTCAGCTCTCCTGTTCACACAAATAAAATAACTTTCATTTGTGCGTCAGCGTGGAACATTATTACTGACTAATGTCCCTGGCTTGCACTAAGGTCCACTCTTGGCATTGTACATTCTATGGGTTTGTAATGACACGTGTAGGGGCCAAGGAAAACTTCCCCTTCACCCTCTGAAGTTTCACTGAAAATTAACAGACAAAAGGCAGATGAATAGGAGAAAAGGCACACACATCTATTTGGTCATAGTGTTACATGACAGGGGAGCCTTCAGAACGAAGACCCAGAGATGCAGGGGACTCTGCCCACTTTTAAGCTTAGGTGCAACAAAATATTTAGAAATGTGATTGGACAAAAAAGGGAATGAGCTAATGCTCATAGAGTGAGTGGGGCCCCCCAGCAAGCCCTGTCTAGATTCCTCGTGGCCTCTCTGGGCAGCATTGCTTCCTGCTGGGTACGGGGCAGGGCCCTCTCTCGAATGGGGGTCTTACGACCGACAACCAAACAAGGCAGGTTAGATGATTTCCTTATGACACATTTTTACACAGAAAGGTGGTGGGGTGGGGGTGGAAGTTAGAGTCATATTTTTAGGTTTTATGACTGGCTTTGGGGAAAAGGGGTTTGGAAGTTTCTATGACCCACCTTGGGAAAGAGGACTTCTGGTTTCTATGGCTAACCTTGGGGGAGAATGAGGTCAGGGATGGGAGGGCAGGAGAAACTTTTGCTTCTGAGGCATTCATTTGGGGGTATTGTTTTCTGAGCCCCAGCCCATATATCCACCATTCTGGTATGATATAGAATTGTTTCACCGGCCTTAAAATCCTCTGTCCTCTGCCTTTTCATCCTTCCTTCCCTCTTAACCCCTGGCAATCCCTGATGTTTTCACTGTCTCTATAGTTTTGCCTTTTCTAGAATGTCATACAGTCATGTATAGATGTAGCTTTGCAGGCTGGCTTCTTTCACTTAACAATATGTATTTAAGGTCTTTCTGTGGCTTTATAACTCATTTAAAAAAAAGAAATCCAAGATTTTAACTCATTTCTTTTTTTTTAATCACCAAATAATATTGCATTGTCTGGATGTACCACAGTTTATTTACCCATTCACCTATTGAAGGACATCTTGGTTGCTTCCAGGTTTTGGCAAGTATGAATAAAGCTACCATGAATATTTGTGTGCAGGTTTTTTTTTTAGACAGAGTCTCACTCTGTCACCAGGCTGGAGTGCAGTGGTGTGATCTCGGCTCACCACAACTTCCGACTCCCTGGTTCAAGCGGTTCTCCTGTCTCAGCCTCCTGAGTAGCTGGGATTACAGGCATGTGCCACCATGCCCAGCTAATTTTTGTATTATTAGTAGAGATGAGGTTTCACCGTCTTGGCCAAGTTGGTCTTGATCTCCTGACCTCGTGATCCACCCCACCCGCCTCGGCCTCCCAAAGTGCTGAGATTACAGGGTGAGCCACCCTGCCTGGCCTGTGTGTAGGTTTATATTTATTTATTTATTTATTTTATGAGACAGAGTTTCACTCTTGTTGCCCAGGCTGGAGTGCAATGGCACAATCTCGGCTCACCGCAACCTCTGCCTCCTGGGTTCAAGCAATTCTCCTGCATCAGCCCCTTGAGTAGCTGGTATTACAGGCATGTGCCACCACGCCTGGCTAATTTTGTATTTTTAGCAGAGATAGGGTTTCTCCATGTTGGTCAGGCTGGTCTTGAACTCCCGACCTCAGGTGATCCATCCGCCTCAGCCTCCCAAAGTGCTGAGATTACAGGCGTGAGCCACCGTACCCGGCCTGTGTGCAGATTTTTATATGGAAGTTTCCAACCCATTTGGGTAAATACCAAGGAGTGTGATGCCTGGATCCTATGGTAAGACTATGTTTGGCTTTGCAAATAGTATTCTAAACTTAATTTTACTCTGGATGTTTCATGTTTTAATGGGATTACTTGGTTTAGGGATGGGATTACTTGGTTTAGGGATTTGCAACCCTTCCAGCAAGAGCAAGAGCCTTCCTAAGTCCCCGGGTATGACAGCCCATGGGTCCCCTCCCTCCCTTCCTCAGCCTCCCTGTCACTCTCCATTCAGCTGAAGCTGCTCTCAAACCCACCTGGATTCTACATAAACAGCCTGGTTCATACCTTCTCCAAGGCAGGAAAGTGATTGTTGAGATTTAAAACCAGCTAAAATGCAGTTCCTGCTGAGGGTACACAAAGATCTCATTTATATCAAGCTAAATAGTTTAGAATGTCAATCAAATTTGAAAGAAATATTTTGGGAAAATTCTGAAATATAGCCAAACTCATTGTTATATATATTATTCTAATATGACCTGAATTTTTATGTCTTCCTTCTTTCTCTTCCCTGAATGCTGTTTCTCTTATTGAATCACTCCTTCCTTTTCTCGACATACATACCTCTAACAGGTAGGGGCAAGTCTTATTTGTCTTTGTAATGCCTAAGCAAATATTTATTGAATGAGTATTTTGGAGAAAAGTATCCTGTTTTCCTTCCGGTTTGGCAAGGTCTTTCCACTGAGTTCACCTTTGCAGGGGTGACCCCATGAGCAGCATTGGAATGTCATTCACATGCTGACATCATAGGTGTTGAAATGTACTGTTGACTTCCCCAGGTCACAGAATCTTGGAGGAGATGATCAGGGTAGGAGTTGAACCTCAGGGGTGCATCTTGGGATTCCAGGCCTTTCTCATCAGCTCCTAGAGGAGTGTTGCTGCCATCAGAGTCCTTGCACACTGTCCCTTGGGGTCTCACCACTCCTTATACCATGGAGGGTCGCTGCCGTCCCGCCACCAGGGGTACCATCACCTCGGCTTTGCTCCAGCTGTTCCCGCCAATTTCCAGAGGAGCTCCTGGTGCCTTGGGCCCCTGATACTGTGCTGCTCTGTAAGCTCTGTAAGCCCCTCAGCCCTGGGTTTTCCATTCTTACCAAGCTCCTCAAAGGAAGCCTGTTGATGGCTGGTTTGTCTGATTAACCTGTGCTGCCTCTACTGAAGAAACGAACTCAAATTTCCAGACAGCACTTTGAATGACATGTCATATTCAGCATCTCTCCCTCCTCCTCATGATCCAGGTTTGGCCCAAGAAGAGCCCTGCTCACGGAGACCCTCCTCCCACCTCACAAGAGGATAGCTCACCCTCCCTGCTGTGTTTAGGGGCCCTAATTTTGGCATCCTGGGTCTTGCCTGCCAGCTCCAGTGTCCTCGTCACTTTTATACTCCCCTAGGGTGTGAGCTCTCTGAAAAGCAGAGTTTTGGTGGACCCTGCTCCCATTTCAGAATCCCTGTGTGGGGCGTGCTGAGTGGGCCCAGCTTTAGTTAGGGTAGGCTGAACCACCATTAAAAAAAGATCCCAAGGCATGCTGGCTGAAATATGGAAGTGTATTTCTAGACCACCTTCCCGCGTGGAGGCTCCACGGGGGACCCAGGGACCCAGGCTTCTTCCAGCTATGGCTCCATCATCACCCAAGGGCTTTGAGCCACTGCAAGGGGAACAGGAGTGTGGAAGGGGCAGGCTGCTGTCTGAGAAGCCCCTCACTCCACTGGCCAGAATTCGTTTGTGGCCACCCCAAATGCAAGAGGGGCTGGTAAATACTGCCTAGTTCTTGCCCAGCAAGAAGTAGAGAATGGGTTTTAGTGGAAAGCCAATAGCCCCTGCCACAGATCTCATTTCTCTTCCTCCAATTGCTCCTTCTCTTACCTGCTTACTCGCCCCATGTGTCACTTTTGCATTGTAAAGGACTGAGGATTTTATAACTCCAGGACTAATACAATCAAGAGGCAGCCACCTATTGCTCCTAAGAAGCAGATAATAGAATCTGCTCACCAAGAGTAATCATTACTCTCTTGTAACACACATCATATCCCAGCACTGGTCTGCATTAATGTTCTTTGAGTTTTTATTTTGTTTGTTTTAAAATTTATTGTCCATGCTGTTATTCATTATCCCCAGGCCTCACTGATGTGTACAAGTTCCAGGGGAAATTAAAGCCAAACATTAGCAAATATCTTCCCTGAGCACAAGTACATTTCAGAGCTTCCAGCTCAGTATCAGTCTTGTGATATTAACCTTTGAATAGGTTATGTGAATCCCATTCAGACACATTCAATGTGTTTACAATGATATTGTTTGCAGAAAACAGGACCAGACTTGGGATTACAACCCTTGACACAAGCATGTAGCTTCCACCCCAAATCCAATGAAGGCTGGTCCTTGAATCTGCCAAGGAACAAGAGAAGTCAAGTTGATTTAGGGGCGTGCTGGACATCTGAATAATGTGCACTTTGAGTGTGGAGATGAGGGAGGAGCAAAGGGAGAAGAGGGGATCAAAGGCGGCATCTCCAGAAATTGCATGGTGGTCCATGGAAATTTGTCCAACTGGAGGTAGCCATCTACCTTGTGGTAACAGACTCCCCCAGTTTTGTGTCACCCCGGGTTCCCTTTTCTTTTCCTAATTCTTCTTATTATGAGTGTCCTGCTAAGGGGTTCTGTTCTTGTTTTTCTCCCTGTTTGTGCCTCAGAGAAAGTATTCTATCTTGTGACATCTTGGGATTACTTTTATACCCAGGCCTCTCAAATTAACATCTCCCACCTGAGACTTCCCCTGAGGCTCCAGGTGGGTGAAGCCAGCAAGGCACATCCCTGAGATGATCCACTTCGCATCAGACTCTGTCAAAGGCAGAACAGAGCTCGGCTGTCACATGGGATTCCCAACCCTTTCTGTTGAAGACATTTATCTCCACATTGCTAGAAAGGGGGTTGTGACTGGGCCAAGTCTTGCTGTGGGCAGGATCCATGGGTTGATGACACTAACCCAAACGTGCTGGAGACGTCTTTTCTTCTTATCAGTTTACAGCTTCTCACATGTCGTCACCAAAGTCTGTGTTTTCTGTCACGCTGCCTCCTGGATTCATTTCTTCCTCCTCACCTCCATTCCTACCACTGCGGATCCACACAGAATGCCATCATCTTTGACCCCACACTCCACACTCCAACTTGGTTACACATCACCTTCTTTGCAAGTTTAGTTTCATCCAACCCCATGATGGTTCTTTCTTAAGGAATGTTCCCAGGAAAGAGATGACAGCTTTCTGGCTGAGGCATGTTGGAGCCCTAGCAGTAGGGATTGCTAAAGGAAGCAGAAAACCAGGAAAAGCTGGGGTCAGGGCTTTGGGGACAACCATGCTGAGGGGGCCTGTGTGGAGAAGACCTGGCGATACTCACATTAATCATGGTGGTCACAGTGGCCTTGGAAACCCAGTCTTAATTCCAGCTGGCATCACTGTCCAAGAGCATCCCGTCAGTTGGGAGGACAACAGGAGCTTCTGGGCAGCAGGAACGCTCAGTCAAGTGACAGGCAGCATCATGATGCAGGTGGCTTTTCCATTGGAGCTCCCCTTTCTCTTGGGGTATGATCCAGTATCCTCAATTTAGCAGACAAAGCCTTTTGCAAACCACCACATCCATCCTACTTCCCAGCATGAATCTGGTATCCCAGGCACCAATGGAATCATCTCTCACCTGTCACAGCTGTGTGTCCCACCTGGTTTCTGAGGTGATGTGAGCACTGTGATGAGGTGAAAGGACTTCCTCTCCCCACTTCAAGGTCCAGAGCTCGTTTGCTGCCTCAGACTCCCTGAGCTGCCTGAGCTGCAGCCTTCCTTTCTCTCATCCTCTGGGGGATGGACTTCAGCTTTGGTCTTCCCCACTGGAAATTCAATTTGACTCTAAAACTGGGCCCACAGCCTGACAGCTGACCTCCTGCCTGCTCTGGACAGCCTCTCAGGTGCTGGATTCAGCAGAGTTACACCCTTAGAGGCAGAATCTTGGGCCTTCAATGAGGACTACACCCCAGTAACGCACTGCCCACACAAAAGCTACAAGCATCCCTAATTCACCTCTGAACCCTCTTCAAATTCTTCCTAGGTCTTCTGCTAGATTCCCCATCCCAGACGGAGTTTGTGCCGTTCGGAGCCTGGTCCGCTGCCAACACACTCACTGACCTCAGTTTGTCCTGATGCCATCCCTCACTGTTCCAGGGCTTAAGACCTTGCTGATACTCTTCAATGTGTGACTTGGAAAGCTTCCATTTCCAGGTTCAGTCCTCTCCACCTTGATGGCCCCCTGCCTGGGCCTCTGCTCCACATTCCTTGTGAGAATCCCCTGCTGTCTTCCCTTCCCCCAGTTTTAACTCTCCCGGGTACCAGTGCCTGGACTGCCTCCTGCATGCCAATGCCTGGACACCACTAGGCACGACCCTCTTCCTCCCTGGCACTGCCTCCATCAGTAGTCTGCAGTGGCTGCTGATCCTTCCAGCTCGGGACCCCTTCTACTGCCTCTTTCTCTCCCCACCAGCAGGGAAGACTCCTGTGTGCTGCCTGATGCCAGAGCCCACACAGGAACTGAGGACCACTCCCACCTGACCCCTTCCTTCCCACTGGTTTTCAAGCCTGGAATCCCTAATCCATTGCATTGCATCTAGGCTTACTTGCACCTTGTTCAAGGTCCATGATCTTCTATGGAGCCTCCTCTGATGAGCATGCAGGGGATTTAAGTTCTATCTCATTGTATTAGCCCATTCTCACTCTGCTAATAAAGACATATCTGAGACTGGGTAATCTCTAAAGGAAAGAGGTTTAATTGACTCACAGTTCCACATGGCTCAGGAGGCCTCAGGAAACTTACAGTCATGGCATAAGGGGAAGCAAATATGTCCTTCTTCACATGGTGGCAGCAAGAAGTGCCAAGCAAAAGGAGGAAAAACCCCTTATAAAACCATCAGATCTTGTGAGAACTCACTATCAGGAGAACAACATGAGGCTAACCGCCCCCATGATTCAATTACCTCCCACCAGGTCCCTCCCACAACACGTGGGGATTATGGGAACTACAATTCAAGATGAGATTTGGAGGTGGGGAGGGAAACAGTCGAACCATATTACTCGTTCAGGACCGTTGGGTTGGGGTAGCTATTACCAGACCCAGATAGGTAGTCCTTAAGCAGAGTCCTCCACTGTGGCAAAAACTCTAGATTTTCTGCAGCATAAAATGACTGGGATTCAAAGGAAACAAAAACCTCACTATATTGCTTCATAGTGCTAGAAGTAAATAAACTATCCCTCAATAGAAGCTTTTAACCACAAAGCAGTTGTGGGGTAAGGCACACTTTGTCCTTGGACAGAGGACAGTATAGAAACGCCAGGCAAATCCCCTCTCTAGGGGCTGTGGCCAAAAGTTACTGCTTCCTCTGTTGGGGGGGATATGTTGTGACCTTAGGAAGTTTGGGTGAAGTTTTTACCCCAGATGCTCCTAGAGGTGGAAGTTTCTCCAGGTGTGGTCCTTGGACCACCTGCATCAGAACCGTCAGTGGTCTTTGTTAAAATGAAGATTACTGGTCTTCCCCCAGACCTACTGAGCCAGAACTTTGGAAGGTAGGGCCCAGGCATCTGCATCCTTATCAGGTACTGTCTCTAGTGGCTCAGATGTGGTCAGGTGTTAGGCACAAGATGCTGTCATCAAAGGCTTTACAGCACACCTCGGGATCCTGGGGCCTCCTGCCTCAGTTCAGAGACCTGTTGGACCCACTTCATGGCTCCAGGCCGAGTCAACCCTGATTTTGGCAATCTGCCCTATGCCATTTTGCCTAAGTGGGCATTCTATGGATATTTGTTGAACTAAACCAGTACCCTCGCAGGCCAGGCTTTGTCTGCTCTATTTTGGGGGGGGGGCACCCACTGGGACACAGAAAATGCACAATCTATCCCTGACAGTAGATTGATGAAGGCGTGGGTCCAGGCTGTATCAACAAAAAGAAAAAGAAGAGGAGACAGACACTTTAGTTATCACCCAGCCACATGGCATGGCTCCTCCAGTGGTTTCTGGAGGCAGAAGAAGCTGTTTCATTCATGCTCATTGTTCATAGATTCTCGGCTGGGCAGAGACACCCTTGGCATGACTCAGGAAAGGCAGACGTCAGCACAGATGAGTTTTTGCTAAGAAAGAGCCAACACTGGCAAGCGAATGGAGTTAACCTTGAGGGCCTTTAACAATGACATGGCCAGACAGAACTTCTGTGGGCAATTTTGGCTTTTGTTCTCTAGAATTAGAGTTATGTCAGCTGCCCTTGGTATGCTTCCGGTGTGGCTGGTAAACTCCCAGAGGGGATCTGGTCCTCATAAATGTCACGGGGAGAGGCTATCCCATGGCAAAGGTCATGGCCAAGTCTTACTCAACAAACAGCCTATTTGGCAATGCCCTGTTGGCCTGCTTGGAGGCATCATGTGTGGCTTCTGTCTACAGCTGCCCCTAAAGTCCTCCCAGTTTCCAGTGGAATGGTGTGGGAATCAGTGACTGGGATGGCCTTTCTCACCTACTCAAGGTGAGGGGGGCATGCCTAACCAAGGAACTTGCTGGAAATGAGCTGACCTTTGTCCTCTGGACTCCTAGATTTTTGAGCCTCTTGCAGGGTCTGACTGGGGCCTGGGATCACTCAGTTTAAAAGAAGAGCAGGTATTTGAATGTGTCCTGGAGAAAACTTAAATCCTCTGGATATAATTTTCTCATAAGTCAAAGTCCAAAAGGAAATCAGAAAAGGCTGAAATAGCCCTCAGACAATGCACTAACAACCAAAAATGAAGGGACTCTTGCTGTATCTGGGAAATGCACATAACACAAGCATGGGAAGAAGTGGGAATGACTGGGCCATGAGGATCATGCTCATTCATGCTCGTGAAAATCAATCAATCAACAAGCATTTACCAAGCATTCACTACAGGCCAGCCTCTCTGCTGGGATACAAAAGGTATGCACAACAGCCCCTGGCCTCAAAGGCTCAGATTCTGAGCCTTACTTTGAATCCTAAATATTCAATTTTTCAGTATCTTCCATACTTCTATAGTTGAAATCTACTTGACATAGAGTACTCAGTTGCAAGCAACTTTAGCTGACTTGAAATTAAAATAAATTTAGTAGTAAACGTGTAACTGAAAGGCTGAGGAGCTAGGCTCAGAAAAAGGCAGAAACCATGAGAGGCTGTAAGCAGGAAGCACCACTGGGTAACTCCACAGGAATAATAAGTACAGGAATAAGGAATAACCCCATTGTCATCACAGCAAGATCCAGGACTCCAGGGTTTGCACCACCCGCATCCTGGCATTGGACTCTGCACACCACAGCCTGAGCCTCTGCTCTGGCTGCAGCTGAAACTTGAACAGATTCTCTACAAACCCTGTTTCTTTTCATCATTAGTTGTCAACTCTAAGTTTGGGGCCAGAGTCCCGAGCCATATGCCCACATCCTAGCTGCAAGGGAAGCTGGAAATAGAGTATCTGGAAGTTTCTGGTTTTTAGTGGGATGTGGGCACCCATGCATGAGGCAAGGAATTTCACAAACATAGGAAGGGGTTCAGATGCAGGGCAGCCAAAATGAATCACAAATGTTCACCACACCTCCCACACCTTGCGCAGGAACAGGAAGTATGAATGTGAAAGAATAACAATTAGTGTTTTTGTTTTTTTGAGACAGAGTCTCACTCTGTTGCCTAGGCTGGAGTGCAGTGGCACAATCTCGGTTCACTGCAACCTCCACCTCTCGGGTTCAAGCAGTTCTCATGTCTCAGCCTCCCAAGTAGCTGAGATTACAGGTGCGTGCCACCACACCTGGCTAATTTTTTTGTATTTTTAGTAGAGACGGGGTTTCACCATGTTGGCCAGGCTGGTCTCGAACTCCTGGCCTTAAGCTATCCGTCCGCCTCAGCTTCCCAAAGTGCTGGAATTACAGGTGTGAGCCACTGTGCCTGGCCAATTTCTATGTTTTTTTTAAAGGAATTATTCAGACTAGGAATTGTGCTGGTTATCAATGCAATAGGCGTTCTGCCCAGTGGGAGTTGGGGGATTCTTAATGAAAAGGGAGCCCTTGAAGAGTGTGAAGGTTTGGGATAGGTGGGGAGGAGTGGAGTGGGACCCCAGCCTGGGGAAAACTACACAGTGGTGGGAGTTAGCTTGACGCAGTATTGGGGCAGTGAGGAGACAGCCTGACCTCTCTCACATGCCAGCTCTCTGCAGGATCAAGGTCTGACACGCTGGGACCCATCTCATCTACCATCTGACAGTCTCTTCAGCATCACCCAGTAGTCCTAACTGACAGTGGCATCACCACTACTCCTTTGAGTGAGTGAATGAGGAGGGCTAGATTTTGACAGCCCAACTCTGTCACACTTGGAGTGACAATGAGCTGAAATTTGTTGCTACTAATTGCTCAGTGTTGCACTGTCCTTAAAGTGTAAGTTTAGCCTGGGGAAGAGAGATTATTAAAAATGAAAATATCGATTGTTTTTGCTTGTACATAGTATCTTTCATGATACTCCTTGTAGAGAAAAGCAACAAGGTCGTGTGGCCTGTTAGACCAACGACCAATAGGGATGATCATCAACTAGTGAGCTTTTAAAAATGATTCCCAGCTTCATCCCAGATCTACTTAATCGGGACTTCTATGAGTAGAACTGAGGTATCCATATTTTTTAAAGGCTCTCCAGGATATTTTGGGGAACAGGCAGATTTGGAAACTGTGCCCTAGACCTCTCAATATGCCTCACTTTTCTCATATATTCCTTTGGTTTCCTATATATCCTAAAACTCTCTCTTCATTTTTCTTCCCACCTAACCACATTTTTAACTCCTTTTTCCCAACATTTTACTATGAAAAATTTCAAAACATACAGAAAAGTTGAAAGAATTATACATCAGCCATGCATATGCCCTATCTCTAGATTATACATTTGTTAACATTTCACTGTAGTATTTGCTTATCCTTTATCTATCCGACCATCTATCCAAACATCCTTCCGTCCTAACTTTTTGATGCATTTCTAAGTGAGTGGCAGACCTCAGTATCCTTGACCCATAAACACTTTAGCATGCGTATCATTATCTAAAGTTCAATGTTTGTGAATGGTTGTTTTGTATTTTTTAATTTTGTTGTTTATTTATTTATTTGAGATGGAGTCTTGCTCTGTCACCTAGGCTGGAGTGCAGTGGTGCAATCATGGCTCACGGCAGCCTCAACCTCCTGGGCTCAAGCAATACTCCCACCTCAGCCTTCTGAGTAGCCAGGACCACAGTCTCATGCCACTATACTGGGCTAATTTTCTTTGGGGTGGGTAGAGATGGGGTCTCCTTAAGTTGCCCAAGCTGGTCTCAAACTCCTAGGCTCAAGTGATCCACCCACCTCAGCCTCCCAAAGTGCTGGGCCCAGCAGTTCTTTTTTAAAAAATTACAAAACCTCAGCTGGGTGCGGTGGCTCATGCCTGTAATACCAGCACTTTGAAAGGCCAAGGCGGGTGGATCATGAGGTCAGGAGATCATGACCATCCTGGCTAACACGGTGAAACCCCATCTCTACTAAAAATACAAAAAACTAGCCGGGCATGGTGGTGGGCACCTGTAGTCCCAGCTACTCGGGAGGCTGAGGCAGGAGAATGGCTTGAACCCGTGAGGCGGAGCTTGTAGTGAGCCAAGACTGCACCACTGCACTCCAGCCTGGGCAACAGAGCGAGACTCCATCTCCAAAAAAAAAAAAAAAATTACAAAACCTCAAATGAACAAATCATAAGTCTACTATTCAATGTACTTTGACAAATTCACATATCTGTGTAATCCAAACCCTCATCTGATACAGAATATTTCCATTACCTTAAAGCATTCCCAAATACCTAAATCTCTATTCCCACTTCCAGAACAAACATTGTTCTGACTTTTTTTCTGCCTTGGATGATTAGGTTTGCCTGTTCTAGAATTTCATATAAATGACATTGTTCAGTATCTACTCTTTTGTCACTTAAAATAGTATTTTAATGTTTTATTCTTCTTAAGAAAAGTTTTTAAAAAGTAGTTAATTTCAGGCCAGGCACAGTGGCTTATGCCTATAATCTCAGCACTTTGGGAGGCCAAGGTAGGCTGATTGCTTGAGCCCAGGAGTTCAAGACCGGCCTGGGCAACATGGCAAAAACCAAAAACTTGTTGCTACTACATATATATATATATATATATATATATATATATATACACACACACACACACACACACACACACACACATACACACACACACATATACACAAATATATATATATACACACATACACAAATATATATACACACATATATATATAAACTAGCTGGGCATGGTGGTGCATGCCTATAGTTGCAGCTACTCAGGAGGCTGAGGTAGGAGGATCACTTGAGCCTGGGATGTTGAGGCTGCTGTGAGCTGTGATTGGACCACTGCATTCCAGCCTGAGTGAATGAGCCAGACCCTGCCTCAAAAAAAGGTAGTTAATTCCTTTTGCTTATTGATTTTATTTCATTTATATGACTATATCGTAGTTTGTGCTCTGATTCTCTTGTTGATGGACATTTGGGTTGTCTCCCCTTTTTTGTTATTATAAATGAAGCTGCCGTGAACTTGTACAAGATTTTTGAAGTTACAGGTTTTTATGTCTCTTACATAAATACTTAGAAGTAGAATTGCTGAGTTGTAGGGTAGGCATATGTTTAGTTTTATAAGAAACTGACAGACATTTTTTCAAAAATGGTTGTGCCATTTTACACTCCTACTAAAGATGTGTGTGAGAGTCCTGGTTGCATGACATCCTTCCAACATTTAGTTTTTCAGTTTTCTTAATCTTAGCCTCTCAGGTAGGTATGTAGTGGTATCTTATTATGATTTTAATTTATATTTCTCTGATGATTAATGGCATTGAGAACTTTGTCACATGCTTATTGGCCAGTAGTATGTCTTCCTTTGTGAAGTATCTGTTCACATCTTTTGCCCATGTTTGATGGAGTTGTCTTTTTACTTTTGAGATTCAACTTGCGAGTAGTTAGTTAAGAATTTTATACATCCATATTCACTAAAAATATTGGTGTGTAATTTACTTTTATTATAATAGCCTTCTTTGGTTTAGGTATCAGGTATCAGTCTTCTTTGGGTTTGGATGATCTCATAAAGTGCATTGGGAAGTATTCTCTCCTATTCCATTTTATAAAATAATTTAGGTAATATCTCTTTTTCCACCCTTATATTTACAACCCATTTCTGACTTTATATTTGTTCTGTGCTTGTAGATAGCATAAAATTGGGTCTTGATTTTTTTTCCAATCTGAAAATCCTTGACTTTGTAGTGTTTTAGTCAATTTACATTTAATGTAATTGTTGATATAGTTATTTATTATTTGTTCTTAGTTTGTCTAATCTTTTCTTTTCCCCCTGCTCTTCCTTCCTGCTTTCTTTACAGTTTTAACGGATTTTGCTTTTAAAATTACGTTTTAATTTATCTACTGACTTTTTGCCAGACTGAAGATGCCAAAACTATAAACAGAAGCCATAAATTGTGGTCTTCAAGCCTCTCGTTCTTTGCTAATTTACTTCATTGTCATCACCTTCCCTCACCACCTATTTCCCTTACTCCTGTAAGTGAGCTTGCCTAAAATTTTATCATGAGTTCCAATCACTAGGCTGAGAGCACCCCCAGACATTTTGTTAAATAAGGACATCCTGTTATGAAGCTTTCCCTGTCTTTTATTAATGATTGAAGGGCTACCACAATACCATTACCTCAGAGAAAAAGCCTGTTTTCTCAAATGCTTTTCTCCTTGGTCACATATCCCAGCCTTAAGTTCATGTATTGAACCAATGATTTCTAAGTGGTTTAGCTTATTATTAAAGTGTCCTTTAAACATGGCCTAAACCTTGGCTGGTGCAGCTGGAGGAGTGAGAGCTGATATCAGAATGCTCTGGCCTGTACATCAGGAAAATGCTAACACCTGCCCCAACCAGATGCTCCTTCTCCAACCATCCCTATACCACAAATCAACTTTTTTTTTTTTAAAAAAAAAACCTACAGTGGTGGGGTTTCCTTTTTAAAATACCTGCCTCCTGATGAGACTGTGAGAGAAGGATGATTTTGACAAGGGTGTAGTCTCACCAGGATTACAAAATTGGCTGAAAGCTGAATGGGTTCCTCAAATATATTTTTTGAACATTTGGATTTAAATGCTTTTGGGCAGGAGGAGAACTCTCCAGTGATTCTCAGGTCCAGCCACTCTCTAGTGTGTTTTGACTGGCCCCAGTAAGTATTTAGGTTGGTAGCCCTTGTGGCAAGTTCTGTTTACAGGCATCTAGAAGAGTACAAGAAAACTTGCATGCTGGCTGGGCCCTTGGCACCTGAATAAAGGATCCAAAAACCAGACAGCCTGAGCAGCCATAGATTCGTATCTGAGTGGGGCCAGTAAAGACATGGGAACTCACTTCATAGACCCCGAGTTTCAGCCTGCCAGTCCCAGGCCCAGCTGCTCTCACAAGTTATTTAGGTTCCTCTTTCTGGCCACACAAGCTACAGCTGGAAAAATCCACCTGAACAGCCTAATTTTCTAACTCAAAAATTCAGGCTTAACCAGCAGCATTTGTGGGCAAGGATCATAAAGAACAAACTGGGATAACCCTATACAAGTCAAGAATGACTCGAGTTTATGGAATGAAATGGAGTTGCCCTAGGTCCTCGGAACTTCAGAGGAGAGCCTGGAACTCTAGTGGAGCTCTAGAGCCACAGATCTGGGGTTGAATGGTGGCGACAGCCTCCCCTGTGGCCTCTCTGACTAGCGTGATCCCACTTCCCCACTCCTCAACTGGGGCCCCACAGTGGTGGCATCTTCCTCACTCACCATTCAGATGCTCTTAGTGACTTCCAGTGTCCTCAGTAGAAATCCCAAATCGATGGCTTGGCTCATAGGTCAGGATTTTGACCTTAGGTAACTCTTCAGCCTGCACTCTCCCCACACCACTCTCTACACTCTCTGACCCCAACATTGCATGGGTAACAAGATGTGTCATGCCCAGCCTGTGGCCCTGTTTTTCCCTCCTCCTGGGTCACGCCCATCCCCCTGGCCCCACCCCACTGGATCAGTTTCCTGTTGCTGCTGTTACAAATTTCCACAGACTTTGTGGCTTAAAACAAAACAGGCCAGGTGTGGTGCCTCACACCTGTAATCCCAGCACTTTGGGAGGCCGAGGCTGGTGGATCACTTGAGGTCAGAGTTCGAAACCAGCCTGGCCAAACATGGTGAAACCTCATCTTTACTAAAAATACAAAAATTAGTGGGGCGTGGTGGCAGGCACCTTTAATCCCAGCTACTTGGGAAGCTGAGGTAGGAGAAACACTTGAACTGGGGAGGCGGAGGTTGCAATGAGCTGAGATCATGCCAGTGCACTCCAGCCTAGGCAACAGAGTGAGACTCCATCTCAAAAACAAAAACAAAAACAAATAACAATTTAGTAGGTCAGAGTTCTGGAAGCCAGAAGCCTGAAACCAGTTTCACAGAGCCAAAGTCAAGGTGCTGGCCAGGCTGGCTCCTTCTGGAGGCTCTGAGGGTGAAGCCTGTTTTCTTGCCTTCATCAGTTTCTAGGGACCACCTGTGTTCCAAGACTTGTGGGCCCTTCCTGCTTCAAAGCACACCCCTCCAATCTCTGTCAGTGAGGTCACAAGGCCTTCTCTTCCTCTGTGGTCAAATCTTCTTCTACCTCCCTCTTCTAAGGACCCCGGTGATACATTCAGGGCTGCCCAGATAATCCAGGACAACCTCTTACCTCAAAACCCTTAATTCAGTCAGATCTGCAATGTTCTGTGTGCCCCATACGGTGACATTGATAGGTTCCAGTGATTAGGATGCAGATGTTTTGGAGATTACCACATTCACCAAGCTGGTAACTCCCTATCTGCCTTCCAGGTTCTGCTCAGACTTCATCATTCTCCTCTGAGTGGCTTCCCCAATCCCCAAGGTTGTGTTCGGGGCTGCACCTTTGCTCTCCACAGCCCCTGGCTCCCTAATGAAGCTCCCAGTGCCCTGGATTGTAACTGCCTTTTCGCCTCCCTTCTCGCAACTATTAGCAGCTTGAGGGCTGGGATCTCATCCACTTTCTTCCTCTCAGTATCATAAAGATCCGGCACAGCATACATGCTTGAGATATGTTTGCAGGAAGGAAGGGGTCCCTTCTGGCTGACAACCCCAGGATGAAAAGGCCTGATGACGTGGGCACAGAGGTCCCCTATTTAAAGTGATAAGGGGGCCCGAAGAAAGCAGGGCTATGGCTGGGAGTGCTGGTGGACCAGGCCACATTTTGCCTTGTGGGTGTGCCCCTTACATCTGGACTCCAGAGCTTTGCATAAGGTGTGCAAGAGACAACCACTAAGAGAGCCCCCAGGTCCCTCTGGTCACATCTATTGCTCACTGCAACTTTCCTGTCACTCTGACCCCAGGGACATGGCCTTGGGGGAAAAGTGCTGGGAGTCCAACGTCATTGTACTTCTGAGGTGGTCTGTGACTGGCTCACTTAGACATTGATTAACTTTTCAAGGAAACACAATCATTAGGCAAATTCCATCCACCTATCAGGAAAGATATAAACATCAGCAAACATTAACCCAGACCCATGGGTTTACAGCTCACAGCTGCCCCTGGGCACACTGGCGGTACCAGCTTGCCCCAGGTCCAGGTAGCTGCTTGGTTGAAGGGAATGAAACTCACAGTCATGTGCAACAGATACAGGAATGTGACCCTTGGAATGGGGGCCTGTGCATCACCAACGTTTGTGAATCAGCAAGAAACACAAAACACACATGCCCTCCAAGGCTGAATGATAGCTCATGCTGCATCTGTTTTTTTCTGACAAGGCTAACCTAGTTTTAATTATTTATACTAAAACTTATAAGCCACTAAAAATGTCCTGCAGAATGAGGATACAAGGGAAAGAAGTCTTGGTAATCTGAGACCCTGCTGCAGCAGGAGCTCTGCTCTTAAGCCTCACTGGCAACAAGCTCGGGCTGTTTCTGGGGAGTCCTTTGCTGTGTGGTCAAGGCAGAAAGGGTGGGAGAGGTTTCTGTGAGTTTCTGTTGGAGGAGTATGGGTGGAAACAGAGCTAGGGAGTCTAATCTACACTCAAAAAGCATAAACCTCTCAGAGACTGCTAAGGCCAGGGCAATATAGGACTGAAAAACCCCCTCCATGAAGCCCACCAGGCCACTCTGCTGTCACAACCCCCGCAGGTGTCTGGGTGCTGGTGGCTGGACATTCTGGAACTCACAGTAAAAGCACTGGTCGTATTGGCAGCACCAATAGCTTCACTCCAAGATGATCCCTCAGCTGATGATCTTTGACCCCTTTTATGCAGTTCAGAGGCCTTCACTCCCTGAATTTCCCGAAGAAGCACCCTTCCACCCTCTACTTTCCTCCTCCCTTCCCACTGCTCTGCATCTTTTAGCTACACCTTCACTCTGTTACCTCCTCCAACTGGAGTCCCATGCCCTCCGGCATCCTGGGAAAAGGAGAAAGATGACCCCAAGAGAGGGATCTCGGAATGAATAAGAACTATTCATTTGAGCTTCTCATGTCACATAACTCGTATCAGTTCTATAAAACTTGGGTTTCTTTTCTCTATCATTAACCCTGACTTGACAGGCAGCCTAGGGTCATGATTAAGAACATGAATTTGGGGATCAGACAGACCTGGGTTAGTGGTAGCTCTGTTATTTATAAACTGTGTGCTCTTGAGGAAGCTAACCCACCCTATCTTCCTCGGTTTCCCTACCCATTCCCACTTAAGTAACAGTGATACCCAGCTCACAGGGCAGTTATGAGAAGGAAACGAGATCTTGCATGAAAAAGGTTTAATGATTCTTTGTATGCATAGTGAGTGTGATTGCCGTAATAGGATTGTGGGTAATATAAAAACAGCGTAAAGAAACTTTGGTTAGAAAATGCTGGTGAATCAACCACTGTGACCTCTATTTTATATTCAGGGTGGATGGAGTTGAGTGGGAAACTTTCCCAAAAGCACATGGGAGGTAAGTTCCCATAGGGATGTGATTGTGCAAGCCACTTCCAAATACCACCTGGATCTCCAAGCAAACAAGCATCATATCCTAATCCTGCATTGCTTATGTGGAGAATCTGGCCCAGAGAAAAGCATCTCAACAGACAGGATCACACAATGTTTTTGTGCTGGGGAGGGGCTGGGCCATCCAGCTTCAGAGTGTAGGTCTGAGAAAAAGGAGCAAATGGTTCAGGGATCGCTTTATCTCACCTAGCCAGCAGGCTGATGGGGCCAAAAGCTACTTTATCAGGTCAGAGCCTTTAAAGAAGGAACTGCTCAGGGCTGAAGTAACCACAAACAGATCCAACTGGTTTTTGTGGTGGGTAATATTTGTTTGACATTAAGTCCAGATGTCTAGATTGTGAGACACATATCATTAGCATCAAAAAGTGTTTGTAAAATTCTTAGTTGAACTCCATAGTGAGTTAGATCCTGGCATAAATCAAACTGAAACCAAATTAGAGGCGCCATCCGTATAAGGAACGGGCTGGAGCCAGTCCCTGTTTCAAACAAGTGGTAAGAACCAAACTAAAGGAATTATCTATGAGCAAAAAGGACTTGCTCAATGTTCTCAGCTGTTTTCCAACGCCAGGAAAAAGTGCTAAATCATGGACATGGCAAAATAATCAAGAGCTTTGTTAAGATCTGTTTTCCTAGGGGAGCCCAGGACTGGGAGAGGGCCCCCTCCCTGGGAACACTTGGCTGATTTCCATTGCCGGGCATTTAATAAGATGCCCTGCTTAGCAACCTCTTAGGAGTGTGAGAAGTCAGTACTCCACACCCCACACCCCCCTTACCCCCCCCACCACAAACAAAACAAACAAAAAAAAACCTGCCTCAGCTGTGCTGGGTTACCCTTTCTTGGCCTTTCTTTGAAACCTAAGCATCCATATCCTCTATTTGGGGATGACTTTCTCTTCTGGCAAAGAAGTGGAAATGGTTTTATTGGTTCTTGGTTTTTTTATACACTGGTGCTGGCTATAATTTCAGATTTGTATTTTTAGGTTTGACTTTGGGTAGCAGAATGGAACACAAGCAGACCAGGTCAAGAGCTTCCATACAGAATCAGCTAGGGACAACATTTACTCCTCTCCTGGGAGATGCTCTCAGCATAGCGTCCTAAGAAGGAAACTGTCCATAAGTGTCATTCTTGTGAAAAAAGATGGAAGTAAAAATAAGAGCCTTCATCAGCTGACTTAATCTCAACAAAACCCCGCTTACACCTGGGCCTTAGACGATGACAACAAGCTACTCCACAAACATACTAATATGTTTGTAGCATCTGAAAAATAATTTATATTCACAGTTAATTTTAAAAGAGCTCTATGATCGAGATGCTGTTATCTTTAAAATAGTCTGCAAATTACATCCTGCATTAGTCCGTTTTCACACTGCTAATAAAGACATAGCCAAGACTGGGCAATTTACAAAGGAAAGACTCACAGTTCTGTGTGGCTGGGGAAGCCTCACAATCATGGCGGAAGGGCAAAGAGGAGCAAGTCACATCTTACGTGGATGGCAGCAGGCAAAAAGAGAGCTTGTGCAAAGAAACTCCCATTTTTAAAACCATCAGATCTTGTGAGATCCATTCACTATCATGAGAACAGTATGGGAAAGACCCATCCCCATAATTCAATCATCTTCCACCTAGCCCCTCCTACAACATGTGGGAATTATGGGAGTTACAAGATGAGATTTGGGTGGGGACACAGAGCTAAATCATATCATATCCTTACTTTGATGGATAAGAGGTGAAGGAATTGGAAAATAGGGGAAGAAACACATTTCATCCCCCACACCACTCCATTTCCCACAAACGTTTAAACTACTCAGGCAAACTTTCTTTTTTTTCTTTTCTGTTTGAGGCAGGGTTTTGCTCTGTTACCCAGGCTGGAGTGCAGTGGTGCAATCACAGCTCACTGCAACCTCAACCTCCTAGGCTCAAGTGATCCTCCTGCCTCCACCTCCCGAGTAGCTGAGACCACAGGTTCGTGCCACCCACCGCAGCTAATTTTTATTTTTTTGTAGAGACAGGGTCTCACTATGTTGCTCAGGCTGGTCTCAAACTCCTAGGCTCAAGCAATCCTCCTGCCTCAGTCTCCCAAAGTGCTGGGATCATGGGAATAAGCCACCATGCCCAACCTAGGCAAACTTTCTTAAGCAAATTGAAGATAAATTTGAAATATTGGAGTAAGTGGTGATAAAGTATTTCCTGCTGACAACTTAAAGCAAATAATGTTGCTGTCAAACCTTTACCACTGAGGTCAGTTGGCAATTCAGAGCAACTCTGGCATCAAAGAAATTCTGTAAGTGGATTCAATGTGCTTAGAGCAAGATTAGAAGACATAGAACATTTGAGCTAAAAGCTAAGATGGGAAATTGAGCCTTTGTATTCTGTTGAGTGAGCACACAGAGAATTTTCTAGATATACTTGATTTGATTTTAGTTTTTGAGACATGGTCTCACTGTGTTTTCCAGGCTAGTCTCAAACTCCTGGGCTCCAGTGATCCTCCCGCCTCAGCCTCCCAAGCAGCTAGGATTACAGGTGTGAGCCGCCACACCCAGCTGTGAAATATTGGTTTTAAAAAGTTGCATTTGTGTGGATGGGGCATGCTAGAGTATAAGGCTAGAGAATAACATCCTAGAAGCAATGACTATTGCCTGGGCTAAGTTATCATGGTGCCTCTAGTAGATGCTGTGAGACTTATGGTAGGGGCTGAATATTTGGGGATGACAATCATTTTTGAGCATTTTCTACTGTACATAGACACTAGAGGGGCCCCAGAAGCCCTCTGGTCTACCAGTTTCAGAACACTCGATGGTCAGGTCCGCAGGCTCTGGTGTCAGCTGGACTGGATTGGAATCTTGGCTCCACCAATCACTAGCAAGTAATTTAACCTCTCTATGCACCACTTTCTTTATTGGTCAAATGGAGATTATTAAATGACTTGTATCTTTCAAGGTCCTTGAAGGATAACTGAGGTGATGCATGCAAAAGCTTCAACATGCTTGTCAACCACAGACTAAAAATGCACTTGATGTGAGACTCTCCACTATCTCCCAAAGGCCACAGCAAGAGGGTGATGTCATCAGGAAGCTTGTATTAAATTTATATAAACATTAAAGACCAGTTTCAAGCAGGCTTAAAACTAAAAATGTCAATATACATTGTTGCCCCCTTTTTTAAAAAAAAAGAAGAAGAAGGTGCTTTGCAAATAGTTGAGATTTTTCAGGGCTTCCTAGAATAAAAATGTACCAAATGCCAACAAATTTTAATTAGTAGTTGATACCAAAAAATATCACAAAGAGCTAACCAGGCCAGGTGCAATGGCTCACACCTGTAATCCCAACACTTTGGGAGGCCGAGGCAGGAGTATTGCTTGAGGCCAGCCTGGGCAACAAGGCAAAACTACCTCTTTACAAAAAAATTAAAAATTAGCTGGGCTTAGTGGTATATACCTGTAATCCCAGCTACCAGGCTGAGGCGGGAAGATCCCTTGAGCCCAGGAGTTCAAGGTTGCAACAAGCTATAAGTGCACCACTGCACTCAAGCCTGGTCAACAGAGTGACACCCTGTCTCAAAAAAAAAAAAAGAGCCCATCTTCTCCACAAAGACCATACACTGGGCCTCCCCCTCCATGGCTATAGACTTCTAGAACAGATGGATAGATACACTGTAGTTTTTTTGTGTGTGTGAAGCTCTTAAGGCATACCAAATTTTCAATGTGATGTTCATTTCTATTTCAGTCTGTTTTAGACCAGGGGTCCTCAACCCCTGGGTCACTGACTGGTACAGGTCTGTGGCCTATTAGGAACTGGGCTGCACAGCAGGAGGTGAGTGGCAGGTGAGCAAGCATTACCACCTGAGCACCACATCCTGTCAGATCAGCAGTGGCATTAGATTTTCGTAGGAATGCAAACCCTATTGTGAACTGTGCATGCACGGGATCTAGGCTGCTCACTCCTTATGAGAATCTAATGCCTGATGATCTGAGGTGGAACAGTTTCATGTCGAAACCATCCCCCCTCCACCCACCCCTGCCCTGCTGCTGTTTGTGGAAAAATTGTCTTCCACTAAACCAGTCCCTGGTGCCAAGAAGTTTGGGGACCGCTGTTTTAGACCATTATCTGGCAGATTGCAGTTTAAATAAATTCCTACATTTATTCAACAGTGATTTACTGAGTACCTCATTAGGTGCCAGGAACAGTTCTAGACACTAGGATGACTGCATCAGTAAACACATCCCTGTCCTTGTAGTGTTTACTTTCTGGAAATACTTCTCACTGGAGACAAACAAAAATTACCTAACTGGACATTTCTTTGGATTCTAGCATGGGCTAGTGGTGAATTATCTAAGCAAGAAGATATCAAAGGCTCTGTGTAAGGAATGATGGCCCAGGTATTTGGAAACTGAGTTGAAACCCCCAAGCAGATTCTTGGGGGGCTGCCATCCTGGAAGAGCACCTGGTCTCTATCTCTGGAATGGAGGATATGTGCCTCCCTTAGGCCAGGTTCATTCTTTAAAACCAGGCGACTCAGGTGGTTTTAAAAAACCACTGCATTTCCCACAGAGTGGCCGTTAGTGTGGCAACAGGAGGGGATAAACTCAACAGGACCATGTGGGAGGCCTGGAGTGAATAGGCAGGAAAGAAATGGTGAGGAATGAGGTTTGAGAAGGGGAACTCCTGGAGGTATGGCTGA
The DNA here is from genome assembly GCF_000001405.40 of Homo sapiens. Classification (NCBI taxonomy): domain Eukaryota; kingdom Metazoa; phylum Chordata; class Mammalia; order Primates; family Hominidae; genus Homo; species Homo sapiens. The sequence goes on along the minus strand of NC_000008.11, from coordinate 100,467,929 downwards.
GCCTCCTGCTGCTGTGGCAACCTCAGGGCACAGAGTGCCTGTGAGGAGGAGTCGTCCAGTTAGTGGTTGATTGTTGAATCCTTCGAAGCTTTCAACAGAAAGCCACAAAGGCCGGCTCTGGTAATCAAAAATAAAGGAGTTTATGGGAAGGGAATTGGCTAGCTCACAGACTTAGCGGGAGCCTGGAGAAGCAATTCCATAGAACGATGTCCAAATCCATGCTACAGCCCTGTCCTGATGAGGAAGCAGCTGCCACCCGGGCAAAAGCTCCCAGCCAGGCAACTCCACTGATGCCATCTTAACCACATTTCTTCCCAAAGAAACCTCTGTTACCTGCCTTGCCAGCAAAATGGGTTCTGTAAGGTCCTCACTTCCAAGTCCAGGTCCCCCACAGGTAATTTGATTGGGAGAACCCAGCTCATATTACTTGTGCTGTAATGGCAGAGGAGTTTGCAGACTGAATTTTCTGGGTTGTTCCTGGTGAAAGTAGGACTTACAAAGCAGGACATTTCCCAAGTAGAGCAAAGGTGAGTTTAAAAAGTTGCTGGACAGCCAGGAAACGTGGCAGGTGTCTGCTTCATTCAATTGCTTAAGGGGCCCCAAGGCCAATATCCACCATCCACCAATATTAAGCACAACATCAACTACAACAAAATTCTCTTGCCTAACACAGTTCAGCTCTCCCTCATGCAGACTAAAAAGACTCCTCTTCTGCCTGAAGTGGGGGTAGCTCAAATTCAAATTCAAACAGTAATGGGCCCTCCGAAGTCAAGCAAAAGAGAAGCCATTTCATCTTTTATTGGAGAAAACTAGCAAGAGTATTTATGGTATAAAACTTTTGGGGAGCAATTGCTTGATTAAAGAATTATCAAGAACCCAATGGGGCCAGGCCTGATGGCTCACACCTGTAATCCCAATGTTTTGGGAGGCCAAGGTGGAAGGATCAGTTGAGCCCAAGAGTTCAAACCAGCTTGGGCAACATAGGGAGACCCCCGCCTCTGCAAAAAATTGAAAAATTAGCTCAGCTTGGTGGTCCATGTCCAGTCCCAGCCAAGACTACAGGCTACTCGGAAGGCAGGAGGATCGCTTGAGCCCAGAAGTTCAAGGCTGCCGTGAGCTATGCTTGCACCACTGCACTCCAGCCTGGGCGACAGAGACCTTGTCTTAAAACAAACAAACAAAAACCGATGGGGACCTCTCCTTTTGTTTATTTTTATTTATTTATTTGTTGGAGACAGAGTTTCTCTCTCTCGCCCAGGCTGGAGTACAGTGGCGCAATCTCGGCTCACTGCAACCTCCACCTCCCGGATTCAAGAGATTCTTGTGCCTCAGCCTCCCAAGTAGCTGGGATTATAGGTGCACACCATCATGCCTGGCTGATTTTTGTATTTTTTGTAGAGATGGATTTTCGCCATATTGGCCAGGCTGGTCTCAAACTCCTGACCTCAAGTGACCCATCCCCATCAGCCTCCCAAAGTGCTGGGATTACAGGCTGGGCACCTTTCCTTTTAAGAGCTCACTTATTCCTTGCCTCACACAGGAGAGAGGAGCTATTCCAGAATCATCTCTCCAGCTTCCTCTGAAGTGACAGAGGCTTTGGACTCTGGGTGACACACGTCTGGGAACAGAGCTGCCCCCTCATAAGGGCTCAAGATGTCACTGTCCAGACCAGCAGCACTGGTGGGCTCTGAGCCATGAGCACTGCCTTTCCTGTGTTGTGCAGCCCTGAGCCAGGTTGTGAAGTTCCCTTTCAGAGCCCAAAGTCTCCCAATGACTCTCCACATCCGTTTTCTCCTAAGCTGCTCTCTGGAAAAGGACCACAGTCAAGTGTGAGGGGTCATTCATTCTTCTCTAGTTACGTTAGAATCCTAGCAGCACTTTCAGGTACCCCAGAGATAGTGTCCTGTGACCCACAGGCTGAGGCTCCAAGTGTGAGAATGCTGCCCACGGTTACCCAGGAGCCAATAGCAGAATTGGCACTAGCATCCAGTTCTCTACTCTCCCACTATAGCACCTCTTGTTCAAGGATATTTGCATTGTAATAGAGGATGAAGACTTAAGCCAAAGGACCGAGTCTCCTGTTGTGAAACATCAGTCACCTTTGAGCTCTCATGCTAAGGATTGCTGAGGATTAGCTCAGCCTTTTCCAGGAAGCCACCGGCAGGTCACGATAGAGTGAACAGAAATGCAGCTCTGTGACACCAGCACCAAATGGACCCCTGATGCCCTCCATTCAGAGGCAATTCAGACCATCAGCCTAGAGGAAGGGAGCCCATTTTCCAGGCCATCCCAGCCCACGGCTGTGAAGTCTCAGCACCCCAGACCCCAGTGAACATGTTTCTCTTTCACTACTAACACCCACGGAAATGCTAGCCCCTTGGGCATGCTGGCCAAGTTCAGCTTCTGTTACCATCTCAGTTAGCAAAGCATGTGTTAGAGGAGAAGCCACAGGATTTCAAGTGCCCTCCTCTCTCAAATAAAGGAGTTGTGCTATATGACCTTTAAAGTCCTTCTGGGCCCAAATCCATAAGAATCCCAGTGGAGGAGGACTTATCATGGAAGAGCCACTTGCAAACAGGTCCTGGAGAAAGGTTCAGTTAGGGCTTCAAAGCCTGTAAACTGTGAACTTATCTGCATTCTAACCAGAATCTGAAATGGGGCGACAGTCACGGCTCTGGTGCCAATAGCCAAGACGTTCTGATGGCAGCGCTGGTTTACTCATAGCATTAGGAGGTGAATGCCCGAGACTCTATGGGGTCAGAGATGTCTGTCTCATGCTGTCTGTGCTGGCCTTTGCCTGTTCAATATTCAGAAAGCTAGAAGCAAGGTTGGGGCTGCTGCCTCCTCTGGGAATGTGCCAGCCTTTTTCACTGCTCTGCCACACCTGTTGCCCCCGATGGAACCCCTCAATCCTGTTACTCAGCTGAACAAAGGCTGCTGTGTTCATTTAATTTCTCAAATAAGGTTTATCATCTGCTTATAGGATGGATGAATGTCAATCTATGCAAAAAAGCGTTATAACCCTATTGAAGCTGTGGCTTCACAGTCCAGTCTCAGAATAAGACCATGATACATGAAAGACAGTCTAGCCACCAAAAAGCAATTAGAAATCACATAAGGCCTTTATTTGTACTTCTCGGCCATCCTAAAGAAGATGGATGTCAGGCAATACAGTTCTCAGCCCTCCTTGTCTCTTCCTTCTGCTTCCTTCTTAACCCACAAATGCCCTAGCTTCTCTTGCCTCTGAAATCTTGGGGAAACCCTCTCTAATACTAGTCTGGGTGCTTCTTATCCTTTTACCCACTTGGCTTTCTGCATTACCAAAGCTCCCAAGAGCTGAGCTGGAAACACAGAACCCTGAGGGGAGGCAGGGAGGGCAGCGCTGACCCATCAGGACAGCTGTTCCTGAGCAGGACCAGATATCTACCAAAGCAGGTAAGCGTTCATCCAGCACACACTAGGGGCCACTTCCTTGGAATCCACCCTACTTTCTAATTCTGAAAAAAAATACTTACACATTTCAAATTTGTTGTGGCACCTCAGAATAGAAGGTCGGTGGTTACCATGGTACAGAGCTAGAAGAAACACCAGTACCCATGAAAGAAAACTGTTGTGCATTACTGGTGGGAATTACTGACATGAATAGAAGAAAGGAGGAGAAAGAAGAGTGGCAATGATGCTGATTGGTTGCAGTCAATCTGCATATCTATTATGCTGAAGCTGGCTCAGTAGGTAACAGCCATCTAACAATACTAATATTTACTATGTTGATTATGTGCCAGGTACTTTACACTGTTCTGTTTATTCAGCATGACAACTCTGCAAGGTACTCTCCCTCTGTTAGAGAGAGAATTTAAAGCTCAGAGAAGTTAAGCCATTTGCTCAAGGCCTCACATGTTTGTAAGTGGTGGGGTCAGGATTTGAACCTAAGCAATCTGATCAGAAACTACGCTTGTAACTTCTGCCCATGCTCTACTGCCTCCTCACAAAGCGAGGTTCCATTCGGGAGGGTGGAGAGAGAGGTATACAGAGACTCAAACAAGACCACAGGGCACGTGGGCAGCACTGGTGTTCTCTGCACAAAGAAAGATAGGAGCAGGGGAAAATCCCACTATCACAGGATGCGCTGCTTAGGAAATGCTGCATGGGCATTATCTTAGTCAACACAGCGAACCGCTGCAATGAAAAACCCACAGTATTAACAGCTGAACACAAAAGTGTATTTCGGGCTCACACAAACTCTAATCAGACATTCCTGGTCAGGCAGCAGTCCTGGGCTCTTCCTCCACCCAGCTACTCAGGGATCCAGGCCTCTGTCCTTTAGTGATACAAGCTGGGGAAGAGAGTGAGGAAAGCCACACTGGATACTTAACCACCTCAGCCAGAAAGTGACACATCTCTCAGGCTCTTATTTCACTGGCCAGAGTGAAGGACATGGGGTGGGTTGAGAGGCTGGGAAATGGAGTCCCTGGTTAGTCACCTGCTTCTCAACAGCAAGTTCATACTATACAGATCAAGGAGTCAAGGAGATCATGACTTTTCAGGGGTCAACTAGCCATTTCTACCACACTTGAGAGAAAGAGGGGAGGGTGATATGATGATCTGGCACAGGTTAGTAAATGGCATATGAATTTCAGCATTATATGGGCTGTGTTGGAAGTGGGACAACCCAGGGATATAGGCTGGGTGCTTCTCTTAAGGAGTGACTCCAGGAGGTCAAGCTCATTCCCCAGGCATCTGTGGCCTGCTGAATCTTGGCCTAGGCACACCGATTGGGTCTGCCCCAGCATGGAGTCCAATGTCACTGAATCTGACCCTAAAGGCAGCCTTGCCAGAGATTTGGTTTCTGAGAGCAAGGCTACCCTTCCTGTGGGCTGAGCTAGAATCAGTTCTGTCTGGTCACATGACTTACTGAGGTTTTTAATAAGCCTTTGTCGACTGGCGACTCTGGGAGTTCAGGCAAGAAGTATTGAATCCCAGTATCTAAATTTGCAATCTACAGACATGTAGAGAAAGAATTTGAATTAATGTGGCTGTCAGAAGGGAAAGGGGCCAAAAAAAAAGGGTGGACAGATTCTGAGCAAGAAAAAACACACCAGGCTGTTCTCAGAATCACATTTCAAATTCCAAGGTTTGTGTCTTTTTTTCCCCCCAAATAGTCACTAATTATGGATTGTGTGTCTCTTGGAAGTTTGTTAATATTATTAGTTTTGGAAAGGTGTTTCCTACTTCTTTTCCATATGCAACTATTTATTTAGTCAGCTGGTTCTCATTTCTGAGTGTAGGTTCAGTGGCCCAGCTGAAGGATAATGGGCTGAAACATCTCAAACGAAACTCAAATAAATAAAGAACTTTGATTATTGTTATTCAGGAGTGGATGAACACAGTATTGAATCCATTGGAACTAACCTGGCCTCTTTAAAAAAATGCTCCTAGATGGAAATAATAATGGATTTGAAAACACTTGAGCTCCACATTTTCTGAAATGCCAGCTCTCTTTCTGCATATCTGAGGCTTTGTACTTGGAAGATGGTCTACAACTACCCTCAAAAATACCCCTCAGAGGAAAACCGTAAAATTTCCCTTGGTTTCCAGATGAGGAAGCAGATTCTTAAAAAGAAACATCTCTCCAAAGTCACGGGGCAAGCACAGAACTTGGAGACTCTGATTCCCAATTTCTGACCCCCTGGTCAATTTCTATCAAATGGCCGAAAGGACTACAGGATAGACTTAATACGGATCTAGTGGGTTGTTATGAGAACATTTAGGATAATTGTAGGAATTTCCATTTGAAATTAGTGCTCAGTGCCTTAGTTAGCATTACAAAGTCACATTAAAAAGCCTCCAAAGGGTCGCTTGAGCCCAGGAGGTTGAGGCTACAGTGAGCTGTGATCATACCACTGCACTCCAGCCCTGGCCACAGAGCAAAACCCTGTCTCCAAAACAAAACAAAACAAAAAAACCACCTCCAAAAGGGGAAAGTTTGCCTTTATTTGAAATCCTTGTGTACCTATTAGCCTCACTCCACCTGCCTGGCTCCACTCCATGCCTCCACTATGACACCTTGACACTTCCCTCATTTCAACACTGCAGCTTTCTCAGTTGCCTTCTTGATGCTCCCTTCCTGCCACTGAGGTGACCCGCTTCCTTCTCTGCACAAGAACAGCCAGTTTGAATAGGCAGGGCTCAGGCTGAGAGTGGTCTTGAGGGCCCAAACTCTTGTGTGTTCCAGTGCTCAGACGTGGGCTGTGGTGGACAGGACCAGGCTCAGCTGCTGCAATAGGTTGGTGGGACAGCGCTGAGATAGCACGGCAGGAGGTCACGACCTTGGCCACAGGGGCAGGTAGGACTCTGAACCAGAGATGGTATCAGAGGCAGTTGTGGTGTCATGGAAAAGGGTATCAGAGGCAGCTGTGGTGTCATGGAAAAGGGAACTTTGGACATGAAGTCAGAAACCCTGACTTCAAATCCTGCCTCTGACCGGTTACCAGTTGTGTGGCTTTGGATAAATTGTTAACTTCTCTGAATTCAACTTCTTCATCTATAAAGTGGAGGCTACCACAATATTAGTTAACACACACGCAGCTCTGAACATATCCCTGATGTCTCTCTGTGCATTTTACATATATTAACTCATTTAGACCTCACACCAACACTGTGGAGTGTGTACTATCATTAGGCTCACTGTACAGTTAGGGAAACAGACACAGAGAGGTTCACTAACTTGACCCAGATCTCATGGCTTGCAGTGGCTGAGCTGGGGTTTGAAGCCAGGTGGTCTGACTTCATGATCTCATAGGGTTGCTGGGAGGTAATGGTTGCTTCTAGCTCAGTGCACAGAGTCAACACTCAACAAAGATTTAGAAGTAAAAGAGGCTTGATATGGGGGGTGGACAGGGATGGAAATCAGCAGACGAAAGAGGCAGAGGAGCACATGTGGATAGGACAAGAAATGGGCTGTAGAGACAGACCAAGTGGGAGTCTGGGGTTTAAACCAAGCCCAAGGCCTCAGCTTCACTGCTGCTTCTTCCAGGAATTCTTCCCTGTCTTGTGTGACTGAGTTGGGAGCCCATCCTCCAATGTATCCCAGAGCATGTGGGCCAGGCTCCCATCTCAGCGCCTACCACACCGGACTGTCATCGCTTAAACTCGCTTTGTCTCTTCACGGTGGGCTCAGCAGTAACTTTGGCCTACTTACCTTTCTGTCTCCAGGGCCTGGCATCCAACCTGACACATAGTAGGCCTCAGCAGCTCTACTCAAATGAATGAATGAACAAATAGGCTCAAAGGGTAACTGGGCACCAATATTCCTGCCTCTAATCCACACATTTCCATTCTCACAACAGTTAAGTCCTACTGTGAAAACCAACCTGGTCTTCCTTCCCACTCCAAATGTGAATGGATCAGGGGGTGTCTTCTTGGGTCTGTGGGGCTTGTGGCTGGGATGGCAGCCGGGTGGCCAATGGCTACCAACAACTAGACTACCAATAGCTAGTCAGGGCCTGAAGGAGAACTTGTGGCAGAGCCGTGCCTACCTTCCCGCTTCTCAGCCACCTTCAGCCCAGACCCTGACAGTCCTGAAGAGTGTGGCTGGAGCAGAAGCAGCTGGGACCGGCAGGGGAAATCACACTTTCAGAGAACACCCTATCCCTCTCAGGATCCCCCAGGCCTTCCCAGGGAAACTGACTTGATGTCCAGAGAGAGGGTACCACAGAAACGCCCCTTTCAGCAAGAGTAACAATTTGAAGTAACAATTTTTCTCAAGGTCAGTCCCCAACAAGGCAGGCGCGGGGGTCACCTGCCTGGGCTCCCACGCTGCCATCCCTGAGACCTTCTCTCCTCCTTTACCAAGCTCTGCCTGTTCCTTCCACGCCTGGGGCGGCTGGGAGCAGCTCTCTCAGGGGAGTCTCCATGGGAACCTCGAGGGGGAATTCCGAGCCCCATAAACCGCCTACCGCCTGGACTTGGCTTCTCTAACAGTTGCTCAAGAACGCTGGCACACAGATTGAGAGGCTCAGCACAAAACGCCTCGGTTTTCTTCATTTTCTTTCCCCAACACCGTTGCCCCAGCCAACCCCTAGTACTGAGGAATGCGCCCAATTGTGTAAGCTGGAGACAGGCAGGCCAAGATCTGACAGGTTTTGGCACAAAGTATAAAATCAATGTATAATCACCTAACAGGCCTTAGGTCAATTTTTATGTCTTTTTTTTTTTTTTTTAACAAAGTCTTGCTCTGACGCCCAGGCTGGAGTGCAGTGGCATGATCTTGGCTCACTGCAACCTCTGCCTCCCAGGTTCAAGCGATTCTCCTGCCTCAGCCTCCCGAGTAGCTGGGATTACAGGCACCACGCCTGGCTAATTTTTGTATTTTTAGTAGAGATGGGGTTTCACCATGTTGGCCAGGCTGGTCTCGAACTCCTGGCCTCCAGTGATCCACCTGCCTCGGCCTCCCAAAGTGCTGGGATGACAGGCGTGAGCCACCGCGCCTGGCTCAATTTTTATGGTTTTAATTGGCAGCTTCTATCAGGCCAAACTACTTCTACAAAGCAAAGGCGGGCAAAGTTATAGTGGCCACCAGGACTCTGGGCATGACTTTCAGGTTTGGCCCTTCCCAGTTGGGAAAAATCCAGGCTTGGCATTTGTACTTGCAACCTGTACTTTTTGCATTTCTTTTTCTGGATGCAAGATACAGTAGGAAACAGATCATGACAGTCATTGTGCCAGAGAGATTCAGGTGGCTCCTGCTGGCAGAAATAAAAGACTTCCTGCTAATCCCTACTCTGGAAAATAAAGTGCTCAGGACGTTTCGGGCAGCCCTCAGATATCCAGCAATAAGAAAAGTTATCTGTAAATGAAATTGATGTTGTAGGATACAAGAAAAAGATGCAACCAGGGGTTGAGTAAGACTGTGCAGGCTGGGTTTGGTAAGAGCGTGGCACAGCACAATATTCTTGACGGAGGGAGGGGATCAGGCCAGGCTGTGGATGAGCTGAGTAGGCAGCTGCCTCCTTGGCGTGATCTGAGGGGTGATGAAACATCAGGACACTCAGAAGACTCGACGCCCAGCTCCAGATCTCCTCCCAAGACCTCAGCAAGTCTCTGAGCTGAGTCATGGGGATGACAGTACCTGCTCTACTTCTCGGGATTGTCATGAGGTTCAAACTAAGCGACAGAGCCTATGTGACTGTGCTGGCTGTTAAGCTATTGTTTCTCAGCACTAATCCACCTCTGCTCTGGGATGCTGGAGCTGGGACTCTGCAAACCACGCTCCCCCTGCCAGCTGCTCCTTGTTACGATTGCCAAAAGCGGGGAATGGTCACAGGGCACGTCCCAGGACAAGCAGAGGCAAGCAAGCAGGGCACCTGGGACGCAGCACGTCAGGAGGCACTGACTCTCTGTGTGGACCCTGCAGTTGCCCAACCACATGGAAATGCTAAACTCTGTCCTTTTACCATCTCCAATTTACGGACACAGACCCTGGTGTCACTTACAGAGAGCCAACCTCCCAAAACTTCGGGGATAAATGTTTTAATGACTTAGGTCTCTTTTTTCCCTTCCGTGACAATGGACAAGTTGCTTTTCATCAGCAAGAGAGCCGTCAGGGCTTCAGTATGGCTGCAGAAAGGTCCGAAGGTAGTGAGGATGGGGAAGTCCTTGTTCCCTGTCCCTAGGGTTGGTGAACCCGGGATGAATGAAAGCAGGACAAAAGGATTCAAGTGGCCTGGATTCCGGGGCTGTCAGGGTTGTCCCTGTGCCCACACCTTGCCTAGCTGGGAAAGAAAGCAGCACAAAGGGCAGATGAGCAGCCCCAAGGATAGGCTTGGAAGCAGGAAAGAGAAAGAATGCAAATTGCCAGGGAGAAGGAAAGAGTCACGTGGAGTTAGGGGAGTTATCCACCAAGAGCAATCAGCAGTTCATGTGGACATTATTATCTTCGGTCCCAATGAAATCAGGATTCCATCTGGTTTAAGGAAAATAAAATCTATACAGTTTAATGATTTTGTTCCCATAATAACACTAAGTGAACAAACAACATCTTTAGCTCTGCTTGGAGAAAAACGGAAATTGTTCTAACCGAGTGGTGTTTAAATATGAGCTCACTCTGATTTACCTCTGATGTGCTTATCCCAGGCTAGCTGCTCTAACCAGCACGGTATTGACATAACAAATGCTAAATCATTACACTGTTGATTTTATGCCCTGGGGCATCTTGGTTACCACCACGGCCGCCTGATCTTTGTGTCTGTATACCATCCACAGCCTAACTCAGGCTGGCCAAATCCCACAGACGGCAGCTTAGGGCCAGAGAACAGAACATGCAGTTGATGTTATTTCCCCATGCAAGAAAATTATAGAAACAGAACAAACATGGTAACTTTCAGAAACATCCTTATCTTGCACTGTTTAACATGTAATTTAGAAATAGACTCTTCATCAGTATCAATTTTTTAGGATTGCCATAACAGAGTACCACAGAGAAGGTGGCTTCAACAACAGAAATTTGTTTTTCAGAATGCTAGAGGCTAGAAGTCTAAGACTGAGGTGGCAGCAGGGTTGGTGTCTTTTGAGGCCTCTCTCCGTGACTTGTGGATGGCTGGCCTCTCCCTGCATCTTCATGTGGTCTTTCCTCTGTGTGTATCTGCGTCCTTATCCCCTCATCTTATGAGGATACCAGTCACATGGGATTAGGTTCTACCCCTATGACTGCATTTTACTTTAATTATCTCTTTAAGGGTCCTATCTCCAAATGCAGTCACATTCTGAGGTACTGGGAAATAGGAGTTCAACATATGAATTCTGAGGGTGACACAATTCAGCCTCTCCCAAGTGTGAGTGACAAGAATAGCCAACCTTTCCCAAAGGCCTACTAAGTGTTTAAAACTGTAGTGAATGCTCAAGTTGAATTTAACCCTTAAAAATAGTCCCATATGGTGGGCATCATCATTCTTCTCATTTTACAGATTAGTGATGAAGGCTTGATGAGGTTAACTGCCTTGCCCAAGGTTACACATGATGAAGCACAGGGTGGGAAGTGAAGTGCATATAACATAAAGCGAACCCAGGCCTGTCCAACTCCAAAGGGATCCAAGTTTTAAAAAGAATTCTACAACCATTTGCCTTCCCGGTGAACTAACGAAAACAACTTCCTGTAATCCTAGCATTTTGCAAGGCTTAGGCAGGTAGATTGCCTGAGCTCAGGAGTTCAAGATCAGCCTGGGCAACACGGTGAAACCCTGTCTCTACTACAGTACAGAAAAATTAGCTGGCTATGGTGGTGCACACCTGTAATCCCAGCTACTAGGGAGGCTGAGGCAGGAGAATTGCTTGAACCTGGGAGGCAGAGGTTGCAGTCAGTGAGCTGAGATTGTGCCGCTGTACTCCAGCCCTCCAGCCAGAGCAAGACTCTGTCTCCAAAAAAAAAAAAAAAAAAAAAAAAAGAAAAGAAAGAAAAAAAACCTTTACTAACTCTTAGCACATATACATTGAAGAGAATGAATGAAATATCTTTGAAAGAGACATAATGCCTGACATTGAAATTCTGAAGGATGCATGGCATATGCTATTTCTGTGTGATAACCAGTTTCACAATTGAGAAGCATTTTTAAGACCACGCTAAAGAAAAAACAAAGCAATAAATAATTAAACTTACCTTACTGATGGTCTTGGCATTGCATTACAAAATCAATAATGATTATCCATTTTGGAGAGAACCCCAGATCTGAAGAACACACTTTGTACTGTGAAATTTGAACCTTACACAAAAACAGAAACAAAAGCTACACTGAGCAGGTAAGAAACATCAATGTTTATTTTTCTCTACTTTAAATATAAAATTATATAATTTTGTTGATAGACTGGATTATCTCAAGATTATCTGGTCTAAGTCCTCAATGTTCCTTACCTCTTTTGAGATTCCTATTCATTGTAATTTATTCAAAATAGCTTATCAGTAATCCAACTCTGTCACTTTAACATAATATCTGTGTTGCCAGTCCTTTCCACACTGCCCTTGCCACTCCAAGCACCCTAGCTAGATATGAGACTGATAATCTTAACAGGAAATAAAATGAGCAGCTATGATTTGAAACTGTTCTTGAACTGAATATTCCAACCTTTCTAGATAAACATGAACTGCTGGATTCCTCTAAAATGTTAGAAATCCCCAGCAAACATGGCTGGTGTTTGAATAACTAGTTAATGTTAGCCGTAGTTCTGCAATTAGCAACAATGAATTTGTCATTCTCATTACAAAAAGGATATGTCCAATGTCTCTTATACAGGGTTTTGTCAAAGTTACTATAAAAAGTAAGCTGGGGCAGGGCATGGTGGCTCACGACTGTAATCCCAGCACTTTGGGAGGCCAAGGAGGGTGGATTACCTAAGGTCAGGAGTTCCAGACCAGCCTGGCTAACATGGTGAAACCTCGTATCTACTACAAATACAAAAAATTAACCATGTGTGGTGGCATGTACTTATAACCCCAGCTACTCAGGAGGCTGAGGCAGGAGAATAGCTTGAACCCGGGAGGCAGAGTTTCCAGTGAGCCAAGATCGTGCCATTGCACTCCAGCCTGGGCAACAAGAGCGAAACTCTGTCTCAAAAAAACAAAACAAAACAAACAAACAAACAAAACAAAAACAAAAAAGTAAGTTGGAAAGATTGAGATTATGCCTTTAAAGAGGTAATAGAGGCCATATTTTAAGATCAATGATCTACTTTGTGTATATTCTTGTAAAGACCCAAGCTGGCATAAATTGATATTAACATGCTAACCTTTAATTTAACCATGAAAAATGTCTAAAGACTGACATAGAAAAAATACACTTAATTTTTAACCCAAGCCTTCAATCTGATCTGACCGTAAATCAACTTCCCATTGAATTCCTGAACACATAATGCACAGTCGTTAATAAAAACATTTGATAGAAAGATTAAGTGACAAAAATCAGTAGTGGCTACTTTGAATCTTTAACTGAAACAAACATAAATCAACAAATCCTCTGAGGAAAAATAGCCCCTTTATAATAAAATCAATACTGCTTTTACAAATCATAAATAATGCAAAACAGGGCCAACGTCAACAGCAATTGTTCCACAAAGATACACAGGTCCACCGTTGTACACCACAAAAATACCATCACCTGCCCATCTTCTAGTGGTAGGAAAGGAGGCATGTTGCAGTTGAGCTCTGTTTTCAGGAGTACCTGGGGGGTGTACTGCATACCCCATCATCACCCTCCAGCCTGGAGAATCTCCTCAAGCACAGTCTCATCTTCAGACTCTTTCTCCTCTACCTTAACTTCTCCCTCTACATACTGTGGTTCCCAAACACTCATTGTCTTTTCTCCCCACAACATTTGTGGTTATTTATTTTTATTTATTTATTTTTTTTGAGATGGAGTCTTGCTCTGTCGCCAGACTGGAGTGCAGTGGCACGATCTCGGCTCACTGCAACCTCCACCTCCCAGGTTCAAGCGATTCTCCTGCCTCAGCCTCCCAGGCACATGCCACCACGCCCAGCTAATTTTTGTATTTTTAGTAGAGATGGGGGTTCACCACCCAAATAGCTGGGATTATAGGCATGTGCTACCACACTGGCTAATTTTTGTATTTTTAGTAGAGATGGGGTTTTACCATGTTGGCCAGGCGGGTCTCGAACTCCTGGCCTCAAGTGATCCACCTGCCTCAGCCTCCCAAGGTGCTGGGATTACAGGCAGGAACCACTGTGCCTGGCCTCTGTCTTAGTTTTTAACAGAAAAAATTTGAAGAAAAAAGAATAAAATGATTTAAAAATATAACAAAACTAGTAGCATAGGATGTAAAGAGGAAAATATTTTTGTACAGTTGTACCATGTGTGTTTTAAGCTAAGTGTTATTATAAAAGAGAATGTTTTCTAAAAAGTTTATAAAATAAAAATTACAGTAAGCTATGTTTAATTTATTACTGAAGAGAGAAAAAAATTTAATAAATGTAGTATAGCCTACGAATACAGTGTTTATAAGGTCTGCAGTAGCGTATGGTAATGCCCTAGACCAAGCTTGTCCAACCCATGGCCCACAGGCCGCATGTGGCCAAGGACAGCTTTGAATACGGCCCAAGGTTTGAATACAGCCCAACACAAATTCATAAACTTTCTTAAAACATTACGAGATTTATGCACAGATAGTTTTCTTTCTTTCTTTCTTTTTCTTTCTTCCTTCCTTTCTTTCTTTCTTCCTTCCTTCCTTTCTTTCTTTCTCTCTCTCTCCCTTCCTTCCCTCCCTTCCTTCCTTCCTTCCCTCCCTCCCTCTCTCCTTTCCTTTCCTTCCCTTCCCTTCCCCTTCCCCTTCCTTCCTTCCTTCCTTCCTTTCTTTCTTTCTTTCTTTCTTTCTTTCTTTCTTTCTTTCTTCCTTCCTTTCTTTCTTTCTTTCTTCCTTCCTTCCTTTCTTTCTTTCTCTCTCTCTCCCTTCCTTCCCTCCCTTCCTTCCTTCCTTCCCTCCCTCCCTCTCTCCTTTCCTTTCCTTCCCTTCCCTTCCCCTTCCCCTTCCTTCCTTCCTTTCTTTCTTTCTTTCTTTCTTTCTTTCTTCTTTCTCTCTTTCTCTTTCTCCCTTCTTTCCTTCCTTCCCTCCCTCCCTCCTTTCATTCTTTCTTTCTTTCTCTCTCTTTCTTTCTTTGTCTTTCTTCTTTCTTATCAGTTATCATTAGTGTTAGTGTATTTTATGTGTGGCCCAAGACAATTCTTCTTCCAATGTGGCTCAGGGAAGCCAAAAGATTGAACACCGCTGCCCTAGGCTTTCACATTCACTCACCACTCACTGACTCACCCAGAGCAACTTCCAGTCCTGCAAGCTCCATTCATGGTAAGTGCCCTATGCAGGTGTATCATTTTTTATCTTTCATACCATATTTTTACCATACCTTTTTCATATTTAGATACACAAATACTTACCATTGTGTTACATCTGCCTACAGTATTCAGCACAGTAACACTCTGTACAGGTTTGCAGCCTAAGAGCAACACGCTATACTGTATAGCCTAGGTGCGTAGTAGGCTATGCAATCATTTAGGTTGATGTAAGTACACTCTATGATGGTTGCACAATAACAAAATCATCAAATGACACATTTCTCAGAATGTATCCATGTCAGTAAGTGACACATCTATATAATAGTCAGTCCATAAATGTTTGTTTAATAAAGGATGTTGTAAATTTGTCTTTTTGTTTGTTTTTGTATCATATCCAACTCCTTCAATCTGTTGCTTAGTAGAATGTGTCTTTATGCTTATATAGGATTTCTTTCCTTGGTAGCAACATTTTTAACGACAGAGTATCTTTTCAAACTGTGTGTGGTACCATGCATCTTTGTTGATAAAATGAGCATTGTGTACATTCAGCTACTTTGCTGAATATTAAACTGGCTAGTCATAATAAGATTCATTTACAGACTATGCTCTTAATATCATATCAAATAAAATATTAAAGGAATTGGAGAGAAAAAGATCCAATTAAACTAAAATTAGATATTCTCAATAACCTAGAGTGACCAATTCTCTGTAGTATCTGAAAAAACATACTCAACCAACAAATGCTCTTTTCAACTTTCAAAGAAGAAAGGGAGATGCTGAACAATTAATCTTGTGTCTTACCATGTGACTCAGATTTTAGAAGCGATGTGATGGAGTGAGAGTAGGACTGTCACTGGAAATCCCCCAAAGTGGGTACTTGTGGTCCAGCCCATTCTGAAACTCTGTGGAGTGGCGTAGACTGGTTGCTAGGCAACCCTGATGATGGGACCATGACTCTCTGCTTCAATAAAGCTGTGCTCCAGCGCGAGTAAACAACCCTGCTCTACACAGGCAAAGGGCTGTCAGCACAATATTTTCACTCCTCGCCGAAAACCTATCATTTCCAGCCTTGGAGGGTACACAGTGCCCTTTTGCTAAGAGGAATCGTCTCCTGAAAATAAGAAGAGACATATTTCAAAGCTAGGACACCACAGACCAGACCACATGACACTCAGGACCAAATGTTCAGAAAACAGAGTCACCATTTTGTACTTGAGCAGTTGTTTTTCTCTTGGGCTGAGTGTGGAATACTGAAAGCAGGTGTCCATGCTTTCATATGCACTTCCCACACTGCAATTCTGTTTGCTGGTGGCATTAGCTTGTTGGGTTATTTCTGTTAACCGAGGGAACTCTTTACATTGACTTGACCTAACTAGGATGTTCTGCTCAAATAACCTTGTTCTAACTTAGAGCTGCCCCCAGGACTTAAAATCCCAATCCTGTGGCATAGCCTTCTTAGGGGAAGATAGAAGTGAAGAGGGTATCATCAGAGCCATTTCACGCCTTCCTCTGCCAATATTCTAAGAGATAGATTTTATTTTATTTATTATTAGTTTTTTTTTTTTTTGAGAGTCTCCCTTTGCCACCCAGGCTGGAGTGCAGTGGTGCCATCTCAGCTCACTGCAACCTCCACCTCCTGGGTTCAAGCGATTTTCCTGCCTCAGCTTCCTGAGTAACCGGGACTACAGGCACCCACCACTATACCCACCTAATTTTTGTATTTTTAGTAGAGACGGGTTTCGCCATGTTGGCCAGGCTGGTCTAGAATCCCTGACCTCAGGTGGTCCATCCAACTGGCCTCCAAAAGTGTTGGGATTACAGGTGTGAGCCACTGCTGCACAGATAGATTTTAGCTGGAGCACTCCTTGAGACAGTGAGCTGTTAAATTGTTGTAGTTCCCTTAAGCTGTTTTTGAGTGATTCTCTAAGAAACCAGGAGAATTGACGGAAAATATGAAAATCTTTCTTCATCTTCCATCACACACACATATTCTCTACCTTTGACTCTGAACTTTTAAAAAAAAGCCTTCATGCAGCCAACTCTGTATTTTTTTAAAATAAATTTTTAAATAAAAGAAGACTAATTTTTGTTGCTCAGATTGTGTGAGGGTTCTCTGGGTGTTCTGAAGTAGGTCAGTAAACACCTGTCACAGTGTTATGTGGTGTTGTTAAAATATGTCCACAAATTCTTTGACATGCCTTCCTTCAAAAAGTAGAACGTAATTCCTTCCTTCTTGAGTGTGGCTGGATTTACTGACTCATTGCAAATGAAGAGAATGTGGCAGAAATGTGAGATTAAGTCATAAAAATGATAACTCCTGCCTGGTCACTCTCGTGTAGCTTGTTTTGGTGGAAGCCAACTGCCAGGTAGTAGGGACACATAGCAGCCCTCAGGAGAGGCCCAGGTGTTGAAGGGCTGCACCTCACACCAAGAGTTAACATCTACTTGCCGGTCCTGTGAGTGAACCCTCTCAGAAGTGAATCCTCCACCCCAGTCAAGAATTCAGATGATTGTAATCCCAGCCAACATCTTTTGTTTCATTTCACTTTTTCTTTTCTTACTGCAGCCTTAACCTCCTAGGCTCAAGCAATTCTCCAACCTCAACCTCCCAAGGAGCTGAGACTACAGGTACATGCCACCACGTCCAGCTAATTTTTTTTTAATGTTAAGGAAATTTATTTTTTATATTTATTTTTGTTATTTTATTTTATTTTAAATTCAGACAATACATACGCAGGTTTTTTACATGGATATATTATGTAATGGTGAGGTTTGGGTTTCTAGTGAACCCATCATCCAAACAGTAAACATTATACCCAATAGGTAAGTTTTTAACCCTCATGTTCCTCCCACTCTGCCCCTTTTATTAAGTCCCCAGTGTCATTATTTATATCTTTGGAAATACGTTCATGTGTTTAGCCGTTAATAAATCTATTGTTTAGCTCTCACTTATAAGTGAGAACATGAGGTATTTGATTTTCTGTTTCTGAGTTTGTTCACTTAAGATAATGACCTCCAGCTGCATCCATATTGCTGCAAAGGACATGATTGCATTCTTTTTATTTTTATGGCTGCATACCATTTCATGATGTATATATACTACATTCTCTTTATCCAATCATCAATGGATAGACATTTAGGTTGATTCCTTGACTATGTATGCTATTGTAATAATGCTGCAATAAGCATACAAGTGCAGGTGTCTTTTGGATAAAATGATTTCTTTTCCTTTGGTTAGACACCCAGTAGTGAAATTGCTGTCTCCCTACATTGCCCAGGCTGGTCTCAAGCTCCTGGGCTCAAGCAATCCTTCCATCTTGGCTTCCCAGAGTGTTGAGATTATGGGCATGAGCCACTGCATCCAGCCCCAGCCAACATCTTGACTGTAACTTCATAAGAGACCCTGAACCAAACTCACCCAATCCAACTACTCCCATACTCCTGACCCCTAAAAATTGTGAGAGATATTGTTCTAAACCACTAAGTTTTGGGATAATTCATTACACAGCAATAGATAAACATTGGCACTCTACCCTCCTGTGCCATAACCATTTGTTATGAAACTCTTATCTCCTGAACCTGAACATGGCTTTGTAACCCTTCACACATTGCATTAGGCAGCCACCACCATCAGAGATGAAACTCATTTGCCAGCACAGATCTGGGGGACCAACAGGAAAAGTTGAACACTTAAGCAAACATTTTAGAAAGTGTCCCTTTACTCTTAATTGTAAATGAAGACTAACTTTAGCAACCTTTCCATTATAATGTAGATGCCACTTACACAGTATTTACAATTGTGTACAAGTAAAAGTGTGACCTGTGGAGACTGATTCTTTTGTTTGACTCTGGTCTGTTTCCCATGGCCTTTTTAACTTACTCCACCAAATGCAAGTATCATCCACCAGGTTCAAGGATTTGATCAAAGTGGATTCATGTGTGTAATCCAGTTCCCCAGGCCACAGTAGTATACAGGTAAAAAATAAGGTCACTGTTAAAAGTATAGCTGGGGAATGATGTCAGCAAATGGCGGAGTGGGTAGCTCCAAGCTCTCATCTCCCTACAAAGACACACACACACACACACACACACACACACACACACAAAAGCAGAAATTGTCAGAACCAACTTTGTCAGAACTCTGGAAAACAGCCAAAGGTTTACAGCAACCATATGAATGCTGAATCGAGAAAAAGCAACTTGAAAATGGTAGGAAAGCTTTGTGGCACTTTTTCCTGTCCTTGCCCACCTCCTTCCCAGCATGACAGCAGTCCTGAAGAGGTAGCAGCCTGTGTTTCCAGAGAGGAACTCTGGTCCCAGTTTCCAGAAGAAGCAGAGCAGATCTCACTCACAAATTATCCCATGTGTCTGTTAATAACCTATTTGGGGACTATGTGAAAGACTGACACGGATGCTTGTATTGGTTTCACCTAACTTAGGCTGGAAAAGTGGTGCCCATCGCTCAAAAACACAGCAAGGTGAACCCACCATTCACAGAAACCTGGGGAAACAGCTTATGGTACAGATATTCAACAGACTGTCTAAGGCCCAGGAAGAAAGGCTGGGGCAAATTCTTTGTAAAATAGGACATTTAAAAGCGCCTGGGTGTATGGGGGAATCTAGAAAACCATGCACATTCTCAGGGCAAGATCCATGCACAGAAAAGACATGGGAAGACTCTGAACTCTCGCCTCTAGCTGATAAAAGCTGAAGGAGTTTGTTTTCACTCCCCAGCCCTAAAGATTGCTAACAGGAGTCCTCCAGGTTGAAATAAGAGGACACGAGGCTGTTGCCATAATGAAGCCATCATGAGGAAATAAAGATCTCTGGTCACAGTAAATTCATGGGCTAATATAAAAGCCAGTATTTTTGTATTTTAAAAATTGCTAAAGGGAGTCCTCCAGGTTGAAATAAGAGGACACTGGGCTGTTGCCATAATGAAGCCATCATGAGGAAATAAAGATCTCTGGTCACGGTAAATACATGGGCTAGTGCAAAAGCCAGTATTTTTGTATTTTTGGTCTGTAACTGCATTTTTAATTTCCTACATGATTTAGAAGACAAATGCATAAAATAATTATAAATCTATGGCATTAGAAATACTATATATAAAGAAATGTCATTTCTGACAACAATGACATACAAGGAGGGGAAGGAGCCATGTGGGAGCAGAGGTTTTACACCCTGTTGAAGGTAAATTGGTATCAACTCAAATTAGATTATTATAAATTCAGGATGTTAAACGTAATCCCCAAGGTAAACACAAAGAAAATATTTAGAGAATATAGACAAAAGGAAATGAAAAGGAAATCAAAACCTTTCACTATGCAAAAAAATCAATTAGTCACAAAAGAAGGCAATAATAGAGGGAAAATCTAATATCCTCTTATGATAAGAAAAAACTCTTAGAAAATGAGGAACAGAGGGGAACTTTCTCAATATAATAAAGGGTATTAATGAAAAAAACAACACAGATAGCATTGGACTTAATGGTGAAAGACTAAAAGCTCTCTCGCTGAGATCAGAACCAAGACAAGGATGCCTACTTTCACTGCTGCAATTCAACATTGTACTGGAAGCTCTAGCTACCAGATTGAAAAGAAATTAAAGGCATACAAATTGTAAGGAAGATGTAAAACGATCTCTATTTGTAGATGCCATGATCCTATATATAGAAAATCCCAAAGAATCCACAAGAAATCTACCAGAGCTAATAAACAAAGCCAGCAAAGTTGCAGGGCACAAGATCAACACACAAAAAAGTTAGACTCTTACCTTATACATACCATTTACAAAAATTAACTCAAAATGGATCAAAGACCTAAACTTAAAAGCTAAAACTATAAAACTTTTAGGAGAAAACGCTGGGGAAAACCTTCATGACATTAGATTTGGCAGTGGTTTTGTGGATGAGACACCAAAAACAGGCAACAAAAGAAAATATAGATAAATTGGGCTTCATCTAAATTAAGAACTTCTGTGCTGCAAAGGATGCTGTTGAGAAAATCAGAAGAGCCTACAGAGGGGAGAAAATATCCACATGTCATATATCTGATAAGAAATTAGTATACAGAATAAATAAAGAACTCCTACAATGCAACAACTGAAAAAAAAATTTTAAATGGAAAAAAGATTAAATAGACATTTTTCCAAAGAAGATACATAAATGGCCAATAAACACATGAAAAGATGCTCAATATCAGTAGTCATTAAGGAAATACAAATCAAAACCCCAACAAGATACCACTTCATATCTACAAGGATGGTTAGAATTTTTAAAAAATAGAAAATAACAAGTGTTGGCAAGAATATGGAGAAGTTGGAACCTTCATACATTGCTAGTGGGAATGTAAAATGGTGCAGCCAGTGTGAAAAACAGTTTAGTCGTTCCTCAAAAAGTTACATATAGAATTACCATATGATTCAACAACTTCATTCCTCAGTATATGCCAAAAAGAACTGAAAGGAAGGACTCAAAAAACAGATACGTGTATGCCAATATTCATTGCAGCATTATTCACATTAGCCAAAAAATAGAAACAACACCAGTGTCCATAAATGGATGAACATAATGGATATCCATAAACAAAATGTGCTGTATACATACAATGGAATATTATTCGGCTGTATAAAAGAGTGAAGTCCTAATACATGCTACAACATGGATGACCTTGAATACATTGTGCTAATGAAATAAAACACAAAAGAACAAACATTATATGATTCCACTTACATGAAGCATCCAAAATAGGTAAATTCTCAGCAGCAGAAAGTAGATTCAAGGTCACCAGGAGCTAGAGGAAGGGAGAATGGGGAGTTATTCTTTGATGGTTACAGAGATTCTGTTTGGAGTGATGAAAAAGTTTTGGAAATAGAACAGTGATGGTTGTACAACATTGTCAATGTAATTAATGCCAATGAACTGCACATTGAAAATAATGGTTAAAATGGCAAGTCTTATGTTATCAATATTTTACCACAATTTAAAAAAACAAAAGTATACATGGGATAAAGGAAGGGGATCTCTTACTTTTCCTGGGGCACTTTCTTCCTTGTCAACTCATTCCACTCTCTTTTCTTTCCTTTCTTTTCTTTTTCCTTTCCTTTCCTTTCCTTTCCTTGGGCACTTTCTTCCTTGTCAACTCACTCCACTGTCTTTTCTTTCCTTTCTTTTTCCCTCCCCGCCCCCCCTTCTTTCCTTTCCTATGATATCGGAGTCAGGCTAAAGTGCATTGTCTCAATCAATGCTCACTGCAGCCTCAAACTCCTGGGCTCAAACAATCCTCCTGCTTCAGCCAGGCCTCCACCACTATGACTGGCTAATCTTTTTTATTTTTCATACTAAGTTGCCAGGCTGGTCTCCAACTCCTGGCCTCAAACCATCTTCCTAACTCCCAAAGTGCTGGGATTATAGGCTGGCCCTTGTCAGCATTTTAAAAGATATCTTGTTAACTCAGCCATTGTTAAGGTCATTAAGGAAAACCCAATAGCGGAAAATAAGACAGGTTCACTTGTTTACCCACCAGCCAACAGAGCAGGCCCTCAGGAGAATCCACCCCTCTCGGGCTCAGGCCCCCTCAGAAGACCCCACCCCTCCCTGGCCCAGGCCCCAGGCTTTCTCTGCCTCAGGTGACCAGGAAGTTACACTCTGACTTCTCCAAAAAGATTTTTCTAAATAGATCTGACAACCCTAGAG
This sequence comes from Homo sapiens, assembly GCF_000001405.40. Classification (NCBI taxonomy): domain Eukaryota; kingdom Metazoa; phylum Chordata; class Mammalia; order Primates; family Hominidae; genus Homo; species Homo sapiens. Next base: position 100,445,405 of record NC_000008.11, on the reverse strand, counting down.
AGATGTCCCAGGTGTGCTTTGGAAATTCCCTTGGGTACCATGTGGCTGCTGTATTTTCTCCCTACAATAAAAGCTGCCTTGCAGATTACTGCACCGAGACATCTGAGTTTCTGGTTCCCATACTCCAGACTCCAACAGACACCTCCTGGGATCAGAGAAGAGATACACCTTCTGTCCCCCGACATGTATAGTGTGTTAAAAGGTCACAAGCTGGACTGCTTAAAGTCCTTAAAGTATAGAAGAGCTTTTAAGAAATGGCTTTTCAGCTTTGTTACTCCTCCCCTAGAGCTCAGGCAGGAGTCCATGCGAAGAGCGGGTAAAGTGAGGAATTAGGGGGACAAATACAGGGCTGTGCTCAGAGGTATTAATAGCTGTACCCTTCAGCTTTTATCCACTGCCCTCCATCAGACTTGGGAACTTTAATTATCTTCCTTTAGCACAAATTCTCTCCTAGGAGGAGCCTCAGACCATCGTGCAAATACAGCCATGGAAGTCTAGCTTCTCCAGTTCCCCAGACTTGCTTAGACATGCCTGCATCCGGGGGGTGTCCTGCTCATTAATAGTTAAGGTTCGTGTTGGCTTGCTGTGTGCCAGAAATCAAAGCTTTAGATGCACTAATCTCCTTTCTTTTTTCCTTAACTTAAAAAAAAAATTTTTATTGATTTAGTGGGTACAATTGCAGTTGTGCCACATAAACATACTGTGCAGTGGTAAAGTATGGGCTTTGAGTGTACCCATCATCCCAATAGTATACATTGTACCCAATAGGTAGTATTTCATTCTTCCCCCGCCCCCACCTTCCCTCCTTTCTTTTTTTTAAATTAAAAAAATCAGATGATATTTATGATACCTATATGTTTTGGAAAATTTGTAATGTACCAAAAATTACATATAGGGTCATTAAAACTTGCCCTTAACTTTGCTGCTTATTATTTCATGTCATCCTCACCACAATCCAGTGAGGAAGGTTTAATTGCTTCTACTGTGCAGTCAAGGGAAGCTAGGCTCAAAGAGAAGCGAAGCAAAGGGCCTTGTCTGAGATCACACCTAGGAAATGGATTTGTGTGAGGAAAGCCGAGCTCCTCCCCGGTGGCCACACTGCCTCCTCAAGCTGAGGCTCCAACTACAGAAGCTGGTGCAGAGCCTCCTATATGCTCAGAGGCCTCCTTCACAATATTCTATACCCAGCCCCTGCTGCACTGATGATCTCCCCAAAGAAGGAAAGAGACCCAACTGCTGCCAGCCACAGAATCAACTTGGGCAACATGACTTCCTTCCTAATCTTAACAATGAGGGTTGAACTAGTCCAAAGACCATTAGAGATAACAGGCCTGAGGAAATACCTGGCACTAATACATTCACAGAAATGAATAAATGGATGTCACTCCCACGTCAAACATTCCATCCCTGTCCTGCCTCTTAGTATTTGAACAGCAATTATGGCTGGACCACTAATATCAGAGTCAAACTGAAATGGGAAGCCTCTCATACACAGAGTCAGACACCCTGAAAATTACAGGGAACACACCACCAGGGCTATAGTTAAGGTAGGAGTGTTAGCCCCAAGAAAAGACATTATTTTGCTTCTCTTAAATTCTACAATGGTTCTTGTTTTTGCTATTTTGATGTCTATCTTACCAAAGTCAATCTTAGGCTTTTACCAACCCTGCTATACTCAAGGGGCTTGGGAGTTCTCTGCATTACAGGCATTAAAACTTTCCCAGAAGTCCCTGAGTTATCTTTGGGATAAATTCCTGCCCCCAACACATTTCAAATCTTCTCTAGGAGGTCCTTAGTGATTGCGTGAACAGCCTGCAAAAGGAGTGCTATGTTTCTTCTGTTAGGGGGACATCCTGGCTTTGGGCATATCTGGCCAAGGACGTTATAAGTTCTCTAAATTGTGTCTTTCTTCCACAACCCTCAGAGCCAACTGCAAGCATTAGAGAAGGAGATATTTCTCCACTTAAAACTCGCCCCCAAAAGCTGACTTGCCTTCTGTGGTTCACAATGTCTCCAGGAGAGAAAAAATTCAGCCCTCACAGCTTCAGGTTGAGCACACACCCAGCCCACTATTTCCGTAACAATGCAGCCAACCTCTGACTAATCCTCAACTTACAAATGATTCACACATACAAATGAGCTCTGAGCATCCTCACCGCCTCCACCACCACCGAAGTTCTCCCGAACAACTCTCTGCCACTGCCAGAGCCACTAGCTCCCTATCCCTTGTCTCACGTCCTCCTCCCCACCCTTCTCAGGGCTCAGAGGAGCTATCGGAGACAGCCTCCCCAGCCCCTCTCAGCAAGAGGCACTGATGCTGAAAGGCAGTAAAGTTTTCAGAACCATGGCCTTGCAATCAGGCAGGCCATGAATCGTGTCTGAATTCCTTCACTTATTGGCTACATGGCGCCAGACAAGTTCATTAATTTCTCTAACCCTTGTTTTTCTCATCTGTAAAATGGGAAGACAACCATACTAATCCCTTGGGGAATTGTGAGGATTGAATAACATAAGACATATAAAGCATGTAGCATATAGAAATTGCCTTAATAAGAAGTAGTTATTATTCTCATCCAAAAACATTATTAATGCTCAAAGACTCAGCTCCACTAGGAGGCAATGGTACTCCCAGCCCACCATGAGCAGCCCCAGACTTGTACCCAGTGATCTGCTCCTGCTGTCTCATACCCGATCCCTTTGCTCACTCTCTCAAGCAAGTTCCCAGAACATGCCATCTTCCTTCCTGCCCTCATACCCTTCTTCCTTTTATTTTTTTTAATTTTTTTGAGATGGAGTCTCGCTCTGTCACCCAGGCTGGAGTGCAGTGGTGCAATCTCGGCTCACTGCAACCTCTGCCTCCTGGGTTCAAGTGATTCTCTTGCCTCAGCCTCCCAGGTAGCTGGGATTACAGGTTGTTAGAAATACCAAAATTGTTAGAAATAGATAATCGGTGCAATTTTGGTATTTCTAACACAGGTGCCCACCACCATGCCTGGCTACTTTTTGTATTGTTAGTAGAGACGGGGTTTCACCATGTTGGCCAGGCTGGTCTCCAACTCCTGACCTCAGGTGACCCGCCCACCTCAGCCTCCCAAAGTCCTGGGTATTACAGGCATGAGCCACCATGCCTGGCCCCTTCTTCCCTTTTGTATGGCTAAATTCTCATCCTTTAGGTCTCAGCTCAGATGTCATTCCTCAGGGAAGCCTTGCAGAGCCCTCTTCCCACCAGACCTAATTAGATTCCCCCTTACTGTTGTTAGATGCTGTCCATCTTTGAAGGGCCGTCTACAATTTTGGTTGTACCATTATAAATTTAACCATTGTTACATGTCTGTTTCCCCTTCAGACCATAACTTCCATGAGTGTAGGGACTGTATTAACCATGATATCCTTATCACCTAGGAATTGGCTTGGCACATGGTGTGAATAAATGAGTGAGAGAGAGAGAAGGAAGGGACGAAGGAAAGAAGGAAGGAAGGAGTAGGGAGGGAGAGAAGGAAAGAGGGAAGGAAGGGAGGAAGAGAGGAAGGAAGGAAGGAAGGAAGTTAGTTCTTGGGTACATATGAACCATCCAAATCATACTATTCTATTTAGACCCCTGCCATGCTGGCTCAGCTCAGAGTTCTAGGTTTCTGTAACAACTTGCCTACATAGCTTTGAGTCTGTTACTGGATCTCAGCCAGCTTTGTGGAGCCCAACACCATACCAAGCTCTTCCAGACCTTTCCTTAGAGGATTAATTGCTGCTTCCAAACCCACGAGACAGTGCCTGAGATCTTACTGGGCAAAACAAAACTTTTTTGATTTGTGCCCCAGACACCTGCCTGCCTTCGTTTATTTCCTCCCACCTGGATTCTAACTATTGTGCCCAATCCCACGGATTAGCCACCTGGCCTTGGTGGTTGTCCAGATGTCAAGGAAGTTCTGTGCTCTGGAGATGTTAGACTCACCCCAGACCCCAGCTAGTGAAGCCTTAGGTCTCCCCTCTACCGCCATGTGACTGAAGCCCAGTAGGCCTCACTCCCTTGGTTCTGGACACCTGGGAATGCACAGCTCGGGGTCACCACTAGCACATCTAGGATAGTCTAGGAGCCTAACTCAGTGTAGCCCCCCAGATCCATTACAACAATTTCTCATGTAATACTGTAGCAATGTGATGACTTTTTAAAATAACCCATTTGAGGCCGGGAGCGGTGGTTCATGCCTGTAATCCCAGCACTTTGGGAGACCAAGGCGGGCAGATCACCTGAGGTCGGGAGTTCAAGACCAGCCTGGTCAACATGGTGAAACCCCGTCTCTACTAAAAATACAGAAAATTAGCTGGGTGTGGTGGCATGCACCTGTACTTCCAGCTACTCAGGAGGCTGACACAGGAGAATCGCTTGAACCCAGGAGGCGGAGGTTGCAGTGAGCCGAGATCGTGCCATTGCACTCCAGCCTGGGTGACAAGAGCAAAACTCAGTCTCAAAAAAAAAAAAAAAAAAAAAAAAGACAGGACAAGAAAAAGAAATAAAGAAAAGAAAACCCATTTGAAAAATATCAGTTTTTCATGAAGTTTCTTACTTGCTTCAGGCCTACTTACCACAACTATGTTAAACTAATCAACACACCACCACCCTCAGCCTCACCTCCACCCTCAACACACACGTACTTCAGTCTCACTCCGCCTTTGCTAATTACCACATACAACTTTGTTTCTGTGGGAAAATGCATGCCCAGATTCAATCAACCAATCTAAATGACAGTCTTTGGAGCCTCAATCCTCAGTAAATGCAGGGTGGGCTGCCTGGCTGTCCACTAGGCCATAGCCTTTCTAAAGTTAGGAAGGAGAGAATTTGAAGGAGGGATGTAGTTCAAGTCCCACTTTAAAGTAATGGGACTGGTTTAGGCATGTGCTTGGGGAAATCCATCACTCACCAGGTGGCCTTCCTTTCTGTTTCCCATCTTTTACCTCCAAGTTTTTGTTCACACAGATTCTCCTGAATGGGATGCCTGCTCTCTCGACCTCCACTTGGTTAGATTTGGTCCATCCTTCTCAACCTGCCCTTGTAGGTTCCTGAGACTTCTCCAGACTGAGCCTACCTGCCCTCTTATGAACTCTTTGGGGACTTAACACATGGCATGTCCCGCTTGCTCTAGAATTGCCTCATTTCTGTTTCCCCAATCATATTATAAGCTCCTTGAGGGCAATGGCTGTGTCTGATGCATCTCCACAGGGGTGAGCTCACATCGGTTCTCATAAATCCTTGATCTTATGAGATTGGAACTGAAGTCCTGGACATCTCCCATTCTCTCCCCACCCCCAGCTCTCTATCATCACTGGGACCAGCCCGGACCACTCTAGTGTCCTATATGTCAACACAAGGAGTGGTTGTTTCTATCCACCAAAGGTTTCTGCTTATGATGGGGAACCACATGCTTTCTAGGAAGGAAGAGCATCTTCTCATTCAGCAAACTCAGCTGTTGGGTCGTGTGGGGTGATGGGTAGAGAGGAGAATCAGAGAAACTAAGAGAAGGCAGAGTTACTCTCTGCAAGAGAAGCCCAAGGAGATAACCCGCTAAAAGAACCTTATACAGCAGAAGAAGCTGGAAAGAAGAGGGAGTTAGAAGGACAGCCTGTGTGGCTACAAGTTCATGAAGAGAGAAGAGGAGGACAGGGAAGCTGAGAACAAGGGGGAGTGATGGAGCAGACATTGTCAGGGGGTGAGACTTTAGGGTAAAAAGACATGTTTAAAGACAAGTTTAAAGAAGATCTGGGCGTGGTGGCTCACAATTGTAATCTCAACACTTTGGAAGGCTGAGGTGGGAGGATTGCTTGAGCCAAGGAGTTCGAGACCAGCCTGGGCAGGATCTCAAAACTCTGTCTTTCTTTACAAAAAAAAAAAAAAAAAAAAAAAGCCTTGTGTGTATGATGTACTATATGCCCCTCCTCACCTCCCTTAGAAATCCTCAGTAAAAACCTACATTTTTCCTTGATGTTTTCTGAATCAGCTGCATGGAGTTTTCAGTTCATTGTTTCAATAAGGCCACAGGTGCAGTAGTTCTCATGGTGGGTGTGGAGTGAGTGTGCACAGCCCCCAAGGAAGCCCGGCTCGGGTATAAATGGGTAATGTGTACATTTGTTTGTTTAGAAGGTGCCAGAGTCCTTCTTTATTGGTGTAAAGATTAGATAAGGAAAATACAATTTATGAAAATGAAAAAAAAAGTTACCCTGAGTCCTACCAGGTTAACACCATTTTTTCCCTATTTTTTCAAATCCTGATTGAACCTTTGAGGAAGGTATTCTTTATTTGGTTGGTTGGTTGGTTGGGTATTTGGCACAGGGTCTTGCTCCATTGCCCAGGCTGGAGTGCAGTGGCACGATCATGGCTTACTGCAGCCTTGACCTCCCAATGCTCAGGAGACCCTCCCACCTCAGCCTCCCAAGTAGGTGGAACTATAGGCATATGACACAACACCCAGTCAATGTTTGTATTTTTTGTAAAGATGGGGTTTTGTTATGTTGCCTAGGCTCGTCTCGAACTCCTGGGCCCAAGGAATCCTCCCGCCTCAGCCTCCCAAAGTGCTGGGATTACAGGCATAAGCCACTGCGTCTATCTGAAGGTGTTCTTCAGCTGGGACCTGGAGAACTTCTGAGACATGAGAGAATCCTGGTCTTTGACAACCTATGTTGTACCTATGGACAGTCTGCTGCTGCTTACTTATGGCTCAACTAAGACCAAAAAAAAAAAAAAAAAAAATCCAGCAGTTCTGAAGAATGCTTTCTTGTCCCTTCTGGGGATGATCAAGGGGTCAGGGAGCTCTCTGCCTTCGTGGGAGAGTGTTCTTCCAGCAGCCACACCCTGCAAGCTACACAGCATGCTCATACTTATAATTTAGTTCAAGAAACTGGAGCTCCAAGCCAAGAGCAACAGCTTGTGATTTGTGGGTGTTAAATGCGCCAGAAAGCGGTCAGCATGTAGGCGACAGATGGGAGGGGAAGGTATTCCTTAGCTGTGGTGGAGGAAGAAGCCTGAGCGCCTTTTCCATTTTGGAACACGTGGCTTTTCTCTGCTGAGTATGACTGGCCACCCTGGGGTGGCCCTGACCAGGAAAGTCTGAGTCTGCAGCCTCTGAGCCTGAAGGTCAGGCGTGGTTACTTTAAAAATAAACTCTTGTGACTATAACCCTGGCTCAGCGCGTGCAGTTGTGGCCTTGGACTGAAGACACTGGCCACAGCTATGATTTGCATTCACCAAAAATAGTCATTTCAGCATCTGAGAGTGAAATGGGGAAGGAAGAGCCAAGTTCAGTTTCTTCCTCTTCTCTGCTGCTTTTCTCCATGGGACTAAGCAGATCAACTCAGTCAGCTCTCTTCCCTCTTGCTTCAGTCACCCTGCTCAGGATTAGACACCTTCCTTCAGCAAAGGCGTGCTGAGGACCATTTATCCTCCAGGCACTGGAGATTTAACAGTGAACACAACAGACGTGGGTCCTGCCCTCCAGGTCCTTAAGGTCTTACTGGGCATATGTTCATTATGTGGCAGCCATAACTAACTACCACAAACTGGGTGGCTTCGAACACCAGAAATTCTTTTTCTCACTGTGTTGGAGGCCAGAAGTCTGAAGTTAGGTGTCAGCAGGGTCATGCTCCTCATGAAGGCTCTGGGTGGGGGGTCCTTCCTGGCCTTGCTGCTGCTGTCAACCTCGGCCTTCCTTGGCTTATTGCTGCCTCATCCCAGTCTTTGCCTCTGTCTTCACATGGCTTCTGCCCTGTGTGTCTAGGTTTCTGTGTCCACATCTTTCTTTTCTTCTCCTTCTTCTTCTTCTTCTTTTTTTTTTTTTTTTTGAGACAGAGTCTCTCTCTGTCACCCAGGTTGGAGTACAGTGGAGTGATCTTGGCTCACTGCAACCTCTGCCTCCTGGGTCAAGCGATTCTCCTGCCTCAGCCTCCCACGTAGCTGGGATTATAGGTGCCCGCCACCTCGCCTGGCTAATTGTTGAATTTTTTAGTAGAGACGGGGTTTCACCATGTTGGCCAGGCTGATTTCAAACTCCTGGCCTCAAGTGATCCACCTGCCTCAGCCTCCCAAAGTGCTGGGATTATAGGCGTGAGCCACTGCCGCCTGTCCAGATCTTTCTCTTCTTCTGAGTACACCAGTCATATTGGATTTAGGGCCCACCCTAATTCAGTATGATCTCATCTTAACTATTACATCTGCAAAGACTTCATTTCCTAAAAAGGTCCCATTCTGAGCTTCCAGGTGAACATGAGTTTGAGGGGGAGGGAGGGACACTGTTCAACCTGGTACAGGGTGTCAAATGGGAAATAAACAAATACGTAGACATGGGGCAGGATTATATGGCAAGTATTAATATTAAGCAGGTGGCTGGATGTGGTGGCTCACGCCTATAATCCCAGCACTTTGGGAGGCCGAGGCGGGCAGATCACTTGAGGTCAGGAGTTTGAGATCAGCCTGGCCAACATAGTGAAACCTCATCTCTACTAAAAATACAAAAATTAGCCAGGCCTGGTGGTGCACGCCTGTAATCCCAGCTACTAGGGAGGCTGAGGCAGGAGAATTGCTTGGACCCAGGAGGCTGAGGTTGCAGTAAGCCAAGATTGCACCACTGCACTCCAGCCCAGGTGACAAAGCAAGACTCCCTCTCAAAAAAAAAAAAATTAACCGGTTGTTTTCTGTACATTTTTGTTTCTATCTTCCTTTTCACTGGTACACCAAGTCAACATACACCAATCGGAAGCAGACTCCCCTCAGTGTCGCAGGAAGATTCTGGAATGCATGCAGCCTGCAGAGACTGTTTTCCTCTCTCAGAGACCAGAGAAGGGCAGCCAGGCCTGAAGACAGGAGAGAGTGGGAAGACAGTGTGGCAACAAGAACAGGGGAGGCAGGGGAGGAGGAAGGAGGTACAACCTGGAACCTGGAGGAAACACATGCCTAAAGGTTTCCCCTTTCTCACCCCATTGTCTGCCCCCAGGCAATGAGCAGTTGGATGCAGCATCTTTGTAACTCTCTCTCTTTCCCTGCTTTGCTCCCCATTTCTCCCGCTCACTGGATCACACTCCCCAATAGAGGACTTGACTTCACATTTTTGTGTTAGATTCTGCCTTGGGGTAAGACCCAGGCTAAGACAGACACTTCTAGTTGTGTGACTTTAGGAAAATGCCTAATTTCTCTAAACCTAAATGTTCTCATCTCCAAAGTGGTGATGCACAGGAGCTATCACTGTGGTAAGCAGAATAATGGCCCCCTAAAGATGTTCACATTCTAATCCCTGGAACTTGTAAATATGTTAGGTACCATGGCGAAGGGAAATTAAAATTGCAGATGAAATTAAGGATGTTAATCTGATCTGAAAATAGAAAGATTAATCTGAATAATCCAGGTGGGCCCAATGTAACCAAAGAGTCCTTAAGAGTGGAAGCAGGAGGCAGGCAGAGATGCGATGTTGCTGGCTTGGAAGATGGAGGAGGACACCGTGAACCAGGGAACAGGGCCGCCTCTAGAAGCTGGAAAGGGCACAAAAATGGATTCTCCCCTAGAGAGCCTTCAGCCCTGCTGACACCCTAATTTTAGCCCAGTGAGACCTGTGTCAGGCTTCTACATTCAGAACTGTAGTAACATATTTGTGTTATTTTAAGCTACTGCATTGTAATTGTTATAGCAGCAAATAGAGAACTAATATACTTACCTCATGGGCTACTGTGACAATCTGATGAGATAATATCTGTAAAGTACTTAGCTCAAGCCCTGGCACATGGGAGATGGGTGGTGATTGCTGTTGCTGTTCGGTAGTAAATAACCAGAGAGTGCCTGGCTGACTTCTTACTGCAGTCACCTGAGTCCCACCCCTGGCGATTCAGGAGCCTGGGCAAGGGAAGGAAACCTGTAGCCTATAGGACTTACACTTGGCCCTGACATACAGCCAGGTGTGACCCTGGAGCCACACCCTGGGGCCCCAAATCATAACCTTGTGGCCACCGGCACCATCCCATCCTCTGGCCCCTTGGTACCACTGTCCTTGCCCCATCTCAGGCTGCCCCAGCCACCTGAAAAGCATGCCAGGACCTGAAATAGCAGCCATACTCGTTGGTCTGCAAAATGCTTTTTTCTGCCAGTTTGATATTTTTGTCACTGTGGATCCTCATGTTCTGTATTTAAAATATGAAGACACTTATTCAGGTATAATCAATGCACCAAGCAGGCTATGTTCTCCAGGTGGGGGCCCTGGACAGCAGCAGCAGCATCCTCCGGAACTTATTAGAAATGTTCCTGCTCCCGCCAATCCCAGACCTATTGAATCCAAAACTCTAAGGGTGGGGCCCAGCCATCTGCTTTTTAACAAGGCCTCCAGGTGTACAGCCAAATTTGAGAACCACTGTGCCACTACACAGGGCATTGGACCAGATGTCAAATGCAGGTGGCTTGGCACCTCTCACCAGGGCATAAGTTTAGAATCCTGTCTATTCTTACCACCCTCTGGGGTCAGTCACACAGGTTATAAGGCTTATTAATTAATTCAGCAAATATTGAGTGCCTACTGTATGCCAGACACTGAAACAAAAAGTGGAGTACAGTGGGTAACAAGCCAGTTCGGGGCCTGACCTCATAGAGCTAACAGAGAAGAAGACAGACATTCAATAAATCATTGCCTACTAATACCTTACAAGATATGCTTTACAGGGTTTTAAAAATCAGTGCTTCTCAGTGCTTAATTTGCATACAAATCCCCTGGGATCTTGTTTGAATGCAGGCTCTGATTCAGTAGGTCTGCGGCAGGCCTGAGAGTCTAATATGTCTTTTGAAGAAGCTCTCAAATGAGGCTGCTGGCCTGAGGGCCACACTTTTGAGTAGCAAAGCTTTAAACCTCTTGAGGCGATTTCATACCCATTATCCTATTCTAGCCTACAATTTCTCTGATGGGAAAAAGTGACAGGAATCGCCATTACTTTTCTTTCCTCTAGAAAAACTAGGAGAGTCAGGAACAATTATCCTCCTTTCAGGTGAGAAAACCATGTCCTGGCGCTCCGAGTGTTACATCGAGGCTGGGCCCTGGGACCCCAGGAGCTCAGTGCACACCGCCTGCATTACCAGGAGGTTCAGGCAGCCGAGACAAAGGAGAGAGGTGGCTCCCTGATTAACTTCTGCATTCGAGTTTTATCATAGAGCCACAGAGCTCTCTCCCTGAGCCATCCCTGATGTTGGGGAGACAACTGCTTGGTTCTCCCTCTGGTCCAGGACTTTGATAAGAAAATAGACGTGGATTTGCAATGCCTGTGAGTCAAGTGAGTTCTTTGGGCTGAATGATAAAAAAGGCGCATTCCCCACCTCCCTGAAGGGAAGAAAATCACATAGGATGATGGCAGCCCCTGTCATTTCCCCCAACCCCATAAAAATAAAGGCTTCCCAGTCCCCTACAATGAAGGGAAAATAGGAAGCAGGCTTTTCTTGGCTTGTTTCCAGCCAGGGCAGCTGGAATCTATTGGACCCATTCAAACTGTCACTCTCCCTGAGATAGGCTGGCTGGGTAAACACTTCCATTTCATTTAAGGAGTCTACTTCCCCTCTTGAACCTCCCACCTCACCCAGGGCCACCCTTCCGCTCTCACACCCCAGCTATGTTTCTTGTCTACACTAAGCTCTCAGGGTTTGTGAAGTGGATTTGTATGATTCCAAGTGATTTCAAGAATTCGTTTGGAGGCTCCACTCCACATCAGCAAACATATTAAAAAGCATTCGGTGCTGGACACAGTGGTTCATACCTTGTAATCCCAGCACTTTGGGTTGAGGCTGGAGGATTGCTTGAGGCCAGGAATTTGAGACCGGCCTGGGCAATATAGCCAGACCCCACCTCTTAAAAATATTCTTTTTAAAAAAAACCACTAGTTGGGCATAGTGGTATGAGCTTGTAGTTTCAGTTACTCAGGAGGCTGAGGTGAGAGGCTGAGGCAAGAGGATCATCTGAGCCCAGGAGTTAGAGGCTGCAGTGAGCTATGATTGTGCCACTGCACTCCAGCCTGTGAAACAGAGTGAGACCCTGTCTCAAAAAAAACCCAACCAACCAACCAACAAACAAAAAAACCCCACACATCTTATGTATTAAGTATTTGGCCAATGTGAGCAAGTTTTATTTGCTAGCATTTTGACTGTAAAAAAAATGATGCTTTTATAATTCTACTTTTAAAATAATTCGCCTACCAGGAATACATTCAATCTGTGATTGGCTGTGCTTTCTCAACCATCAGTATGCAAGCCAGAAAATCTTTTCAAAGAAAGAAAAGCAAGCCTTATTTTTTTAAGCATAATGAAGTTTTATGAATTCCCAATTTATTCACGAGATCAGCATGTAATTTTTGTAGGCATTTAATCCAGCCTTTAATTTCAGTTTTGCAGTCCTTTTTCTACTTTGGAGTTCCTTACTATTTTTTAGGGGAGGGGGTCTTAAGCATCTTGGTTAGGCCCTTGATGGTACTTAATAGCTAAAATGGCCTTCAGTCAGGGAGGGTGCAGCAGGTGAGGATCTAGGCAATGGTAGATGCCACTCGCCAGGGGAAACCACTCCCCAGTTCTAAGAGTCTTCTCTGCACTTCGCTTTTTTCTTGCATTTTCTTACCTCCAGGGATCCAGTTTCAGCCAAGAATTTGGTTGCCATGGTGACGGAGAACACTAGGCAGAAACGTCAGGTTCCGGGCTTTGCTTAAATGGACTAAATTTTAATTACAGAAAGCGTGGTGAGCAGCAGGCAAGGAGGGTGGACTTCCCGCATGCCGTGATCTGGATTGAAAAAGGCCACAGAGAGAGAGAGGGTATGGCAAGAAAAGTGGCAGGGTGAAGGGTCTGGGGGCCCAGGCAGCTATGTGAAGGTTACATACACAGAGGGTAGTCCTGTAGGCCTGGGGTCAGAGACGGGCTTTCAGATCTGGCTCTCCTGCTCCTCATCGTGTGATCCTGAGCAATAACTTGACATCTCTGTGCCTTCCTTCCATTCGTATAACAGGATAATCACAATAACGCCTGCCTCCTACAGCTGCTGTAAGGATTACATGAGCTACTGTGTTTAGCATAGTAGTTGGCTCATATTAGATGATTCAATATTATTGTATTCATATATGTATGTATTGATTTATGTTTATTGAATTCAGTCAAAATAATAACTATTATTATTGAAAGCAAACTTCACAGGTCCAAAGAAAGTATTCGAGTCACTCTCAGTGTCTCTGCCCACATAGAGTATGACGTGATTTCAGTCCTAAGGGAAAGGAAAATACTTTCTGTCCAGTGCCTCCAGTGTGTGTTAGGACCCTTAGGCACCCATCTTTCTTATCTGCTCACATGTACAGCCAATAGCCTACAATCGCAGAGAGAGTATTTCTTCTGAGAAAAGTTAAAGATGAAAATATCAGTCTGCATTTGTAAGCCACTCAAGAAACATCAAGCCGGCTGAACCTGCTGAATGTAGCAAAGGTAGTGAGCAGTGGTTAAAACAAATATATGGGGTCAGTGATTCTCAAACTGAAATCCCCCCAGAGTCTTCCACTGGATGCTCAAATCCATCTGGGAGAGGGGAGGAAGGGAAGAAGGATTCAAGAGAGGTGTTATGGGCCAGGCTTGGGGGTGAGCAGCATTACTTCCATCCTCACTCTGTCGGCCAGCCGCAGGCACACACCACCTCTGAGTGTAAGGGACTGAGAAACTGGTCAACTGCATAGGCAGGAGGAAAAGCAGCCAGCCGGGGCCACACGGGTGATTTTAACGCACAGCTAAGTTCAAATACTCTTCTCCTGGAGTAAAAGGGAAAGATAATTGAGGTTTCAAAAGTTGAAGAAAGAGACAGAAGGAAGCAAACAAAATAACATCTTGCAGTGGAAGAGAAGCTTATACGGTTTACAGAGCACTATCACATACACTCATGTAAATGTTTCAGATAAGGTATCACAGGCTCCAACTTGCCTTCGAAGTCTTTCTACAGCACCCTGGCCAGACCTCCCCTTCCCCACCCAGCACATTCTAGTCTACTACGTGCCTGCTTATCTCAATTAGACTGCAGGCAAGGCTTCAACTTCTTCATCCTTGAATCCCAAGTGCCTGGCAAGGTGCTTGGCACAGAGTAGTGAGAGCTGGTTGAATTTGGTCTAGGAGATTAATGGAAAAGAAGAAAATAAGCAGAGAAGACCCCCGGTGGTTAAGAGCCCTGATTTTGCCACTTAGTACCTTGGTGACCTTGGACAGGTGACTTTAGCCTCTCAGTGTCTTGGTTTCCTTGTTTGTAAATAGAGTCTATGATTGCATCGACCTCAGATGGTTATTGCGAGGGTTAAATGAGCTAAGAGATCCAAATGTGCTTAGAAGAGCATCTGACTCACAGTAAGTCCCTGGTAAGTGTTGTTGCTATTTTTGTTAGTAAGATGATAAGAAGTCCTACCACTGAAAGGATGTGCGGGTAGAAATGAGCAATTGCAACTAGAAGAGCCTGTGTGCCCACAATCAAGGGTAAGGAGGAGTGTCATGGAGCAGGTAAGTTTCCCCACATACCATGGCCAAGAGACGTCAAAGCAAGTAAACATCAGAGGGTGACATTTGACTTTTTGCAGAGCAAATGGAACAATCACTGTGCTAGCCTTGTACAGGCTGGGGCAGGAAATGGGTTAGCCAGAGTGAACGGTTGAAAAGGAGTCCATGTGCCAAGCCAAGGCTGGGGTTTTGAAGGGAGAATAAAGATGTATGTGTTGGTGGGGGTGGGGGAGTGTGATTTGGTGGGGAGGAAGAAAGGTAGAAGAGAGAAGAAATTTCTTGGGGCTTCTGAGATCCACCTGATAATATTTGACACTGTCTTCAGGCAACAGGTAATTGCTTTATTACATTAAAATTTCCAAAATTCAAAAGATGTATTGCAACAGCTGCCTGATAAGATTTCAAAGATTCAGAGGAGACAAAGATATATTAGAAAAATACCCTAAAGCCATGCATGCTAAGACTAAGTGGGAAATAATGCAATAGATGTCAGCTCAGTTATTCAAGGTTTACGTTGATTTCTCCTGAAAATGAAACACCACCTCTTATGACATCAAGATTAGGTGTCTAATTTGTGGATAACCTAGACTCCACTGGCTCTTTCTCCACTCATTAGCCCTTCTTAGATGAAAAACATTATGAGATGCCACTTATGCAAACCTGATAGAAGTAAAGAAAACCATTTTAGCCTGCCCTTCAGAAGAGCCCGGGTGATGGGTGGGCTGTGGCTCAAAGGAACTCAAGGATCCTTTCTGTTGTTAAGACCCTAGGGTTCTAATCCTGCCCTCTATATGGCGATGGTTCTGTTGTCCCACCATCAGGAAAACAGGCAAAAGGTGCTTTCTCAGCTTCCTTTGAGACTAAATCTGAACCCTTTGTGAGGTATGTGATGAACTGGGAGAACAGCCCATAATTAAAGAACGTTCTACCAATTCCTCCTGCCTCCTGGTCAACACCTGTAATTCTGTAGTCAGATAATCAACCTTGTTGTTGAGGCTTTGACTGCCATTACAGTGCAAAATCCTGAAGATGTCTTCTGGTGTTTGCCTCTTAAGATTGAAAGTCATTTTAGAAATCTAGGATGTGAGGGCCGGGTGCAGTGGCTCATGCCTGTAATCCCAGCACTTTGGGAGAGTGAGGCAGGCAGATCACTTGAGGTCAGGTGTTCAAGACCAGCCTGGCCAACATGGTGAAACCCCATCTCTACCAAAAATATAAAAATAAAATAAAAATTAGCTAGTCATGGTGGCATGTGCCTGTAGTCCCAGCTACTTGGGAGGCTGAGGAAGGAGAATCACTTGAATCTGAGAGGAAGAGGTTACAGTGAGCCGAGATCCCACCACTGCACTGCAGCCCGGGCAACAGAGTGAGAGTCCATCTCAAAAAAAAAAAAAAAATCTAGGATTTGAGGGCAGCTAAGAACATAGGGGGGAAGGGGTGAGGTGGGTACCTTGAAGGGTGTGAAAGAGAGGCCAGGGTTGCCCAAGTCCAACCTCATGCCTCTGCTCTGTTTAAACTCCTTCTGCAGCTCTCTACTGCCCTGAGAATGACATCCCCACTGTTCACCATGGCCTTAAATCCCCTGCGAATTCCACCTCATCCTCTGCCACTTCCCGTCACTGCTCTGAAGATGCCCTGATCTTGTTTCAGTCCCTTGGATGTACCCAGCTCTTCTCCATCTTTGCATGTGTCATAGCCTCTTCCTGGAAAACCCTTCCTGCTGCTCATCCCAGAACTGACTCTCCATGTATTTACTCTTATTTTGAGAGAAGGGGGCATTTCCACCACCAGAAGGGAACTTGCTGTCTTGGTAGCCATTGTCCCCTGACACCTGGCACATCTACTCTATACAGTCACCATTCAAGTGGATGTTGAATGAGTACACTTGTTTCACAGTTTGGTTGGGTAAGCCCCAAAGCTTGGTTCCCGGTAGGATCAGGCTTTATGAGTGGGCTGAGTTTCTATAAAAGTCTCCCTACCAGTTTCCAATCTTGGTGAAACTATGTCTGTGGGCACAAATGAGAAAACTTGCCATTCGTATCACCGGTTACCCAGCTGTGGACCATGTGGGCCAGGTCCACAGAAGAGCCTTATCCTACTTTCACTTTTTATTTCCTGCAGTCATGGGGACAGTGGGGCACCACCTTTTCAGAAACTCTAAGAAAGAGTGTTCATGAAAGTGGCCAGAGAGTTTTACAATTTTGCCATTAGGAATGATTAAATATCCATGACTAATGCCTCTGTGATTAAATTGTATTGGGAGTTCCAAAGTTTGCTTTTTGTGCTTTAAGAGTAAAATGAGAAGAAAGCAACTGAACTTCTCATTTAGAAAATATTTCTTCTCTCCTTGGCCAGGTGCAGCAGCTCACACCTGTAATCCCAGCTCTTTGGGAGGCCAGGCAGTGGGACCACTTGATGCCAGGAGTTCAAGAGCAGCCTGGCCAACATGGTGAAAACCCATCTCTACTAAAAATAAAAAAATTAGCCAGACATGGTGGCATGCACCTGTAGTCCCAGCTACTCGGGAGGCTGAGGAAGGAGAATTGCTTGAACCTGGGAGGTGGAGGTTGCAGTGAGCCAAGATCATGCCACTGCACTCCAGCCTGGACAATAGAGCGAGACTCTATCTCAAAAAAAAAAAAAAAGTAAAAAAAAAAGAACATTTCTTCTCTCCTGGACCCAGAAGCACCTTCCAGACATGAATCCAGGAAGTAGGAATGAGAGCTGCCACTGCAGGGTAGAAAATGCAAGTAAACCTTATACGAGATGTAACACCCAGGCAGGGTGAGCCTCAGGAAATGGGAACGCTCCAATGGCACGGCTCATCTGGACTGGGCCACTCTGAGTGCCAGAATTTGTATAACGTTTTAGATTTGCTTAGATATAGGAATATACAAGAAGGAGAATATATAAGAGGATTTAGCAGTGGTTATTTCTGAGAAACAGGGAGTACATGTAGTTTTGGGTTTTTTTCTTAGCTGGATTTTTTTAAGTTTCTAAAATGAACATGATTTACTTTTGGAATTTTTTAAAAAGCATTGAATATTTAAAATTTTTAAAATAATAGGCACTCATTAAGCAAAAAAATTATAAAACAGTGAAGTTACAAAGGAAGAAGAAAACTGTTCAAATCTACTATTTATGTTTGGGGTTTTTAAAAATTGTATTTTTTAAAAAAATAAACTGGTTTGTCTTATTTAGCATAGCTATAATGATACTGTATATAAAATATTTTTGCTTGCATTCTTCAACTTATTT
This sequence comes from Homo sapiens, assembly GCF_000001405.40. Classification (NCBI taxonomy): domain Eukaryota; kingdom Metazoa; phylum Chordata; class Mammalia; order Primates; family Hominidae; genus Homo; species Homo sapiens. Next base: position 100,427,638 of record NC_000008.11, on the reverse strand, counting down.
CATTATAAGTACTTTCCATGTTATTACTTAGTCTTTACAGCACTATTTTAACTTGCAAATAACATTCTGTTGAAATATCACGGTTCGACTTTTACTTCTGTCCTCAACAGGAGACATATATGTTCTTTCCAATGTTTCATGGTTACAAGCTGCCCTTAGCATGTCATGCCATAGAGTTTAGATTCTATTCTTAAGGCAATGGGAAGTCACTGACAGATGCTAAGCAGCCAAGTAATGTCATTGAGTTTTCGTTTAAGAAAGTTCTTCTGGGCTTTCTGAGAAGATTAGTTGGCTAAGGTAAGGCTGAAGGTAGGGAGAACAAGAAAGCTGAGACTGAAGCTGAAACTTCCCAGACCTCTCATCTCACAGAAATTGATACTCACAGTGCCAGTCTTGCCCTCACTTTATACCGGATTGTAAAAGTTTGAGCATTATGAGAATTTTGGGCTCCAACTTCTTCATTTTACAGTGAAATAAAGCTGAGAGGGTTTAAGTGACTTCTCTAAGGTCACATAAAGATTTAGTGGAGCCTAGAACATAAGGCTTCTGATTTTAGTCTCACGTCCTTCACCACAGCAGGCTGCATCATCATGAAATAATATAAATTAAATGTCGTTGGTATACTCAGCACTGTGTTAAGGTGAAGAGAGGTTTATAAGTGTGTAGAAGACAGGGATCCTTTATGATAGTAGAGGTGTGATAGTGATGATGATGATGATAATAATATTAGTGATGGTGGCAGTGGTGGTGGCGATGGTGATGGTGGTTGTGGTGGTAGTGGTGGTGGTGGTAGTAGTAATGGTGGTGGTGGTGGTGGTGGTAATTGATGGTGGTAGTGGTGGTAGTGAGGTGGTGGTGGTGGTAGTGATGGTGGTGGTGGTAATTGGTGGTGGTTAATGATGGTGGTGATGGTAGTGGTGGTGGTGGTAGTGGTGGTGGTGGTAATGATGGTGGTGGTGGTAGTGGTGGTGGTGGTAAAGGTGGTGGTGGTGGTGGTAATGATGGTGGTGGTGGTGGTAGTGGTGGTGGTGGTAATGATGGTGGTGGTGGTGGTAGTGGTGGTGGTGGTAATGGTGGTGGTGGTGGTGGTAATGATGGCGGTGGTGATGGTGGTGATGGTGGTGGTGGTAATGACAGTGATGGTGAAGGTAGTGGTGGTAATTGGTGGTGGTAATTGGTGGTGGTGGTGATAGTGGTGGTGATTCTTTGCAAAGGACAAAGTACTTCCACAGCTATGATCTAATTTGATCTTCAAAATAACTCGAATAATAGTGGCCAGGATTTCTTGCCATGCTAGGCATCATGTGAGATGTTTTATTTATTTGATACCATAGCCCTATAAGATTGGTATGATTGTTCTTCCCATTTTACAAATGAGGAAACTATGGCTCAGAGAGGTGAAATGACTCACCCAAATAAACAAAGAAGCCGTAATTAGAACCCATTTTATCTAAGTATGTGAATTTTACTGACTTGTTTTTTCCAGAAATAACCATGCAGACAATACTTTCCTCTGATGGGTAATTTAATCAAACTATTGAAGGGCATGGCTGAATAAGAAGGGAGGCGGGCTGGCTGGCCTGGCCAGGTGCCCATGCACCTGGGTTATTGGGAATAGGCTGGCCACTCCTTCCAGAGATGCCCCTCCTGAAGGACATGTAATACAAGGAAGGGCACTCCACACAGCAGCATTCTTCATGTGTAACAGCGGCCTGTGAAACAAGGCTAAATGCTAAGGAGCTAAAAAGCAGGAAAGAGCTAAAAACCACTGGGCTGCTTTGCCATGTGAACCTCATTATTAAGAATGCTACCTCAGGGCTGGGCACGGTGGCTCATGCCTGTAATCCCAGCACTTTAGGAGGCGGAGGCAGGTGGGTCATTTGAGATCAGGAGTTCGAGACCAGCCTGACCAACATGGTGAAACCCCGTCTCTACTAAAAATACAAAAATTAGCCAGACATGGTGGCATGCACCTGTAGTCCCAGCTACTTGGGAGGCTGAGGCAGGAGAATTGCTTGAACCTGGGAGGTGGAGGTTGCAGTGAGCAAAGATCACGCCACTGCACTCTAGCCTGGACAATAGAGCAAGACTCTGTCTCAAAAAAAAAAAAAAAAAAAAAAAAAAAGAGGCACAAGATGTGATGGGCATGTGAGTTGCTAGAAGACAGAACTGTTTTTCTTTTTCTTTTTTTCTTTTTTTTTTGAGACAAAGTGTTGCTCTTGTTGTCCAGGCTGGAGTGCAATGGCATGATCCTGGCTCACCGCAACCTCTGCCTCCCAGGTTCAAGTGATTCTCCTGTCTCAGCTTCCCAAGTAGCTGGGATTACAGGCATGCACCACCATGCCCGGCTAATTTTTTATATTTTTAGTAGAGATGGGGTTTCTCCATGTTGGTCAGGCTGGTCTTGAACTCCCCACCTCAGGTGATCCGCCCACCTCGGCCTCCCAAAGTGCTGGGATTATAGGTGTGAGCCACCGCGCCCAGCCAGAACTGTTTTTCAATCTTGAAATCCTCTAAAAATTGATCACTTCTTACAGGTTCCTATCAGCCTAAATGTAAACATTTGTTGCCATAGGCAACAGAGTTTGTGAGTGAACAAAACTGCCCAGGGCAAATGTGCTTCTGGAAACATGATAGCAAACAGTTATTATTGGGTCATTTCAATGTGAACTTATTTGGAACAGCTGTACTTGGTTCAGGCACATAAATGTACCCACAATTAATTAACTATCATGATTGATTTACTGGGGAAAATGCAGAACAACAGGAAAGTAAATGTCACATTTGTTTTTATTTTCTGCCCTAAACAAATCATAAGTACCATAAGTTTAGTAGTCTGACACAACTGTGCCAGGGATATTCATCCCCCTGTAATGAATGAGGTGGAGGGAAAAATGTGATGATTGCCAAAAGCACTGACCAGGGAGACAAAGTAGTTTCTTCATTAAAACACACACACATACACACACACACACACACACACACACACACAAAATCGAGGCCGGGCGTGGTGGCTCACGCCTATAACCTTAGCACTTTGGGAGGCTGAGGCATGTGGATCACCTGAGGTCAGGAGACCAGCCTGGCCAACATGGTAAAGCCCCGACTCTACTAACAATACAAAAAATTAGCTGGGTGTGATGGCAGATGCCTGTAATCTCAGCTACTTGGAAGGCTGAGGCAGAAGAATCACTTGAACCCGGGAGGCGGAGGTTGCAGTGAGCTGAGATCGCACCACTGCACTCCAGCCTGGGCAGCAAGAGCAAAACTCCATCTCAAAAAACAAACAAACAAACAAACAAACACTAATCCTTATTCAATGAAGGAGAAAACCAAAGACCACCGAAAGCACCTGTCTGTATTTCAATTTGATCATGTTACAAACTGGGCTTTCTCAGTGTCGTTGGTTTTGCTCACCATGTGCCAATGGGTTTTCTGCCCCTCATCCTCCCCCAGATATCAGCACAGTTCACTTTCTCCTCCTTCAGGCCTTCACTCAGACATCACCTTTTCCTCAGTGCCCTCCCTAGTTCTCTACCTAAAACCACACACTCCCCTCCCTCCACACTGCCTATGCATCTTTCCTGCTTTTTAGCTCCTTAGCACTTATTACTATTTTAATACTCTATGTTTTAAATATTTATTTGTGATTGCTGTCTCCCCCACTAAAATGTAAGCTCTGTGAGAGCAGGGATCTTTGTCCTTTTTGTTTTCCCCTGTTTTTCCAAAGAGCACAGTGCCTGACACACAGTAGGCTCTAAATATATATTTGTGGAACAGGTGAATGAATGAATGAATGAATGAAACAATCAATCGATTTCTTCAATAAAATTATTGAGAACCTACTAAGAGGTGACACATAGTAGGCTCTAAATACCAATTTGTTGAACAGATGAATAAATGGGCTGGTCAATCAATCAATCAAATTCTTCAATAAAATTATTGAGAACTAGTAGGAGGTGTGGCTAAGGAGTGATGAAGAAAATATCATTTATTGAGTCTCTTGATAGCATTTATTCAGCCTCTATGATCTATCTTAGACATGGAAAGCTAGGTGATTTTCATGTCTAATACAGACACCCCAAAATGCTATTTTAAAATATGGCTGCAAGTTGTCACCCTTGCTCTAGGGGATAGGGACAGAATTCATCCTAGAGATGAAACTGCTCTACTGTGTAAGAAAATATTTCATGGCACTTGGCTGTGAAAAATGAGGGGAAGGTGGACCGAGGTTGTTCTTCATAAGTAAAGTAAAATCGACAATGATTTCCTTGGGCAGTATTTTTGGTTGTTTTTGTGAAGGCGTTGTTGGTTTGTCCCTGACAAATGTAAAATACAGAAATTCTGGTTTGAGCTGAGCTGGGGAAGAATTCTAGGCTTGAGCATGAAAGCAGATTTGAGAAGGAGCTTGGTTCTGAGGGAAGAGACCCCACAATCATGGAGGCCAACTGGTAGCCAAAAAGAGAGACTGTCAGTGAGGGGCTCCTTCTAATGGGGGATGATGATAGACCTACAGTGATGTTTAAGATCTAATTTTCAGTTGCCCAAGCAATGTGCTCTACCCCTCAGCAAATTGGGTACACAAAACTACTGAGTGAGCACCAACTGTATAGCTGTACTAGGTGTTAAAATATTAAAATATTTCATACTGGTTGGTAGATGGCCGCTGTCCTGAGGCTTTCTCTCCCAGTTATCCCCTAGGACACTGTTACCTTGAGCACCCCAGCCCACCCCAAGCCCCCTTAGCCACCCCGTGATCCATAACCCTAAAGGGTTATGCCTGATACCACAAGGATCCTTTAGGATGGATTGGCCATACTCTGGGCCACAGCAGTTGTTAAATATTCTGACTCTCATGGCTCACGCCTGTAATCCCAGCACTTTGGGAGGCCAAGGTGGGCAGATTGCTTGATGCCAGGAGTTCAAGACCAGCCTGGGCAACATGGCAAAAGCCTGTCTCTACTAAAATTACAAAAAACAATTAGCTGGGCGCGGTGGCATGTGCCTGTAGTCCCAGCTACTCAGGAGGCTGAGGTGGAAGGATGGCTTGAGCCTGTGGGGGTGAAGGCTGCAGTGAGCCAAGATCACACCACTGCACTCTACCTGGACATTGGAGTAAGACCCTACTTCAGAAAAAAAAAAAAATTCTGACTCAGCCCTGCCTCCACACACATACCAGCCTGGTTTGGTAGGTGAGGTAGAGAATATAGGGGAAGACTGTGTCCACAACCACGTAGAAGCAGAGCAGAAAGAGACAATAGTATGAGAAACTGGAGGGCCAGCTACAGCGGAGAGGTGGAAGGTGTCATGGGATGGGAGGTAGGGGGTAAGTGACCGGCAACATCCAGGACACGCAGGCACTTGGCAAATATCTTCAGTACTATCTGGACAGCCCTAGTATCCTGCAGTCACACAGAGCAAGGATTCAGGCTATCACTATCTAGTGTTAAAGAAAATGAGCTTGCAGAAGGCTAGGAACTCAGGGTCACTGAGATTACATATCAGATGGAGAGAAATACAACATAGCCCTTCCCAACAAGGAACTGCTGATTCTGATAGATTCCGTTTTATATCAAAGGATAGTTGGTGTCAGCGAAGAACAGGCTGAAAGAAAACAGCATCATTCCCTGTGTATTTAATCAGATGTTTAATGGTGCAGGGGTTTGGCAGGGCTGTGGCTGGCACCCTCATGCCAGCTCCAAATCTGACACATTCCACGTTGCAAGCGCCCCAGGAAGGAACACAGGGCCCCTGCTGTGTTTATTAGACTCTCTGCTCAGCCCCAGCACTCTTTTCTCTTAATATCAGGAAAATTAAAGAGAAACTATGCAGCAGAAGTCAAAGCAATCATCTTCAAGAGACCCAAGCCAACACTTTTGGGGAGGTGGGGACTCGCATTTTCATAGGCCCCTTCATTCTAGTTCTCTCTTCTCCTTTTGTCCTTCCACGTTCAATCTCTGCTTTTCCTCTCACACCTGCACCTTTTCCTTAATGATAAGGATCACACCCCACTCGCTGGCAACATGGCCAGCCCCATGCCAGGCACTGAGGTGACACTCTGCCTGGGACTTGCTGAAAGCAGGCCAACAGCTCCCCTCTCACTGCAGAAAAGCCAGCTTGTGCCCAGGAAGCCAGAGAATGAAAACGGCAATTCACCATGATAACTAGGACTCAAGACAGAGCTATCAGAAAGGCTGGGAGGAAAGAGCCAGTGGTCCCTTCATCCTCCTCCTGTAGGGCGGTGAACGCTTCAGAGAAACACTTCATTTGAGACCAAGGAGGTGTGTCTGCCATGCTTAGCAATATTCGTTCAGGATCTTCTAGAGCAAAATGTTTTCTCTGCTGCCTCTTTGACCTTCTCGCCTACAGCTCTCCCCATGCTCCACTCTGGTCACACGGACTTCCTTGCGTTCCAGGGATTTGCCAAGCATGACCCTTCCGCAGAGCTCTGTACCTCCTGTTCTGTGTGTCTGGAACACTCTAGATGTCTCTGCAGCAACTTCCCTCCCTTCCCTTAGGTCCTCGCTCAAATATCACCTTCTCAGAGATCCTCCATGACGACGCTACCAAAAATCACATATACCTCCAGTCACTCTCTCCACCCTTACCCGGCCTTATTTTCCTTTCCAGCACTTTCCCCACCGGACATATCTGGTGTTTGTTTATTTTCTGTCTCTTCCATTAGTATGTAAAGTCTCAATATCAGGCACATGTCTGTTTTGTTTGCTGCAGAGACCTCAGTTCTCAGAAAAGAACTTGGTGCAAAGCAGATGCTCAATAAATAATATTGAATAAATGACCAAATGGTCCCTCAACTCTTGCACCACCAAATATTGTTTTATTATTAATTTTTCCCCAAAAAATCTTAAGAAATCCTTATGACATCACTGAAAGCCAGTCTAAGCTTCTGAGAAGCAGAAACTAACTGATGTAGCCTCACTAACTTGTTATAATCCCAGCCATGGGAGCCTTTTAGTTGACCTTGTTAGCTTCATTCCAGGTAGAAGTGTAATTTACATTAGCCTCTCCAGCCCCCTACAACCCAGGGCACAGATGTGCCCTGGCTGGGAATCGCTGCTTCATGCCTTCGATAAGATCACTTCTTCCCACTAACAGAGCGTCTACCCCCACGCACTGTGTGTATACACTTGTCTACACCCCCATCCAGATGCCCAGGCACCGCACGAGCACTAGACTCAAGAATATCCCATTTGATCACTAATATCAAACAAATATTTTCCCCGCATCTACAAGATGTTGGTAATACAGCAATAAACAACAGAGCTGTAGAGCTTACGTTGTAGAAACTAAACGATTAAATGTTAACTTGAATTAAAACTGACCTAGAAATGTGGAATATTCAAAGACATAATCTATGTTAAAATTTTTTATTTTCATAGTTCTGGAAATGGATAGTGGTGATGGCTTCACTATATTCTGAATGTACTTAATGCTACTAAATTGTACACAAAAATGGTTAAAATGGTCAATTTTGTGTTATGTGTATTTAACCACACAAAAAATTTTTTTCATTTTCTTTCCTGGGATATGCTTTAAACATGTGTTTTGTGGTTCAGCAGTCTGCACCTTTTCACTTACATTTCTTTGGTTAGGTAGAAAAGGCGTTTACACAAAGGGTATTAGGTAGCTCACAGAATTGTCAGGAAGACTGGAGATACAGGCTTGAGGCTGTGTTTTGAGAAATAACATTCACAGAACTGCTCTGTCACCACTACCACCAGGCGCTGGATGCTACGGTTCACAGTGTCGCTACTTAAACCAGGATCTTACTTTACTGCAGCTGCTGCTGCCCTCAACACCATTAGTAGCACTTCTGAACCAGGAATTTGACTTTTCAGCCACTGCCACTACAAAACATCCCCTCCACCATCTTCACCAGAAAATGGATCCTGCATGGCACTGGCATTCTTACATTGTCCACTTGCAAAGAGAAGTCTCAAGTATCACACAAGCATCATGTCTGGTGGGTGGAGCCCAGATCACATGCCAGGGCATTAGCTGCAAGGGAGCCTAGGAACACGTTTTCAGATGAGCTCATAAGGCAGGACTTTCTCCAAATAGTGGAAGGCTTTTCAACAGCTGCTGTGCAGCCGGGAAACATGACAAGTGTCCCCTACAGATACGCTCTTATTTTGCTCTTTTCTTTTTTCCCTCCTAACCACATTTTCACTTCTCCAAAGCTTCACTTACACTCTACTTCCTCAGACTCCTATAGAGCAGCAGCTAGAATACTTTGGAGTCTCCCCCAAATTTCTCTGTGCACAGATGCACAGTGGGGTGTCAGGCTCTCTGTGGGCCAGAAGATAATCAGAACACAGAGCAGTTTCTCTGCAAGCCAAACTCCCCTGATGCTTAATCCCTAGACAAAATTTAGACACTTGAGGATGGACCATAGGATGGGGCAGAGTGAGCCAGATAACAGTTCTTACCCTGGAAAAATATTGTCAGCCTAGCAGATACTCATGAAGTCCTTTCAATTTCTTTTATTTTATTTTTTGAGACGGAGTCTTGCTCTGTTGCCCAGGCTGTAGTGCAGTGGCGCAATCTTGGCTCACTGCAACCTCTGCCTCCCGGGTTCAAGTGACTCTCTTGTCTCAGCCTCCCAAGTAGCTGGGACTACAGGCACGCGCCACTGTGCCTAGCTAATTTTTGTACTTTTTAGTGGACATGGGGTTTCACCATGTTGGCCAGGCTGGTCTCGAACTCCTGACCAGCGTGATCTGCCCACCTCGGCCTCCCAAAGTGCTGGGATTACAGGTGTGAGCCACTGTGCCTGGCCAAAATCCTTTCAATTGATGTTAATTCATTGATTCAACATTTCACAGATGTTTATCAAGGACCTACATTGTTCAATGGGCCAGGCCCTGTTATAGGTGCTGGGGATTCAGTCATTGATAAAACAGATGAAATTCACTGCCTTCATATACAGTCTAGTACATGAGGAGAAGTACTACTCAACCAACTTACCAACCAATTTACTGATGGAATGACCCATAGACAATCCAGTGTGGTGGTTCCTGGCCTTCTTTCTACTGGTAGATGCATGACAAATGACACAGTACCTCCAAAGGGGTGACAGTATAGTAGCACTAGTTACATGCCAGGCACTATGCTAAATGCTCTACACACATGAACCCACTCGGTCCTCACCACAACTCCCTGAGGCAGGTTCTCTTACCATTCCCATCTACAGATGAGGAAACTGAGGTAGAGAAGGTAAAGTTGCTTGCCCAAGGCCACACAGCTAGTGACCAGCTGAGCCAGGAGTAAAACCCAGGCAGCGTGGCTTCAGTGTTCAGCTCTGCTACAGCACAGCTGGCAAATGTGGGGGATTATTGCGTCATTCCCTGAGAGTCAGCTATAACTAACTAATTTTCCCTACTACTCAGAAAGCAACTTTAAACCCACGCTAATTCAATTATTTTGTTAAAGACATAAATCTATGGAAAATGTTTACTCTTTTTGATCAGTAAAGAACTTGCTGCAACATACATTACATTGATCATGACAGGCTGGTTGGAGACTGATTTAAGGAAACTCAGGCAGGATGATTACTTCTGACCAGCTAGTGTTATTCAGTTCCAGGTGGGTTTGGGGCACCTCTGGAATGAATCAGATTGCCAAATAAAAATAGCTATTAGGCCAGGGGTGGTGGTTCATGCCTGTGTTACCAGCACTTTGGGAGGCCAAGGTGGGCAGATTGCCCGAGGTCGGGAATTCGAGACCAGTCTGGCCAACATGGTAAAACCCCGTCTCTACTAAAAGTACAAAAAAATTAGCCAGGCTTGGTGGATGCGCCTGTAAACTCAGGATGCTGAGGCAGGGGAATTGCTTGAACCAGGGAGGTTGAGGTTGCAGTGAGCCAAGATTGCGCCACTGCACTCCAGCCTGGGTGACAGAGCAAGACGTTGTCTCAAAAAAATAAAATAAAATAAAAAGCTATTATTTATTTAGGGCTTATGATGTGCTGGACAATGATCTAAGCTCTTTAAACATATTAACTCTCCTGTCTGCTTCAAGGGCCCTTTTCCCAGCACAGAGCCCAGCCCAAACCCATGCCCTCTGAGAATGTCCCCAAGAGATCCAAGACGGTCCAGGCAAGAAAGTTGTGTTTACCCCAGTTTCTTGAAGGACCTGTCAGTCCAGCCCGGTCTTGCCTTGGCATTGAAGAAGCCAGTGCCAAGGTACACAGTTTCAGGGACCTCTTGGTGAGCTGAGATGGCCTCCAAGAAGGAGACAATGTCATCACCTCTCCCTGAAGCAATTCGCCCTTCCCCTCTCCACCTAGGAGGGCACTCTCTGATTCACTTAATGCTAGGCTGCTTCTGAACAGTGATCTGCTGTTCAGAACTGCTCCATCCTCTGTGACAAATCAAAGAACACAACATCCTAGAGACAAAGCTGACAGGCATACCTTATTCTGACTTGCCAGTCTTCATGTCTGTGTCAGCCTGTCTTATTCTATTTAGGAATCATCACAGCTCCAGCTTTCCTTCTAAATAATACAGTAAACATCCAGCCATGATTCAAGCCAGATATTTGCTGCTGCCCAAACTGCACCTTACCCAGGTTCTCTTGTGGTCCCTGAGTCATTATCCACACAACAAGCCAGGTGCCAGCTCCACCTAGCAAGGCCTCCCTCCCCTGGCTTCTTGCCAAGGCTGCTCTTAGCCTGGGTTAATTAGCCCCCTCCACCCCCGCCCCACCCTCTGCTCTGCCACCCACTCAAGCAGGCTGGAATTGAGAGAGTTCAAGAGATGTGAAAAATGAGCAAGGCTTGGAAAACAGGGAAAATGCAAACTGGAAGCCCTTCACGCCAATTTTAGGGCAGCCCTTGTTAGGAGAGCAATAAAGAAATAGCAATTTATGCAATTTGGAAGCAATAGCCCTTTCATCTGGAGTGGCCGTTTAATGAAAAGCACACTCTGCTGCAGAGGGGGAGTGGGCTCCAGCTAGAAGTGCACGCCTTCCTGCAGCAGAGGAAAGGCTGCCTTGCTGAGCAGCCGCTCGCTGCTGCTCCTAAAGCAGTTGGAGGCGGGGTGACTGAGCAGAGAATCGCCTGGTGGATGCAAAATTTCATTTTAGGCTTTTGTGTCTTCTGAATGTTCTCTTCCAGGGGGTCTACCCTGCACTCAAGTACAGGAGGCAGGCAGCTGGCCGGAGCACCAGTCAGGCTGGACTGTGTGACAGAGAAAGAAGGGCGGTAAGAGACAGCAATAGCAGCAGCACTCCACCTCTGGAATAGTCTCCAGGGCTAAAATTGGAGATCTGCTGTCATCAGAAAAACACCACGTTTATCAATCTAACCACATGAGCCAACTCCTCCTCTCCACCACAGCATGAGGTAGATGGTTTGGAACCAGCTAGGCCACTCCTATCCAAGTGTGGTTCGGTGACTGCGTGGGCATTGGGATTACCTGGAGTTTAGTAGAGATGCAGACTGTGAGGTCCTACCACCCAGGAGCTACTGAATCCAAATCTGCATTGGCCCACCATGTCCTGGTGATTCTCCTGCACTCATTCCCTGAGTGGAGCTGTTCTAGGCCTTCCTTTTAGTTGTGAGGAGAGAGATGACAGGGAGGAGATGAGCCCCGAAGGCATAGGCTCTTTCTTGGGTGAGCTTGTGAGTAGACACAGGGAAAGTGGCCTGTGTCTGCTTGCGGGAAACTTTCAGCACTGAGTCACCATCATTGTCTCCCTGCTAAATTCTACAGCCCCTCCTCTCTCCTGCCAGGTGAGAAACACCAAGGGGCAATGACCTCAGCCCTTTACGTATGCAGAGCTGTTTATTTCCTTTTGCCTGTAGGAAATCATGTCCATCAAGTATTCCTGGAGCTTCTGACTGCATCAAAGTGAGAGGGGCTCAGCCCCTTGGGAGGAGCTCTGCCGGTTCAAGACCCTCACCCCCACCCTCTTGTCTGGCCCAGGCCTTATTCTCAGCTATCTGGGGCTAGCAGGCAGGTTGGCCTTCACCACTGAGGTCCCTGGTAAACTCCTACAGATAAACCCTATTTAATTTTTTTTCGTGTTTCCAGCCCCTCCCCCACCACTGCAAGATACCAGGAGCAAAGAAAGGTTATATTACAAAATTTATTTGAAAGAAAACCTCCTAAGCATTTTCTTAACCTTGCAAATATTTCAAGAATGTCTGTGTTGTCAAGAGTGTAAAGAATGTCTCCTTGGACATCCGTCAGCGTCACTGAAAAAAGAAATCAATCTCTGATGTGGGGAGTGTGCAAAACAGTGTACGAAGGAAAAGCAGGGCTTTTCGTAATAAACAACGCTGGCGTGCACATGTTTTCTCATGTTACATTAGAACATGCTCTGGCCCCCATCCCTTCTGCCCCCATCTGCCCTTCTCTTTCTGCTTCAAGAAGGCCTTCAAGATAGGAATGTTCATTTATTTGAGCAAAGATGTGTCAAAATTGGTTTTAAAAAATTGCTGATGAGAAAGCTATGTGAACGTGATCTTTGAGCCAGCTAATTACTCACAAGCTGGGGCCATTTTCAAGTATTAACAGAATTTGACAAAACATCAAGTGTGATATTGAGGAGCTTATTATGTTTGTGCTGTATTCCCAAGCCCAGCACAGTTCCTGCCACATTGTAGGCACTTGGAAAGTGTCTGTGGCTGAAGGAGTGAAGGAATCAGAAGAACAGAGGGCCAGATAGCAGGCAGTGCATCTCAGAGTGCCTCACTGCTTTCCTCCACAGGGTCATGTCAAGCACCCAGAGACCCTGAATATTTACATATAAATTGAGGATGAAAACGGAACAATAAAGATTTAGGGGAGAGTGAACCCTAGCAATCCTCAGGCCTCCTAGTCTGTAGGACCCTACCATAAGTATCTTTTCTTATTGCTTGGGGACCCTGTCTTAGGCTGAATTCTGTTAATAGCAGAACTGGAGACAGGGATTCTCATGCAAGTGATTTATCAAAGAGTGCTTCCAGGACAATGAGAGCGAGGACAGCAGGATAAGGTAGGGGAAAACTAGCAAGGAGAATGCTCAGGGAGTGAAACTACACCACCAGGTTGGCCCCACCTTGAGGCAGGGGCCCATCAGTCTCAGTCATTGAGTCATTGACAGGATGTGAAAGGAGCAGGGTGAGGAGAGAGGTTGGAAGTGAAGTTATATCAGAGTTGTATCAGCCCTAAAGGGGATTGGGCAGTGCACCAGAAGAATCTACCACATTCCCGAGGTTTACTTCAAGATGCAATTGGGCCTGCCTGTCAAGCCTTTGCAGTAAACATGTAAGTTGATTTTTGTGGATGCATATAATTTAGGAGACATTTTAACAACCCTCCATCCTGACCCCCCTTCCTTACTCTATTTACATGCTACATAGTTCATCCATCTTTATGTTAATTAACAGCTTATTTATTACCTCTGTTTCCATAAACTAGAATGGGAGCTCCACGAGGGCAGGCATTTGTCATGCTTTTGACTGATGTATCCCGAGGATAGTGCCTGACATGTAGAAAGTACTGGGTAAATATTTGTTGAATGATAGAGTATTCTGACAAACATATTCTGCCTGGTTGTGGTTTAGGGATTTTTGTAATGATTCTTTGGGTCCCAGCAATCAGCTTCTGACTTTCATGAATAAGCAGGGAATGCTAACATACTGGAAGAAGGATTAGAGAGCCCTGTGATTCTCAGATTTTAGCACATTTAAGAATCACCTGGCCAGGCGCGGTGGCTCACGCCTGTAATCCCAACTCTCGGAGGCAGTGGCAGGAGAATAGCTTGAGCCTGGGAGTTCGAGACCTGCCTGGGCAATATAGCGAGACCCCATTCTCCACGAAAAGGAAGAAAAAAAAAAAGACAAAAAAAAAATAAGCATAAGAATCACCTGGGGATCGTGTTAAAAATGTGATTCTTGGTTCCCCAACCCAGAAATTCTGATTCAGTAGTTCTGATGGAGCCCAAGAATATGTATTTTACAAAAGCATAACTATCAATTTTGATGTAGGTGACCTGAGCACACATTTTGAAAAACACTGGTAGAGTCTGAGACAGTGGGTCAGTTATAAATAGCTACCCTAGCCCACCCAGCTGATCAGCCACAGAGCTGGGGCTAGACCTGGCTCTTCCCAGCTCAGTGCAGCATGTTTTCCACTCACAGTCTTTCTTAAGATATGTTTATAAGCTTTGCACGTATGTTGGTTACCATGGGAACATAAAAGCCTGCTGAAATCCACAACTGTAGTTGGGCTTTGAGGCATAGGTTGATAGCTATCTTTAGCAAAATTTGGCATCACAGTTTATTATGGCTTGTATTGCCCCTATTTTCCTGTAGATTCTTTTAAAATTGTAAATGTGCTTTTGTGGTGTGCCGATGTCATAATCGTTTGTCAGGAGGGAATCCAGTGTGAGCCAGGAACTGGGGCAAAGATGCATGAATTGATTTGGGGGGTGTACTAAAAAGACATGGGGAAGTTGTACGGAAAACTTTGGAATGAAGTGGTGTGATTTAATGCATGGTGAAGAGCTTTGGGGCAGGAATACATTCACTGATTAGGAGTCAGTAAGCTAAAAAAAAAAAAAGCCGTGAGGAGGAATTTCTCTGGGCCTAAATGAATGAATGAATGAAAGAGGGTTGGCTTAAAGATATTGCAATGAAGCAAATTTCATTCACCATAAATCTTCTGGTTGAGAGCACTGACCATCCTTAAAAGGTGTGTGCTGGGGGTGGGGGTTAGATCCCAAAGAAGGTGTTCAGTGGACAAAGGTGGTTGATAAGCTGTCTCCTAAGAACAAATCCTTAAAGTAAGCACTGTATTACTTGTGTATGACACTTACAGTGTGCCAGGCCCTGCTTTAAGTTTTATATATCACCTCATTTGACTTCATAACAATACTCTAAGGTAATAATTATTTTTTAAGTTTGAGACTGGGTCTCACTGTGTCACCCAGGCTGGAGGAGTGTAGTGGTGCAATCATAGCTCACTGCAGCCTCCAACTCCCGGGCTCATGTGAACCTCCTGCCTCAGCCTCCTGAGTAGTACAGTAGATACTATTATCTTCATTTTACAGATGAGGAACCAGAGAAGTTCCATCAGTTGTCAAAAATTCATACAATATTTGAGCTAGGATCTGATCCAGGCAATCTGGGCCCAGAACCTTTGCTTTTAACCAACCACTACTCTCCAGTGCATCTGAAACGTAACAGATGGGACTTTGTCTTCTGGAGCATTGACAGTAGGGTTGAAGAACCATTTAATAAAGAGAGCTTCGACAAAACTGAATTTCTTCGCATGTTGGTAGGCGGAGGGCATCAGGAAGGGGAGAAGCAGCACTGAAAATGGTCTTGAAAGATGCATTTCAAGTCATTTCTCTGGAGTTACATGACCTAGATTCTCTCTTCCTTGCCTCTTCGACCTACACAGAAAGTGTACCATATTCATTATCGCATTTGTCAAGTGGATTCTTTTCTGGGGGAGCTCAAAGAGCAGGAAGAGGGGACAGTTGACATCAGTTCCATAGAGGACAGGAGGCACTGGGTTGAAGAGCACAGGGAGTCTCTCTTGACCATTGTCTTGAGTTGTGTGCCCTGACCCAGGATTCAGTAAGTGAGCGGCCCAAGGAGAGAAGAGCAGTAGGACTGGGGAGGAACGTGGTCTAGATCCCAAATGCTTCCAGGCTGTGGCTGGGAAGCTGTAGGAGAAACCCCATTGCCTTGGCAATAGAGGCTGCCCAGAGAAAAAGAGAGCCTGAGAGACTGGCCTGGGGGAGGAAACCACCGAAGGCTGGAAACAAAAACCAGAGCTGGTGGCAAAAGTTTGCACTAAACCTCAAACCAGAAAACTTTCTTTTCATATATGTGCCATCAGAGAGAGACCCTGTGAGTGGGTATTTTTCTGGAATCCATCTTAAATGCAAAGAAGCTAGAGGTGGAAGGGAAAGAGAACGTCTTGAAAGAGAAGCTGGTCTCACTCAGAGTGGTGTGTAGCTCCTCCCTGATCCTACTGCATCCTCTGTCCCTCTTTTCCTCCTCCTTCTCCTCTTCCTCCTCTTCTTTCTCTAGCTCTGCTACTTCCTGTCTTCCTCCTCTGTGGCAGCTAAGGTGTGATGAGAGCAAATGAGATAGAAATATACAGAAAGGTTTGTTGACTTAACCCTTCACCCAGGAAGTGTATTTACACTCTAAATAAAGTGCAGCTTGTTAGCCCTAAAGAATTTCTAATGATGAATCTCAAACAGGTGACTGTGGGTGTACAGGGCTGGAGGAAGCCAGGCAGTGGTAGTGGATATTTGTGAATGAAACATCTACTGTTGTTCCTTTCTTATACAGGAAACCCTATGCAACACACACACACACACACACACACACACACACCATCCTCTTCACATGCACACCTGCACTACAGTTGGGTCATACTCTGGGGAAGGCTGCCCAAAGACTCTGCAGTCTGGAGGAGGAGGAGAGTTAGCCAGGTGAAGTAGGTGCTCCAGGAATAATGCCTTGGACCTGGTAAAGCTAATGGGGAAGGAGCCACAGCTGCTGAAGCAGTAACATGAGCATCTCATCAAGTAACCCTGTAGGATCCCTCTTGTATAAGCCTTTGCTAAGTACCAGTACTTTAGTGTGGTCTGATACCAGTATTCAATGTACCAGCATCAGTATATCCTTGGAAGACTGGCTCAGTGTAGCCAACGCTCTCCACCTCCCAGCCACTCTCTCCCAGAGCCTACCAATGTTCAAAGTCTCATGTGACTATGACCTCTTTGGTACCCACAGGCTAGCAAGGTCTGGGGATATTTGAGTTACAGAGCAAAAATAGAAAAATATGTTTTTGCCTTATTATCTGCAATTCAAAGCATGTTCCCTGATCTTTTTCAGTCCATGCATATCTAATGAGTGACACAAACACAGCTTGGTGAGTAGTCCCCTCCCTGTCCCTCAGCCCTCACATGTGTATTCACTGATATGACCCCCTCTGCCCTGGGAGCCTCATAGCCCAGCCTGCCCCATTCCATGCGTCATCATTACAGTTCATTACTTACAACCATCTACGATTTCATGGTGAGTAGGCAACAGAGATCCATACAACGGCTGTATTTTGGGTACAAATAGTATGGTTGATTTTTTTTTTCCAAGTTCTCAGTTTATTTTTGAAGAGTGAGATAGATTTTCTCACACAGCATGACATGGAGGGTTTGGAAAGGTTTCTGGTCTGGGAAATCCATGACTGTAATAAAAGGGTTTATCAAAGCTGGTTGTTTCCGAAGCAGGCGTCACACACTGGTGTGAACAGTGCTGACGTGGGTCCTAGGAGGGTTAGGCTCGGAGGGCAGGTGAAACCACCTGATGCCAGACAAGAGCCAGAGATACTCAGGAATCAGGGCTGTGGCTGGTGACGCTCAGAAGAGACTCCAAGATAGGAATCAAGCAAGGGGCCACCCCCAGGTTCCCAGGAACTCCCTCAGAGGATGACGCAGGGTTGTGACAAGAAAGGCAAGAGTGGGAGGTTGGCACATCCTGCCAAAGAGCTCCAGCTGCTCCAGCCCCACAAACGTGCTTTGCCTTGTCCTTTGATTACCGACCTGCCAGCCCTCACGTGGCTCTGCACTGAGACCTCTGGGCTCTGTAGATGCCTGGTTTCTGTTACTTCATTTCTCACATTCTAAAGAAGTGTGACCTCTTCTGCAGAAGTTAGGGGCTCAAGTCAATGGTTCATGGGAAATCGCTCAGACAGAAAGCCTGAGCTGATATTTGATGAGTGCAAATGAGTCTGACAGTGCTGGTTGTTCAACATTTTGACTATCATCCCCGTGACCGTTGAATCACATTCAGCCCAGAGAGAAGCTCATACTGTGAGAGGCCAGATAAGGGACCAGTCACACATATATGGCACCCTCTAAATTCTTTCCAGGACCACTCTGCTTATGGCTGGTGTCATCATCACCTGCATTATTTCTATTGTTATTTTCTCTCTCTCTCTCTCTGTCTCCCCCTTCCTTGACTATACTACTGAATACAAAGTAAATTAAGTGTGTTTTATATGTCTTGATCTTTGTCTTCCTCTGCATGTCTAGGTCTGAGCCTCCTGCTCATTCTTGGCTCAGCTCAGGCCCCTGCATGCCTGCCCCTCACCCACCCTAGTCCTCAGCACTGTCAACATGAATGTGTGACACCCTGTTTTGGAAACAATGCTGGAAGCAACCTCTTCAGGCTTTGTGGTTCTGCAGCATCTGGGCCCGCCAAGGACTCTCTCTCCCATTCACCCAAACAACAGATGCTCTTGTGAACACTGTGTTGCCATCCAACACTAACACATTTTGGTTACAAGAAGGGTTGCTGGACTTAGCAAATAAAAATACAGGACACCCTGTTAAATTTCAATTTCAGATGAGTAATGAATAAAATTTTACTGTATGTCCCATGCAATATCTGGAACATATGTATAATAAAAATTAGTTATTGTTTCTTTGAATTTCAAATTTGACTGGGTGTCCTGTGTTTTATCCGGTAAACCGAGTGACAAGTCATACAACAATAACAATAAGGAACTAGAACTTAACTGATGTAGACACCTGAGATATCTAAAGGCTGGACTGGCTGCAGCACACCTGACACTGGGGCCTAAATGATGTCACGAAGAACAGGAAATCCTCTTTCTCTACCTTCTAGGTCAGCCTCCGTGAGTTGGCTCCATTCTTAGATAAAGTTCTGTCCTTGTGGTGGCAAGATAGTTGCAGTTTTCCAGTCTCCTGTTCTAAGATTCTGAGATGGTAAAAAATGAAAAGTTGTTTGTCCAAAGCCTCCCACAAAACTTTTAAGATTCATTCCAGGCCAGGGGCGCAAGGGCTCACACCTGTAATCCCAGCACTTTGGGAGGCCAAGGCAAGAGAATCACCTGAGGCCAGGAGTTCAAGACCAGCCTGAGTAACATAGGGAGACCTCCCCACCCCCAGCCCCGGTCTCTACAAAATATTTTTAAAAATAAATTAGCCAGGTGTGGAGGTGCACACCCATGGTCCCAGCTACTTGGGAGGCTGGGACCATGTAGTTTTCTCAGTATGGAAAACTAGGGATTGCTACAATCCTACAAAGATTCTATGAGCAGAACTAAATGGAGAAATGAACCATTAATCAGTGGCCTAATTAATATTTTTCTTTATATGAGAAAAAGTTGAAAGGCTAAAGTCCTAAGAAATAAGATAGAAGCTTCTTTCTCTCTCATGTAAAAGAAGTCTGGAGGGAGGTAGCCCAGAGCTGATGGAGTGTCTTCACAGTCATCAGGAACCCAGCCTTCTAACTGCCCTTTCATTCTTGGCATATTTTACCTCATGGTCCACTATAGCTGCTTGAGCTCCAGCCATCATATCTGCATTATAGCCAATAGGAAGGAAGAATGGGTCAAAGAGCATGCTCATGCCCTTCAAGGACATTTTCTTAAATTTATACATAACATATTATATTTCATTGGCCAGAACTTAATCACATGGCCACATATATCAGAAAAAAAAGCAGGGGAAAGTAATTTTTATTACAGGTGGCCTTTTGCCCAGTTGAAAATTGGGAGTTCTATCAGTAAGAAAGAAAGAATGGATATTAGGTGCAAGTAGGAATCTTGGAGCCACGGACAACTGGAAAACTTTTAATGATATAATGACAGTGAAACATTGGAATGTTTTTATTTTTTAATTTAATTTAATTTAATTATTTTTTTCATTATACTTTAAGTTCTAGGGTACGTGTGCACAATGTGCAGGTTTGTTACATATGTAGACATGTGCCATGTTGGTGTGCTGCACCCATTAATTCGTCATTTACATTAGGTATATCTCCTAATGCTTTCCCTCCCGCCTCTCCCCACCCCACAACAGGCCTTGGTGTGTGATGTCCCCCTTCCTGTGTCCATGTGTTCTCATTGTTCAGTTCCCACCTATGAGTGAGACCATGCAGTGTTTGGTTTTTTGTCCTTGCGATAGTTTGCTGAGAATGATGGTTTCCAGCTTCATCCATGTCCCTACAAAGGACATGAACTCATCACTTTTTATGGCTACATAGTATTCCATGGTGTATATGTGCCACATTTTCTTAATCCAGTCCATCATTGTTGGACGTTTGGGTTGGTTCCAGGTCTTTGCTATTGAGAATAGTGCCGCAATAAACATACGTGTGCATGTGTCTTTATAGCAGCATGATTTATAATCCTTTGGGTATATACCCATTAATGGGATGGCTAGGTCAAATGGTATTTCTAATTCTAGATCCCTGAGGAATCGCCACACTGTCTTCCACAATGGTTTAACCAGTTTACATCCCACCAACAGTGTAAAAGTGTTCCTATTTCTCCACATCCTCTCCAGCACCTGTTGTTTCCTGACTTTTTAATGATCGCCATTCTAACTGATGTGAGATGGTATCTCATTGTGGTTTTGATTTGCATTTCTCTGATGGCCAGAGATGAAGAGCATTTTTTTAAGGGTCTGTTGGCTGCATAAATGTCTTCTTTTGAGAAGTGTCTGTTCATATCCTTTGCCCACTTTTTGATTGGGTTGTTTTTTTCTTGTAAATTTGTTTGAGTTCTTTGTAGATTCTGGATATTAGCCCTTTGCCAGATGAGTAGATTGCAAAAATTTTCTCCCATTCTGTAGGTTGCCTCTTCACTCTGATGGTAGTTTCTTTTGCTGTGCAGGAGCTCTTTAGTTTAGTTAGATCCCACTTGTCAATTTTGGCTTTTGTTGCCATTGCTTTTTGTGTTTTAGACATGAAGTCCTTGCTGATGCCTATGTCCTGAATGGTATTGCCTAGGTTTTCTTCTAGGGTTTTTATGGTTTTAGGTCTAACATGTAAGTCTTGAATCTATCTTGAATTAATTTTTTTATAAGGTGTAAGGAAGGGATCCAGTTTCAGCTTTCTATGTATGGCTAGCCAGTTTTCCCAGCACCATTTATTAAATAGGGAATCCTTTCCCCATTTTTTGTTTTTGTCAGGTTTGTCAAAGATCAGATAGTTGTAGATGTGTGGTATTATTTCTGAGGGCTCTGTTCGGTTCCATTGGTCTATATATCTGTTTTGGTACCAGTACCATGCTGTTTTGGTTACTATAGCCTCGTAGTATAGTTTGAGTTCAGGTAGCGTGATGCCTCCTGCTTTGTTCTTTTGGCTTAGGATTGACTTGGCAATGCAGGCTCTTTTTTGGTCCCATATGAACTTTAAAGTAGTTTTTTCCAATTCTGTGAAGAAAGTCATTGGTAGCTTGATGGGGATGGCATTGAATCTATAAATTACCCTGGGCAGTATGGCCATTTTCACGATATTGATTCTTCCTATCCATGAGCATGGAACATTCTTCCATTTTTTTGTATCCTCTTTTATTTCATTGAGCAGTAGTTTATAGTTCTCCTTGAAGAGGTCCTTCAGATCCCTTGTAAGTTGGATTCCTAGGTATTTTATTCTCTTTGAAGCAATTGTGAATGGGAATTCACTCATGATTTGGCTCTCTGTTTGTCTGTTATTGGTGTATAAGAATGCTTGTGATTTTTGTACACTGATTTTGTATCCTGAGACTTTGCTGAAGTTGCTTATCAGCTTAAGGAGATTTCGGGCTGAGACGGTAGGGTTTTCTAGATATACAATCATGTCATCTGTAAACAGGGACAATTTGACTTGCTCTTTTCCTAATTGAATACCCTTTATTTCCTTCTCCTGCCTGATTGCCCTGGCCAGAACTTCCAACACTATGTTGAATAGGAGTGGTGAGAGAGGGCACCCCTGTCTTGTGCCAGTTTTCAAAGGGAATGCTTCCAGTTTTTGCCCATTCAGTATGATATTGGCTGTGGGTTTGTCATAAACAGCTCTTATTATTTTGAGATACGTCCCATCAATACCTAATTTATTGAGAGTTTTTAGCATGAAGGGCTGCTGAATTTTGTCAAAGTCCTTTTCTGCATCTATTGAGATAATCATGTGGTTTTTGTCTTTGGTTCTGTTTATATGCTGGATTACATGTATTGATTTGTGTATGTTGAACCAGCCTTGCATCCCAGGGATGAAGGCCACTTGATCATGGTGGGTAAGCTTTTTGATGTGCTGCTGGATTCGGTTTGTCAGTATTTTTCTGAGGATTGTTGCATCAATGTTCATCAGGGATATTGGTCTAAAATTCTCTTTTTTTGTTGTGTCTCTGCCAGCTTTTGGTATTAGGATGATGCTGGCCTCATAAAATGAGTTACGGAGGATTCCCTCTTTTTCTATTTATTGGAGTAGTTTCAGAAGGAATGGTACCAGCTCCTCCTTGTACCTCTGGTACCTCTGTGAATCCATCTGGTCCTGGACTTTTTTTGATTGGTAAGCTATTAATTATTGCCTCAATTTCAGAGCCTGTTATTGGTCTATTCAGAGATTCAACTTCTTCCTGGTTTAGTCTTGGGAGAGTGTATGTGTCGAGGAATTTATCCATTTCTTCTAGATTTTCTAGTTTATTTGCGTAGAGGTGTTTATAGCATTCTCTGATGGTAGTTTGTATTTCTGTGGGATCGGTGGTGATATCCCCTTTATCATTTTTTATTGCGTCTATTTGTTTCTTCTCTCTTTTCTTCTTTGTTAGTCTTGCTAATGGTCTGTCAATTTTGTTGATCTTTTCAAAAAACCAGCTCCTGGATTCACTGATTTTTTGAAGGGTTTTTTGTGTCTCTATCTCCTTCAGTTCTGCTCTGATCTTAGTTATTTCTTGCCTTCTGCTAGCTTTTGAATGTGTTTGCTCTTGCTTCTCTAGTTCTTTTAATTGTGATGTTAGGGTGTCGATTTTAGATCTTTCCTGCTTTCTCTTGTGGGCATTTAGTGCTATAAATTTCCCTCTACACACTGCTTTAAATAAGTCCCAGAGATTCTGGTATGTTGTGTCTTTGTTCTCGTTGGTTTCAAAGAACATCTTTATTTCTGCCTTCATTTTGTTATGTACCCAGTAGTCATTCAGGAGCAGGTTGTTCAGTTTCCATGTAGTTGAGCGGTTTTGAGGGAGTTTCTTAATCCTGAGTTCTAGTTTGATTGCACTGTGGTCTGAGAGACAGTTTGTTATAATTTCTATTCTTTTACATTTGCTGAGGAGTGCTTTACTTCCAACTATGTGGTCAATTTTGGAGTAAGTGCGATGTGGTGCTGAGAAGAATGTATATTCTGTTGATTTGGGGTGGAGAGTTCTGTAGATGTCTATTAGGTCCGCTTGGTGCAGAGCTGAGTTCAATTCCTGGATATCCTTGTTAACTTTCTGTCTTGTTGATGTGTCTAATGTTGACAGTGGGGTGTTAAAGTCTCCCATTATTATTGTGTGGGAGTCTAAGTCTCTTTGTAGGTCTCTAAGGACTTGCTTTATGAATCTGGGTGCTCCTGTATTGGGTGCATATATATTTAAGATAGCTCTTCTTGTTGAATTGATCCCTTTATCATTATGTAATGGCTTTCTTTGTCTCTTTTGATCTTTGTTGGTTCAAAGTCTGTTTTATCAGAGACTAGGATTGCAACCCCTGCCTTTTTTTTGTTTTCCATTTGCTTGGTAGATCTTCCTCCATCCTTTTATTTTGAGTCTATGTGTGTCTCTGCACATGAGATGGGTTTCCTGAATACAGCACACTGATGGGTCTTGACTCTTTATCCAATTTGCCAGTCTGTGTCTTTTAATTGGAGCATTTAGCCCATTTACATTTAAGGTTAATATTGTTATGTGTGAATTTGATCCTGTCATTATGATGTTAGCTGGTTATTTTGCTTGTTAGTTGATGCAGTTTCTTCCTAGCCTCGATGGTCTTTACAATTGGCATGTTTTTGCAGTGGCTGGTACCGGTTGTTCCTTTCCATGTTTAGTGCTTCCTTCAGGAGCTCTTTTAGGGCAGGCCTGGTGGTGACAAAATCTCTCAGCATTTGCTTGTCTGTAAAGGATTTTATTTCTCCTTCACTTATGAAGATTAGTTTGGCTGGATATGAAATTCTGGTTTGAAAATTCTTTTCCTTAAGAATGTTGAATATTGGCCCCCACTCTCTTCTGGCTTGTAGAGTTTCTGCCGAGAGATCAGCTGTTAGTCTGATGGGCTTCCCTTTGTGGGTAACATGACCTTTCTCTCTGGCTGCCCTTAACATTTTTTCCTTCATCTCAACTTTGGTGAATCTGACAATTATGTGTCTTGGAGTTGCTCTTCTCGAGGAGTATCTTTGTGGTGTTCTCTGTATTTCCTGAATTTGAATGTTTGGCCTGCCTGCTTAGGTTGGGGAAGTTCTCCTGGATAATATCCTGCAGAGAGTTTTCCAACTCGGTTCCATTCTCCCCGTCACTTTCAGGTACACCAATCAGACGTCGATTTGGTCTTTTCACATAGTCCCATATTTCTTGGAGGCTTTGTTCATTTCTTTTTATTCTTTTTTTCTCTAAACTTCTCTTCTTGCTTCATTTCACTCATTTGATCTTCCATCACTGATACCCTTTCTTCCAGTTGATCGAATCGGCTACTGAAGCTTGTGTATTCGTCACGTAGTTCTCGTGCCATGGTTTTCAGCTCCATCCGTTCCTTTAAGGACTTCTGTGCATGGTTATTCTAGTTAGCCATTTGTGTAATCTTTTTTCAAGGTTTTTAAATTCTTTGCATTGGGTTCAAACTTCCTCCTTTAGCTTGGAGAAGTTTGATCATCTGAAGCCTTCTTCTCTCAACTCTTCAAAGTCATTCTCCATCCAGTTTTGTTCCATTGCTGGTGAGGAGCTGTGTTCCTTTGGAGAAGGAGAGGTGCTCTGATTTTTAGAATTTTCAGTTTTTCTGCTCTGTTTTTTCCCCATCTTTGTGGTTTTATCTACCTTTGGTCTTTGATGATGGTGACGTACAGATGGGGTTTTGGTGTGGGTGTCCTTTCTGTTTGTTAGTTTTCCTTCTAACAGTCAGGACCCTCAGCTGCAGGTCTGTTGGAGTTTGCTGGAGGTCCACTCCAGACCCTGTTTTCCTGGGTATCAGCAGTGGAGGCTGCAGAACAGCAAATATTGGTGAACAGCAAATGTTGCTGCCTGATCGTTCCTCTGTAAGTTTTGTTTCAGAGGGGTACCCGGCCATGTGAGGTGTCAGTCTGCCCCTACCGGATGGTGCCTCCCAGTTAGGCTACTCGGGGGTCAGGGACGCACTTGAGGAGGCAGTCTGTCTGTTCTCAGATCTCAAACTCTGTGCTGGGAGAACCACTACTCTCTTCCAAGCTGTCAGACAGGGACATTTAAGTCTGCAGAGGTTTCTGCTGCCTTTTGTTTGGCTATGCCCTGCCCCCAGAGGTGGAGTCTACAGAGGCAGGCAGGCCTCCTTGAGCTATGGTGGGCTCCACCTAATTCGAGCCTCCTGGCTGCTTTGTTTACCTACTCAAGCCTCAGCAATGGCAGGCGCCCCTCCCCCAACCTCGCTGCTGCGTTGCAGTTCCATCTCAGACTGCTGTGCTAGCAATCAGCATGGTTCCGTGGGCATGGGACCCTCCAAGCCAGGCACGGGATATTATCTCCTGGTGTGCTGTTTGCTAAGACCATCGGAAAAGCACAGTATTAGCGTGGGAGTGACCTGATTTTCCAGGTGCCGTTTGTCCCCCCTTCCCTTGGCTAGGAAAGGGAATTCCCTGACCCCTTGTGCTTCCTGGGTGAGGCAATGCCTCGCCCTGCTTCGGCTCATGCTTGGTGCACTGCATGCACTGTCCTGCACCCACTGTCCAACAATCCCCAGCGAGATGAATCCGGTACCTCAGTTGGAAATGCAGAAATCACCCATCTTCTGCGTCGCTCATGCTGGGAGCTGTAGACTGGAGCTGTTCCTATTTGGCCATCTTGGAACCTATCAGAATGTTTTTATAAGTAGGATTTTAAAACAAAACTGAACAAAGATACCAGACATGAGCAAATAAACATTAAACCCTCGGCTGGGCTCAGTGGCTCATGCCTGTAATCCCAGCACTTTGGGAGGCCGAGGCAGGAGGATCGCTTGAGCCCAGGAGTTCAAGACCAGTTTGGGCAACATAATGAGGCCTCATCTCTACTGGAAAAAAAATAAATTAGCTGGGCATGCTGGTGCATGCCTACAGTCCTAGCTACCCAAGAGGCTGAGGTAAAAGGATTGCTTCAGCCCAGAAGTTCAAGACTGCTGTGAGCAGTGATCGCACCACTGTGCTCCAGCCGGGCAACAGAGTAAGACCCTGTCTCAAAAAACAAAACAAAATATTAAACCCTGAACAATTTGTAATATTCTAAATTTTCTTCCCACATGTTAAATGTATCATTTTACATAGATTTAATCAATGTATACTTGGTTTTTCAGTGGTTGTAATTAAATGTTACTTCCAATAAACATTGCCATATTTGGTCATAATTCACATATTTGTAGTTTTTAATATCCACTTGATATTCTACCACATTAGCATAGTTTTAAAGCATGGAAGGGGAGAGAGATGATGCAAGAGTGTCATAATGTTCATAATGGTTGAAGTTGCTTGATAAATATAGAGGATTTATTATTCTGTTGTCTCTACTATGCATGTTTGAATATGTCCATCATAAAAATTTTTATATGTATATCATCATTTCCTTAGAGATAGGTAAATGTTTAAAGAGGAGAACCAGCTGCTGAGTTTTCTTTTTATAGTCAGAATACCTGGAGGGTGGAGAGAAGATGGAGAAGAACTCTCTTGAGGCTTCTTCCACCTCCCCTCTAAGCAAAACAGATTTCATTCAGAAGACTGATCTCAATCTAAGAAAGCAAATTGCAAGACTTCTTTGTTCAAGAACAGCAAGCTGTGTTGTGCTTTAAAAGGGTTGGTTTCAACAGAGAACTTCAATCTTTCATAAAGTTTTCCTTGTTAGAAAAAAATCTGTAGGCCGGGCACAGTGGCTCACACTTGTAATCCTAGCACTCTGGGAGGCCGAGGAGGATGGATTACTTGAGCTCAATAGTTCAAGACTAGCCTGAGCAACATGGTAAAATCCTGTTTCTTCAAAAAATTAGCCGAGCATGCTGGCGCGCACCTGTAATTCCAGCTACTTACTAAGCTGAGGCAGGAGGATCGCTTGAGCCTGGGAGGTTGAGGCTGCAGTGAGCCGAGAGAGAAGGAGAGACAAGGAAGGAAGGAAGGAAGGAAAGAAGGAAGGAAAGAAGGGGATCTGTAGAGGTGTTGTACATGATTCCTTTTCCATCTCCCACCCCATTCTCCCCAATCCCCAATATTTATTGAAAACCTGTTCTGAGCTGTTCAGAGATGCAGAGATGAATAAGACACTATCGCTGCCCTCAAGCAGTTCATATTCTGCAAGGAGAAAAAGACATGGAAAAAGATAGTTGTGAAATAATGTGGTCAGTATACTGACAGAGCTATACACCGCATATCATGACTCTACAACGTACATTCATGCAACAGGATGGGTACAAAGTATGAAGCCAGGAAGATAAAGCCCAGAAAAACATGATTTCTTTTGAAAATGTTGCCTTCATTGAAAGAAACTTAATACTGAGTGGCATTATAGTTAGATGAAGGCCAACTATGACCCCACTAACATAAACTGCAAAGAAGTTTTAAAAATGAACGGAATTTGCAAATGTTAATATATTCCCCATATTTTAAATGGTAATATGACTTTACCACAAATTCCTCAGTTGCAGTCAGAAGAAATGTGATATTTAATGAGGAAAGTCCTTTAAATAAGCCAGTGAAAGATAAGTTATTATGTACCTGATGCTCAGGTTAGTGGAAAATATCTTTTTAAGCTGATGTGACTTTTTAAGTTGTTAAGTAAGTCTTTTTGGATACAGCAATTAGCGCTTTGCTGGAACAGGAAATATTTGTGGATAAATGAATGAACAAACAAAACGAGTGAGAACACTTGGGCTCTAGACTTGGCTCTATCACAGAATGCCTAGGTAGGTCAGTTAACCTCCCTGGGATTTTATTTCTTTACCAGTGAAATTAAGGGTAGGATTTATTGGGGGTTTCAAACTTTATTTAGCCACATCACCCTTTGTTCAAATGAGTTGTTACTTGGAGTCTCGACAGATAGGATGGAGCTAAGTGGAGGTACGTGTGTGTGTGTGTGTGTGTGTGTGTGTGTGTGTGTTTGTGTGTTGTGTCAGGGGTGCATTCTTTTTGTTTTGTTTGTTTAGTACAGGGTTCCACTCTGTTACCCAGGCTGGAGTGCAGTGGCATAATCTCAGCTCACTGCAACCTCCGCCTCTGGGGTTCAAGCGATTCTTCTGCCTCAGCCTCCCAAGTAACTGGGATTACAGGCACATGCTGCCATGACTGGCTAACTTTTGTATTTTCTGTAGAGACAGGGTTTTGCCATGTTGCCCAGGCTGGTCTCAAACTCCTGGACTCAAGTGATCTACCCGCCTCAGCCTCCCAAATTGCTGAGATTACAGGCATGAGCCACTGCACCCGGCCAGGGGCACACTCTTGGTTCATTCTCATGTTGCCCTCCTCTGGTTATCCCAGAGTCACCTCCTCCAAAGAACCAAGTCTGACAGTTAGTGGTCTAGAGGATCTCTGAGGTCAATTCCAGATCTGACATTGGATGATGCTGTTCTTGGAAGCCATTTGGCTGTAGAATACTAGTTCAGGAAATATCAAAGAAAACTTAGTGCCATCTGTGGAGAGAGATTGTGGAAAAAGGGGGAGATTTTGAAGTGATCAAACTTGGTGCATATCTGAAGTCAGGAACAAAAGATGGAGTAGCTCTTTATTCTGATTCACTTTTAGACTAGGTTCCTAAAATGGAGAGAATTTAAATGAGCTTACACCCAGAGTCAGGCCTCCCAGAAGAATCCAAGGGGCAGTATCACCAGGCTCAAAGAGTTGGCTTTTCTTGGCCTTTTCTGTTTAATGCTTTCAGCCAAAACATCATGGAAGAGAACTCCAGGTTTATGAAAGTCATGCCTGTTAATACATAGCCTGGCCTACTGATAACAGATGTGGTTATAATAGGAGCTGAGTGAACAAAAACACATTTCCCCAACATTAAACCTCAAGTACATTTTCCATCATTTGTAGCAGACAGAAATGCTGGCTCAGGGCAGAAGATTTTCTTTGCTCATTTGTGGAAATTGCTGTGAGCACTTGTCGGGAAAGGAAGATCTGAAGTCTCCTTTGGCCGGTGTCTGAAGGAGATGGCAGGACAGAAGCAAATTCCTCTCCTTTTCTTGTAGCAACTGCTTTTGGGCTATTGCTAAAAAAGGCTTTTTGTTGATACAAACCCTCGCTGAGATAACACTAAGTACACATTTCTCAAAGAAAGGCTCCAGAAAGCTGAGCATTGCTGAGCTAAACCATAACAGTCTTATGACTTATGCCTTGGCCAAAACCACCTCCATATTGCCCAGCCATGAACTTCATCTGTCAAGCTCTTGTGTTAGTGCAAAACCACATACCATCTGGAAACAGTCTTGAAGAATTCATGCAATAAGAGATGGAGCCCCTAAACTTCACCTTCCTAAAGCCAAACCACCCACAATTGGTCACTTTAGCAACCCTTACAGCTTTCCTGGGAAGGGTATTGAGAAATGACCAGGTGAGACTTGATAATATGTCAGCCTGATTCTCAGGCTGATTTGAGCTTCTGGCTTCCAATCTTACACTTAATAAACTAGACCAGCTACTTCTTTGTACAAATTTAATTCTGTAGACTGTGGGGAGAAACCATTGTCAACAGTGTGCATTTTATAGACACAAGTTCCAAACCACATAACATTTAATTTTTCTCAAAACAGCCCTGAGTGCTAAAAGACTAAATCTGTCTCTCAGAAGAGCATTTGCAGCCTTTATTTGAGCGTCTGGCAGGAAGGAATCTGATTTTCCAGTGGATCAGTATTAGCTAAAATGTTTGTCATTATATATTCCCTGGAGTTCTCTATGCTTTGCCGGGTCAGCTCCTGCCCTTCTGACAGTAGCTTGAAATCATTGTCAGGGAGCTTGAGTTACACCATAAATGTGAAGTCACCCAGGAAAGCTCTTGTTTAGACTGGAATTAAAGCCCTTGACTGCATGCTTAAGCTTTCCCTTCTCTTTGTCCAAGTGCCCAAGGATCAAGCTCCCCAGCTAATACTGTAGCACATCTGTATTATGTCTGCTGCAGATGAGCTTTAGTTTCCCAGAGCAGCATCCTTGAAATATTGTGTCATCTGACTGCAAGGCAATGTCTACAGTATAATCCATATTTCATTTTAATATATATGCAAACACTGAAAGGAAATTCCTTAACTGATAACAGTATCTGTCTCAGGATGGTAAAAATCTGGATGATTTCTTTTTCTTCCTAATTCTATATTTTCCAAAATTTTGCAATGAACAGCTATTGCTCTTACAGTAGGGAAACAAAGAATGTGTGTGTGTGTGTGTGTGTGTGTGTGTGTGTGTGTGTGTGTGGTTATCATGCCATAATCAATATAGAGTTTTTACTCTAGAGATCTCAGGCTCCAAAACCTAGACTCTTCACTGAACATTCTAGAAGAGGTTCTTAGCCTCCATATTCCTGTTATACAGAAAATTTGATCAACCTCCTACCTCACTTCAATTGTGGAGGCAACTTAGGAAACACTGGCAAAATTTTCAAGTGCTCAGATGTCCCCACTAATTAATGGAAACAGCTGATGGGAGCCCAACTTAATAACTTAATTTTTTTAATTTTATTTTTATAAATGTTTATGTTTAGTTGGTTACAAACTATGCTTAGTATCAAAGGGATGACCATTGCTAACACTTTGGTCTATTTCTCTTCTTCCGCTGAGTCAACGTCAAAAGTTGCCACCCTGGGCATCCATTTGCAGGGTGGGAAGAGGAAAGACCGAGGACTGTGACTCTGGAACCCTGGGCCCAGAAGATTTATTTTCTAGTTGTCTGGGCAGGACCTTCAACGATGCTGTTTCTCAGTGCATCTGCAGGGAGGGGAATGGGGCTGCATGATTTTGTTCTCCAGCCTTATTCTTTTAACTCAAAGGAAAAATTTATTTGTATAAGCTCTCTAAATAACTCTGATAATGTGCCTAGATTCTGGTTGTCCAAAGATCAATAAGATGGTTTTGAGACAAAATACAACAAATAATAAAAATACAACATGCAGAGTACTTCGAGAGACACAAGCTGAGGACTACAGCAAAGAGTGCAGCAGAGGGAAACCCTGGGGACAGGATTCCCTGTTGGATTCCTCCAGCTGTTCAGTTGAGTGCTGACTCCTGGAAGCAGCTGGCTCAGGCCTGGAACCTAGTTCTGCCATTATTTGCCATAGACAGTAAAAGAATTACCAAAGCTTTCTGAGTCACAGGGGAATGACCCCGCCTTCCTCATAGGGTTCTTGAGAGAATGACTTGAGATAAGGTCAGCAAGCCCTTAGCCAAGCATGCGGGGCACAGTGAGCACTCCCGAGGTTCTGGGGAACAAACCCAGGGCTCCCCTTCCTGCAGCTCTGTCCCATCAGCTTCCTCCACAGAGCCTGAACCGGCACCAGCTCCACTCTGCAGGAAGGAGGATGTGGAAATGAAGAGGCAGGCTCTGATGACTCAACACAGCCACCCAAACAGGTTAGGCGAAGGATGAAGTGGACACCTCTCAGAATTCTGAACTGCTTTTCCAACCGTGCTCAGCCTGGGTGGGAAAGAGAGGCTGGGGCAGAGGGGAATACAGTTATGAACCATCCGTAACCTCTTGTAGTTCAGAAAGGGACATTCTGCCTGGCTTTTGCCTCTGTTGTAAACTTAGCAAAAGCAGGGAATTCACTGAGTACTGGCATGGGTGTTATTAATGCCAGCTTAACCCTTTGGTGAATCAGCGTTATTCCATCTGGACTCCAAACATAACATACTTTCAGGTGGAATAAGGTGGGCTACAAGACTGACAGGTGGTGTGTGTCCCTCACACAGTGTCTCATGGATCCACACAACTAACCTGTGAGGCTTGTAGGTACAAACTCATCATTCTGAGTGCACAGAAGAGGACACTGAAATTGCTGATGTGAAAAAACTTGCTCCAACTCACACAGTCAGCAAAGTCTGAAAAGCAGTTGAACCTTTATCTAACCAGCACCAAAGGCTACATGTGCAGCACTTACACAGTAGTTTGAATGACCTGGAGTAGTGCCAAGAACCAGGAAATCCTTTAAAGGGCAGCTAAAGGACACAGCATTGACTTTACATACTAAAGTGAGAATATTTTATTCATAGGCAATCTCCCTGGGACTTGCTCAGGGGATTTTTACCCCCCTACATGAAGCAGAGAAACAGTGAGTTTCCTCCAAGATGTAAGTAAATCTCATTGACTCCCAGTAGTGCTTCCTGAAAACCATAGTTCAGTTCAGACACGCCTATTGGACAACTTGGACCTATGTGGTCATTGGTCCTCCTACCTCAGTCTCCCCAACACATCACCGCACCTTGCCATCAGGGTTTAGGATCTTATAGACAGAAGATAATCTTTGAGCTCCAGCTTTAAGGATAACAGGAAAAAAAAGTTTCTCTTGATTCTCAGCTCTAGAAATGAAGAAATAGGTTTGTTAAGTCCAAGTAGAAGAAAGACCAAGTCTAGCTCAAATTACATTTGAATGGAGAATCCCTTTGTGAGTGAAGTCAACAACTATTTACTGGGAAAAAGTTCTTTGAAAAGAATCCACAAACATGATTCAAAAGTAAAAATATATTCTTTTATTTTCTAGTCCTAAAATGATTTATGACAATTCACTTTTGGCATGAGATCAGCAACACATGAAGGATATTTTAAACTTTGGATCTGATGCTTACCTTATCTGTAGAGCCCTGTGTGTTGCTCTACATAAAAGCAAATGCTCACCTCACGCTTAGTGACCAATGCATTGGAATCAATTTGGGACACTATCATGAGGAGTTCTGCTGGATCCTGCAAGGGCTTTTTTTTTTTTTTTCTTTTTCTTTGAGACAGAGTCTCACTCTGTTGCCAGGCTGGAGTGCAGTGGTGCAATCTCAGCTCACTGCAACCTCTTCCGCCAGGGTTCAAACAATTCTCCTGCCTCAGCCTCCCGAGTAGCTGGGACTACAGGCGCACACCACCACACCCAGCAAATTTTTGTATTTTTAGTAGAGACAAAGTATCACTATGTTGGCCAGGCTGGTCTCAAACTCCTGACCTCAGGTGATCTGTCCTGCCTCGGCCTCCCAAAGTGCTGGGATTACAGGCGTGAGCCACCGTGCCCGGCTGCAAGTGCTTTTTAATGCATTTTAAAGAAATGGAGAAATTCCCACTGATATCCATTAGGGCATTTCAGAGAAGATGGATTTTGGCACTTTAGTAAATCTGGTCCCGTCATGATGGTGCAGAGTAAATCATACTGCAATACAACAAAGAGCCTACAAGGAGGTTGGGCAAACAATCACAGAGGCACAGCCCCAGAAACCAAACCAAGACTGGGGAGCTAAAAGATTTTAGGCAGCAGTGATGGAGCTTCCCTGCTCTCATAATGCCCTTATAAGAGTATAAATAGGGGAAAAAAAATTCAAAGCCAAAGGCTCATGAGTTAAGATTTAATAACATAGGCATCTGGCAAAGGAACTTTATTAGACTCAAAATTGGCATTAATCAGAATTTTTCATTACAGTTACTTTCTTTTATATACAATATTTGAAATGCTTAGCTATTACCAGTTGTTATGTGAACTGTGAGTTATTATTTTATACCATTAAATTTCAGACTGTGGAATTATTTTCACAATAAAATTTTAGGAGTTTATTGTTGCTGATAACAATTCAGCCCTGCCGAATTTTGATATATCTTGCTTCAGAACCACCCTCACCTGCCCAGCAGATTTCTTTATTAGGATAATTTGCTATAATGACATTTTATGCAGGAGGAAGTTTGTTCATAACACATAATTTGGGAAACAGAGGCAGGGATACTCAAATGTGCTATCTTTTGAGTTCCTAAACCCATTCCTGGTTTAACTCCACTGGATTGTAATGGTTATTAAGTAACCTTGGAATAAGCACCAGCATCTTCCTTTGCACTTCATAAATCACAGACACAAATGCCAAGTTACAAAAACAAAAATTATGATAGAGTGGCACGCACAGAAAAATAAAATTACAGAGAACCAGAAGATGATGTGGTGGAGCAGATCTTACTGAAACCCTTCTTCCTAAGCAGGGGTGAAGGTCAGGAAAGGGAGGTCCATTTATTACTATAATAATGGTATTCTTGGCCGGGTGCTGTGGCTCACGGCTGTAATCTCAGCACTTTGGGAGGTCGAGGTGGACAGATCTCTTGAGCCCAGGAATTCAAGACCAGCCTGGGCAACATGGTGAAACCCCATCTCTACAAAAACTACAAAAATTAGCCAGGCGCGGCAGCGTATGCCTTTGGTCCCAGCTACTCAGGAGGCTGAGGTAGGAGGATTGCTTGAGCCTGGGAAGTCAAGGTTGCAGTGAGCCAAGATCGCACCACTGCACTCCAGCTTGGGTGCCAGAGCAAGACCTTGTCTCAATAAGAATAATAATAATAATAACATGGTATTCTTTGTCCATAATAATGTCTCTATTGCTGATGAGTCTGAATGGAGCCATGCACATGCTACCATATCTTTTGCAACTAAGGGATATGTTTTGTGAGACAGCTGCCTGGAACAGGGATGGAGGCAGGGAGGGGCAGGGAAAAAGGCAGAGTCTGGAGCTCCGGAACAGGAAAACAAGAGGTATATGTCATCTTGATCTTGGCCATCTGACTTTGCCAGATACACGCCGACCAGAATAACCACTAGTCCTGGTGCCCCTGCTGTTGCAATATGCTGTGACATGTTGTTGGGTTTATAGAACATGTGAGAGAAAAGTCATGCTCCCTGAGCAAGCATCTGCTTTTTATTTCTTGAAGGGGCCTGAAAATTTGCATTATTTGCATTTTGTAGTCACTGGGGCACAGATGAACGTTAGAAAGAAAATATGTATTAGAGGAATACAAGTACAAATGATTAGGAACACAAAGTCTTGGGCCAGTTGGCATGGACTCAAATCCTGACTTCCACTGAAGGCAGCGTGACCTTGAGCATACTTCTTTAACCCTTTTGTGGCTTAGTTTCCTCATCCGTACAATGGGGATCATAACCTTACCTTCCTTACTGAGTTCTCATGAGAATTAAATAAATTGATATATGTGAAGGGCTAAGTCTATAGGTGGCACTATGTGTGAGTTGTTATTTATTGAGTACCTAATGTGTGCCAGACCCCATGTAAGGTGCTTTCATAAAAAGTTTTGGTTAATCTTTATAATATAATAGCAAACTTAGGAGGCGGCAATATTATTTCCATTTTACCGACAAAGACATTGAGGCTCAGCAAGGTTAAGAAAATTGCTCAGTTGTATGGAAATAAGTGGTCCAACTGCAAGGTATCAAATCCAGATGTGTCTGCTCCAGCACGATAGCAAACACCACTGGTGTCCCAAGCTCTCAATGGCTGCTATTTTATAAACACTTGCATTGTGTTTTAGACTATTACATTTCTAATCAATTTTATTATGAGAAAATTATTCCTCTCTCCATCATCATTTGTCTAAAGCATTTGAAATTAACAAACACCATTAGATCAATGCATTTGACACCTGAAGTTGAGTCACTCTGGACTTCAGGTGAAAGTCCTGCGTGTCATGGGCTTTGGTGCTATTGGAGGGAAAGAGAACAGTTGCTCCTTCCTTCCTTCCTTCTTTCTCCCTTCACCAGACAGGAAGGACCAGCAAACGTACAGCTGCCTCTCAGCAGAGTGATGAGGCCCTGAGCAGCCTTCTTTCCTGAGCCAGAGGAGCATCTGGGAGATCAATTACCAGGCAGTGTTTTTCACACAGCCTCTCCTTTGGGGACCCCACAGCACTCAGGAACTGGGAACAAGTCTTTCCTCCCTGCCAGCACTTGAGACAGGAAGAAGGCCTTCCTTCAGGTTGCCCGACTCAGCTTCTTGCTCACACAACAGAGTGAAGGAAGAACAGGCGTCGGAAAAACACTAATTAGAAAAAACCAAACAAACAAACAAGAACTAGTGTGGAAATAGCACAATGCTGTAAAGTTTTAGTTCATAAGAAATGTAGTCCTGGCTGACACTGATCATTTTTTCATCCACCAAATGTTGGCCAAGTCCTTCAGAAGCTTCGCCCAATGCGGTGGGAGGGTTATTGCTGGAGCCCAGAAGGGTGATACCTAGAAGACCCATCAGACAGGACACTATGACACCACCATCAGAAACAGGCCTGCCAGGGCTTGGTCTCTGTAGGGCACCTGGGTTTGGCATGGCCAGAGAAGCAACATGGCTCACTGGGTGATATTGACCTCATAGGTCCCTATGCCCTATAGATGCTAACTAAAGCATTGCTTTAACACACCTGAACTGGTATTTAAGGTGGAAATAATGAACAGGCAAATTAATACTGTTGAAGAAATGCTCCTAAACAGTTTCTTCTATTTTGTCTTTTGTTCCTTATGCTCTAGGTGACAGATCTAAGAACCCATTGGCAATCCAAGGTTAAGGGGATTTATGCCTATGTTTTCTTCAAAGACTTTTATAATTTTAGATTATACATTTAGGGGTCTGATTCATTTTTTTTAGTTAAGTTTTGTATATGGTATAAGGTAGGAGTCCAACCAACCTCACTCTTTTGCATGTGGTTATCCAGTTGTCCCAGAGCTATTGGTAGAAAAGACCGTTTTTCTCCCAGTGAATTGTCATGGCACCCTTGTCAAAAATCAATTGACTGTGAATGTCACAGTTTATTTCTAGGCTCTCGGGTCTATTCTAATGATCTGTGCATCTGTTCTTAGGCCAATACCACACTGTCATGAGTACTACAGTTTTGTAGTGAGTTATGAAATAGGAAAGTGGGAATCCTTCAACCCTGTTCTTTTCCAAGATCATATTGGCCATTCTGGGTCCCTTGAATTATCGTGTGAATTTTAGGACCAGCTTGTTCATATCTGCAAAAAGGCAGCTAGGATTTAGATAGGGATTGCATTGAACCTGTAGATCAATTTGGCGATATTAAAAAAATATTTTTAGGTTAGTGAAGAAATAAGGTTAGCACCTCCCAAACCCTGGCACTTGAAATCAGAGTGGCTTTGGGTCTCTTTGAATCTGACTCTCACATCTACTAGAGAAAAATAAAGCCTACCCCAGAGGTGGCCAAATAAATGACACAATCTACATGAAAGCATTGTGAAAACTATATTGTGAAAATCAGAGGCATTGTTGAATCTATTTTTGTAGGAAGTCATTAATTCATTCTTTCAACTGAATTTTTTATGGAATTTAGATGCTGTGCTTATAAACTGATACATTTATAAGTGACTTGGAATTCACACATTAAAACAAGTATTTATTGTCCCTTTCAAGCTGGTCATCTTGCAAAATTATATATTTATTCTAACAATGTTACATTTGCTTGAAATATTTTCAAGTTATTTTTTCACATTTCTTCTCTTTAAATTTAATAATTATTTAACTGAATTGAACACACATATTTCAAAATTAATAAAAGCATAAAAGTTACATTCATAAGGATCAAACTTATATACTAAAATATGTCTGTGTTTACAAACTTGTTTGGGAAACAAGAAACTGATGAAAAATAAAAATAATTGTATTATTCTTGCCATAGTAATACAAATGCTTTCCTGATCCAACCAAGCTCATTGAATTAAAGTTATTGTAATTTTATGTTAGCCATTTATACTTAAATTGAAGATTGCATTATAAAATGCATTGCATTACTTTGAAGATCCTCAGTAATGGCAAATTATTTCAAATCATTGTTTTTGAAAGTAAATTTGATTCCTTGGAATGATCAGAAGTCATTTGGAGCCAAGTCGGATGGCTCAGTGAAGGCAGCGATCAGCCTGAGTAATGTTTTTCTCGAGACTGCAGTGTTATTACTAAGTAATAATTAATTTTTTCTTTAATTAAACTGTCACTTATGTGTTTTAATTAATTAACTTATTTTGTAGAGATAGGGTCTCGCTATGTTTCCTGGGCTGGTCTTGAACTCCCAGCCTCAAATGATCCTCTTGCCTCTGCCTCCCAAAGTGCTGGGGTTATAGGCGTGAGTCACTGCACTCAGCCATGAATTTATGTGTTCAAATAATAGCAGTCCTACAAAGATGTGCCTGGCCCAGGCAGTGATGTACTTGTCATCTGATAAACTGAGAGAAAAATGAGGTTCTCCCACCAGGTCTCTCCCTCAACACCTGGGGATTACAATTCAAGATGAGATTTGGGTGGGAACACAAAGCCTAACCGTATCATTTGGCGTATTGATTACTTCGAGCTGAAAGCACTTGAGAAACAGTAGTTGCAGAAAAGGCTACAGACTTGCCCTTTCCTATAGGTAGCTAGCCATAAAAACTCCTTTGTGAAAGATGCTTTCCCTGTACCAGGACAAAAAAAATAACCCTTAGCACCAGAGACTGGGAATTGACACTGAGATGGATCTGTAGAAATAAACTTACTAAAATAGCTATCTTCCAATGTTTTATACTCCCCCCTAAAATATATCTGCTAACAATTCCCCATGATTCACTGCCCTTTCTCATTTCTTCATGAATGTATCAATTTTGTTTTTGTTTTTATCTAAAAGGCATAAAATCTTTCTGTTTTGTCCATTTCTTCAGGTCTTCACTGTCTTGTGAGAGCCCTCATGTACATGTAAAAATTAACGAAATGTATATGCTTTTCTCCTGTTAATCTGTCTTGGGTCAATTTAATTCTTAGACCCAGCCAAAGATCAAGGAGGCGAAGGAGAATTTATCCCTTTCCCCCACAATAGCTACCAGTAAGAACCAATCATTGTGAATACCCAAAGTGGCTTCAGTCAGTTCAGCACACCTGCCAACACTAGTAGATGGGAGAGGAATCAGATTTCACTTGATTTTGAAAATTAAAAGAACATGACATTTCTTTCTCCTAGGCCCAAGGATCAAATGCGTGACTGTTACTCCCTTATTCCGTCAACACTGCCAGTGCCCACATGTGGAAGTCCTCTTTTTCAATCATTGTTGGAGAAAAGGCAGTCTTTTTAGTAGTCACACCTGGCATGATACAGCTGCACCTTGTTGGAATCATGTATCTATAATCTCAGCAAAAGATGCTGAGAGCACCTGCCTAGAAGTGGGGAGAGAAGTCTCAGATTTTCTTCAATGTTTCAGGCGGTTCTCCATGCTTTACCATGAGATACTCACTTATCCCTTCATTTCTATTCAGTTAACACACATGAAGCACCTGCTATGGGCCACTTCTCTATTAGGCCTTGTAAGAATTAGAGATGTGAATTAAATGTAAATCTTCAAACCACTGACTTCATAATCGGTGAGAAAGAAAGATGTGCAAACATCCTATAGTAAAAACCAGAATATGACCATTTAAAAGTGGGATGAACATCATGATAGGGGACATGTGGCTGCAGGGATGATTAGGCTTTGGAGAGAAGGTTTAAGTGAGCCTTGAAGAATGGAAGGAATTTGATGGAGAATGGAGGAGGGTGCTCCATGTGTAAGGAAAGCCCTAGAAGTAGGCAAACCCTAGCGTGTACAGAGAAGAGTGGTAGAAGGACACAGCAGAAGGTAAGACCAGAAAGTGGGCTTGGGACCATCTCAACTACAGTTTATAACTGGCTCCAAGGAATCCTGCCACACAGTCTGTGGGGGAG
Organism: Homo sapiens; assembly: GCF_000001405.40. NCBI lineage: Eukaryota > Metazoa > Chordata > Mammalia > Primates > Hominidae > Homo > Homo sapiens. Next base: position 100,387,980 of record NC_000008.11, on the reverse strand, counting down.
TGAAACTCAACCCTCCCTCAGCTCATCAGCCATGCTCCAACCACCCAGAGAAAGGGGCATCTTTTCAAATTTACACAGAGACACAATAGGGGCTAGTAGAGCCTTATTTTTTTTGAGACAAGTTCTTGTTCTGTAGCCCAGACTGGAGCGCAGTGGCATGATCATGGCTCACTGCAGCCTCGACCTGTGGGGCTTAAGTGATCCTCACACCTCAGCCTCCCAAGTAGCTGGGACTACAGGTGCATGCCTCCACAGCTGGCTAATTTTAAAAAAAATTTTGTAGAGCTGGGATTTCACTATGTTGCCCAGGCTGGTCTTGAACTCCTGGCCTCAAGCAGTCCTCCAACCTCAGCCTCCCAAAGTGTTGGAATTACAGGTGTGAGCCCCCACACTCGCCCTGGAGACTCATTCTTGATGATCCTTAATAGCATGCCAAGGAGTCTGGGCTTTGCTGTGTAGGCGACGGGAAGCCCTTGAGGATTGTTGTGAAGGTTTGAAGAGTCTTTAAAAAATAATGTGAATAATGAGAATAGTAGCCAGATGGGTATTAAGCATACTTTCCTTTGTTGCTTGCTCTGTTTCAATTATATTCTTACATATTCACAAAGGCCTCTGAATGGTAAATTTTTCTAACATATGAGCAAATGAATTACATAACAGACGAATTTAAGAGCCCATGTCGAATGCAAATCTAAAGCCCAGTTCTTTAGACTTTCAGCCTAAAAAGTCAAAGTCAGTGAGACAGAAAGTTGAATTGTGGTTGCCAGGGCCTGGGGGGAGGGAAGAATGGGGAGTTATTGTTTAATGGGTACAGAGCTTTAATTTTATAAGAAGAAAAGAGATATGGAGATGGATGGTAGAGATGGCTACACAACGTTATGAAGGTATTTAATACCTTCTTGTTTTTGGGGCTTTTTAATGTTGGACCCACGTAATGATCACTAATGCAGTACTCAAGTGGAAGAAAGTACAAAATAAAACACACAGACACACACACACACAATCTAAGAGTGAAAAATAAATTCTTATTTCCCCTTCTTTTTTGTTTTTTTTAGACATTCTACATTTTTCCACTTATAACCAAAAACCCTTTAGACCTTCTAGTAAGATAAAGCTAAAACTGTAAAACATTAGTAGGTAGTTTACCCAAATAAGTTCAAGATTATAAGCAAAAATGTCAGCCATTTTCACCCCCTTACAGAGGCTGATTTATTTCCATTTGTCTCAATGCTAAATAATGTAGCATTTGTCCAATTGTCATTAAAAGCTGTATGCCCTCAAGAAGCAACATCTTGGGCCTTTCTGGGTACAGACCAAGTTTCCACTGCAGTAAACGCTTAAAGGAGCACCAGTTCCAATGCTAGCACTGTCCTGGTGGAGGCTCTCCCACCTCCGGCTGCGATGCTTCATCACTGTTTGTGTAGGTCTCGGCACAGATGAAGGCAAGGGTCGCAGGTCCAAGGTCAGCTCGCATGGCATTGCGGGCAGGGGAGAGGAGGCCCTAGAGGGAAATATTGAAATCATCAGATACAGAAAGTGGAAGGAAACTTAGTGTTTCTTTTTTTTTTTAAACTTTCATTCTAGGTATGGGGTACATGTGCAGCCTTGTTATATAGGTAAACTCATGTCATGGAGGTTTGTTGTACAGATTATTTTGTCACCCAGGTACTAAGTCTCGTACCCAATAGTTTTTTTTTCTGCTCCTCTCCCTCCTCCCACCTTCCACCCTCAAGGAAATCCCGGAGTCTGTTGTTTCCTTCTTTGTGAACATGGAAACTTAGTGTTTCTTTACAGAAACCCTTAGGTTACCTTTCGGTTTCTGTAATGAGGTAGGAGAGGCTAAACTGACTTTTTAAGTCATTAGGTTCCTGTTTCCAGTCCACTAGTTTTTCTCCCACCCTATTCAGCCTCACTAAATATGTGCTAATCTATCTCATTTGCGGATTTGTATATTTATTATTTATTTTTCAATGATTATCCTCCCATATATGAGTATTTTGAAAGCATTTTTATTGAGAGGTATGTCATATGGTGTAAAATCCACCACGTTAAAGTGTACACTTCAGTGGGTTTTAGAACATTCACTATATTGTACAACTATTACCACTTTCTAATTCCAGAACATTTTCTTCACTCCAAAAAGAAACCAGTATGCTAAGTGAAATAAGCCAGCCACAAAAGGATAAATATATACCGTAGGATTCTCCTTATATGAGGGGAGTTGTCAAAGTCAGTGAGACAGAAAGTTGAATTGTGGTTGCCAGGGGCTGTGGGGAGGGAAGAATGGGGAGTTACTGTTTAATGGACACAGAATTTCAATTTCTAAGAAGAAAAGAGACACGGAGATGGCAGGTGGAGATGGCTACATACATTATAAAGGTATTTAATACCACTGAAGTGTCTACTTAAATGGTTAAGTTAGTAAATTGTATGTTATGTGTATTTTACCACAATAAAAATAATTTTGGTAAATACCACAATGAAAAAAATTGGGAAAGGAATCCCTGTAGGTACCTTGTAAATAGTAAAATATTATTGAATCATTTTTGCTAATAGTTTTCATTTGTTAAATGTAAACATTCAAAATACACCAAGTATTAAGAAAAAAAAAGGAGCCCATAGCTATTAGCAGTTATTCTCCATTCTCACCTTCCTCCAGTTCCTGGCAGCCACTAATCCACTTTCTGTTAGATCTCCTTACTGAGGACATTTCATACAAATGGTATCATACAATAACATGACCTTGTGTGTCTGGCTTCTATCACTTAGCATAGTGTTTTCAACATTCATCCATATTGTAGCATATATCAGTACTTCATCCCCTTTTATGGTGACATATGTGGGCTTTTTAAAGTAGATTCCAGGCTGAGAGATAAGAGTCTTTCCCTCCTAAGGTTTCCTCCTGGAAGTAGAGCTTAGGCATATCTGAGCTGGGGAGCACACAGGTCTAGGAGGCTTCATTGTACGAACTCACCACGTGGCCCAAATGTTTTGCCCCGTACAGGCTCCCTTTTCCCTCTTTAGTGGGAGAGGCCCCATAACAGGGGGCCCTGCTTTCAGACTCAGCTGGGATACTATGACCCCTGGTCAGGTCTTTAATAGTGATATAACTCAGAGATGTCATGGTACCAGTGGCCACTCTGTAACTGGTGCTTTTGCTTAAATATAAACACGTATCACAGAGGAGAAATTCTGCTAGACATTCTGCTAATTGCAACTGAATGTAGCCTGTGATAACCAAACCCACTCTTCTGAAGCACGGTTCACTTTGGAGCATACCCTGTTGCACATGCCGCTTGGAATCAGAGGTAAACCAGACCCATTTAAGCTATGGCTAAATATAATGTGCTGCCTTGCTGCAGAGCCTGGGGAAGCCTGGCGGTGGGTCATGTGGGGAGGGTGGGCCACTGCTCTATTTCAGCAGGAAGTTGCTGTGCTTTCCTTGTTTTATAAAATGTCCCCAAATATGGAGGCTTTATAATGGGTAAAGCAGTGATCCAGCTGGACTCATTCTAGATATGCTATGATTTATCACCGTATAAAGGGGTAAGAAAGATCACTTCATGTTTCAAAGCACTGATCTCTTTTAGGAAGTTACACTGGGCATTCAAAATTTTTGTGTAATTTTATTTCTTGCTTTTTTTTTTTTTTTTTTTTTTTTTTAGATATAGGGTCTCTCTCTGTCACCCAGGCTGAAGTGCTGTGGCACAATCATAGCTCACTGTAACCTCAAACTCCTGGGCCCAATTGATCCTCTTACCTCAGCCTCCCAAGTAGCTAGGACTACCAGGGCATGTCACCATGCACAGCTAAGTTTTGGTTTTTCAAAAAAATGTTCACAGTGACAGGATCTCATTATGTTGCCCAGGCTGGTCTGGAACTCCTGGCCTCAAGTGATCCTCCCACCTTGGCCTCCACCAGCATTGGAATTACAGGAGTGAGACACTGTGCCTGATCAATTTTCTTTTTTATATGTGTTACTTTCTACAATTTCTTTGCTAGCTGACTTTGAAGATTCTTCTTTGGAATAGATGTGATGTTCAGGAACCAGGAGGATTTTCCTCGTCCAAGTTCATGGGTAATTTGGTGGGTTTTCTTGGAGAGTTTAAGTAGAATTTAATTGTGAATATTTGAGTGTTTGAGATAGGGAGGGAGGAGATGGCCTGAAGGATAGTCACTACTTACTTGATGGCAAGACATAATTAATGGGAATGTTCAGCATTATTTTCCTCTAAAACATGAAGTTCTACATGATTCTTATATGAACGTGGGCTGAGAAAGCATGCTGTGTTGTGTACATTATCTGGCTTCAAGAATTCATTATAATGAGATCAACAAAGCATGAGTACTGCCAGCCATGCACTCAGTGGCACCCACTGTTGTTGGGCTGATATACCTTCTCATTGCCACTTGCCTACCTCCAATTCTAAAATGCTTTTTTCAGCCTCTCTTGCAGCTAGGAAAAACATATGACATAGTTACACATACAAAGCTTTTACTTTTCTGATAAAAGGGGGAAATATTCCCAGTGTGACCCCCTTCTTCTCCTCTTCCTTGAAAGTGGTGTGATGCCTGGAGCCACAGCAGCCTTCTTGAGGCAGTCATCTTGTTATGATAAGGAAAGGCCAAGAGAACTGTCAAATTGTTAGCTCTGGCATCACATCACTGAGCTGATGAATCAGCACCATTGTTGTACTTTTAACCTTCATGTTGTTTGAGAAACATAAACCCCTATTTGTGGAATTTACTTTTAGTCAGAGTTTTGCTAACAGATATAGTTCATGGAAAGAATTTTGCTTTACTAGTATTTACTCTAATACGTCTACCTAAATATCCACCATGTCCTCTTTGTCTCTCTCCCGTATATTTCAGCACTGCCTAAAGTCTGTATTTATTGTTCCCATGGTTTTTCATTTTTATTTTTTTTTCTGAGATGGAGTCTCACTCTGTCTCCCAGGCTGGAGTGCAGTGGCGTGATCTCGGCTCACTGCAACCTCCACCTCCCAGGTTCAAGCAATTCTCCTGCCTCAGCCTCCTGAGTAGCTGGGATTACAGGCATGCACCATTAGATTTTGAAAATGAAACTTACTCATAAATATATTTCTTTCAAAATGAATTTTATAACTCTTTTCCCTTCAAATTTAAAACTTAAACCTCTACTAAGTTCCCATGGGTTCTTTTCATGGAAACTTAGTAGAGGTTTAAGTTTTAAATTTGGAAGGAAAAGATTTACAAAATTCATTTTGAAAGAAATATATTTATGAGTAAGTTTCATTTTCAAAATCTAATGTGTGATCACTTCATTTAGATTAAACTGTTGCCTGGTGCACTTGCAACCCACACATGGCAGAATTAGTTGGTGTGGGAGAAGGAAAGGGAAACTCTGACTGCATAGGGTCAAAAGCTGTTTGATGACAGGTCCGTTTGTGCATAAGGACAATACTTTTAGAAACCCATAACCTTAGCAACCTCAAATGCCAAAAGCAGAGTGTGAAATAACCAAACTAGAAAAAAAAATGGAGGCCTTATTGATCTTCATCGCACTAATACACCCTTACCATTTTAAAGAAAAGTATACTTTTTAGAAGAAAAAAGAAACCTATGTTTTTAAATTTTTTTAATTACTCCCTTGAACATGTGTGTGTGGTTTCTTTAGGAGAGTCTGGGTAGTTGACATTGTTTTGTCTACTAAGGATATGAGTCTATTGTATCATGTAATTTCCTGTTTATTAGGACCCTTGGGGGAAAATTTCTGTCTGCTCATGGGAGCCCAAATATTTGTAACTGAGCAACAGGTTTATTTTAATCTCATGAATATTGTAGGTGATTTAATTGTCAATGGGCTGCTTATTTTTGTTTTCTTGGTTGCTTTTTAAAAAAGTTATTTAAAAAGGTACACAAGTCACATGACATTAGTTCCTATTAAAAAAGATTGAGTTAATTCAGTCAGATTTTTATGTAACATCCAAGAGTGACTCTGTCCCATAATACACCCTCTGCTTCACTTGATGTTTTCTAGCGTTGACTCAGGATATGCAGTAGTAACTAACATCACATGAATTTTCAAAATTGCATTTATTTTTAGCACCAACTTTAAGGATTTTTATTATGACAATAGAGGTTAATGAGCATTTTCACAAGATAAACAAAAAATCCCCCCAAATATGTAAGTGTTTTAACATAATGATTGCAGTTTATTTTTCACTCAGGTCAAATCCAAGATGGGTGTTCCTGATCTGCCTGTAGCTCTCCTCCAACCCAGACTCCTTTCAAACTGTGCCTCCACCATCTTCAATATGGAGCTTCCAAGATTGCCCTGCTGCCCTGCATCAAGCCTGCAAAAGAGGATAGGGGGTCAGGCCACTCATATTTCATTGGCCCAAATTCAGTCACATGGCCACACTCACTGCAAGGGAAGCTGGGAAATGGAGTCTAGCTCTGTGCCCAAGAAGCAAAGAAAAACAGATTTGATGAAGACTTAGTCAATCTCTGCAACAATGAAACAGATAAGAAGGCAAAAGAAAAAGAATTTTACAACCTGAGGAGGGAGAGAAAATTCAGTTAACAAAAAGATAGACTACATGCCAAGGTAGTCTGCAGAATTCTACCTACCCAAATTATGTGTTAAATTGTGAAAGAAGTTATGATAAAAATAGGATGAGGGTGAAATTTGAAAAATGCTCTGGGGACACATAGCACACTCCTTCCCTGGTGACACAGTAGGCAGAACCAAGCCAACTATAAAAGGAAGCTCAGTGTGTTTAATCTGTTGCTCGGATAAAACCATCCTGGAAAAACTCCCAGTTTTACAATCTAACTGATCATCAGTATCTCAGTTATACAAATAACTCCAGCCTGCATGAAATACCTTCTTGCTCCCCTTGACTTGTAAAAATAACTTTGTTTCAATGGAAAAGGTGTAGAAAATGGACGTTGAAGCCAATCAAACTCATAGTATCAATACTTTGTGTTAAGCTTTAGGAGTAAGTTTTGTAATCATTGCAATCAGCTTGTTTTTGTTATTTAAGCAGCTTAAAATGATTAAGATAATCTGACATATTAGCCTTACGATTTTATTTTGGAATGATAAACTAATACTCAATTTGTAATTTTCACTTGAAAGTTGCAGAATAATTGAATATGTTCTTTAAAAGTGTTTGAATATTCAGAAGAATCTAATTTACTACATGTATAAACTAGTATTATTACAAGAGTTCATTGAGATATTGAAGGATTTTTCTTGCTTTGTTTGTAAATGTTGCCCCATCAGGCATTTGAAGTGTTTGAGAAAGTCAAAGTTATTAAATTTGTAAAGATAGTTAAAAATATTTTAGGAAATCTTTTTACATGTATAAAGATGGTCAGTTTGAAGAAATTTAATGTTTTTAAGTTTGTAAGTTGATTGAACACTAATCAAACAAGAAAAGCAATTGTTCTCATTTTTATATAAAAATCACTATATTTACAAATAAAATAACCAGGTTTATAGACTAAGCTTGAAGGCCTAAAACACATTTTAAGTGTAAGGGCCAGGGGTAGGGGGGCAACAAAGAGCAAGAAGCCAAGAGGAGCTAAGAAACCGGAACCTGAGCTGCAGTCCCCAGAGGAAGGGACTTGCTTGGAAGTCTACTTCCTCCCAGAGGTAAGCTGTCGAGTCATATGGGAAAGAGGTAGTGAGACTAATGGGCAGAATCAGGGTCATTCCTGGATTTCTGTCTAAAACAGGGCAAAGAGGAGCAGGGGTAGGGCCCAGCAACAGGATATGGGTCTGACAGAGATTCAAGATGGGTAGCAGGGCCCTGTGTGGACAGAGGGTGCACATAAGAAGACGTAAGAGGACAATGGAGAGGCTACACCATAATGGAGATGTCTGGCCACTTGGTGCTGAGATAGAGAGCAGAACAGACACTAAATAAGGCCAGTGTCCCCACCACCAAGGGACAAAGGGACAGGAGAAGGAACAGAGAGGCCCTTGGGGAAGTGGATGCTCTTGAAGAACAGGTGGAATAGACACCTGGCGTCTTGGTGCCTATCATGTGATAATCATCTTAACTGTGAACCCGGTGAAGGACAGGAGCAGCTTATATCAAGTTCTGAGGTGTGGGGGTGGGGATACAGTGCTCCAGTATGGGGTGTGGAAAAGTGGGGCTACATTGACAGCATCACAGGACTCTACCATCTAGATGACAGTAATGCCCCTCCCCAACTCATGAAAATCAAAACTATCTCCAGAAATTGCCACATTTCCCCCCAGCCCCCAGGGGTGACAAAATCGTCTGTGGATAAGACCCACTGCTCTAGAATGTAAATGCCATGAAAGCTGGAACATTTTCTAACGTATCTTCAGCAACCCATAAGTGACACTGAATAAGTATTTGTTGAATAAATGAATGAATGAGTGGGTTATGAATCATAACAGCAATGGAAGAGCAGTGAGAACATGACAATCAAATCCCAAAGCCTTCCTGGATTAAAATAAGTGAGAATCAATTGGAATAAGACAGAATCAAGATAGCTTTATCCTTAATAAAGTTAAGAAAGAAATAATGGTTTGTTTATACTTAAAATTTTAAATTTTTCTGGTTGGGACATTGATTTATTTCCTCATGCTAGTAGTGAGTATATACTTATCATTATAAATATAATTTCATACATTTAAACACAGGCATGTTTCTTCTCTGGGGTTCTTAGCATTCCAGTTGGAAATCCATCTCTATGTTAAGCACAAAGCTCCATATGTCACTTAAGTGAATGGACCACCAATCAACTAGTGATAGCAACAAGAGGCAAAGGGCACAGAGTGAAGGAGGAAGAGTACAAAATGCCTTCCCATTTTCCCCAAAATCCCAGAATGCAATCGCCATATCTCAGAGGAACATCTGGTTGAATTGGGAGGGTGGGTAAGATTTTGGAGGATCTGGGAGGCCAGGCCAAGGAGTTGTTTTAAGGTAGTGAGCATTTGAGAACCATGAGAACATGTGGAGCACAGTCAGATGTTGTCAATCGTGCCTTAAGAAGATTCTGCAGGCAGTGGCGGTCAGGGAAGAAAGTAGAGGAGAGAGATGCACCAGGCTGCCTATGATGAGATGTGCACCAAGGAAGCTGGCTGCTTGACTTCAGAGCCAAGGAAATGGAGTGTGGACATTACTGCAAAGCTGGACTTCTGTTAAGGACAGAGCTTTCACAATGCTTACACATTGTTGGTTTACAATTCCCTGAATTTAGCAATGCTTGATGATAATGGAATTTACTTTCCTATTGAAACAACTCAGAGAGGATTACTAAGGCAGGGTCATGAAGACCTGGACAAACTGACCCTCTCACCGCCTTGGATAGCCTTGGCCACTTGAGTCAAATCCAGTGTTATCTGGGAGTGAGGGATTATTTTGTCTCAAGGGTAATCAGCTTTAAGGCAAGATTCTAGGAAACAACCTTCACTTAAAATTTTCTTTTCATTAAGATCCAAAGAATAATTTTCAGTGATTATGAAATTATAGTCTCTTATCTTTGTTTCTTTGATTTTTATAACATTATGGCAGAAAATGCCAGCAAATCCCTTATATCCATTCTTCCTTTCTCCCTCATAGCAGAATCCCTGGTTTATCAGCTGGGAATGTGGAAATCCAGACAGCAAATCTCATTTTCCAGATTCCCTTGCTAGCTAGGTGTGGCCCTATTGCTAACTACTTCTTCTTTTTTTTTTTTTTTTTTTGAGACAGAGTCTCACTCTGCCACCCAGGCTGAAGTACAGTGGCACAATCTTGGCTCACTGCAACCTCCAGCTCCTGGGTTCAAGCAATTCTCATGTCTCAGCCTCCCAAGTAGCTGGAATTATAGGCGTGCACCACCATGCCCAGCTAATTTTTATATTTTTAGTAGAGACAGCGTTTCACCATATTGGCTAAGCTGCTCTCAAACTCCTGACCTCAAGTGATCCGCCTGCCTTGGCCTCCCAAACTGCTGGGATTACAGGCATGAGCCACCGCACCTGACCTGTTGCTACCTTCTGACTAATGACATGGGGGCAGAAGTATCACATGGAAGTTTCTGGGAACCTTCCTTTAAAGACACCCTGTGTCTGCTCTTTGCTCTCTTCCATCTTGCTGATATGGCCTCCCGGGACATGGGAAGCAGGCTCTCCTAAGGATGGCGGTGGGGTAGTGGGGTGGGGGACCTGGCAAATCTGCCATGCCAGTCCTTCACATGAGACAGAAATAATGCCATATTTTGTGTAGGCTTCTCTTTGGGATGTTTTCCATTACTTGCAGACAAACTCATCCTCAGTAATACAAAAAATAAAATTATATTCTATAGTATGATCTCTCACCTACCCTATTAAAAATGTTTTGTAACTTCTCCTTACTCATTCTTTCTTCCTCACAATTTGTCCCACATGTAGTTGATAAATGATCTCTGAAAGTCCCAGCTGAATCATGTCACCCACACCCTGCCACCCATGTTTGCGAATCTTCAATGCCTTCCCATTTCCCTCAAACCAAGTGACACTTCCTTGGCCCAGTATAGAAGGTCTCCATGAGCCGCACCCACCCTGCCTCCCCAGCCTTCTCTCTACTACTCCCTCTGCTTGGTTGGGACTGCCCTTCTCCTTAAAAAGGAAGCTGTCCCCACTTCTGCCTGTCAGTGTTCTCTACATCTTTCAAGATCCATCTCATTAGCCAGGCATGGTAGCTAGTGCTTGTATTCGCAGCTACTTAGGAGGCTGAGGTGGGAGGATCACTGGGAGGTTGAATCTTCAGTGAGCTATGATCATGTCACTGCACTCCAGCCCAGGTGACAGAGCAAGACCCTGTGTCTTACAAAAAATAAAATAAAATAAATAAATAAGTAAATAAACCTGTGAAAGTTGTATTTGCTTTGTTTCCCCACCCCTCACACTTCCCGGGCTTTACTCATCTTTGACTCAGAGGGTGTCTGTAGCTCTCCCCTGGGAGGGGAAATCCACCCAGGAGTCAACATTACTACTTCTCTAATTGGGCCATCTCCACAGTATTTCCTTTCCTCTAGTGGCTTTCACTGAAGGTGTCATTTTTCTGATCAGTCGTCTGCCATTAGCACTCACCAGGTCATATGTCTTTCCTGTTAAACTAACTCTGGGTTACCTATACCTACTACCCTATAAAAGTTTCCCTCTTCTTTTTGATTTTGAGTTCTATTACAAAGTCTCCTTCTATGAACTTAGCCTGAGGTGGCACCATGTCTGACCCCTTCTTCCTGACCTTCCCACTCAACTGCAGAATTCTGTGGGTTGGGATGGGGGAATCCAAGACAGTCTCTCCAAACTAGAACTGACAGGAAAATGTTAACAATTCTTGGGCCAGATTATCGTGATACATGGTAATCACTTTACATGTATCATCTCGTCTCTCCCAAAAACCATAAGGTCACATAACTAGTAAATGGTAGAACCAGAACTCAAACCCAGGCAGCCTGCCCCCAGCACCCTTGCACTGTAATGTGTTATCTACTCTGCAAACTCAAGGCAGTATGCCAATGTCACATACGGACAGTTTAGTCCCAGAAGGAATCACTTCTTCCCGAACCTCTTTTGCGTATTTCTATTTTTATAGGAGGTGTTTCCTAAAGCCACAGAGAATGTGCAAAAAATGAAATCAGATTCTTTTTAAAGAAGCTCACAAGGAACAAATGACTCTCGTTCAGGCTGTTCCTCTCTTTGATCAACATCCTGGCAGGAAACATTGCCTGCAACAAGCAAAAGAGACTTGAGAAGCAAGGAGTGTTTGCCCTTGCCTATAACTGGGTTTCCTGTTTTGCTTTCCAAAATTTTCATAGAATTTTTTAAGTCCTTTTAGGAAAAGTTTTTTTGTATTGTTTTTTTTTGTTGTTGTTCTTTGTGTTTTTTCCATGAGACAAGATTTATGTTGGTGAGTGATCAGCCACAGAAATCGTGCAGGATCAGCTTGAGTTACCCAGATATAAACTCTGTTACCTCCTCACTGAAGCCTATTCTGTGCCTCTCATCCATCCACTGAGAAATATCCAGTCCTTCCTTTGTGCTTTCACTGTGACCCCCACATATTCCTGTGGCACTTTGTCAAGCTTGGTTGTATATATGCCTGTTACTCTGCTAGACTGTCAGCTCCTTGGAGGCAGGAACTATGACTCATCTGTTTATCTCAAGGTGCCTGGCACATAATAGCCACTCAACAGATGCTAATAGCATGAATGAGAAAACAATGACTGCTTGAAGGGTGTCAGTATTGATTGAGTACCTCCTTTGTGACAAGCACCATGCAGGTGGCTTGCACCCACATTTCATTTAATTCTCACAACCCAGCTGGGCAGTTACTGTTATTCTTCATTTTTCAGATAAGGAAACAGCCTCATGGAGTTAAATGCATCACCCAAGGTCAAGGTCCCACAGGTGGTAAACAGGAGCCAGGAGTCAAGCTCAAGTGCTCTTTCCCATTCTGTCTTTTGCCTCCTTCCTTAAAGTAACACGTGAAGGAAGTCAGCAACTTAGAAGGACTGCTGATCCTTACAGCTACTGGGCAACCTTGAAAAGCTGTTTCCTATTTGGAATGGTGAAGCTTACTTTTGGGTGGTCCTGACAGAATGAGATTATAGAGACAGTAACTGCCTTGATTTTCTGTGATCTTTCCTAGAAATAGCAATATGGAGCAGGGAAAGGAAGGCAACTAGGGGGTATGCTAGGCCAGGGTTCAAATCCTACTTTTGCCACTTAGTGGCTATGTGACTCTGGCAAGGCATTCAACAGCTCTATATCCCTTATAGATGGACAATCACACTTACTGGATAGGAGAGTGAAGAGTAAATCAGAAATTTCAAGGAAAGTAGCTAGCACACAGTGAATGCTTCATAAAAGATAGTGTTTTAATTTATTTATTTTTATTTTTATTTTTGAGACAGAGTTTCACTCTGTCACCCAGGCTGGAGTGCAATGGTGCAGTCTCGGCTCACTGCAACCTCCACCTCCCAGATTCAAGCAATCCTCTCACCTCAACCTGCTGAGTAGCTGGGACTACAGGCACGTACCACCACACCCAGCTAATTTTTGTATTTTTAGTAGAGAGAGGGTTTCACGATGTTGGCCAGGCTGGTCTTGAACTCCTGACCTGGTGATCTGCCCGCCTCGGCCTCCCAGTGTTGGGATTACAGGCGTGAGCCACCGTGCCCGGCCAAAGGTAGTGTTTTTAATAGAAGGGTGCCCATGAGGTGCTGTGTTCCTGTGTCAGTGGCCCCAGCTAACACCCTCTAGCCTTACCAGGCCCAAGGCATGTGGCACAGCTCTGTCCCTTCATGCCAGGGTTCCCTCCGACCGGAGAGGGAATCTTTATCTACCCAAGTGACAAAATCCTCTATAAGACACCCTCCCTGAACTCCTTTAACCACTTTAACCCTGCCGCATGGTTTGTTTGTTGTTAGTTTGGTAGTTGGTTGACTGGTTGGTATAAGAAAGATCTTGAACTCTTGGCACAGGCCAGGGGTCCACAAACTAGAACCTACAGGCCAGCCACGTTCATCCCTCCCCCTGGTTTTGTGTGGTTCATGAAATAAGAATGGCGTTTACATTTTTGAAAAAAAAAATCAAAGGAAGAATATTATTTCATGACACACAAAAAACTGTATGAAATTCAAACTTCAGTGTCCATAAATAAAGTTTTATTGGAACACAACCATGCTCATTTATTTACATAGTGTCTATGGCTGCTTTCCTGTTACAATGGCCATGCTGAGTAGTTGCAACAGAGACCGTATGGCCCGCCAGCCTAAAATAGTTCCCATCTGGCCCTTCACGGAATAAGTTTGCCAGCCCCTGGTATAAGCAAATCACAGCAGAAGCCTCCTCACTTAGGAATACTCAACCAGGCCAGGCGTGGTGGCTCACGCCTGTAATCCCAGCACTTTGGGAAGCCAAGACGGGAGGATCACGAGGTCAGAAGGTTGAGACAATCCTGGCTAACACGGTGAAACTCCGTCTCTACTAAAAATACAAAAAATTAGCTGGGCGTGGTGGCGGGCGCCTGTAATCCCAGCTACTCGGGAGTCTGAGGCAGGAGAATTGCTTGAACCTGGGAGGAGGAGATTGCAGTGAGCCGAGATAGCGCCACTGCACTCCAGCCTGGGCGACAGAGCGAGAGTCTGTCTTAAAAAAAAAAAAAAGAAAAAGAAAAGAAATACTCAACCAAACCCCTGCCCTTCCCCTTCTTCACTCTTTTCCCAAATGTAGTCCCAGGTTGGAAATTCTTTTAATTAACAAACAGCCAATACTCCCTGGAAAGTTTCCAAGTGCACAGTGGTCTCCACACTTTCATTTTATTTGATTTAATCACACCTTATCCCAGCATGGAAGAGCAAGTAAGGAGAAGGTGGAACTAGGTGAGGAAGGGGAAAGAAAGAACCAAAGAAGGCCAGGCACAGTGGCTCACGCCTGTGATCCCAACACTTTGGGAGGCTGAGGCAGGAGGATCACTTGAGGTCAGGAATTCAAGACCAGTCTGGCCAACATGGTGAAACCCCGTCTCTACTAAAAATACGTTAGCTGGGCATGGTGGCGAGTGGCTGTAATCCCAGCTACTCAGGAGACTGAGGCAGGAGAATCGCTTGAACCCGGGAGGCGGAGATTGCAGTGAGCCAAGATTGTGCCACTGCACTCCAGCCTGAGCAACAGAGAAGATTCAGTCTCAAAAAAAAAAAAAAAAAAAGAGCCAAAGAGAATGAGGGAGGCAGTGAAAAGGCTAAGGCTAAGCAACGTCATAAAGAAGTTTGTTCCAGACAGGAGAATCCATCAAAAGCCAGAAAGGGAAACATTTAACAGAAATTTATAAATACTCCTGCTTTTTCTGCAACTGACATAAGCATATCATCTCCTCCTCAAGAAAGCTTTAACAGTTTTGACAAGATGGCAGCAAGAGGCAATAACGCCAGCTAGGGAAGAGGATTGATCAAGCAACTATTGTTGAAAAAGTTTAATATTTACTCAGTTTAGGAACTAACCAGTTGACAGGGATGAGCTCAAAACTCTTGGCAAGATTTGACTGTCTGGCAAACAAAGCTACAGAGTTAGAATTATCTAAAAGAAGTCATTGAATCCCTTAAAAAAGAAAGAAACAGCAATTTTTTTTAGCATTACAATTGTAATGTTGAAAGACTATAAAAATCAACAAGGACAGCCCTGGTAGAAAAAGCCAAGGACATTATTTAAATATTTTTAAAAGCCTGCATCTTCACTTGATTAACATGTCTTATTTGATCAACAGAAAGACAAGCCTTTGTAATGTTAATACCAGAGAAGAGCTGCAAAACCTTGGTACCTAAGGACCTCATAGCAAGATTCGAAGCTCAGAAATAGGGATTGCTAAAAGACCAGAATAAGCCTAGCAAAGCATTTCTCCATTTTAAGACAGAGCAGAGATGAAGACCCCAAGAGCACAAGTGTTTGCCAAAGTCAGGTCCCACTGGGCTTTGATACAGAGGGGAGATTGAATCTAAACAGGACTCACAGGGGGATGTAAGAAGCTGAAAAATCTCATTTCCCAAGGTAAAAGAGAAAAATCACAAAAGCAAAAAGCAAAGCAGTACAAGCAAAAAGAAGAGTAAAGCCAGGCATGGTGGATCACACCTGTAATCCCAGCACTTTGGGAGGCCGAGGTGGGCAGATCACTTGAGGCCAGGAGCTCAAGACCAGTCTGGCCAATGTAGTGAAACCCTGCCTCTACTAAAAATACACACACACACACATACACACACAAATTAGCTGGGCATGGTGGCATATGCCTGTAATGCTAGCTAGTTGGGAGGCTGAAGCATGAGAATCGCTTGAATCCAGGAGGTGGAGGTTGCAGTGAGCCGAGATTGCGCCACTGCACACTAGCCGGGGCGATGGAGTGAGATCCTGTCTCAAAAAACAACAACAACAAAAAAAACCAACAAACAAAAAGAGTAAAGCACTTGTAACGCTGTCCACACTCTGGTCCATTTAGAATTGGCTTATGCTCTTGGCTCTCCCAATCCAGGGGTTCTAAATTTCACATTTGTAGGAGTTTGTTTACAAGTCTACTCACAATCTGAGAAGCATATCCCAGTGGTTTATTGTCAATTATTAACTGCCGCAAATCAAATAACAAAAGGGGCAAAAGGAAAAAATTAAAAGGAATCATTCTAACCAGTAGTCCTCAAAACTGTCAAGATCACAAAAAACAAAGCAAGTCTGAGAAACAATCACAGCCAAGAGGAGTCTAAGGAGACATGATGATGAAATGTAATGTGGGATCTTGGATGGGATCCTGGGACAGGAAAAGGATATTAGGTAAACACTAAAGAGATCCGAATAAAACATTGACCTTGGTTAATAATAATGTGTCAATATTGATTAATTGTGACAAATCTACCATTACTAACAAAAGATGCTAACGCAGGGGAAACTGGAAGAGCAGAGGGTGGTAATATAAGAACTCTGTACTAACTTTATAGCTTTTCTGTAAATTTAAAACTATTCCAAAGAGAAAGGGGGAAATGGGGAGATGTTGGTCAAAGTTGCAGCTCTGTAGGATAAATAGCTCTACAGCTCTAATGTACAGCATGAAGACTGGAGTTAATAATATTGTATTGCATACTGGAAATTTGCTAAGAGAGTAGATTTCAGGTGCTTTTACCACCACCACCACCAAAAAAAAGAAAAGTATGTAAGGAGATGGATATGTTAGTCTGTTTGACTGTAGTAATCATTTCACTATGCATATGTATATCAAAATATCATGTCATACACTTTAAATATGTGCAACAAAAATCAAGAACTTTTTTAATTAAAAAAACTTAAAAGAAAAAATTATTTACTCAGTGAACATTTCATGAGTGCCTACATATCCATCAACCACTGTGCCAGGAGTCTCACTTGAAATCTGGAGTTTTGGTGAGTTTGCCTGTCAAAACTAGCCAGTGGCGCACTACAGATAGGCTATGGGAACAAAGTGTCCCCTTGACCTTGCAATGGCCTAGGTCAGTGTTTTCCAAAGTGAAACTTACTGTGAGATTTAACAGGTGTTAATTTAAAAGAAAAAAAAGAAACAACAAAAAAAAAGAGAGGGTGGTCTTTGATTTTAAAAAATTTTAGAAAAATTAGATTAAAACAAATTAAACATATGTCTTTACTACTGCATCCCTCAGAGCCCTTATTATGCTTTTGCACATTGCAACTACATTGAACTGTGCAATGTAGCATTTCCCAAATTTATTTGATTATAAAACTCATTCATTGCAGAACACCTCTTGGGACAAGCTTCCCCCAAAGATACTTTGGAAACCACTAATTTATGCAGCCTGAAAAGAGGACTAAGATGCTGAAAACTGCTAAAAGAAGAGCCTGATACAGTAAAGTTAAAAGAAACACAATGAAAACAATCTAATTAGCCATTACTGATTTTTAACTGGTTGCTTCAGAGATCTCAAAAGCAAGAAATTTCGCCAAACTAATTTCTGAAAACTTCTCATATGATGCCCACAGCCTGGAACAAGAGCCAAATGGACTGTGTATCTTGTTATATGTAACTGGATGGGGAAACTATTAACATTAGGCTCAGTTGAAGTCTTCACCCTAAACAAAAGGCATTTGTATCTCAGCCTTTTGAAAAGTTACACAAATTTGGGGGTGGACAACGAATATTTGGTCGAGATTAGTTAATACGGCAATGAATAAATCCTCGTTATCCTGAAAAACAAAGACAATTCAGTTTGCAAATAACTGCAGACACCCAAATGTATCTTGCACAGCTGGAATATTTAGAACCCATATATGATAAATTGTATATTTTCTTCCTTTCCACATGCAACTTTCTCAAGTCTAAACTGCATTTTAATTTAATCAGTTTGGGCAGTTGTATCTCTTCAGCTGAAATTAAAATAAAAATAGGTTCAGACCAGGCAGTGTTCTTTTGCAAATTTGTTTCAAAATATAGCAGATGATAGGGATAAAACTTGAATCTTGACAACACAGCTTTGTTATGGGACACAGTAGTAGCATTTTTATCATCCTGTGACTGCTTTTAGCATAGTCCTTGAAGAGTTGAAAAATTCTTACTTGGGATGCATTTAAAGTAGCAGAAAAATAATTGTCGAGGAAACAGAAGACCTAAGACAGCAGAATAGAGTAAGGAATCAGAACTTAGCAGAAAAAGTACAGGCTTTTTGGAGTGTGACAGATGTTGGTTTGAATCCAAATCCTTCCTTTGAAAGCTGAGTAATCTTGGGCAAGTCACTTTTGGAAACTCAGCTTCCTCATCAGTAAAATAGGGATACTCTCATCTCCTTTGCAAGGCCGTTGTAAGTAATAGGTTAGTGTATGCAAAGTGTGCCTTCAACAGTACAAGACACAGATAACATAGTACTAGTACTAACATAATACTAGTATATCTCAGTAAACAGTTATTATAATAAGAAAGTACCATCACCCATCTTAAACAGCAGAGTTTGTTTGGCAAGGATGCAAGAAAATATTGGAACACAAACACAAAATAACTGAAAGCCAGGTTAAAAAAGAAATGCAGGCCAACTAAAGTGAAGGCTGTATGGAAAGAACAACTTTATTTGTATCAGAAGAGTTTTTTGGAAGGGAAGCAAGACTAGTAAACTTTTGGCTATTTGACAAAATCGAACTCAGTTACAGTGGTTCTGCTTCAGTCAAGTTTATAAGATGGGCTAACCTGTAATCTCCAGAGCAAAGTCTCCTAAAACTAGTACATTCCTAGACTAAAGCAAGAAAACTATTGGATCTTCAGTAATGAAACAATGAAAGTGAACCAAGGAAATGTTTTCCAAAGTATATTCTGGGTGTTATTCAGAAAAAAAAAAGTATGGAATTATATAATATAAGAGCTGATGGGTTAAACAAAGTTAAACCAGTTTCTAGGCTTTTTTCCTAAAGTAATGCATATACTTGATAAAAATTTAGGGAAGAACATTGGATGAAAAGTAAGATTTCTGCTCACTTCAGCTTCTATCCTCCAGTTCTTCACAGAATCAGCAATTGTTACTAGTTTCTTGTATATCCTTCCAGAACCATTGCATGTATATATGAGGAGACCTCAAAAAGTTTATGAAAAAAATGAAATTAAAAGATAAAAGTAAAAACATAAACTTTATTTTTCAGAATAAGCTCTATCAAGGTCTAGATACTTTTGTAAGTGATGATACAAACCATTTAGTTTATCTCTAGAGAACTGAGAGTTCTGGGAATAACCATGTCATGTAGTTTCATATATATATACACACAAAACTTTGTATATATATATATATATATATATATATATATAAAGTTTTATATGCCTTTTATAGCTTTTTTTTAGATTAGGAAACAAAAAGAAGTCAGAAGGAGCCAAATCAGGACTGAAAGGTGGATTCTTAATGATATTCCATGGAAACCCTCACAATATTGCCTTTGTTTGATGAGGGGAACTAACAGGAGCATTGTCATGATGAAGAAGGACTCTCTGGTGAAGCTTTCCTAGGCATTTTTCTGCTAAAGCTTTGGCTAACTTTCTCAAAACACTCTCAAAATAAGCAGATGTTATCATTCTTTGGCCCCCCAGAAAGTCAACCAGCAAAATGCCTTGTGCATCCCCAAAAAGCTGTTCCCATGACCTTTGCTCTTAACCAGTCCCTTTTTGCTTTGACTGGACCACTTACACCTCTTGGTAGCCATTGCTTTGATTATGCTTTGTCTTCAGGATTGTAGTGGTGAAACCATGTTCCATCTCTTGCTACAATTTTTCAAAGAAATGCTTCAGGATATTGATCTCACTTGTTTAAAATTTCCACCGAAAGCTCTGCTCTTGTCTGCATTGATCTGGCTTAATGGTTTTAGCACTCATGAAGGGGAAAATTTGTTCAACTGTAATTTCTCAGTCAGCATTGTGTAAGCAGAACCAATTGAAATGTCTATGGTGTTGGCTATTATTTCTGCTGTTACTCATCGGTCCTCTTCAATTACAGCATGGACAAGATGGTTAATTTTTCTCTCAAAAATTGATGTGGAAAGTCTGCCACTGTGGGATATATCTAGCACATCATCTTGTCTTTTCTTAAAATGAGTTATCCATTTATAAACTACAAATTTCTTTGGAACATTGTTCCCATAAATTTTTCATAAAACGTCAGTGGTTTCACCATTCTTCCACCCAGACTTCATCCTAAATTTCATGTCTGTTCTTGCTTCTATTTTAGCAGAATTCATGTTGCTCTAAAAGGGGTTCTATTCAAACTGATGTCGTATTCTTCCTACTGCCTCAAACTAGATTCTGTTCAGACATGTTATAGAGTTAGTGCAAGTTAATTTTGGTACAAAAATTTTTTAAATCTATGCATAGTTTTTTTCATAATATGCATTTTCCAAGAACTTTTTGAAGACCATGTAAACATTTTAGTTAATCAATGTATAGCTAGATATGGATAAATACATTACAAAATGGTAGCAAACTATAAATATTTCTGCATCTTCCTTTGTTCACTTAATATACCTTGGGAAAATATCAGTTCATTTAGATCAGTGATTCTCTCAGTTGGATACATTAAAGATAACAAAAAAATAGATTAGTGGTTCTCAACCTGGGATAATTAGTCTACAGATTTTTTAACTGTCACAACTGGGAGAGTGACAGAGCAGGTTGCTCCTGGCAACTAGTGGGCAGAATTTAGCAGCATCGCAAACTCCCTATCCATTAAATACCCTTCAAATAATGGGTAGAGTTTAGGGATGCTGCATAACATCCTACAATGCACAGGACAGCCCCCACAATAAAGATTTATTAGGCCCCAAATGGCACTGTTAAGAAACTCTGATTTCTGTCTAGTCACTTTTAAAGGACTATCCAGTCATTTCACTGTATAGATTAATCATAATTTATACAACCAGTATAATATTGATGGTCATTTAGGTTACTTCAAGTCCTTTACTAGGAAAAAAACAAAAGCTGAAATAAATACCATTGTGCGAATGCGAGATAACATCTGTAAGTGGAATGCGGAGGGGGTATCAAACTGTGTGTGCATTTTTATCTTTTATAAATAGTGTCAGTTGTCCTCCAAAGACAATATAGCAATTTACACTGCCTTCAATAATGCATGCAAATTCCTGTTTCCTGATAACCTACCCCAAACAGTGTAGTAACATACTTTTTGATATTTGCCAATCTAATTGGTTAAAATAGTGTTGTTTAAATTTGCACTTACTTAATTATAAGCAAAGTTGAACTTTTAAAGCTATTTGTTACTTTTATCAACTATCTGATTAATTTTACTTGACACTGGACTTCTCAGAGCCTTTAATATGTTTGTCTATATATGGCACTCCAAGAGACAGCATTCAGCATTTCCCAGTCTTTTATCTTTGTAACCTAATTTTTTTCATAGGTCATTTGAAGTAAATATGGTTCTGTAAAACAGTCTTTGAGAATTACTGAATATAAGACATCAGGATGAGATTGATATATAGAAAGAATTTATACAATTTCAGTGAACGTGTAACAGTGACTTATCAATTATTTGGTGCACTTCTAGGAGATAGGGACACTGCTAACCCATGGTTGCAAGTAAGAGCAATCAAATTTAAATCTTATAGACCTCTAACACTCCTTTACCAAATGTATTAATCAAGATTATTTTCCTTGCGGGTGAATTAAATTCACGGGAACAATTAAAACTGATTTATTTTTTAAAAAAGAACTTATTTGCTCGTAAAAGTAAACTTTGGGAAGGGCTTCTATGCAGCTGTGCCTCAAATATAACTGGTGCCAAGAACTCGAACTCTGTGAGTTTTCTCTCTTGACCCTTCAGTTTTATTCTCTCAACTGAGCCACCAGCTAGCTGCCTACATCTGGTGTTTCACTGTTTCACCACCAGAGAGAGACTGAAACACTCGCTGTCATACCCCAGGTTCAGAAGTACCAGGAAAGAGCTGGATTATTGCCTATCCCTGTGCCAAACAGCAGTGCCAAGACCAGTAGCCATGAGAAGACTGAGTACTCATTAGTGTCACATGATAGGAGTAGAAGGAGTTTAGCCCAGAAAAAAGACAAAGGGAGGTCTCTCTCACCAACACATGAGATGACATTCTTTGCTTCCATGTTAACAAGAGACCAAGAAACATCCCTAGAGAACACAGTCATTGTGAACCAAGAGGCACTTGGCAAATAAATTTAAAATAATTTAATATCCAGTGTCCTTGTGCAGTTTACACAGACTTGCCAATGTTTAAAGCCACATTAGACACTGGAGAAAAGCTCTCAATTGACTGGATTTGGACAGGTGAAGAAATAAATATCAGAAGGATTGGCAGCTGTAGTTCTGGGACAGAATATAGATTCATCAGCTTAGTAAGACATCCACATTCAAACAGCTACAATGGTATCAAATGAGGAAACTGGGCTACTCAGTAGCATTGTGCCAACATTTCAAATCTTATTAGTTTTCTATTTGCAGCCGTAACAAACTACCACAAACATAGCGTCTTAAACAATACAAATGTATTATCTTACAGTTCTGGACGTCCAAAATGGGTCTTACTGGGTGGAAATCAAGGTGTTGGCAGGCCTGCATTCCTTCTGGAGGCTCTAGGAAAGGATCTATTTCCTTGCCTTTTCCAGCTCCTAGAGGCTGCTCACATTCCTTGGTTCATGGTCCCTTTCCCCAGCTTCAAAACCAGCAACAGTAGGTCTAGTCCTCACATCCTATCACTCTGACCTCACTGCAGTTCTCATATCTCTTTCTTTGTGACTTGTCTTCTGCCTCCTTCTTTCACCTTTAAGGACCCTCGTGATTACATTGAGCCCACAAGGAGTATCCAGTATAATTTCCCAATCTTGAAGTCAGCCGATTAGCAACCTTTATTTCATCTTCTATCTTAATTTTCCTTTGCCACGTACGTACCGCATTCACTGGTTCTGGGCATTAGGACATGGGCTTTCCTGGGGGAGGTATTATTCTGCCTACCACAAATTAAGAACTTAGGAGACAGGCATGACAGTGTACATCTGTAGTCCCAGCTACTTGGGAGGCTGAGGCAGAAGCATTGCTTCAAGTCCAGCCTGGGCAAGACAGTGAGATCCTATCTCTAAAAAGAAGAAAAAGAACTTAGGCTGGGCATGTTGGCTCACCACCTGTAATCCCAGCACTTCAGGAGGCCAAGGTGAATGGATCACTTGAAGCCAGGAGTTTGAGACCAGCCTGGCCAACATGGCGAAACCCTATCTCTACTGAAAGTACAAAAATTAGCTGGGCATGACGGCTCATGCCTGTAATCCCAGCTACTTGAGTGGCTGAGGCATGAGAATCACTTGAATCTGGTGGGGCAGAGGTTGCCGTGAGCCGAGATGGCACCATTGCACCCAAGCCTGGGTGACAAAGTGAGACTGTCTCAAAGAAAAAAAAAGGACTTAAAGACAGCATCACTATTTTCTCCTGAACTACTAAAGGACAGCTGGCATTTGAAATACTGATTATCAATGATACTAAATACTCCAAATGTATAAGGTAAATGTCCAAAATGTAAATGTTTAAAATGTTCAGGGGATCCAGCTTACATGGAAAGGTAAGTCTCTCTGTAAACTAACTCCTAAGAGGCAAGGAGTTTGATTTCTTAAAAATTCAGGTTAACATTTTTCAAACTGGTTACTTATTTTTTTATAATTCAGGAAATTGTTCACATTGCTTAATTTCCATTATATCCTCCCAGCAATAGTAGCAATCATATATACAACATAAATCATAGCATCCCATAGAATGCAGACATTAAAATTTGAAAAATAAAATACCCATAACATAAAACCAGACGGCAAAAGTTCTTATAAATTATATTAAAATTATTAAAGAATTGTCCTTTTCTTAGTGGATATGGGAAGCTTCTTCATAATAATGCTGACATTATTCCCTCTTTTCCTGAATGCAAAGCTTATGCTTAAAGCAGTCTAAATATGTAAAGACGATGTTGATAGGGTTTCCTGCAGATACAACATGAAATGAGAAAAATAAATTAGTTCACCCATGACCCCATTAAAAACTTGTCTATCTAAGAGTATAAGGAAAGATGTACCCTCATACCCTGTTAGTGGGAGTATATATTGGTGTAAGCTTTTTGGAGGGCAATTTGGCATATCTATAAAAATATTTCTAGATACATATCTTTCAACTGTACAATTATGCTGCTAGAAATCTATCCTATAGAAAAGCACAAACACTTGAGAATATATGTACTATAATATTTGTTGTAGCATTATTTATAATTGCAGGAAAAATAGAGATAATCATCCACAGATGAATGGTTAAATTATGTGCACCAATTTCTTGGAATATTATATTTTTACCTAGAAATAGAGTTATAATGGACAAATTATAAGGAAATGTATAAAGAATTGTAGTGGAGGCTGGGTGAGGTGGCTCACGCCTGTAATCCCAGCACTTTGGGAGGCTGAGGCGGGCGGATCACCTGAGGTCAGGAGTTTGAGACCAGCCCGGCCAACATGATGAAACCCTGTCTCTACTAAAAATACAAAAATTAGCTGTGCGTGGTGGTGTGCGCCTGTAATCCTGGACTCAGGAAGCTGAGGCAAAAGAATCGCTTGAACCTGAGAGGCGGAGGTTTCAGTGAGCCGAGATCGCGACACTGCACTTCAACCTGGGCAACAGAGTGAGACTCCATCTCAAAAAAAAAAAAAAAAAAAAAGAATTATAGCAGAAATTCAGTGGATTAAAAGAAGTTAGACCCAATTTTAAAATGTGCAAAGGATTTATTAGATATTTCTTCAAAGAAGATACACAAATGGCCAATGAACACATGAAAAAATGCTCAACGTTACTAGTCATTAGAGAAATTTAAATCAAAACCTCAAGGAGATACTACTTTACACCAAGTAGGATGGCTAAAATAAGAAAGACGAATAGTAACAAGTGTTAACCAGCATCTGGAGAAAATGGAATCCTCATTCATTGCTGGTGGGAATATAAAATAATTCAGCCATTACTAATGGGTCCAGATTTCTAGTTTCTTTGGGGACAATGAAAATGTTTTAAAATTAGATCGTAATGATAGTTGCAGAACTCTGTGACTACACTAAAAACCACTGAATTGTGCGCTTTAAGAAGATGCATTTTGTGGCATGTAAATTGTATCTCAATAGACGCGTTATACCAAGAAAGACTTCAGAGAATCACGTGGTGGATCTGCCCCAGGATCATTAAGTAAAACCAAGCCCTTCAACAAGAATTTACATTTACTGAGTGCTTATTAAGGACCATACTTTCTCTAAGTATTTTATATGTATTAACTCATTTGATCCTTACAAGACCCTATAAGATAAGTATCCTTGTCCCTGTTTATAAAGAAACTGACATGCCCGTGATCACATAATAGTAAACGGCAGAATTGGGATCTGAACTCAGGCTATCTAACTCCCAGCTCGTATGTCTTAACCACTCACTATTTGTTCTCTTAACCACTACACTATAACATACTGCTTCTTTAAACATATGGTGTCCATTACTAGAACACAACAATCTGGAAACCCAATTAAAATACTACAAGGTATTTTAAGCAAAGAATTATGGTGCAAAAGGAACTTGATATTTTACTTTTAAATAGCTGTATATTTTGGCAGAACTAAACATTATAACCAAGAAGAGTCAGCCTACTGTCAAAGCCTGGTTTGCCAAAATATGAGAAGTGATAAAACAGAACAAGTCGTCACAGATTAAAGCCCCGTCCTACCCAAGTCCAATAGACATTTGTTTGTCTGTTTTATGCCCTTTCAAAATTTTATCCATAAGCAAAACAATGCAACCAGAAAAGACCAGATACTACACAGGCCATAACATTGACTTCTGTAGGATAAACAGTGATTTGACATCAAGAAGAAATATAAATATCTTCATCACCTACTTTGATGTGTATGCCATTAGAATTCCTATGTCATTTTCTAAAAATTTACCTTTTTCTTTTGTTACTAGTGCCATTAAGCTAATCTGATGGGGAAAATTGAAGTATGTATGACAGGTTAGAGAAGATTTCAAAAGCATTTCTTTTCTTCACAAAATAAAAGGCAACAAATATCTGTTAAACAGATTGCAAAAGGATAAGATGGTAACAATTAGTGCTTTATAATAGAAGTGACATTTCTTTGCTCTTTTGTTTTAAAATTAAACTACAGGGTCCTGCTTGACTGACATTCAAAAACCTAATGTTTTGTGACTTACTGGCTGCACAAAGTACTATATTTTCAAAAAATGATGTTGATGTTGACTCTAAAATTTTCCTACATGCAAGGACACATTCTCATCTCTCTCACCCTGCGGCAAGATTTTCATGGGATAAGAGGGCAGGGAATTGGAGTAAAAATTCATCAGGGGAGCTAGGTTAATTGGCTTGGAGGTGTACCTGAATTAGAATTTAGGTACAATTGCAAACAACAGTCATCACAATCTTAGTCCTGAACAAGGTGTGTGTCTGTCAGAGATGTGGAAAAGAAGAAAAGTGGTAACTAGCTGGTTACTGATCTCTCCTCACTCTCTTCCATGTCTCACTTACCCCAGCCCCAGGCCTCATTTCCACCACACTGCCTTCTGATGCCTTCCTACATCTGTTCTACACTCCACCACCTCTGAGCGTTGGTCCATGTTGTCCACATTCCTGGAGACACCTTCCTTTTTCTGCTGAACCCTGCCTCCCTCTCCATCACCACTCCCAACATATATATTCTAGGCCTTTTATTTAACTCCCCACCAAACCCGCTTAATTCCAGGATATTTCCATTAACTGTCTTTCATTCATTTAATAATCTTATTCAACTAGCATCCACTCATTTAGAGGAAAAACTACATTAAAAACAACCTTTAAATGACTGTTGATTTCCTCCAAGCACTTTTATAATGACAATAGTGATTGTGTATATTTGTATCATAACTCTGCCTCACTCTCTGTTCTGTTACTCAATGGGACTTTCCTGATCTTTGTACCTTAAGCACTCTGGACTCAGGCATACAACTGATACTCAGTAAATTCTTGTTAACCTACTGAGAGACTGAGCTGCTGCCAAGAATGACTATTCTAGCTACAGTCCATGGTAAGAGAAAGTGAATGTCCTTTGTCTCACATTTCTGAGCCACATGAATCCAACTGACTTTTGGCTCATCCTCCCCCCTCCTTCAACCTCCTCACCAAAACAGATATGGAATATTTATCTCCAAGAAGTAACCACATATCCCATTCAATTTTGGCCAAAAGCAGGAACCCTCAGACCCCAAATTCTAGTGCATTGCCTAAAAGGCTGCTTATCAACTGTGAGCTGAAATGAAATTTCAGAATGGTGGACAAGGAGACAGGATTTGAGTCCCAATGCTGCCACAGATCAGCTATGACATGCTGAACAAGTCATAACTTCTTGGAGGTTTAATGTCCTCATCTGTAATATGGAAATGCTGGTGCCTTCAGAAGTCTCTTGTGAGGATGAAATAAGGGACTGTATAAGAAAGTGCATTGAGGTGAGCAGATCACCTGAAGTTAGAAGTTCGAGACCAGCCTGGCTAACATGGTGAAACCCCGTCTCTACTGAAAATACAAAAATTAGGTGGGAGTGGTGGTGAGTGCCTGTAATCCCAGTTACTCGGGAAGCTGAGGCAGGAGAATCGCTTCAACCCGGGAGGTGGAGGTTGCTGTGAGCCAAGACTGCACCACTGCCCTTCAGCCTGGGCAACAGAGCGAGACTCTGTCCAGAAAAAAAACAAAACAAAACAAAACAAACTACAAAGGCTTACAAAAAAATTGAGGAGGCTCTTCTGCCTTTCTCTAGTTCACTTGTCACTTTGCAAAAATCCCCAAAGAGCCTTCCTAAAACTAATTCCACATCAATGACTCGGACTTTAATCTTTGCCTTTTGGCACTACAATTTTAAGTCAAACTTTACAAAAGAAAATAATCACTGACTTTCTATGCAATCAGTCATACCTCAACCCCCTGCAATCCGGCTTCTGTTCTCAGAAGTCTAATGAAGCTGTATTATCCTGAAAGATCACCTGTGAACTCAATTTGCCAAGTCCAAGGACTTTTTTCTCTCGCCAGCCTACTGGTCATGGGAGGCATTTTTCTCCCTCCACTTCTGTAATATAGCAATAGTGTGATTTTTCTCCCACTTCTCAGGCCCACTTCCTCATCACCCTTTGCCTACCCTCCTTCCTTCTTCCACCTCCTAACTGTGGTATTCTCTGATCTTCTCACCTACATTCTCCTCTTGCCTGCCCCAGTACCCCTCATGGTCTCACTGACCCTCACAACTTCAGTGACCAGTTTCTAAGCAGAATGACCCTCATATGCAGCTCAGTCTCCATGTCTCCCCAGGTCTGCTGGGTGCTCCCACATATATGAGCTAGCATCAGCTTGACTGTGTCATGTCTAACACAAACCTTATTTTTCTCCCCTAAATGGCTCTTCTTCCTGCTTTCTCCCTCCCTCAACCCCCATACGTAGTTAGTTACCCAATTCCAGTAGTTCTCTTTTGCAACATCTTGTCCAAGTCCTTGTGACTTCATGGAGAACTGTAATAATAGCCCTGCATCTATCTTGCATCCCTAGTGGGCTTTCCTTATTGATAAAAGGGGGAGAATACAAGTTTTCATTTGTTGTTTAGTTACACAATAGCTTTTCAAATTATAAAAAATTTTTCTTTCTTTTTTTTTTTTGAAACGGAGTCTCACTCTGTTGTCCAGGCTGGAGTGCAGTGGTGCGATCCCAGGTCATTGCAACCTGCACTTCCCAGGTTCAAGCGATTCTCCTGCCTCAGCCTTCCAAGTAGCTGGGATTATAGGCATGTGCCACCACGCCCAGCTAATTTTGTATTTTTAGTAGAGAGAGGGTTTCTCCATGTTGGTCAGACTGGTTTTGAACTCCCAACCTCAGGTGATCCGCCCACCTTGGCCTCCCAAAGTGCTGGGATTACAGATGTGAGCCACTGTGCCCGGCATACCCGGCTGATTTTTTTATTTTTGGTAGAGACGAGGTTTCACCATGTTGGTCAGGCTGGTCTCGAACTCCTGGCCTCAAGTGATCCGACCACCTCACCTCCCAAAGTGCTGGGGTTACAGGCATGAGCCACCACGCCAGGCCAAAAATTTTTCTTTATTTTTTTCTTCTCCTTTTCTTGTCTTTCTTTCTTTCTTTATTTTTTCTGGAGGTAAGGTCTCAATCTGTTGTCCAGCCTGGAGTGCCATGGCACGACCATAGCTCACTGCAGCCTCAAACTCTTGGGCTCAAGCAATCCTCCCACCTCAGCCTCCTAAGTAGCTGGGACCACAGGTGTGCACCACAACACCGGGTTAACTTTTTAATTTTTTGTATAGAGACAGGATCTCGGTATGTTTCCCAGGCTGGTCTCAAACTTCTGGCCTCAAGCAATCCTCCTGTCTCAACCTTCCAAAGCACTGAAATTACAGGCATGAGCCACCTGGCTTGGCCCTTTATGGAAATTTTTTCTAAGTAACATATTTCTGCTAAGCATTTTGTACATACTGTCTTAGGAGGAAGGTTTGAGTTTATTATTCTTATTTGGTAGTACAAAGATACAGTAAAAGATTATATAATAAGTGTTTTTCAGATCAACAAACTGGGAATGATACGGTTTCCCAAAAACATTACTGGCACAGTTTTTCTAAGTTTGCAAACTTCTGCCCTATCCAAATTGGCGCTTGCGTCAACATGAGGTTCCAGATGCCCAGGACTTGCAGATGGGATCTACTTTACTTCTAAGTGCCTAGGGATCCAGTACCTTCCTTGACAATTGATGCCTCACCTCCCTTCCTACCCCTTCTACCATAATGCCCCTGCCTCATGAACACACCAACCCCAGTGAATCCTTTCTTAATTTTCTGCTGTGCGTGACCTGATTTTCTCTGCTGCATTGCTGGAACACTTTTCAGTTGTCACCAATGCCAAGCCCTTGCCTTCTGCCCTGTGAGAAGGTTCATGCCTGTAGTTCCACTCAGGGACTAGAGCCTACGATGCCCCCTAAAAGTACATGATGTTTCGATATGGTCGTTTTGAATCTTTTGAGGCTATTCATACTTTAACATTTATCTATCTTATAACCCTAAAAGGCAAATCATAGGACTTTCTTTTTATTACTAAATCGTGTGTCCAACAGATGATGTAATCCTCTCTCTATTCCCCTCAACCCTGACGCCCCACACTGACCTCAGAATGCCATGCCATTCTTCTGGGGAAGTCCGGGCCACAACTTACAGCCCCGCTTGAGCTGAGGGGAGGCTTCCTCTCACAGCCGTAGTATTTGGTCCTGTGCACCCTGCCTTTTCTCCCCTCAAAGGGAGAAGCTTGACCCCCACCCGCACCTCAGAATCAACTCCAAGACTCTACCATCTGCCGCTCCCTTCTCTCCTTGCAGCTGCTTCCTCTGTTCCCCCAGAGTGCAGAGAATCTTCCCAAACTCAGTGAACAGACTCAGCTCCGGTACATTCACTCCCCAACCTTTTACAGTCTCTAATCACAGTTGTCCTTTGCCTAAAGTCACACAACAAAATCTTGGCCAAAAAAATGCCAAGATACTCCAATCTCTAATTCACGTGCTGCCAGGAGTTCGCTCCAGCAAGCTGAGTCTGTTGAATTGACTGAGAACGGCTGTCTCTCTGTGATGTACATTCTTAGATTATTGCTCCCTCACAGTCAACACCCTTGTGCTAGCTTTTTATTTAAAATTGCAGGCATAGCGGCTAAAGACCACCAACAACGTTGAGACATAATTTACTACCCAGCGCCAAAGGGGGTTCATAGAAAGGGAGTATGAAAATTCAGGAAGAAGCCAGGTGAGGTGGCTCACGCCTGTAATCCCAGCACTTTGGGAGGCCGAGGCAGGTGGATCACCTGAGGTCAGGAGTTCAAGACCAGCCTGGCCAACATGGCAAAACCCTGTCTTTACTAAAAATATAAAAATTAGCCAGGCATACTGGCAGGTGCCTGTAATCCCAGCTACTTGGGAGGCTGAAGCAGGAGAATCGCCTGAACCTGGGGGGCGGAGGTTGCAGTGAGCTGAGATTGCACCACTGAACTCCAGCCTGGGCAACAAGAGTGAAACGCCATCTCAAAAAAAAGGAAAGAAAAAAAATCAAGAAGAAGCAAGGCCTGTGGATAGACTTGCCCCCACTTCAAGAACTGTCTGCGTCAGAACAGACAATCACAACAGCACAAACTAGGACAGCGACAGGATGAGTCTCCTTCCATACTAATTCACAAAGATGCTTATGCCCCAGTTCCCATTTAAAACATTTTCTTATTTTGGGGGGGCTTTGAGGTCTATGACCTAGTTTTTAGTTTACCTTTTCTACCTAGGCTACCGCCTCCACATTCAAAAGGACAAAGCTGTTCTATTTTATTCCAGGTAGAAGTGGTCTTTCAGGACTACTCCTGAACGAGAATCCGGAGCAGTGGAAAGACTTCTCCTTTCCTGCCCCCCACTACCCTCCTTAACCCTCCTCACACAACCTCTAGCCCCTACTGACTGGCCTGGAATTCTCCTATCAGCTCGTCATCCTGAAGCATAATCAAATGGTTTTGGCACTAAGTTAAAATGAAAATATCACAAAAAGAAATACACATTTTCCTTCCTTCCTTCCTTCCCTCCTTCTTTCCTTCCTTCATTCCTTCCTCCCTCCCTCCCTCCCTCCCTTCCTCTCTTCCTTCCTTCTGACCTTCCCTTTTAGAGATGGGGCCTCGCTCTGTTGCCCAGGCTGGTATCAAACTCCTGGTCTCAGGCATTCTACCCACCTTGGCCTCCCAAAATGCTGGGATTACAGGCGTGAGCCACCATGGCCCACATTAAGTCTGATTGGTCATTTGCATTTTTATAAAAAGTAGTTGACTATTTCTCTTTTTCACTTTCCACAGAGCAATTGTTGAGAAAGAAAAAAATGAGTCTCAGACAATGAGTAGGATATAAAGGTCATGGAAAAATTTAAGAGTCCAGTTGCCTACATCGCAATCTAGCCAAAAGCAGGGTCATAGGTGTTCCTATTTCCATTTCTGCCGTATTCCCTCTGCCTCATGTGGTATCTAAGGGACAAACAGCTCACCACTCCCATCACTACCTGAGAAATGGGAGAAAGAAAAAGTAGATGGATCACAAGTCAGGAGCCAAAGCATGCCAAAAGAGATCAAGTCAATGGTTTGGGGAGGTTTCTATTCCTCGAGTGTAGCTATATTTTATTATTAGTCAATGATCAATGCAAATTCATGACTTCAGTGATCTTTACTGTCAGAGATACAAGAACCCATTGATGCACAGCAAAAACACTCAATTCCTAGAGCGAGAAGGGGAAGGAGGAAGTAACCCTGCAGCCATCACCTTGGGACCTTGAATGATTTTTTTTTATAGGAACTTGGACCAACGATCTCTGAAATCTTGATTAAAAAATAGCCATTTTAAGACCACAAACAGTTTCAGCCTTACAAACAAGGAGATCTAAAGGGCCAGTTAGGACCAGCTACATAATTTGCAGGACCCAGTACAAAGTGAAAACCTAGAACTGTTCTTCATAAATTCATAAGAATTCCAAAATGATGGCAGTGGAGCATTAAAACAAATACCCTTTCTAAGCACAGGGCCCTGTGGAACATCCCAGGTTGTAAGACCATGAAGCCCACCTTAGGGCCACTTAACCACTCAAATACTGAGCACAGACCCAATGTTGGAGGCATGACTCCAAAGATCTAAACTGTTCGTTTAAGAATTTGACTCTCATGAGAACAGGGATTTGTACTGTTTGACTTAGCACTGAATTGCCAGGGCCTAGAGTAGGTGCTCAATGTTTGATTTCAATTTTTCTACGTAGGAAACTGGCCTGTAAATAAATGCAGATAAACTATTGCCTGCGCTTATGGAAACATGAATACTCTTTTTTTTCTTCTTTTCTAGAAACAGAGTCTCTGTTGCCCAGGCTGGAGTGCAGTGGTGCAATTATAGCTCAGTGCAGCCTTGAACTCCTGTGCTCAAGTGATCCTCCCCGCTTAGCCTCCCAAAGCACTGGGATTACAGGCATGAGCCACTGCACCCAGCCATGAATACCCTTTAGAAAGCATTTATTCAAGAACTTAAGGAGATTTTACATTGAAGGTTTTGAGAGAATCTGAGCACAGATGGTTCCCTGGAGTCAAGAGGACCAAGAGCAGCCCCAAGGTGCGAAAAAGCCCTTTTTCTTACATACGAAAGGAACCCAGTACCATTTTTTCATCTCATCTATTGGAAGCATCAGGAGCATATCTTGGAACACTAGCAGTCAGCATTGTGCTGAAGACCATCAACTCTGACATCGCTACTTTCGTTATTACTTGCTACTTGACCTTGAGCAATTACTTAGCCTCTCTGTGCCTCAGCTTCCTCATCCCTAAAACAGAAGGATAATGCAGTATCTACCTCACAGGGCTGTTTAAAGGATCAAATGAGTTCTACGTGCAAAGCCCTTAGAGCAGTGCCTGTGCTTTACAAGTATTTGCTCTTTACTGTAACACTGTTTGGAAGGATATCACTGTCCATGGTGATCTTGAGGGCCCTTGGAGCAGCTTCCCAAACCGTGGATATTGATGAAGGGAATGAGAATAGAAGAGAGAAACAGGCTGGGTGCTGCCAACAGGCAGGTGTGTGAGCACTTCCATCTCCTCGCCTGCTCCCTGGAGAATTCCCAGAAATAGCCCAGGAAGAAGTTTTCTTTACTTGGTCAGGGGCAGGAGGTTGATGGAGTGGCAGAACTGCAAGCACAGGACCTTCCAGGCACAAATGCTATTCCATGATTTGACTTGTATGCTTAGACTAGAGAGGCAGAATTGCACAATGGGAGCCAACACACCTTGGTGGTTAGGAGCAAGGGCTCTGGAGTCAGACTGTCCAAAGTCAAATTCTGCCTCTACCATGGCATCAAAGCTAATCTAATGGTGTAACTAGAACCCAGCTGATATAGTTTGGATATTTGTTCCCCCACATCTCATGTAGAAATGTAATCCCCAGTGTTGGAGGTGGGGCCTGGTGGGAGGTGATTGGATCACGGGGGCAGGTTTCTCACGAATGGTTTAGCACCTTCCCCTTGGGCCACCTTCACAATAGTGAGTGAGTTCTCGTGAGATCTAGTTCTTTACAAGTGTGTGGCACCCTCTTCCTTTTGCTCCTGTTCTCATCATGTGAGACCCCTACTCCTGTTTCACCTTCCATCATAAGTTAAAGCTCCCTGAGGCCTCCCCCGGAGCCGAGTAGATGCCAGCACCATGCTTCCTTGTACAGCCAACAGAACTGTAAGCCAATGAAACTTACTTTCATTATAAATTACCCAGTCTGAGGTATTCCTTTATAGCACTCCAAGAATGGCCTAACACACCAGCACTGAGTAATAATCCTTCTTGTAAAAGCCCAAACTTGAACTGGAATTGGTTTTCTAAGTTTTACCGAGTTCCCACAGAAGACCAAACCCATGTTTGGGTAACCTAAAGGACTGCAGCTAGCCCAGTTAGCATCTAAGTGTCACCAGGAAAAGGCTTCCTTTTCTGAGACTGAGAAAGTTCAGGCTGGACTCCACTCCCAATTCATACCCTTGCCTGGGAGCCCTGTGCTGGGCATAACCTTAACACATATACCCAGAGCACGGTAATTAACCTAGTTACTATTTTAGTCTTGAAGAAAAAACTTGGAGGAAAAATGTCATTTAATTTAAAAATTACAAAGTCCATGAGTTTTATAGAAATTTTTGCCACCAATCGGCCAGGCGCAGTGGCTCACGCCTGTAATCCCAGCACTTTGGGAGGCTGAGGTGGGTGGATCACGAGGTCAGGAGATCGAGACCATCCTGGCTAACATGGTGAAACCCCATCTCTACTAAAAATACAAAAAATTAGCTAGGCGTGGTGGCAGGCACCTGTAGTCCCAGCTACTCAGGAGGCTGAGGCAGGAGAATGGCGTGAACCTGGGAGGCAGTTATAAAGCGATGGGTACTGGACTGAGGCAGGATACAGGGGTTTTACTTTGTACCCAGCCACCAACCAGCTGTACTGCCTAGAATGATCTTCCATTCTCTATCTGGCAAACTCCTACTCATCTTTTAAGAATCAGCTTAAATGCTGCCTCCCCTGAGAAACCTTCAAGGACTACCCCCAGGAAAATCTCTGGGTTCTCATACATTTTGCTCATATCTCTTTTAAAGTATTTTTGCTGTTTCATAATTTTGGTTTTCCTATATGCTTTTCTTTTTTTTTTTTTTCATGTTAAAAAAATCTAGAATTTATTGGGTAGGCAATGAAGAGCTGTTGAAGGAATATGAGCAGAGAAGTGACATGATAAATCCCAGACAGAAGCTTTTGGCTAATTTTATTTTGTTATCAGTTTATTTTTACCTGTAATGAACAAAGTTAACTCTTTTGGTAATTCTCATTGACATGGAAGAGAACAAATATCATTCTATCGCACCTTTCCATAGTCCAAACAAATATACCGTTTATTTTTTCCTGAGATTTGTGTAGTGAAAGAGAGGGGAAAAAAATGGACCAAATCTCAATTGATCAAGAAAGTTTTCTTTTTTTTTATCTCCCAATATTTTAATTTAAAAAATGTCAAATTGTATATATTTAAAGTGTACAACATGATGTTTTGATATACTTACACATAGTGAAATGGTTACTATAGTCAAGCAAATTAAAATATCCATCATCTCACCAAAGACTGTTGATGGATGAATTTTAGTTGTTTTTTTTTTTGTCAACAATAATTTATTGTCCTCTTTTTTTTTTTTTTTTTTTAGTATTTATTGATCATTCTTGGGTGTTTCTCAGAGAAGGGGATTTGGCAGGGTCATAGGACAATAGTGGAGGGAAGGTCAGCAGATAAACATGTGAACAAAGGTCTCTGGTTTTCCTAGGCAGAGGTCCCTGCCGCCTTCCGCAGCGTTTGTGTCCCTGGGTACTTGAGATTAGGGAGTGGTGATGACTCTTAAGGCGCATGCTGCCTTCAAGCATCTGTTTAACAAAGCACATCTTGCACCGCCCTTAATCCATTTAACCCTGAGTGGACACAGCACATGTTTCAGAGAGCACGGGGTTGGGGGTAAGGTTATAGATTAACAGCATCCCAAGGCAGAAGAATTTTTCTTAGTACAGAACAAAATGGAGTCTCCTATATCTACTTCTTTCTACACAGACACAGTAACAATCTGATCTCTTTCTTTTCCCCACATTTCCCCCTTTTCTATTCAACAAAACCGCCATCGTCATCATGGACCGTTCTCAATGAGCTGTTGGGTACACCTCCCAGACAGGGTGGCGGCCGGGCAGAGGGTCTCCTCACTTCCCAGACAGGGCGGCCGGGCAGAGGCGCCCCCCACCTCCCGAACGGGGCGGCTGGCTGCCCCCCACCTCCCTCCCGGATGGGGCGGCTGGCGGGGCGGGGGCTGCCCCCCACCTCCTGGATGGGGCGGCTGCCGGGCGGAAACGCTCCTCACTTCCCAGACCAGGCGGCTGCCGGGCGGAGGGGCTCCTCACTTCTCAGACGGGGTGGCGGTCGGGCAGGCAGAGACACTCCTCAGATCCCAGAAGGGGTCGCGGCCCGGCAGAGGCGCTCCCCACATCTCAGACGATGGGCGGCCGGGCAGAGACGCTCCTCACTTCCTAGACGGGATGGCGGCCGGGAAGAGGCGCTCCTCACTTCCCAGACTGGGCGGCCGGGCAGAGGGGCTCCTCACATCCCAGACGATGGGCGGCCAGGCAGAGATGCTCCTCACTTCCCAGACGGGGTGGCGGCGGGGCAGAGGCTGCAATCTCAGCACTTTGGGAGGCCAAGGCAGGTGGCTGCGAGGTGGAGGTTGTAGCGAGCCGAGATCACGCCACTGCACTCCAGCCTGGGCAAGATTGAGACCTGGGTGAGCGACACTCCGTCTGCAATCCCGGCACCTCAGGAGGCCCAGGCGGGCACATCACTCGCGGTCAGGAGCTGGAGACCAGCCGCGCCAACACGGCGAAACCCAGTCTCCACCAAAAAATACAAAAACCAGTCAGGCGTGGCGGTGCGCGCCTGCAATCCCAGGCACTCGGCAGGCTGAGGCAGGAGAATCAGGCAGGGAGGTTGCAGTGAGCCGAGATGGTGGCAGTATAGTCCAGCCTCCGCTCGGCATCAGAGGGAGACTGTGGAAAGTGGGAGACGAGGTGGAGGTGGAGGCGGAGGTGGAGGCGGAGGCTGAGGTGGAGGCCGAGGTCCTATATGCTTTTCTAACCAAAACATAACTTTCTTGAAGACAGGCAATGTGGTCTAGTATGTTGACTTCCTTGGTACCTAGAATACTAGTTGACTTAATGCACAATTAAATAAATGAAGGAGTGTATGACCCTAGACAATTCACAGAACTTCTCTGGCACTGCACTTTATTCATTTGTAAAATGAAGGTATCTGTATTAGTTAGGGTTCTTCAGAGAAACAGAATCAAGAGAGAGTAAGACAGAGATAGAGAGAGAGAGATTTATTATGGGAATTGGCTCACATGATTATGGAGGCTGAGAAGTCTCATCATCTGCCATCTGCAAGCTGGAGAACCCGGAAAGCCAGTGGTGGAATTCAGTCCTAATCTGAAGGCCTGAGGCCTGCGGGTGAGCAGGTGGGGTTCTGCTAGAGTCCCAAGAGCCAGAAGCTCCAGTGTCTGAGGGTAGGAGAAGACGGATATCCCAGCTCAAGAAGAGAAAGGGACAATTTGCCTTTCCACTGTTTTTTGTTCTATTCAAGCCCTCAGTGGATTGGATGATGTCCACTCACATCGGTGAGGGTGGATCTTCTTTATTCACTCTATCAATCCAAATGCTAATCTCTTCTGAAAACACCGTCATGGACACATCCAGAAATAACATTTTTACCAGGTATCTGGGCATCCCTTTGCCCAGTCAAGGTGACACATAAAATTAGCCATCACAGCATCCGTCTATTTTTTCCAAGTCCTGGCCTGCTCAAATACTCCTTGAATGCATAATATTCAGTTACAAATATTCCATCTAGGCCTCTCCAGGGGTAGGACAGACAGAATTGCCTTTGGAGTTCTGCCGTCTCCCCTTTGTACCCTCTCCACTCATCTGATTCCGCTTCATGTCCTGGTTAGGAGTCTTTTCCATAGACCCTTGCACTCAGTTACTTGACAATAGTGTCAAGGTTATGAGCACAGAGCCTGGGGACAGATTGAGTTCAAATACTGACTCTAGTACTTGCTAGCTATGTGACCTTGAGTATGTGACCTTGAGAGTTATTTAAACTCTCAATTTTCTAATTTTAAAATAGAGATGATATTAATAAAAATACCCACCTCATAGAACTGTCTAACATAGACTCTGATCAAAAAGAATGGATGTCAGCCTTAAACAACTAGCACAGTCTCTACTGGACAGGGGAGTCCTCCCACCTCGCCTCCCTCCAGTGCTGAGTCTGTTGCAGTTGTTGACTCTTATTTCTGAGAATGGGTAAAATAAAGGCTTAGTAGAAGATTTATGCACACACATCCCAGATATTTTAAATAAGGCAGTGGGGGTGGGGCAATTCAGGTAATAAGTCTAGGCCCTTAAAGGCTCACCTCAAGGCGGATGCCTAAACTTGGTTGATTTCACTTAGACAATGAATAATGAGATTAGGGCTGTAGAATTCACTCTTCCTGGTCTGTGAACAGAATATATGTCTCCTTGTTATCAAAGAGTAATATTATATGTCTTCCCAAGATTTATATTTCTTTTATTATATCTATTATTATATATTATTTTTAATAATACCTAATATTAGAATAACACTTTATTCATTTTCCTGTAAGTATTTCATAAGCTTCCTACAAGCTTGTGAAGTGAGTAGAACAGATATTATCAGCCCCATTAAAAGAGCAATTACTAATTTATTTTATTTGGGAGTGTCTAACACATAACAATTTTGACAATTCTCTGGAAACTTACATAGATATTTATGAACCAGGAGCATTCTCTGAGAAGGTAAGGGGGTAACTTAGATTTTATTCATCAATTTACTGGAATCTAACTGTAAAACTTGGATAACTTTAGAGTCTAAGTATAATATTAATAGATGTGTAGCTTAGAAATGCTTGCTATTACAAATAATACATTACTTCACTTATTCCAAAAATATAAGGTAAGTGGCTTTTGTGATTCACAGAGTAAAGTAGAAATAGAAACATAGCAAAAATATGGATTAGGTATAAATTGACATAGCAACATCCCTGCGAGACACAAAGCTATAAGGAGCTAAATTGACCATTGCTCCTACATAGAAATGAGTATGGTTATTTGGTCACAGATTCTAATTCCACTTGACTTTGCAGAATACATGGTGCAGAATGAATAACCTTTACTCTGGCAATTCACCATTATATTCCCAAATTATACTCACAATCTTCTTTCATTGTTCATTATATTAATGTAGCCATGACTTTATGAATTTATGGAATAGATATTAACATATAATAGCTGAATCTTCTGCCTTGAATTCTAGATAAGTTTTTGTTTGCTGGTAATCTTATTTGATAAGTCCAGAGTAAATGAATTGTATCAATTCATCACTAAATGCAATTCCTGTAAGGCTTTATTCCTGAGAGCAAGTAAGGAAACACTATTTGTTTATTGAAGAGAATGATGGAATCACATTTTGGCAAAATTATGGGGAGTAAGCAGATGGGAAATGGGAGAAAAGCCACATGGGTAATAAAAATCATGAGTTTTCACCACATAACTAAAATATAAAGGCAAATTCTCCTGGGAACCCCAATAGGTCATTTGATTCAACAACAGTGATTTATTTTCCATTCAGCAAGGGTTCTACACTTTGGGGCAGAGGGAGTCTTATGACACATGGTTCTCAGCTCCAGCTGTGACAGGGAAAAAGGGCTGTTGATAGAATAATCCTGACCCAGATAATGAGATCCTTAGCTACCTGCATCTAATAGCTTCACAGGACATCTCAGGATGGAAGTCAGCCAAGAAAGCCATTTTCGTTTGCCTTTTACTTTAATTTGGCACAAACAGTGGACACTTATTTCTCTAAAAAATAAATTATTAAAAAAAATGAGCCGGGCACGGTGGCTCATGCCTGTAGTCCCAGCACTTTGGGAGGCCGAGGTGGGTGAATCACAAGGTCAGTAGTTCAAGACCAGCCTGACCAACATGGTGAAACCCCGTCTCTACAAAAAATGCAAAAATTACCTGGGCATGGTGGCACGCACCTGTCATCCCAGCTACTCAGGGGGTTGAGGCAGGAGAATTGCTTGAACCCAGGAGGCAGAGGTTGCAGTGAGCCGAGATCACACCACTGCATTCCAGCCTGGGCTACAGAGTGAGACTCCGTATCAAAAAATATATATACATATATTAACGGGGTCATTTCACTTGATAGAACAGCCTATATCTCAAACTAGGTACAAAGCTTTAAAAGTACTACCTATCTTCCTGGCTTATTTCATTCCATCCTTCATCTTTCATTCATCCCTGTCCTTGTGATGTCACACTGGGTGTTATGTCACAACTACTGAGGGTGGAGGGACCGATCAATAACTAGAGCAATTTGGGATGTGAATGCAGAAGGGAAATGGCCACTAAAGAACTCTGAGACTCAGTGTGGTGGCTCATGCCTGTAATCCCAGCACCCTGGGAGGCTGAGGTGGGAGGATCTCTTGAGCCCAGGAGTTCAAGACCAGCCTGGGCAACACAGTGAGACCCCTATCTCTACAATTTTTTTTTAATTAGCTGGGCACGGTGGTGCATGCCTATGAGCCCAGCTACTTGGGAGGCTAAGGTGGGAGGATTGTTTGAGCCCAGGAAGTTTAGGCTGCAGTGAGTCATGATCACACCACTGCATTCTAGGCTGGGCAACAGAGCAAGACCCTGTCTCAAAACAAACAAACAAACAAACACACAGACAGACAGACAAATAAAAGGAATTCTGAAGCTACTTCTGGTTTGCCGGACTAGGATTGAGCAGTAGCAAGCCAAAAATGTTTTCTAATTAGGAGTAGGGCATGATCAGATCAAAAAGTCACAGTAGTGATCATATGGAGGACAGACTGGAAGAGAAAGACAATGGACTTCGCACTATCACTTGGCAAGCTCTAGAAATACACTAAGGAGAGAAATGCAAAAGACTAAGACAGTGGTTTTGGGGATAGAAAGAAGAAAACAGTCAATAGTCAGGTCCTGTCCATTCTCTCTCTGAAATTTCTTTACCAATTTAGTCAAGTGTCTCAATAATGTCCTTTATGGCATTTTGTTTTCCTCCAGTCCAGGATCTTGTCCAGGGTCACATATTGTGTTTAATTGTTGTGTCTCTTTAGTCTCCTTTAATCTGAAACAGTTCATCAGCTTTTCATTATCTTTCATGACACTGACATGTTTGAAAAGTACGGGTCAGTTATTTCATAGCTTGTTTCTTAATTTTTGTTTGTCTGATGTTTTCTCAAGATTTGATTTGAGTTATGCATTTCCAGTGGGAATACCACGTAAGCAATGTTGTGTCCTTCTGACGGTCACATCTGGAGACCACATGATGTCCACTTGCTCTTCATTGGTTATGTCAATCTTGATCATCTGGTCAGGATATTGTCTGGTTTTCCCACTGTATAGTTACTATTTTCCTTCTTGTTACCAATTTGTGATTAGTGGAAAAATACTTTAAGACCACAGAAATATTCTGCTCTTCAACAAACTTTCTTGCCTAGATTTAGCATTCTCTGATGATTCTTGTCCAAATCAATCTTTACCATGATGTTTGCAAAATTGCAATTTTCCAAATCTTCCATACCGTACACCAGAACTTCCATTTTTAACCAGACACATTACTACCTGAAAGAAAGGACCACATGCCACAGTTTGGTCATGGTTTATTAACTAAATCCTAACAAGTGTTCTGTGGGACTTCCAAGAAGTCTTCTTAAAAGTGCAAGGGTGAGGTAGAAGTGGGGACTGGTGTCTTCCTCCTCCTTCCTAGGAAGAACATGGTGTAAGAAGAGAAAAGAGCAAAATATTAGGGCCCTGAGGGACACAAAGTTGCTGGGTAACTAAAAAAAAGAAAAAGAGTAACCTGTGTAGAGGTCTGGAAAAATCAAACATCAGAACTGAGTGGTGCCTCCAGAATCAAGGGAAGGAAGATGTTTAAGCAGAGTAGAATGAACAGTTCAAATATCATAAGGAGGTCAAACGAAAAAAGGACTGAAAAGTCTCTATTGAATTCAGCCATTTGGAGGTCTTTGATAGCCTAATAAGAGGAATTTTATTAAAATGGATGGGAAACCTGGACTGCAGCAAGTTAAGGACCAAACGAAAAACAAAATATTAGCATTAAGTTTAGATGTTTCTTCCACAAAATTTGCTTCAAAAGGAAAGGAATAGGATCAGGCAAAAACTAACCCTCAGACTGTATATTGAGAGGAAAAATACTATCTTGTTCCATCTTGACTTTCCAGTCAAGATGTATGCTTGCATGTAGTAAACAATGAATAAATATTAGCTGAATACAAACTAGACAGAAAAAGGCTCCTCCCTTAGAGAACTCACACTCAAGTAAGTAAATAAATAAATGGGGTAGGATGAATGGTTGAGGGTTTTTATCAGGATAAAAGATACTGGTTTTTCAAGTTTATGATATTATGCATACAGCTCTATGAGTTTTGACAAACAAATGCAGTCATACAACAACCATGACAAATTATTGATTATTTCTATCACCCTCACCCCCCAAATTCCCTCATGTCCCTCACCCACACACCCTAGTCTGTGGCAACCACTGATCTAATTTCTGTCCCCATAGTTTTGACTGTTTCAGAATGTCATGTAAATGGCATTCAAACAGGAGTCTATTTGTTTACTAGATAATCAAACCAGAGCCTTTGCATCTGGTTTATTTCATTTAGTATAATGCTTTTAAGATTCATCCATGTTGTTGCTTGTGTAGTTCATTCCTTTTGATTAGTGAGTGCTATCAGGATTTGTCTGTTTCTCTCAGTTGAT
This sequence comes from Homo sapiens, assembly GCF_000001405.40. Taxonomy (NCBI): domain Eukaryota; kingdom Metazoa; phylum Chordata; class Mammalia; order Primates; family Hominidae; genus Homo; species Homo sapiens. The sequence goes on along the minus strand of NC_000008.11, from coordinate 100,344,944 downwards.
GAACATTTGAATTGCTTCCAATTTGGGCCAATTATAAATAAAAATGCTATAAACCTTTGCATACAGGTCTTTGTGTGGGCGCACATCTTCATTTCTCTTGGTCCTTGGGAGAGGGTTACTGAGTATAAATTAGCTTTTTAAGAAAACTGCCAAACTTTTCCCAAGTGATTATACCATTTTGCATGCCAACAATGTATGAGTTCCTGTTGCTTTGCATCTTCCTCAGAACTTGATATTGTCAGTTTTTAAAAGTTTGGCTGTTTTAATGCATGTACAGTGATATCTCATTGTGGTTTTAATTTCCATTTCCTACTGCATTTGCACTCTGTTAATTATGTTGAATATCTCTTCATGTGTTTATTTGTCATTTGTACCTCTTCCTTGGTGAATTCAAATCTGTTGCTCATTTTAATTATTGGGTTGTCTGTTTTCTTATTATTGAGTTGTGAAAGTCTTTACATACTCTGACTTCAAATCCTTTATCAAATAGGTGTTTTTCAAACATTTTCTCCAAGTCTGTGGCTTGTTTTTCCACTTTCTTAACAATGTTTTTTGAAAAGCAGATGTTTAAATTTTTGATGAAATCCAATTTATCAAGTTTTCATGGTTCATACTTTCGTGTTCTATCTCAGAAATCTTTGTCTAATTCAAAGTCCTGTGTTTTCTTCTAAACAGTTCACAGTGTAGATTTTAGGTCTATAATCCATTTTGAGTTAGGTTTTGTATGTGGAGAAAATAAGAGATTTGAACATAGGTACCATTAGAGAAAAAGAGCGATTGAAGATATATAATATAAAAAATTACAAAAGAGTCAAAAGCAGATTGGAACAGGAGTTCACGAGGACACAAATGAATCCCTTTTCCCACTAAAACAAAAAGGAAAGAAATTAAAGCAAAATTTGTAAGTGGGTGGGGTTGGGGGTGTTAAATGGTATCACCTCTTGGTCTCCATTTTCTCTGGAAGGAGACAAGATCATCTGATAAAAGAAGGGAGACAAGGCTAGAGAACAGTATGTTGGAGAAGAGTAACTAAGATCTGGCATAGATACCATGGAGAATGGGGAAGAGAGGTAACCACTAAAAAATAGAAGGGAAGCTAAATGATGGTAAGGGCCCAGGTGAGTCTCGGAACCTTGAAATTGCAATTGCTTTTGTTAGGCAATTGTCCTTGGTTGTATTGCTGGTTGTATTGCTGAACATGATCAGCATACGAGTGATGAGGCCAATGCAGGAGAGGCTTGGCAGAGGACAAGGGAGTGAATTCACTGAGACTGACGAGAGGTGACACTCCTGTTTGGACGGAAGAGGAAATTAGTCCAAGAGAAACAGACAGGAGGAGACTATAAGAAGTGACTGCAGGAATGAGAGGTCTAGGTGAGGCTGCAGAGCAAACTCCAAATCCAGTGGTTATTCTGTGCTTTTTGCCTCATGGGATCAAATTACATATTTGATCTATACATCAGGATGTATTTGGCTGCAAGTAAAAAAAATTTAGTTTAACCAGATAAAAGTGATGTAAACAACACAGGTTTGTTTTAGTTTTGTTTTTTCTCCATTTTGTTTCTCTTCCATAACAAGAAGCCTGAAAGTAGGAAGCTCTGGGAATGGTGAAATGAGTGGCATGACAGTGTCAGGACTCTGGGGCAATCTCTCTGCTATTGGCCTGGTTTGCTCTCATAATTACAAAATGGCCACCAGAACACCAAGCCTTACATCTTTTCATGGCCATATTCCTTTCTCTTTTTATTTTTATTGTTTTTTTTTTTTTTTTTTTTTTTTTGGCATTTAAGACGCTTTTATGGTGGACAGTTTAAAGCATAAAGAAAAGTGACAAAATAGCAAAGTGAACCCCATGTACTCATCACTCAGCTTTAACAGTGATCAACTATGGGCAAACTTGCTTATCTTCCACCACCACCTACATCCCTCCTCCTGGGTTATTCTGGACATTCCGTGCTGGAACTCATCCTTGACTTCTTTCCCTGGTCCCACACATCTAATCCATCAGCATGTTCCACTGTTTCTGTTTTGTTTTGTTTTGTTTATCTCCAAAATATACCCTGACGGTGTCCTGCCCTCCATCTCCATTGGTGTTACTCTAGTGCAGGTACCATCATCTCTCACCTGGACCACTCCAAGAGCCTCCTAATTGGTTTTCCTGCTTCTTCTCTTGTCATGGCCATATTTCATAGGTAAGAAGGGGGAAAAGGGTTTATACTCATGGTCTGTCTTTTCACATGGAGGAAAATTTTCCCAGAAGTCTTGCCCCCCTAGATTTCTCTCCGTTCCCATTGGTTGGTATACAACCCCCCACTGGTAAATTTGACGGGCTTAAAAATTAATTAATTAATTAATTAATTTCAGCCTTAGGCTTTCCATTTACCTGACTTCTTTGATGTTAGTCCACAGTCACATATTAGATAATGCCACTAAAGTGTCTTCATATGCTGAACTTGGATCTTTTGTGTTTAAGCTAACAAACGGATATTTGAGGTAGGTAGAGGGAGCTACCTGGTAGGCAACAGGTTGATTTCAAATATATTGCCATCTTTCTCTGCCTCAGTGTTTCAACAATTATTTGAATAGTTATTGCATTTTACCTTCGTTTTACTAAAAGTATAAAATATAAAATGAAATTGTTAAGAATGGGAATTAGAAGCATTGGTCTTATGAACAATCGTGACAATCAGAAACATGGGAATCCTCAGCCTCCTCAGATACTTTTTTAGACATAAACTGATTAATTTTTGTTCAGTTGTAATGGAAAAATACAAAATTGATAATATGAGTTAAATGCTAGAACCATATTGCAAAGGTTATTCTAAAGTTTCATATAGGTATATACAATTATTTATACTCTGGACTAAAATCCTCCTTGTAACATATAATTCTATTGTTCAGCTTTGACACATTTGATTTAAATCCACATTTTCACAAACTCGTGTATGAAAAGGGGACTGTCTTCCTTTCTTTATATTCAAAATTCTCCAGTCCTGTGATTTTGTTGAATCAACTTCTCCCATTCCTTCCCAATACCCGCACCAATCCTTTTACTCTTAACAGAAATCTAATATTGCTGTTCCTCTTATGTTTACCTCTGACTTTTCGTCTCTGTGCTGAACCGCAGCTCTCCCCTCTCAGCCCTTTTCATTGGAGTCATACTCTTTTTCCTTATCCCTACATTGTTGGCCAAACATCTTGATTATTTTTCTTCCCAGAGTGATTCTAAATGCCTTTAGGCAAAGGGATTAGAAATATAGTCAACATAAAGAATTAGAAATTAAAACAACTCATCTGTTGATGAGTGCCCTCTGTTTCTTAGTATGTTATTGCATGTAGATTATTTCTTGCTCATCCTCTCTAGGCCATAAGAACTATTCCTCTGCTCATCACAGCTGTGACTATTCTGTTATAAGCACTAAATAACTCTAACAAACAAAATGTAGTGAACAGTGCACACAGAAGACCTAAATTCCAATCCAATGTCGGTCTTTCACATCATAATAAACACAGCAAAATCCTACTCATTTACACGTAGTAGAGAGAAAACTCTAAAGTTGTGAAAAGTCTGAATTAGAGACTTTAAAAAACCAAATCATTCAAAAACAAGCAATGGGGAAAGGATTCCCTATTTAATAAATGGTGTTGGGAAAACTGGCTAGCCATATGCAGAAAACTGAAACTGAACTCCTTCCTTAAACCTTATACAAAAATTAACTCAAGACGGATTAAAGACTTAAATGTTTAAGACCTAAAACCATAAAAACCCTAAAGAAAACCTAGGCAATACCATTCAGAACATAGGCATGGGCAAAGACTTCATGACTAAAACACCAAAAGTATTGGCAACAAAAGCCAAAATTGACAAATGGGATCTAATTAAACTAAAGAGCTTCTGCACAGCAAAAGAAACTATCATCAGAGGGAACAGGCAACCTAGAGAACGGGAGAAAATTTTTGCAATCTATCCATCTGACAAAGGGCTAATATCCAGAATCTACAAGGAACTTAAAGGCAGGCGGATCATGAGGTCAGGAGATCGAGACCATCCTGGCTAACACAGTGAAACCCCGTCTCTACTAAAAATACAAAAAAATTAGCCGGGTGTGGTGGCGGGCACCTGTAGTCCCAGCTACTCTGGAGGCTGAGGCAGGAGAATGGCGTGAACCTGGGAGGCGGAGCTTGCAGTGAGCCAAGATTGTGCCACTGCACTCCAGCCTGGGTGACAGAGGGAGACTCCGTCTCAAAAAAAAAAAAAAAAAAAAGGAAAAAGAAAAAAACGACCCCATCAAAAAGTGGGCAAAAGATATGAACAGACACTTCTCAAAAGAAGACATTTATATGGCCAACAAACATGAAAAAAAGCTCATCATTACTGGTCGTTAGAGAAATGCAAATCAAAACCAAAATGAGATATCATCTCACGCCAATTAGAATGGCGATCATTAAAAATGTCAGGAAACAACCGATGCTCAAGAAGATGTGGAGAAATAGGAACACTTTTACACTGTTGGTGGGAGTGTAAATTAGATCAACCATTGTGGAAGACAGTGTGGAGATTCCTCAAGGATCTAGAACCAGAAATACCATTTGACCCAGCAATCCCATTACTGGGTATATACCCAAAGGATTATAAACCATTCTACTATAAAGACACATGCACACATATGTTTACTGCAGGACTATTCAAAATAGCAAAGACTTGGAACTAACCCAAAAGCCCATAAATTATATATTGGATAAAGAAAATATGGCACATATACACCATGGAATACTATGCACCCGTAAAAAAGGATGAGTTCATGTCCTTTGCACGGGCATGGATGAAGCTGGAAACCATCATTCCCAGCAAACTAACAGAAACAGAAAACAAACACTGCATGTTCTCACTTGTAAGTGGGAGTTGAACAATGAGAACACATGGACACAGGGAGGGGAACATCACATACTGGGGCCTGTCAGCGGGGGTGGGGAGCTAGGGGAGGGATAGCATTAGGAGAAATACCTAATGTAGATGACGGGTTGATGGGTGCAGCAAACCACCATGGCACGTGTATACCTATGTAACAAACCTGCATGTTCTACACATGTATCCCAGAACTGAAAGTATAATAATAATTTTAAAAAACGCTAAATCATTGTATTCCTTTTGGAAACATACAGTAACTTGAACTAGTAAGAAGGAGTTTCTAAGTAGAAGCTCTAGTTGCCTACTTTAGTGATGGAATAACACTTTGGGTAGTTAGCTGTATCTATTTACATATAAATAGCAAATGCATCTATCTCCTTTGCTTTTAAGTAGGCTAACATCCTAACCACCACAACCACACAATCACAGTCTCACTTAGGGGACTAATTTGCTTTCTTTAGATAGCAGTAAAAGTTATTCCTTCCAAGAATGGTTTCGTTAGCGATTTACATTTTACATTATTTTAATCTCCATAGAGTTATATGCCTGACAAATTTAGAAAGGGATACACTGAATTAAAATAGTGTATATGATTTCAACTGCAAGGGGCAGATTCAAACATTGCCTTAGGCTGTGGTGACCCTCAATTTGTCACTCAATTTATTATAAATAATTAGGCAGTCATTTGTTATATCATAATATGTATGAGTCTTGAGTTTAGAGAAACAAAGCAAGATTATACTGAAAGTTTGTACTGAGAATTTGCAGGCTTTGATAACCCTAAGATACAGCACTTAACTAATGCCCTACCTCCACCTCTCAAATTTATTTTAAGGATAAAAAAAAGGGAGAGTAAGTGCCATTCAAACCCCATAAGATTTATAGTAAGACCACTTTAGTTTTTACCCGGTGCACATGGCACTGTGACCCTGAACAAGTCACATAACCTCTCTAAGCCTGTTTTCCAGCTACAAAATGATATTACCAGCCTCAGAACATTATTATTATTAATTATTATTATTTTGAGACAGGGTCTTGCTCTGTTGCTCAGGCTGGAGGGCGGTGGTGCGATCACAGCTCACTGCAGCCTCAACCTTCTGGGCTCAAGTGATTCTCCCACCTTAGCCTCCTGAGTAGCTAGGACTACAGGCACATGCCACCACAACAGGCTATTTTTTTTTCTTTTTAAGAGACAGGATTTCACCATGTTGGCCAGGCTGGTCTCAAACTCCTGAGCTCAAGTGATCCTCCTGTCTCGGTCTCCCAAAGTGGTGGAATTATAGGCATGAGTCACTGCACCTGGCCAGAACATTATTTTGATTATTAACTTTAATCATGCGCAAGAAAATGTTTTGTAAACTGTTTAGTACCATTTAAAAGCTAGAATAAAAATGGGGAAACATTTACTTTGTATTTTGTTGTTTTTTAAATAGAACTGTTCTGGTTTTGGCTTAGAGGAAATGTTTTCTCTAACACCTGGCACCTTTTGAAAAACTACTAAAAACTCTTTCACCTGTGATTGACTTGTAATTATTTCATACTTCTGTGAAGAGAAGGAAGTATGATAGAAAGTAGTGATTTTAGACAAATTCTCAAATCACCCCTACATTCCTGAAGACTTTTTGGTCAGGAAAGCATCCCTGTGTAGATGAAATGTGGAGTTTAAGTTGATTTTACAAAAACATCAAAAACTTTTAGTTACATTGTTAAAAATTAAATCTCCACTATGTTTTGTCTGAACAAGAATTAGTTTTACAGTTGGGCACGGTGGCTCACGCCTGTAATCCCAGCACTTTGAGAGGCCGAGGTTCGGGGGATCACTTAAGGCCAGGAGTTCGAGACCAGCCTGGCCAACATGGAGAAGCCTCATCTCTACTAAAAATACAAAAATTATCTGGGCGTGGTAGTGGGTGCCTGTAGTCCCAGCTACTTGGGAGGCTGAGGCAGGAGAATTGCTTGAACCCAGGAGGCGGAGGTTGCAGTGAGCCAAGATCGTGCTACTGCACTACAGCCTGGGTGACAGAGTGATATTCTGTCTCAAAGAAACAAACCAAACCACAAGACTAGTTTTACAATGATAGTTTAGTAGTAGAGTCCTGAGAAATGACAGAAAAGAGCTGAAGGGAAGAAATGTCTTTAACATTTTTGTAGTTTTACATAAATAAAAACTAAAATAGCAATTATTTACTAGACTAGATAATCTAACTCCAGGTGCTGATAGGTAATATCACCAACAAACAATTTTATTGTTAGTAGGACTTTAAGTGCTGAATAAAGAGCAAAAAAGAAGAGGAAAAGTAAATATGTAATAATACATTACCTATCACAGCTCGGAAATTCAGAAATTTCGCTCAGGTCAAAATGCCAGTCATTTCACCCCTGCCAAAATCTCCTTGGAGAGCCTATCTGCCTGCAGACTGGAAGGACATTCCTTAAATAATAGGGGCTGTGCTCTGCTCTCTGACCAGCTAATTTGACTAGGGGCAGTCACTTGGCCCAAACTGAGTAAATCATATTCTGAGAGACACAGAAGCTGAAGTGGATAGTGTTGACACTGATGATGCGAGGTCATGAAGACTTGTTGCCAAAACTGGCAGCATGACAGCTCAAAACCATATGCAAGCCAGTGTTATGAGGGTAAAGTAACCAAAAAAACTTACAGAGATGCAGAATAACTAGTCTGCCAAAAGGAAAATGGAGCAGATGTGAAACAAGGACAAAGAGATTGGAAAACCAAGCAAAGGGAGGAACAGAAAGAGGGAGAGAAGCTGCCTGATCACACATGCTTTCTTCAGTTGGGTTCTGTATGATAACTTAAAATAAATCTCCTTCCCATTACTTGTGCTGGCTCCAGTATGTTTTGATTCCTCAGAACCAGAGATTACTTTAGTAAGATATGCACCAACTGGACTAGAGCCAAAAGTAAAAAAGTAAACAAGAAATGCATCTGAATAGCCAAATTGCATTTTCAAAATACTATATACAAAAGATCTTGTGATACTAAAAATCCTTTATTACTTTTTAAATTTGTATAACAACTGTATTAAGATTTAACTTACATCCTATAAAATTCACCCTTGTTTCATTGCTTGTTTACTTTCAACTTTTTAATTCCATCAGGCTTCCAGATCTAGTGTCCAAGTCTATGAGTAGCTTTATTAACAGAGAGAATGGCCAGGAGAAGCAAGCACACTACAGCAATAAAAAGTGACAGTTGACGGCCTAGCAGCAAAGGAGGAAACAGAAAAACTATAAATAGGAGTACAATAATTCCAAAGAAGAAAAAAAAAAAAAAACAATCTGGGGCCATTTAGAGTGTTTTCGTCAGGCTCTTTTGGTTCCGAGGAACAGCTCAAGTTACATATAATATTAGGGGAAGGAGTTATAAGGAATGAAGAAAACAGGGATCTCAGCCCCAAAAGGCCTCGTGGGAACCCAGGAGAGGCCAAATCACCAAGCCTCTGGAAGAACAGGAGCTTCAAGAGCGAGAAGTCTCATGAAGACTGGAGCCAGGACGTCATCGGGAATCCAAGGTTACCTCAGGACTTCAGCATCGGGAGTTCACCTCAGCGATGAGTTATTTTTGTGAATCTGCTCTCCCTTGCCTCTGTGCTTGTCAGTGTCGTTCGGTTTCTGGGCTTGCCCCTAACTGACTTCCTCGTCCTTTCTTTGGAATTTGCAAACTGGCAGCTCCTGACCTATTTCAGCCTGCAGACTCATTGTGTTTGGCCAGCAGGACGCCTTTGCATTGTTGAGAATTCCGAAGTCTCTGGGCGTGGCATGAGCTTGGCAGTCCGGAATCTTTACGTGCGGGATCACCTTCGCCGCGCCCTCTTCTCTCATTGGCACTGCCTGTCTACTGCCGAGGGCATTTGAGTGTGGGACCCATGCCCTGCATTTCTTCGCTACCCCACAGCTTCTGCTCATGGTAATATCTGGTTTCTTATCAGTTTTGCTTGTTCTATCCCATGGACTCTGTCTGTACTGTATATCCCTTTAGCTCCCACTGCTAACCAGTCATTCAAATTCTCCAAAGGGAGAATCTGGACCATCTCACCCATTTTTGGCTAAACTTGTCCCGTTGGTTCATAGTATAGAAAGCGGCCAACCTATAGGATAGCTGCTTTGGGTCACGTGTGGGCTCTTTGCCCAATCAGCCGTGGCTGAGGGGCAGCCTGGCCCACTTAGACCAGAGCACTGCTGTCTAGGCCCGCACCTCCGCAGGGACTGTGGGCAGAGCAGTTACCTTAGAAAGCACCTAGGGACAGGCGGCCACCGTCACTGTCCAGTGCACTGGGTAAGAGTGACCCAACTCTTCAAACCATAAAAAGCCCCAGAGAATCAGGCTCCATCTAGCCTCCCCAGATAAAGTCTATGACAGTAACATGAAGTCTTTAAGAAAAGGTTAAATTGTGTTCAGTTTCTTCTATTTAAGGAAGCAGTGATGTGTACAGTAGACTTTGGAGTAATTTCCATTAAAAATTATTAAAGTAAAAATAGTAAAAAGTATTTAATATGTACTCATATTTGGGACAGCTTGGGTTTCTTTTTTTCTCAATTCAATCTCATTTTCCTTTGAAATAGAAACTAGGAAGTTGTTGAGTAGATATCTCTGAACATTTTCTAATCTTGGCTCTGCCACTTCCCAGCTAGCAAATCTTTTGTAATACAGTGCCTCAATTTCCTCATAGATAAAATGAGGATAATAATAGTACATCTTTCACAGGGCTGCCACTTTAAATGAGAAAAATCCAAATTAAACATTTAGGATGGGTACCTGGTTTACAGTAAGTGTTAAAAATTGTTAACTATTAGTATTATTGCTGTTGTTGTTGTTTTGTTGTTCTTATATAAATAGGGGAGCTATGTACTAACATATTAGTAGAGTTTTTATAATGGTTGATAATAGTTGAGGTTTTCCTATTTGTATATACGTAATTACTTTTCCTTGACACAGTGTTCTAGCTCTGTCATAAAAATTGTGTATTGCATTTCCAATTAAAACAAATTGCTTCAATCAGATTGCTTAACTGTATAACAACAGGGTATTGTTTGGGGAGATCTGAGCTTATTTTAACCCTAGTGCTGGTCTATCTACCCATTAGCTTATCTTGGTGCCTAGACTGAAAGGCAACCTTCAGAGCAGGCCCCAGTGCAGACAGTTGTCAATTTGAAGGTAAACACCTTTGAAATACAACAAAGGCTATAGCTGATGTCAAAGGACTTATCTAAAGACCGTCTCTTTGGAGTCTCTGGCCAGTTCTAGGATGACTTCCTGCCTGGAAACCAGACAGGAAAGTGCTGAATGGGTGCACGCCAGCGGGGCTGGGTCTTGAAAGGAGTGGGACTCAATGAAACCGTTAGAATCAACAAGGGAGCTTTAGAAAACATACCAATGCTGGTCCCATCTTAGACCAATAAAATTCTGGAGCTCGGAGGTGGGGCACAAGAAAGGGAGAAGGTGAGCAGCCATATTTTTTAAAGCTCCCCAGATACTTATAATGTGCAGCCAGGGCTCAGAACCCCAATGTTCTGGGGCTTCAACTAATTTGCCTCTGCTACTGAGCACTACTCAGAAGAGAGGCTAGCAGGTAAGAACAGAGGAAAGGAGGAAAGAAGACATTGCCCAAGAACTTGGTCATCATATCAGCCTTGTCAGCAGTTTATCGAGCCTTACCCTCTGCTCAGCACTGTGTGGAAACAGAGCAGAGGGTGAAAAGAAGATAATGATTAATACTGCCTGCCTTCACAGAGCTTTCAAAATAGTTGAAAAGTCAAAATTAGCACACAAGAAATGGTGGCAGAACCGTGAAGCATTATGTTGTGGCTATGATGAAAAGAACATGCTCCGAGAGTTTGGCAAAGGGCAAGGTGAAAGTCAAGATGGAGAAGGTGGAACCTCCTGAAGATGAGAAGGATTTGGGCACAAAGGGAGCCTGAGGAAGTGCATTACAAGCACAGTGAACAGAATGAGCAAAATCAAGAAAAGGCATGGTGTAGGCACAAACAGTGACAGACCAGTCCAACTAGGGTGGAGGATGTTTATTGGGCAGTAGTAGTAAATACACTTGGATAATTTCAGTAGAGTGGGGCCAAAGTTAGAATATCGGGGTACTAGACTGAATAATTTAAACATCATGCTGTAGGGAACAGGGAGTCATTATGGGGTCGTAAATAAAGATAGACAATGTGTTTTCGGTTTTTGTTGTTATTGTTTACAGACAGGGTGTCACTCTATTGCCCAGGCTGGAGTGCAGTGGCATAATCATAGCTGGCTACACCATTGAACTCCTGGGCTCAAGTGATCCTCCCACCTCAGCCTCCTAAGTAGCTAGGACTACAGGAGACACCACCATGCCCAGCTATTGTTTTAAAAAAATTTTTAGAGATGGGCTCTTGCTATGTTGCCCAGGCAACACACAGAAAAGTAAAAGGAACCAGAAAAATATTATGCATAATCTCTAAACACAGGTAACTGCTGCTTTGACATATTTCTTTCTGATTTTGATATACTTTTATATGGTACTGATCTCGCTGTATAAGCAATCTTGAATCTTGCCTCTAATATAATAGTGTGAGCATTTTCTCTTGTCATTAATAGCTTTAAGCTTTGTTTTTGTAGCTATGTGAACTTCCTTGGTATAGATGCACTGTGATTTACTTATAAGACAACAGCTGTCTTAGTCCATTTTGTGCTGCTATAATATAATACCTCAGACTGGGTAATTGTTAAACAATAGAAGTGTATTTGGCTCATTGTTCTGGATCTGGGAAGTCCAAGGTTGAGTGGGCACATCTGATGAGGGCCATCTTGCTACATCATTACATGGCAGAAAGCATCACATGGACAAGAGGAAGAGCAAGACAGGACCAAACACACTTTTGTGACAAACCCACTCCCATGTTAACCCACCCCATTTATGAAGGCAGAACCTAGGTTTGTTCTTTTTTTTTTCCATACTAGAAATGGTAAGAAGGAACAAATTTTAAGAGTTAGCAATATACTGAGGGTGAAAAAGAGAAAAGAGTCAAAGTTGTCATGTTCTTGGCAAATGTAAATAAGACAAAGCAAAAAGAGAACCCATAGACAAAATGAAAGATTAAACAGCAATATAGAAAAAAATTGAAACACATATGATAGAAAAGAGGCTAATTTCCACAAAATATAAACAGCTTGTACCAATCAATAATGGTCAACATCCTAATAGGAAAATGGGCAAAGGACATGAACAAATGGTTCTAGAAAAGGAAATACAAATGGGTTTTAAAAACAAAAGATAATCCACTTCACTCACAATTAAGTGTGCAAGTTAAAATGAAAATGAGATAACATTTTAACAAATTTGCAAAGACCAAAATGTTTAATAATACACTTTGTTAAAGAGGATGTTGGAAAATAGGCAATGCATACATTGCTGATAAGACCATTTGTCTTATCAAGGTGATTTATGTGATCACTTGTAGGATAATTGGACAATAGATATTGTATTAGTCTGTTTTCACACTGCTATAAAGAACTTCCCTGAAACTGAGTAATTTATAAAGGAAAGAGATTTAATTGACTCACAGTTCTGCATGGCCAAGGAGGCCTCAGAAAACTTACAATCATGGTGGAACGAGAAGCAGGCACCTTCTTCACAAGGCGGCAGGAGAGAAAGAAGTGCAAACAAGGGAAATGCCAGACACTTATAAAACCATCAGATCACGTGAGAACTCACTCACTATCATGAGAACAACATGGGGGAAATTACCACCATGACCCAATCACTTCCCACCACATCCCTCCCTCGACACTTGGGGATTATGGGGATTACAATTCAAGATAAGATTTACATGGGGACACAGAGCCAAACCAAATCAGATATCAGTATGGAAAGTGGACATATCCTTTAAACCAGCAATTCCACTTTTAGGAATTTATCCTACAGGTAATTCACAATATGTGTAAAATAATATATAACCCAGATAATTCTTACAAATATGTTTGTAGGAGCATAATATTGGAAACAACATAAGGTATACCAATAGGAAATTATTTAGTTAATATATGGTGTATCTGTAAAGTTAAATATCATGCAGCCATTAAAAAGAACTGTGTGAGTTTGTAGGTACTGATATATTAATAGTAATTCTCCAAGATATATTCTTGAGTAAAAAAGCAGGGTGCAAAGGTTAGTACTGTGTAAGAGAGGTAGGTAGGGCTGGGGAGGATATATATAGATTTATTTGTATGTGCACAGACTTGCTTTTGATCAATACATATGAAACGGATAATAGTTGTCTGCAGGAGAGGCACTGAAGAGGTGGAAATTAAAGAATAGAATTTAAAAAGAGACTTTCACTCTACCCTTTTATTCCTTTCAAATTTTGCGCCGTATATCTGGTTTTTGTTTTGTTTTGTTTGTTTGTCTCTCTCTGTTACCCAGGCTGGAGTGCAGTGGCACAGTCATGACTCACTGCAGCTTTGACATCCTGGGCTCAAGCAATCCTCCTGCCTCAGCCTCCCGAGTAGCTGGGACTGCTGGTGCATGCCACCATGCCCAGCTACTTTTTAAAATATTTTGTAGAGATGGAGTTTCACCATGTTGTCCAGGCTGGTCCCAAACTCCTGGGCTCAAGCAGTCCTCCCACCTTGACCTCCCAAAGTACTGGGATTACAGGCATGAGCCACCATACCTGGCCTATATCTGTTTTTCTGTTCTAAATAAGATGTCTTGAAAGGAGTTGCAATGGGAATATCTCAAGAGGACGATGGCTTTTCTACATTATGTGAAATCAAGGTTCAAAAGGACGGCCACTTGGATTCTCTCCAAACTGAGATTCAGATACAGCTGTGTCAAGTGTTCTTTCCTTTAAACCCAAGATGATCAGGCTGTGAATGTTGTCTTTCTTATTGAATTGCCCAGCACCTGACCCATATGGGATGTGCTTAATAAATGTGTTAGATAGGAGATTAGGATTCTAACCTAAAGGGTAGAAAAGTGGAGGAGCCATAGATAGAAATGGACGTATCAATGTGAAAGGAAGACTCAGAAACAAAAAGCATTTAGAAGTGAAAAGAAGATTCCCTGCAAAAATGTTACAAGGGAGTCAGATTTCAGAAAGACCAGCTCAGAGCCTTGGAGCCAGTCTGCACTTTTCGCATTAATGCTGTATACACAGCAAGAGTCTCAAGAGGGTTGTGGAGAGAGATGAAGTTGGAGAGGTGGGCAGGGCCAAGTTTTCTTGGGCCTTAGAAGCCATGGGAAGGAGAGAGAAGGAGAGAAGTTAGAAACTGAAAGGACAAACATATTGTTCAGACTACTTTGGCTTCAAGAGATGGAGAGCTAAATAAAACAGGTAATTTATTGCCTTGGGTAACTGGAAAGTCCAGAGACTCAACAATATCATCAGGATATTCGTTCTCTTTCTCCACCCTCCCCAACACCCACTTTTCTGTGTTGGCTTTATTCTCTTGCAGACTCTTTCCACATGTTGGCTTCTGGCAACTCCAGCTTTGCAATTAACACATAAGTGTCCCCAACAGTTCCTAATAGTTCCAGTAAAAATCTCATCACTAATTCATATTGGACTACTGTGTCAAATGTCCATCCCTAAAATAGTCACTATGCCAGGCAAAGATCATAACCCTTACAGGTCATGACTTTAATATTATGAACCAAGAATGAGGGAGGGATGGGTCTCCAAATAAATCAGGATGCTGTTTCCAAACACAAAGATGCTGAACAGTTGAAAATAATAAAAATAATAACAGTCCACTATGGTCAAAAACAAGATCAAACGACAGTTGTTCCCTTCCTTAACAAAAATTAGAAAGAGGCTTTGGAGAGAGAAAAAGTTAAGATGCTAGAGAAGGTTGGGGAGATTGTGGGAGCAAACTCTGGAAGAAGTGGAAGGGATGGTGTTTGGATGGAAACGTCGGTAGAGAATAATTATGAACTCTAAGAGCCAAGAAGGATCCTGGCAGCCCTCTAATCCAACTTCCCCCACCTCTCCTATAAGCCTCCTCCCACTGCCTCCCCCACAAAAAAACAAATTAGGATCCCTTACATGACCATCTAAGCTCTACTTGAACATATTCAGTAATAGATAGTTCATGATTTTGGAAAGTATTTAAATTTTTCATTTGTGCAAATGTATGGGATACATGAGAAAATATTTAATTTTATTGTCATGTGGGTCTGATTCTTTAAAATGTCTGCTTTTCATTGAGCTGAAATCTAGTACTCAGTTTGCCCTCTGGATTAACAAACCATGAAGCTACTTCTTCTTTCATCAGACGATCCTTTAAGTGTTGGAAGACACTTCATTTCTGCTCTAGTCTTTTCTCTCTTAGCCAAGTACAACCAGTTCTTTTGACCACATATCAGGTGACATGGTTTCCAGACTTCTCTTAACCTAGTTGTCTGTCTTTGGATTCATGCTAGTTTGCATGTGTCTCTCTTTAAAATGTGCTTAAATATAAGCCTCCAGATGAGGCCTGACCATTGCTGAGTTCAGTGGGACCATTGACTTCCTTTATCTGGACACTATACATGCTTTGCTAATGCAACCTAAGATTCACTGACTTTTTTTGTTTGTTTGTTTGTTTTGTTTTGTTTTGTTTTTGCAGCACTGTATCACAACTCACTCATTTTGAGCTTGTGAACATTAAAATCCCAAGTCTTTTTTTTTTCCCTCATGAATGGCTGCCAAGTCAGGCCTTTTGTAACTATGTAGGTGGCATTTTTTGATCCAAAAGAATAGAACGTCCTAATGTGTGTGTTTGTGTACGTGTATGTGTGTATATGTATATGTGCATGTGTGAGATGAGCTTTGACCTGTGGTTTCAAGTCAGCCACTGCCAACCTTTGCACCCACTTTTGCTTTGTGCCAGCAGTTCTGGATGAACGAACACTTTGGTGTCTGTAAGCTACACCACCCCTCTCCCTCTCCTATATCAAATTAAAGGGTAGCAGCCAGGACAGATCTGGAGGCACCTGGAATTAGTCACATCTGGCCTGTGCTTTGGAGAAGAGTCATCACCATGTAGCCAAACTGATAAACCTGCGCAAGACCCAGATTCCTAGATCCACCTCGGTATCCTTAGTGGAACTGAAGCCCTTCGTGCTCTAGCTGTGTCATCTGGGGGTCCTATTCCCTTATGACCTGCTCACCTGGTTTATAGAAGACCCTTTGCACAAGTCTATAACCTGCTTCTTCTATTTGGAAAGATCTCCCTGATCTAAGATTTGCACAACCATTGCTGTCTTAAAACATTAACGCAGACCAGGTGCGGTGTCTCACGCCTGTAATGCCAGCACTTTGGGAGGCTGATGGGGGTGAATCACGAGGTCAGGAGTTTGAGACTAGCCTGACCAACATGGTGAAACCCCGTCTCTACTGAAAATGCAAAAATTAGCTGGGTGTGGTGGCGCGTGCCTGTAATCCCAGCTACACAGGGAGCTGAGGCAAGAGAATCGCCTGAACCCGGGAGGTGGAGGTTGCAGGGAGCCGAGATTGTGCCACTGCACTCCAGCCTAGGTGACAGAGCGAGACTCTGTCTCAAAAAAAAAAAGCAAACAAACAAAAAACAAAAACATTAATGCCTAGAAGTCCTCTCCTATTCTCTGTCCCAGGCCCCTTAGACTAGAACCTGTGCATGTTGACAGACAACATAATGAACTAAAGTTCACTTTGTCTCTTGGATTTGATAATTTCCACTGCTGACCTCTCCCTGGCAGAGGCTAGATCTTTTGACTCAATGAGTCTCAGCCCCAACACTGCCACGAGGTCCTAAGTACCTTGAGGGTCTGGGAAAGTGCCAATTACGATGATTAAGGAGAATGGGCAACTGGGACACTGAGGGTGTGGCAGAAGGTGGAGTCTTCCCTGACTCAAAGAAAGGGAGGTGCATTGTGTGAGGAGTGGGTGGAGAGTGGGGGGATGTAGATACCACCTGCCCTTTCATCTCGCCTCCCATAATGCATGCATTCAAGAGCAAAGACAGCCATTCTTATAAAAGAACTGAGTTCTCAGACTCATCATGATGCGAGACTCTTACCTCAAACACTTGAAGAGCCTACCTGTTTTCTAGGATTTATTTACCAGTTTTCTCACAAATCTCTGCAATAGCTGTCAGATTGTGTCAACAGTAATAAAGAAATGATATATTTGTGCTTCTTGATCACATATTCTGAGTCCCTGGAGAAGAAATGGTGCCTTGAAGAACAATGGTGAAGCAGAACCATCCATGGTGCTCTCATCACCTTTCCAAACTTGTTTTGTGTGATGCCCTTTTTGTGTTATTTTCAAAAGAGGAACCGGATGTTTTCCTAAAGGGAAATTTCTAGCATCCTCTTTCTGAAAAATAAGACACTGGAACTGAGGGACCATCCACTCAGGATTTCCCAGGTTATGACCACAATAAAGTCATGGATGACATCACCTATAGGAGAGAGTTTTTCAAGAACTGATGCAGTAAGTAGCATATAAGAAGTAATTGTGGCCAGGCACAGTGGCTCACGCCTGTAATCCCAGCAGTTTGGGAGGCCGAGGCGGGAACATCACTTGAGTCGGGAGTTTGAGACCAGCCTAGCCAACATGGTGAAACCCCATCTCTACTAAAAATACAAAAATTAGCTGGGCATGGTGGCACACGCCTGTAATTCCAGCTACTCGGGAGGCTGAGGCATGAGAATCACTTGAACCCAGGAGGTAGAGGTTGCAGTGAGCCAAGATCATGCCACTGCACCCCAGCCTGGGCGACAGAGTGAGACTCTGTCTCAAAAAAAAAAAAAAAAAAAAAAAAGAAGTAATTGCTGAATTTTATAAGAATTCCTAGATACTCAAACACTCTTCCTTACCAATCCAAAATTAGCCAGAAGATGAGAATAATTTTTCTTTACATTTGTTAGCGAGGCTAAGATTAAAAACAGAAAAACCAAACCAAAGATGTGTGGGACTTTTTTCATAGCAAAATAAAAAGTACCTGGAAGACAATCCACATAGAATCATTTCAAGAGAAGTAATGCTGACACATCTGCTGAGGAACTGTTAATCAGAACGTTTAGACCAGATCCAAGGATGTCAACCCATTGGCTCCTCTGCTGATTATTTTGGGACAGAACCAAATTTCAAAAGGAAAAGAAGTATAAGATAACACTTAAATAAACCTTGCCAATTCTGAGTTAGAAACTATTAGCAAATATGCTCAGCACTTCTTTCATCAAAGAGAGTCAAATACAGTTTTGTGTTTGATACAGACTGTTTAAAGTGTTTAAGATAAGTATCACTTATTTCAAAATAAAAAATATTAAGGCCCATAAGGAGTAAGGTCTTGGAAGAGGGAAGAAGGGAATGAATTCAAGAGCTCATGGGAAGGAAATAAGATAGAGAAACTTGAAGGGAAGGCAGGGAGAGATGGCATGGGACAAAGGTGGATAAGGGGGTCAAGTGCTTTCCCCTTTATTGAATGGTATCAGTAAAGCAGGAAAGGGGGAGGGGTTACCTCAGTTTCCCTCACTAGACTGCAAGATCTGTTAGGGCAGGGACTGGCTCTGTTCTGTCTCTAGTATAATACCCTCTGCCCAGCACAGTATACAGCATATTTTTGATTCTCAGTTAGAATTTGCTAAATAAAAGGAATGAAAGAATGTGGGCATTAGGGACTTAGAAGAATGGAAAATGCTGGGAATCGCTGTGTTAGGAACTGTGCTCTGGAATCAACAAGAAATGAATAATGAGGTTGCTAAACTGAGGTTAGGTGGTATGCATTTAAAGAGAATTGAATCAGCATTTTTCTGAAGTTCAGAAGAAAGAACAGAAAAAGCAAGCAGATGGGAATTGGCATGACCAGCAGAGTGGAATAGAAACAGGGTAAGAGAGTTTCGTATGCATGTGAGGGTGATGAAAGCCAGGCTGGAAATGAGGTCAAGGGTGGAGACAGACTGAAAACGGCAATAGACTGACAAGGTCATGAGATTACAGGCACTTCTGAAGGCTTTAGACAAAGAGCATAAAACACCCGGATAGCAGATAGCATATAGCTTTGTAGCACATAGATTTGTAATAGGATAAGTGTCCAACTCAAATATATACCCTGAATTCTGTGAGTGTTCAGACATGGACTGTGTCTGATATGTTTTCTCTAGTAGCTCAGTTTGTTAATTAAATAAATTTTAAAAAGAGGAGAGAAGGAAGAAAATGAGTTAAAGTCTTGCTTGACGTGTTATATCTATTGAAATTATGAGCTTAGATTTTATGGATATAAATGTGTGTGTGTGTGTGTAATACATACTCACACATAAATACATATACCATCCATAAACATCCACAGATATTTTCTGCAATATTGAGGTTGATAACAATGACTAGATAATCGGTCTGTTAAGTTGTGTTCAATCTTCCCTACTGTGGGATGGGGCCAAGATATGGCAAATATAGGCTGGGCTTGAGGACCCAGGGCGTAGGCTAGAGGTGTGGTGCTGCTGAGGGCAGAGAACTAGATCCAAATTCCTGGGTACATATAAAGTTGAAACGTCTTGTTCAGAGGTCACTTACTGAAAAGGGAGGACCTAGAGGTGACAAGGTGTGGTCTCACCAGCATCAGAGATCATGAAACTGGCCAGGTTAAACAGAGGGGCAAATTAGCAGACACCATAGAGGCAGATCCAGAATTACTTTGTAATTTTATAATTTATAAATTTACACAGTTACATTGTAACTACTTTTTGGAAGACTCAGAAACCAAACTCTCTGCAAAAACCCTTCAGGCTCTTAAGTTCTCTGCCTTCAGTATCAAACATGTTTCTTCTTCTAGGATTTTCTATTAAAAATCGATGCTTTTAAGCTGGGCGCAGTGGCTCATGCCTATAATCCCAGGACTTTGGGAGGCCAGGGCAGGTGGATCACCTGAGGTCAGGAGTTCGAGACCAGCCTGACCAACATGGTGAAACCCCATCTCTACTAAAAATACAAAAAATTAGCCGGTTGTGGTGGTAGGCACCTGTAATTCCAGCTACTCGAGAGGCTGAGGCAGGAGAATGGGTTGAACCTGGGAGGTGGAGTTTGCAGTAAGCTGAGGTTGTGCCATTGCACTCCAGCCTGGGTGACAGAGTGAGACTCTATCAAGAAAAGAAAGAAAGAAAGAGAGAAAGAGAGAGAGAGAAAGAAAGAAAAAAAAGAGAAAGAGAGAAAGGAAGGAGGGAGGGAGGGAGGAAGAAGGAGGAAGGAAGGAAGGAAGGAAGAAGAAAGAGAAAGAAAGAAAAAAGATAGATCAATGCCTTTAATCAATTTTCCTATCATCTCTTGTTAAAATGTCTTGTCATGAAGTTCTGTTTATTTATTTTGAATTTTCTTGAAGCAAACGCGTAGATTCATATTTAGGTTTCTCAGGTTGGAAATTCTTCGTTTGTGAAAAATCAATGCAAATGTATGTTAGAAGCCTAATTAAAAGAAAACAGTGATTCATTACTAGATGGGGGTAAAGTGGGAGTAGGGTTTGGACAGAGGAGAGAATGAAAGGAACTTCCACTCTCCTCCAGATTTCCTTAGCCTTTAAAATGTAGTATTTCAAGGGAATCCATTGTTTGTTTTAAAGAAAAACAAGAATTCCACACTTGTTTTCCTGTTGGGTCTATAAATCAGTAAATATTAAGGTGGAAACAAAAGAAATACTTCTTTGTGATTAATCATCAACTTTAGTCATCCAAACTCTTGAACTTGATTGTGCTGCAGATTGTACTTCTGAAAATAGTCTCAAGTATTGTTTCTATACCCCAAAATGCTTGCCACTAAATTATTCCTGTTCTATTCAACACTGAAATACAGAGAAGATCATTTAAAAGGGCTCATGTGATCTATGGAACTAACTTTATAAATCTAGATTGGGCTTCCTCCGCTGTAAAAAATAAATTATAGTAGCAGCTTCAGTGTGTGGGAATTTTCTTTGAACAAAGTCATCTCAAAATCACAGCTCTGTAGTAATTGTTCAGTTTTTCCCTCATGTCCTTGGGATACATTGTACAAAGTTTTGCTTTTATCACAGGATACTAAACCCTTAGAAACAATTTGAAATTGAATACAGATCTCTGGCCCCGAGACCTCAGATAAATTTTTCTCCCTTGCTGAGTTATCCAACCATTTAAAAATCTTACTTTCTTTGATCGTTGACAGGAATGTTGGTTTGGCACAGTCATTTTACAAACAACTTGTGATGTTTATTGAAAACTCCCAAGTATGAATTTCAACAAGTTAACACAGGGCCCTAAATTTTCCCTTCCAGCCCTAAATATCAGCTGATATGTTCAAGTTATTATATGTCATCTCTTGCCTATCTTTTCATATCACACAAACTTTCAATTAGCCATTTTGGGTTCTGACCACATTTGCTAGGAAATTACTATTTAAATATGTCTTCCTCTAACACATTTCTAATGGGATTCCCCTGGCAAAGGTAGATGAAATTTTAAAAACTGGAGCCGTACTAGAAACAGAATTGTTTTTGGTAATTGCTGATGAGTTTCTTGGCTAGCATACGTGCAGTTAATGTGACAATTCTAAGAATGGATGGCAGAAAAGAAGGGTGAAACGTGGTCATCCTGCAAAAACAGGCTGTCCAGCAGGAGTTATTTTCTACTTAGTTGCCTTTCTCTACTGTTTTCTTCTTACTGTTTCAGTGCTGAGATTCTGCCAAGAATATGAATTAAATACAATGTGAAAGGAAAAGGAAAATATTCAGATAAAACTTCCAAAAATGATATTACAGAGAAGAATAAAGTTTTCTTTCTTCCTTAAAAACTTTCTATGAAATACTACCTTCAAATAAAAACCATTGAGTCCTATATCCCATCATCTTAAAATAACACTCTGGGTAACAGCTAATATTTATGGGCTTACCTCATTTTATTGTGCTTTGCTTTATTGCACTTCACAGTTTTTTTTGTTTTTTTGTTTTTGTTTACAAATGGAAGGTTTGTGGCAACCCTGCAACCAGCGAGTCTATTGGCAACATTTTTCGGCAGCCTGTGCTCATTTCATGCCTCTGTGTCGTATTTTGGTAGTTCTCACAATATTTCAAACTTTTAAGTTATTATTATATCTGTTATGGTGATCTGTAATCAGTGATCTTTGATGTTAATATTGCAATTGTTTTGAAGTGCCATGAACCACTCCCACTGAAGACAGTGAACTTAATAAATGTGTGTGTGTGTTCTGACTACTCCACTGACCAGCCATTCCCCCATCTCTTCCTCTTCTTGGGCCTCCCTATTCTTGGAAACACAATCTTGAAATTAGGCCAGTTAGTAACCCTACAATGACATCTAAGTGTTCAGGTGAAAGGAAGAGTTGCATGCCTCTCACTTGAAACCAAAAAACAAGAAATGATTAAGCTTAATGAGGAAGGCAGGCCAAAAGCTGAGATAGGCTGAAAGCTAGGCCTCTTATGCCAGTTAGCCAAGTTGTAAATGCAAAGGAAAAGTTCTTGAAGGATGTTAAAATTGCTACTCCAGTGAACTCATAAATGAAACAGCCTTATTGCTAATTTGGAGAAAGTTTAAATGGTCTGAATAGAAGATTAAACCTTAAGCCAAAGCCTAATCCAGGGCAAGGCCCTAACTCCCTTCAATTTTATGAAAGCTGAGAGGTAAGGAAGCTTCAGAAGAAAAGTTTGAAGCTAGCAGAGGTTGGATCATGAGGTATAAGGAAAGAGTTTGTTTTGTGCCATGAAAGTACAAGGTGAAGCAGGAAGTGCTGATGTAGAAGCGGCAGCAAATTATCCAGAAGATCTAGCTAAGATCATTAATAAAAGGGACTATACTAAACAACAGATTTTCAATATAGACTAAACAGACTCATATAGGAAGAAGATGCCATTTGGACTTCATAGAGAGGAGAAGTCAATGCTTGGCTTCAAAGCTTCAAAGGAGAGGCTGACTCTCTCCTTAGGGGCTAATGCAGGGGTGACTTTATGTTGAAGCCAGTGTTCATTTACCATTCCACAAATGCTAGGGCTTTTAAGAATTAAGCTAAATTATGTCAGGGTATTGATAAAGAAAAAAAAAAGAATTTTGCTAAACCTCCTTTACACGTGCTCTAGAAACGGAACAACAAAGCCTGTATGATCACATATCTGTTCACAGCATGGTTTACTGAATATTTTAAGCCACTGTTAAGAACTACTGCTCAGAAAAAAGATGTCTTTCAAAATATTATGTCTCACTGACAATTCACCTAGTCACCCAAGAACTCTGATGTATAAGGAGATTAATATTGTTTTCATACCTGTTAACCCAACATCCATCTGCAGCCCATGGATGAAAGAGTAATTTCAACTTTCAAGTCTTATTATTTAAGAAATACATTTTGTAAGGCTATAGCTTCCATAGATAGTGATTCCTCTGATGGATCTGGGTGAATTGAAAACTTTCTGTAAAAATGCACCAAGCTGGAAGCTATTTGTCATTCATGGGAAGCGTTCAAAATATCAACATTAACAGCAGCTTGAAAGAAGTTGACTCCAACTCTCATGCATGACTTTGAGGGGTTCAAGACTTCAGGGGAGGAACCACAGATGTGGTAGAAATAGCAAGAGAACTAGAATTGGAAGTGGAGCCTAAGATGTGACTGAATTGCTGTAGTCTCATGATAAAACTTGAACAGGTGAGTAGTTGATCCCTTATGGAAGAGGAAAGAAAGTAGTTTCTTTAGATGGAATCTACTCTTGGAGAAGATGCTGGAAACATTGTTGAAATGGCAACAAAGGATTCAGAAGATTTCATAAACTTAGTTGATAAAGCAGCAGCAGAGTTTGAGAGGATTGATTCCAATTTTGAAAGAACTTCTACTGTGGGTAAAATGCTGCCAAGCAGCAGTGCATGCTACAGAGAAATCTTTTGTGGAAGGAAGAGTCAATTGATGTGGCAAACTTCATTGTTATCTTATTTTAAGAAACCGCCACAGCTACCCTAACTCTCAGCAACCACCACCCTGATCATTCAGCCACCATCAACATCGAGGCAAGACTCTCCACCAGCAAAAAGATTATGTCTTTGACTTGCTGAAGGCTCAGATGATCATTAGTATTTTTTAGCAATGAAGTATTTTTAAATTAAGGTATATACATTTTTACACGTGATGCTATTGCACACTTAATAGCCCACAATATAATGTAAATATAACTTTTATATAATAGGAAACCATAAATTTGTGTGTCTCGTTTTATTGCAATATTTATTTTATTTTGGTGGTCTGGAACTGAACCCACAATATCTTCAAGGTATGCCTTGAGCTATTACTAAGTGCCAGACACTGTGCTAAATGCTTTACGTGTATTATTTTATCTAATCCACATAGAAACCCTATGAAGAAGGTATTTTTATTACCTTCATTATAAAAATGAGAAAACAGGCCTAAAGGACCTTGATGTATGGGCATTCATCACCCTGATATAGTCATTTTAGACCTTGTACTGGAAGGGCTCTGAGAATCCAAATGCACCTGTTATTTTTCCACCCAGTGAATATTAGCACCTACAAGTATAATCAGTATGGGGATAGAGGTTGGTTATAGCATTTTTCAACTTTTAAAAGGTTTTCTTCAGTAATTCTGCTTCTAGGCATATAACCTAGAGAAACTCTCCTGCATGAGCAAGAAGATACATGTATGAAAATGTGTATTTACATTGCAGTCAAAATGAATAAACTAAATTTCCATGTATCAACATGGGTAGATCTTGAAAATAGTGTTTTGTTGTTGTTGTTGTTTTTTAAAAAATAAAGGCTATAAAATGATACATTCAGTATAAAATCATTTATGTAAAATTTTGCTTAGTAAAAACTATTTAAAATATAAAACAATAGAATATGTTATTTGTGAATTTGTACTTATGTTGTAGAAGTATAAAAATGTGAACCAGATAGACTAGGCACAGTGGCTCACGCCTGTAATCCCAGCACTTTGGGAGGCTGAGGCAGTTGGGTCACCTGAGGTCAGGAGTTCGAGACCAGCCTGGCCAACATGGTGAAACTCCATCTCTACTAAAAATACAAAAATTAGCCAGGCATGGTGGCGGGCACCTGTAATCCCAGCTACTTGGGAGGCTGAGGGAGGAGAATTGCTTGAACCCGGGAGGCAGAGGTTGCAGTGAGCCAAGACCCTACCATTGCACTCTGTCCTGGGCAACAAGAGCAAAATTCCATCTCGAAAAAAAAAAAAGAAAAAAAAAGCCTGGACGCGGTGGCTCACGCCTGTAATCCCAGCACTTTGGGAGGCTGAGGTAGTTGGGCCACCTGAGGTCAGGAGATGGAGACCAGCCTGGCCAACATGGTGAAACCTCATCTCTACTAAAAATACAAAAATTAGCCGGGCATGGTGGTGTGTGCCTGTAATCCCAGCTACTCAGGAGGCTGAGGCAGGAGAATCACTTGAACCTGGGAGCGGGAGGTTGCAATGAGCCGAGATTGTGCCATTACACTCCAGCCTGGATGACAGAGTGAGACTCTGTCTCAAAAAAAAAAAAAAAAAAAGTGAACCAGATAGGTAAAACTTCAGGATAGCAGTTACTTGAGGGAAGAAAGGAATGGTGCACTAGGGGAAGGTGCAAAGTAGGCCTCAACTCCATTTCTATGTTTCATTTATCTTGTTTTAAATAATAATACAAATATGAGAAAAGTTAACATTTATTCTTACAGGGTCTACATGAATTTATTACCTTATTTTCTGAAAGCTTTTGTGTTAAAAAAGAAAAAAACTTTCATCCTAAGAAAAATTTATATTCTTGCTGGAAAAGAGCAGGAATCACCATATAAAACATAATATCACTAAAATTTTAGCTTACAAATTTTTTTGAAGCAGGTTTAACTACAAGCTCAATTTATCCATAAAATAACTTAGTAAACCATCCATAGAATGTCCATCTTTGAGTCTTGGAAACTCCATGTATCCTCCAAAATGAACTAGTTGTAAAATATATTCCTCAGTAATTTGATTACGGTGAATTTCTTTATTCAGCTTTACATTAGCTGCAAACCACAGGGTGCCAGTCCCTACAACCTCTCACAGCATTATCCAGGGCAACAGGAAGAACAGTTGCCTGGGGATTGCTCTGGGCCATGTGCTTCTGGCCATAATTCCTTCTTGTGGGTCACTGTTATCATCTGGACTGTGCATTCCCAAATCTGATTCCCCCAACCACCATTCTTCCTCTCCCTTTCTTCGTTTCCAACAGCACAGGATTTCACTCTGAGGGTGAAACCATGCATGCTATCAAATTGGGCTATGTAAATCCGGTAGTGAGTGTTCTTTGTTGCATTATTTGGTATCAAGCTTCTGGGTCATATCTAAGAGTGTTCCAGCTTGAAAATTAATTTAATCTCTTGTTTGTTTGCTTTTGTTTGGAATCATTTCACTCGCTAGATAATAATGTAGTTGAGGAATGCTGAAGCCAGCATTATTTGAAGTGCTACTCATTGCTTACAGTTATATTTCATAAGTGTGGAAATTATTCTGTGTATACATTTAAATATAATCCTTTTCAGTTATATAACAATTAGCACCCATTTTTTTGTGTGCATGTATTCATACACATTTTTTATTTGCCTTGTTTCAAAATTGATAAAAGGGCTACAAATATACATAAAATATAGCACGAGAAAAATTCAATCTGAAGGCAGTGAAGAAATGGGAACAGAGAATTTAAGCCAAGAGTGAGTTAAGTATATAAAATACATCCTTTTAAATCTTATACACAGACCGGAAGGAGACCACATATAAGGCTTTAAGCTTTCTCACAGCCAAGGGAAATACTGTCAGTTCCACAATTAGGTTTCCAGAAGGCAAAAACAAATGGGGATAATAAACAAGGGAAACACAACTATACCAGGTGCTAAAACCAAAGAAAAATATTTTCTAGATATTGTCAGAGAGAGTAAATATAGCAACAAGTTTCATGGCTCCTATAAATCCCTTAATGTAGGCCCGAAGTATTATACCACAGGGGATTCTTTAAGGAAATCTGAGGGGAGGAAGGAGCCATGGCATGGGGTCAGGGGCTGGAGAGGGTGGGGAGGGGGTGTTCTAGGCCCTATCCAGGGGCAAAAATGTCACAACAGTTGGCCTTGACATTGAGGCTCATTACCAGGGTGACCATGTAATTTATTGTCTAACTCAGGACACTTTGAGAATGAAAGAGGGTACTGTTAATAATCAGGTCCCCACAATAGGTGTAAGCCATGAGTGTCCTGAGCAAGCTGCCACATATGGTCACTCTAAGTCATTGCTCATCACCTGCTGACATCCTGCCCCAGTGCATCCTGCCACTCTAGACCTCGTGAGCCAACCTCATCCTGTCAAACATGGAGTTTGTCTAACCAGCTCAATTTGTAGAAGCCTCTGGAGGATTCTGGTCCAGGTCACCAGCACAGTGTGGGCTTGCCTGTGAGTCAGTCAAACAGGGAAGGGAACCAAGAAAGACTGGAGTAGGCAAATGGGAACAGTCGCCTGAGAATCCATCAAGAAGACCTTTGGGGATATGTCAGAAGAATGGGTGGGAGGGGAAATAAAGAAGATTCTAAGTAATTGCATGGGTCCCATGAAGAGGAAGAAACAATTTCCTTTCCCCTGGCACTCTCTGAAGGGCCCAGTGAGAGATCTAGTGGAAGAAAACTTCCTGAAGTTGGGATATTATCATAATGACTGAAACACTTATGAGAGGTGACAGCGTGCTGGCAGTCCTCAGAGCCCTCGCTTGCTCTCGGCACCTCCTCTGCCTGGGCTCCCACTTTGGCGGCATTTGAGGAGCCCTTCAGCCCACCACTGCACTGTGAGAGCCCCTTTCTGGGCTGGCCAAGGCTGGAGCCCACTCCCTCAGCTTGCAGGGAGGTGCGGAGGGAGAGGCGCGAGCGGGAACCCGGGCTGGGCTGCGTGCGGCGCTTGCGGGCCAGCTGGAGTTCCGGGTGGGCGTGGGCGTGGGCTTGGCAGGCCCCGCACTCAGAGTAGCCGGGCAGCGCTGCTGGTCCCGGGCAATGAGGGACTTAGCACCCGGGCCAGCGGCTGCGGAGAGTGTACTGGGTCCCCCAGCAGTGCCAGCCCACCGGCGCTGCGCTCGATTTCTCACCGACCCTTAGCTGCCTTCCCGCGGGGCAGGGCTCCGGACCTGCAGCCCGCCATGCCTGAGCCTCCCACCCACTCCATGAGTTGCTGTGCGGCCTGAGCCTCCCCCAGGAGCACCACCCCCTGCTCCACGGCAGCCAATCCCACAGACCACCCAAGGGCTGAGGAGTGCGAGAGCGCACGGTGCGGGACTGGCAGGCAGCTCCAACTGCAGCCCTGGTGCGGGATCCACTAGGTGAAGCCAGCTGGGCTCCTGAGTCTGGTGGGGACGTGGAGAGTCTTTATGTCTAGCTCAGGGATTGTAAACATACCAATCAGCACCCTGTGTCTAGCTCAGGGTTTGTGAGTGCACCAATCGACGCTCTGTATCTAGCTGCTCTGGTGGGGCCTTGGAGAACCTTTGTGTTGATACTCTGTATCTAACTAATCTGATGGGGACATGGAGAACCTTTATATCTAGCTCAGGGATTGTAAAGGCACCAATCAGCACCCTGTCAAAACAGACCACTTGGCTCTACCAATCAGCAGGATGTGGGTGGGGCCAGATAAGAGACTAAAAGCAGGCTGCCCGGGACAGCAGTGGCAACCCACTGGGGTCCCCTTCCACACTGTGGAAGCTTCGTTCTTTCGCTCTTTGCAGTAAATCTTGCTACTGCTCACCCTTTGGGTCCACGCTGCTTTTATGAGCTGTAACACTCACCGCGAAGGTCTGCTGCTTCACTCCTGAGCCAGCGAGACCACAAGCCCACTGGGAGGAAGGAACAACTCCAGACACGCCGTCTTAAGAGCTGTAACACTCACCGCGAAGGTCTGCAGCTTTACTCCTGAGCCAGCGAGACCACGAACCCACCAGAAAGAAGAAACTCCGAACACATCTGACCATCAGAAGGGACAAACTCCAGATGCGCCACCTTAAAAGCTGTAACACTCACCGCAAGGGTCCACGGCTTCATTCTTGAAGTCAGTGAGACCAAGAACCCACCAATTCCAGCCACACTTATGCTGTGGTTCTCAAACATGTGATATGAATTACCTGGAGAGCTTGTGGAAAACTAGATTCTAGCACCCCAACCCCATAGAAAATGAGTCTGTTAGTCTGATATGAAACTCAGAAATCTATTTTAACAAGCAAGATTAGCCAGGCATGGTGCCACACACCTGTAGTCCCAGCTACTCAGGAGGCTGAGGTGGGAGGATCGCTTGAGTCCAAGAGGTCAAGGTGATCGCACTGCACCACTGCACTCCCACCTGGACAACAGAGTGAGACCTTGTCTCAACAACAACAACAACAACAAGACGACGAAGAAGAAAAATTTCCATGACCCTGCTGGGAAAGAAACTGAATCAATTTGGAAATCAGTATATTTAGTCACATAAGGACAGGTAAGGAGGAGAGTCAAGAAGTAGCACATTCCAATGATCAATTGTGCTGAAAGAGAATCTCTTTCTCCCTGGACAAGGCCCCAGACTGCCTCCCTAAGCCAGGTGAAATGATGGTGGAGACTAAAGCCCCCAAGCTCCCATTCATTCCTGGTTGCATTTTTCCCCCCCAGTGAAACAAACATAAGGCCAAGCTTCTTGCCTTTGATGTCCTGAAGCACAATTAATGGTACCTTGTCCTGTGTCTATATCATATGTACTTTATTGGCTCTTATATTAGAGTGAGTATACATAGATCATCCAGGCTGGAGTGCAGTGGTGTGATCTTGGCTCACTGCACCCTACAACTCCCAGGCTTAAGTGATCCTTTCACCTTAGCCTCCTGAGTAGCTCGGACTACAGGTGTGTGCCACCATGCCTGGGCACACGACAAAACTCCTAGAGATGGGTTTTGTCATGTTGCCTAGGCCCAAATCATCTGCTTGCCTCAGCCTCCCAAAGTGCTGGGATTACAGGCATGTGCCAGCACACTGGCCTAGAGTGATTTTCTCGATGTCAGTTTCCCTGGCAAGTTTACAAGCTGCTCAAGGGGAGGGACGATACTTTACCATATTGGTGTCTCGCAGCACCTAGGGAAGGCATGTCATGTGCATAGCTAAGCTTCTGTGCCTGCTTCCTCTTTCTCTCACTAGGTGTCAGGCATTAAGTTCTCTACCTTCAAAGTTTAGTGGGAAAGGCCTACAAATAATGACAATGAAGTACTTTATACAGAAAAATTATAGAGGTAAGCATGGTTGTTGTGGAGCTAGGGAATGTGAGCTTGATTTAGCCTGTCAGGACCAGTGAGAGTTGATAGAAATGAGCCAGGCAGAGGAGAGGGGAGGGGGCATTTTAGGCATAGTAGCATCTGCAAAGCTAGGTAGTACCTACAAAGAGAAAGAAAGTTAGCAGGGTGTGTGAGAAAGAGAAGAGAAGGAAGACAGGAAAGGATGGGGGGATTTGTGGTACTGCTAGTACCTTACTGTGGCTAAAGAAATGTTCACTTAGGCTGTGACACCAGGGAAGGGGCCAGGGGTAGGTTTAAGAGAAGAGCATGAGCTCTGGAGCCAGCCTGCCGGATGGTCCAAATCCCAGCTCTGCCACTTAGCTACGTAACTTTCAGCAAATTACTTAAACTCTTGTGCCTCAGATCCTAATTTGGGAGCTTTAGGGATTCTTGATGATAAACTAAGTGGCTTAATACTTATAAAGCAATCAGAATAGTGCCTGTCATATAGTATATGTACTCAATAAAAAGTATATATAGTATGTGTACTCAATAAAGTGAACATATAGTGTACTATATATAGTATATATAGTATGTATGCAATAAAGAGTAGTTCTCGGCTGGGCACGTGGCTCATGCCTGCAATCCCAGCACTTTGTAAGGCTGAGCTGGGCAGATTACTTAAGCCCAGGAGTTCAAGACCCACCTGAGCGACATGGCAAAACCTCGTCTCTACAAAAAATACAAAAATTAGCCAGGCATGGTGGCATGTGCCTGAAGTCCCAGCTACTCATGAGGCTGAGGGGGGAAGATTGTTTAAGCCCAGGAGGTGGAGGTTGCAATGAGCCAATATTGAGCCACTGGGTGACAGAGTAAGACTCTGTCTCAAAAAAAAAGTAGTTCTCTTTCTCTTTACTTGCCACTTTTATTCCATTCCATGCAAGTATGACTGATTATACCTCTAAAACCAAAACCAAAACCAAAACCATCCACTTCTGTCTCCACAGTCTCCACCTTGGTTCAAAGAACTATGACATCTTTATTGGATTCCTGGAATAGCCTCTTAACTGGTCTCCCTACTTCCACTCTTGCTCTGCCTTAATCTGATCCACAGAACAGCCTGAGTGATCCTTTTCAAAGACAAATCAGATGTCACGCTGCTTAAACATCTATTGTCTCATCACACTTCATACCAATCATTTAGAATTCTCCTTACCATACCTAAAAAGGTATTAAATCATCCAGCTGCCTCCTACTTTTCTGACCACCCCCCGTCCCCTGGCCCACGTCATACTCCCCTCCCTTTTGCTATGTTCAGCCTCTAGCTGCCTTGAATTTGACAAGTGTTTCTGGCTAAGACCTTTGCGTCTGCTGTTCCTCCGTCTTCCCCACCTCCTAACTAGTTTGCCTTCTTCTTGTCTTATAGAATCCAGCTCAAATGTCAGAAGAATTGACGTTAGTTTGAGAGACCAAACTAAGTTACAGCCTCTTTGGTTTCTGTTACTCTGGTAAGTGTATTTCCTTTTCATTATTTTTCCTTCTTTATTCCTCATCCCCCAATGTAAGCACCATGCAAACGGATATGTAGGCTTTTTCATTGCTATAGTCTCAGTGCCTGTAATGGCAAACACCCCATCCCCAATATAGTAAGCATTCAAATGTTTATCGAATTGATGTTAAATGAATTAGAAGAGAGGAGGGAAACAAAAGAGAATACTGCCAAAAATTAAGGCACCTGGGGCCAATTAGGCTTTTGCAGTATTCCAGTGGGAAATGATGAGGCCCTGGCAGTGGTTTCCAACCTTGGTCATGCATTGCAATTACCTGGAAAGAGGTTATGTATTTATTTTTGTTGTTGTTGTTGTTTTGTTTTGTTTGAGACAGAGTCTCGCTCTATTGCCCAGGCTGGAGTGCAGTGGCACAATCTCAGCTCGCTGCAACCTCTGCCTCCCAGGTTCAAGCGACTCATGCCTCAGTCTCCTGAGGAGCTGGGATTACAGGAGTGTGCCACCATGCCCAGCCAATTTTTGTATTTTTTATAGAGATGAGGTTTCATCATGTTGTCCCGGCTGGTATCAAACTCCTGGCCTCAAGTGATCCACTCACCTAAGCCTCCCAAAGTGCCGGGATTACAGGCGTGAGCCACTGCGCCCGGTTTTCTTTCTTTCTTTCTCTCCCTCCCTCCTTCCCTTCTTTCATTCTTTCTTGAGACAGGGTCTCACTCTGTCGCCCAGGCTGGAGGCCAGTGGTGTGACCAGGGCTCACTGCTGCCTTGACCTCCTAAGGCTATGGAGATGATCCTCCTGCCTCAGCCCCCTGGAGTAGCTGGGACTGCAGACGTGGGCCACCATGCCAGGCTAATTTTTGTATTTTCGCCATCTTGCTCAGGCTGGTCTTGAACTCCTGGACTCAAGTGATCCAACCACCTCTGCTTCTCAAAGTGCTAGGACTACAGGTGTGTGCCACCGTGCCCAGCACACTTGGGGAGTTTTAAAAACTACTGATGCCTGAGCACCACCCTCAGTGATTCTGATTTAATTGTTGGGTGCAACGTGGACATAAGAATATGCAGCCAAATTTGAAAACACTGCTCTAAAAGCAGAGGGAGATATAGAACAGAGAGCACAGGGATATTTCCGGGGTATAATAAACAGGACTTGGTGGTTAGTTATGAATTGGAAGGGACAAAAAGAATGGGGCCTGGGAACAATCCTAGGTTTCTGGCTTGTGTCTGGGTGAATGAAAGAAGCATGCTTTGAGGAAAGAACAAACTACATCTTGGACAGCCTGAATCTGAGGTGCCTCTAGGAATTCAAGTTGGGGATGTTCAATAGGTATTTGTTTTTTAATAGATTTATTTGGCCTAGTGAAGAATAGAAAGTCCTTCTAATTTTTAGGAAGACAAGAAAGCCAGAAGCAGCATCTCTGGAAAATATTACCGTTGTACAGAGTGTAAGACCATTTTCATTCCGCACAGCTTCTTTATTCAAAATCCCCTTTCAAGCCAGTGCCCCATCTGTGCTGAAATGTTGTTTAACATGTTGATCTATTTTCTTTTCTTTTTTTTTTTTTTTTTTTTTTGAGACGGAGTCTCGCTCTGTCGCCCAGGCTGGAGTGCAGTGGCGAGATCTCTGCTCACTACAAGCTCCGCCGCCCGGGTTCACGCCATCCTCCTGCCTCAGCCTCCCGAGTAGCTGGGACTACAGGCGCCCGCCACCACGCCCAGCTAATTTTTTGTATTTTTAGTAGAGACGGGGTTTCACTATGTTAGCCAGGATGGTCTCGATCTCCTGACCTCGTGATCCGCCCGCCTCGGCCTCCCAAAGTGCTAGGATTACAGGCGTGAGCCACCAATTCCGGCCAACATATTGATATATTTTCAAGAAGGATATTATATATGGGTACTTAACTTACTATTCTTGTGCTATCTGTAGGCTTAAAGCATCCCATATGTAAAGTCGCTGGCAGCCTTCAAGTAGCATTTAAAGGTATAACAGCTTTAAAACTTCCCATAAATGAAAATAAACATACCCATAATTACTTCCTTTAAGATTCGAGGCCAAAGACACTTAAACCTAAACTGCCTAGCTTGTTCAATTTTCTAATTGGTAAACATTTACTGGGTTACCAAAGATACCAAGTACATTCGGAAAGACCATGGCTCCTTGGTTTGTTTCTAATTTAAATTACACAGACACACTAAACAAGGACTGGGAGAGTGATATATTTAGTTAAGTAACAGATGGCAAATGGACATTCTGTCCAGCCTCTATCACATTCGTTTCTCAGTATTCTATGTTAGAGTGATCTAAATCTTGAAGAGAATAAACCAGGAGGAAATGCACCAGGCCCAGACGGAATTTGTTTATTCAACTAAGAATACCAAGACTAGTGTAGATTGAAACATTCAAAGGGGATATGACTGGCTGAAAAGATATGAGACGAAGGAACAAATAAAGCTGGATTAAAGTAATTAGGAATGTATTAGAGATGAAATAGGAATTCTGATTACTTGACTGCAAAATAGTAAAAAAAAAATGAAATAAAAGAGATGAATGGAAGATACTCTCCAAACCCTCACGTAGGCTTGCTATTGTGGCTAAGTACTGTTCCTAACAGCCTCTGCAAAGACAGGTGCACTAAGAGGGCGGCTGCAGACGCACAGGGTGCTGCCGTCCTCTGGGAAAGGACATTTCCTCGCCGAGAGCTGCAACATCCCGGCACTTCTCTCCCTCGGCCTGCCAATCTAGCAGGTGAACCCTGAGAACACAAAGGAATGAATAATGCCGGGCAAACTGCCAAGAGCCAGAGTCGCCGAGTCTGGCAACTCCCTTCAACCGGGCGCAGCTCCAGCCACCCCGACCTGTCCTTGGAGGAGACGCTCTCTGGGCCACGGAGAACCGGCCAGGGAGACACCGGCCCCACTGCCCGGCGCGCTCGAGGCGAAGTCCCCTCCGCCAGGGACAGGCGTGGGGGCCGCAGTCGGGGCCACCCGGGTGCAGCGGGGCGGCTCCTGCGCGGGCGCGGAACGAACGTGCGCAAGGGAACAGCCGCGTCCAGAGCCGCCCGCAGCGGGCCCGGTGGGCGTGACGCCATGACGCACAGCACGCGGGCGGCGCGCTGGGGCGGGGCGGCCGGGGGCGGGAGGAAGAAGTGGGAGGAGGAGGAGGGGAAAGCGGGGGCTGCGGGAGGGGGAGGTGGTAGTTGCGGCGCTGGTTCCCGGGAGCAGCCGTCGAGCCACAACTGCGGAGGAGGAGTTCGGGAAAGCGGCCGTCGGGACTCCTCCCCTCCGTCGTCTCCGCCCCGGTTGAGAGGCGCCTCGGCGCATCGGAGGGACCCTCCCCCGCGCTTCCTCAGGCTGCTGTCGCCGCTGCTGGGAGATGGGCCTACTCGCCCGCCACCCTGCGCTGCCGCCGCTCTGAGGAGTTAAAGGTACGGGCGGGCACCCGGAGGAGCTTGCGCCCCGGAGCGGGAGAGAAGGGGCGGCTCTCGCTTACGACCCAGGGAGCTCTGGCCGGGCCGCAGCCCTAGCGCCCCTGCCCGGGACAGAAATGGATTCGGAAGTCCGGTGGGAAAGGCGTCTCCTCCAGTGTCCAGCGTGGGCTCGGGGCCGTGGCCGGCTTAGGGGGTCAGGCCTCGGTCAGCTCCGGGTCCCCTACCCGGCCCAGGCGCGGGCGTCTCCCGGGCCGCGGGGGCCGAGGTGGAGCGTGGGATCCGCCCCAAGCCCTGTCCTCCTGGTGCCTGTGCGGCCGGCGGCCGGCCCGGCGATATTATGACGGGCCGAGGCGGCGCTCCCCTCGAGCTGTCTCCTGCCCCTAAAGCGGGGGAGACCCAAGGGCGGTTGCCGCGGGGAGGCGGCGGGGGCGGAACGCATTCCTGACGGGTGAAATCGGCTCTAACGGGACCGATTTCCGGGCCTCGCTGCAAATTTGGAGCCGGGACATCGCCCCGCAAGCCGTGCTGCCTGGGGCCTTAGGGAGGGGAGCTGTGTTCGGAGGAAGGTTAGTCCGGGACTGCTACCACCTCCTTCAAAAGCAAAAATTACACATCACACCAAAATGGTGTAGCCTTGGGGTGAAGTATGTGTTAACGGGGGTCTTCCGGGATTGTCTCCCCGTGCTAAGCCTTTAGGGTGTTCCCAGCCCTCGCCCGGCAAGTAATACTACTACTTTGAATTTTCAGTTTTTCTTATCTGGGTTCCACTCTGCAGTTGCTCTTTTTTTCCCATTTCCATTAATGGGAAGAAGAAAAAGAAGTTTAGGGTTCATTAACCCCGCGACAAGGGCAGTAAATAAAAAGAGGGAAGAGAGTGGTTAAGGCTATATATGGGAGAGAGAAACGTTTAATTTTTTCCCATTGACCCTTGGAGATATAAATACACGAACGATGCTTTACTCTGCTTAATGTTTACTGTCCACAGTGTTGCAGAATGTTCTGTTGGGGTGACGTTAGAAAAGACGGCGTTTAAGTGCCGTTGCAATTTTCAAACCTAGATGTTGGCTAGAAATGCTAATTTTAAGTGTTAGTAAACAGTAGAGGCTTAAAGCAGCCCTTTCCTTTGATCGGTTGTCTTAAATTGTGATCTTTACATTCCACATTTTTTTTTTTTAAAGAACATGGTTCTTTTCATTTTTTTAAAATATCTTTTCTTATTTTAACCTAGATTCATTGAGTTTTGGTTGTTTGAAGTCTGACGGTTTGCCTTAAGTTTTATTTTCAGTTTTGCCATTACCCGTCTTAATACACATTTTACCACTTCTGTTTATAATGCAAGCCATTACCCTGTTTGCCTGTTTTTGCTTCTTTAACACTGACTGAACTATCTGAATTGAGTTAAAATGTAAATACTTCTCTATTTAGAAAATGGCGATGATCGTATTTTCAAATGTTCTTTCCTTGTTACAGTTTCATGGTAAAAATTTAGAATTAAGTCTTGGGACTTAATAAACCAAATTATGCTAAAAAAACACTTTTAAAATTTGTTAGTTTAATGCCCTGCTTAATGTTCTCTTTTTTTAAATTACTGTATAAAATTTAACTGAAGTTTAAATTTTACGTGTCCATGGAAAATATTTTAATGTCATCGCAAGGTGTCTTTGAGGAAAAAATTACAGTTGGCAACTAATGTTAGTGTATTTTTTTCACTATCTTAGCTTCCAGGAGATTCCAGTAAGATTAATTTTTAAAACTGCAGCATCATTTTAGGAGTTGAAGCACAACCCAATTCTTAGTACCAAATAGTGGCCACTGGAAATTTTGTTTTCTCATTTAGGGGATGCCTCAGTTGATCAGTAGACTTAATATAAAGAACTGTCCATACTGTCAACCAGACAGTGTTGGGATTTTTAAACAAATTTTGGTGATTTCTTGAGTTTTTGATGTATTTTGCTTGACTGAAACTTATTTTCTGCCTAACACACGAGAGGTGCTAAGATTCCTATTTTTAAAGATACTTCATTCAAGAAAATGGATGAATAAATAAAATACTTAGCATCTTGGTGGAAAGTAAATGCACTTCCCAAATTTGAATGTAAGTGAAGTCGTAAAGCAGTATGTTTGCAGTTGAGGATGTAAGACACTTGGGTCACCTCTATTTTATTGGGGTTGGATTGAAGGATACTATTTGTTATGGGGTTGTTTAGAATTAAATATGGGTAATTAAAAGCAAACTTTTTGTTTTAACTATTTGAAATAATCACTTGTATATTATGGAAGATTCTGACACCCCCTCCCCACCACGGTTTTTTTTTTGTTGCGGCAGTTTGTATCTTGAACACTTATTTAGATTTATATAGAAATTTTTTGGTTTCAGATTATTTCTCCCCCTTCTCCAACACATATAGTTTGTTGTTGTTGTCGTTTTTAATCTACAGGGCACAGATGGTTGAGATATGTAGTTTTCTGTAATTTCCAAGTAGGGAAAAGAAGGCAAAATATTTGTGATAACATGTAAAAGTCCCTAGTCAAGTGCTGGGCGCAGAGTAAGCTGGAGATAAATTTTGTTATATTAATATTTACATCTGAATTGCTCACTTATATCTTCTCTACTCGGGTTATATAGGAAATCTTAGGGAATTGTTATTCGTTTTTCTAATGTCATTAATAAGTGAAAACTGACTGTCAAATGCAGGCTGGTTTTGTACTGAACTAATAAGCTTATGATCTTTTAACATTCTTTGCCAAGATAAAAATTAGGCCACCTTGGGCAAAAGCCCAAAGTAAAGTTGAATTTCTAAATTTACATTTCATTGCATATTGCATTGTATTTGGCAAACTAGCACATCATAGCAAAATGGTAGTTGAATTTAGATTGTCTGAAAGGACCCATGATTATATATGGAGTAGTACTTCAGCTTAAAAGCTATTTATCAAAATATTCATCTTACTACTTACGGAGAATAGCTAAATTTTTCTTTACTTAGGAATTTTTTTTCTCCAACTAGGAGTAATTATGAATTTTCTTTTTTTAAGCCATGCCAGTTCTCTGTTAGTAGATAGAAGATGTCTAACATTGAAACAACTCATTTACTTAACCGTACCTGCACAGCTAAAGACTAAGGGATAATATTTCCTTGCTGAACATACCTGTATTTCAGATGGTGGTAGGCTTCAACCAAACAGGCAGTGAAATCACTTTGGGTGTTTAAAACTTGTGTACTTCATTTGTTTCTCAAAAGTTATCATATGTCAGTGATACTTTCTATATCAAAGTGGAAAAAGTAACACTTCTTGATAAAGGAGGTTTTGCTTGCATTGCTCTCTTTATCACTGTCATTAACACCTGAAGAATTATTTTTATTGATAACTTTTTTAAAAAGCTATGCCATTAGCCTTAAAACCATTATGTAGTCTTATCCTATTGATGTTATCTAGTATTTTATTTTATAAATCATTTACTAAAGAATTACTGTTAATTTGTTTTAGAAGTCCTATTAGGAAAGGTTTTGTTACATGAAACTCTCAATATGACAGAAGTGTTCAGTTGTTTTAACTCTGAAATAAGTTTGTGCATTGAATTCTGAAGCAAAAATCCTGCTCAGAAATCACCTTAGCTTGTTTACGCCCAAAAGAAACTTCGAAACTGAGTCTTTGGTTCAAAAAACTGGAGTTGGCCCCATGAAATTATGTATACTTAGCATTTTTAACTTCTGTCCTGTTGGGGAGACCCCTGAGGATAAAAATAGTCCTTATGATTTGAATAGCAGGCAGGTTGCCAATTGAAGAGACTTTGGTAGAAGTGAGCCATAAGGAGGGAGCCAGAGTTGTTAGAGGGAAGGAGCAAGAAACCAGGAGAAGCTTTTGGGAATGTGATGATGTTAGGTTTCCAGATAAATATTATATAACGTATTAATATAAATATTGTATCACAAAAATAAGCTCATTATCATGAATCTGTTGATTTATATTTTGTGATTTCTAAGTCACGTATTGGTATTTGCCCCTGAAAATGGTAAGGTATCCTAAATTAAGTTATTCTAATGCATAATCACAAATGAGACTATGTGAAATGTGCAGAAGTATAGGAGCTAATGCAAGCTCTGTGATGGCAGGGACCATTTTCTTTGTTCACTCTTTAAGTCTTAGCACTTAGCATAAGCCTGACAATAAAAGATGTCGAATAAGTATTTGCTAATAGAATTAAAGTATCTACAATCTAAGGTATTTATTTTATAACTATCTCTTCAGCAGTGTTGTCCAATAGAAATACAATGTGAGCCACAAATATAATTTAAAATTTTCTAGTGCCACATTAAAGAAGTAAAAGGAAACAGGCAAAATTAGTTTTCATAATGCATTTAAGCCAATAGATCTGAAAGATTATCATGAGTGACTTTACGTACTTTTATTCATATTGGACAGCGTAGCTCTAGGGGCGTTTTGTATGACATGTTTCTTTCTGCAGAACTTGTCTTTTTGTAGTCTTTTTCTAACTGATTGATGTGTCTTTTGAGGCCAAATACAGAATTGCATACACCTTCGAATTGGAGTTATTGAGTTGGATTGAAAGTCAGGCTACCTGTCTTCTCTCAGTTTTACATCTCCGCACAAAATGACTTTGCGCGTTACTGTCTTTCCCAATGTATAATCCTGTAATCCCAGCAGTATGGGGAGCTGAGGCAGGCAGATCATTTGAGGTCGGGCAAGACTAGCCTGACCAACATGGTGAAACCCTGCCTCTACTAAAAAATACAAAAATTTGCTGGGCTTGGTGGCAGGCACCTGTCATGCCAGCTACTAGGGAGGCTGAGGCAGGAGAATTGCTTGAACTTGGGAGGTAGAGGTTGCAGTGAGCTGAGATTGTGCCACTGTACTCCAGCCTGAGCAACAGAGCAAGACACCATCTCTAAAATAAAATAAGGAAGGATATTCATCATCTTTTTCATTGGATTAGTATAAGTTAATTATGCCTTTGAAACACTCTGGGCTACTCAGACAAGACTGTTATAAAAGAGATCCTCTAATTATTAGTAACTAGTCAGAGCAAGGCTCAGTGTAAAAAACAGGATAGAAGTTCCCATGAGACTGGTGCATATAGAATGTACTGTTACCTCCCACATTGGAATCAGTAACAATAAATCAATACAAGATGCTCTTAAATAGAATCAGGAGAGGCGACTAGGTTGGTTTGAGCACCAGATTTTAAACCTCTCATCTATTTAATATTGCCTGAACAAATCTGTTTTTCAGTTTTTGTATGGAATAAATGGGACTTTTTATATAGGCATCCTTAAATAAAATCATGAAATAAGGTCATTTGGAAAGTGGAGGTGGGAACTGGTAAGTAATGTGAGTGCGTAAGTGGGGGTGGGAACTGGTAAGTAGTGTGAGTGCGTAAGTGGGGAAAATAAAGTAACCATTTAGAAAAGCCTGTTATCTTAGGGTATATGATGTATATAGTACAATGACTGTAATTCTTTTATCCAAAGCAAGGGTGGCAGTGGTTACCTGGTAGGCAGTTGTGACTTCTGGTTGTATACATAGCCATATCAAATAGATTTCTCCTTATAGCCATACCCTTTAATATAAAACCAACTTTTGTCAGGCATGGTGACTCATGCTTGTAATTCCAGCACTTTGGGAGGCCAAGGTGGGCAAATCACCTGAGGTTAGGAGTTCGAGACCAGCCTGGCCAACATGGTGAAACCCTGTCTCTACTAAAAATACAAAAAAAAATTTACCTAGGTATGGTGGTGGGCACCTGC
Organism: Homo sapiens; assembly: GCF_000001405.40. Classification (NCBI taxonomy): domain Eukaryota; kingdom Metazoa; phylum Chordata; class Mammalia; order Primates; family Hominidae; genus Homo; species Homo sapiens. The sequence goes on along the minus strand of NC_000008.11, from coordinate 100,304,095 downwards.
AGTTCCAGCTACTTGGGAGGCTGAGGCAGGAGAATTGCTCCAACCTGAGAGGTGGAGGTTATAGTGAGCCGAGATTGCGACATTGCACTCCAGGCAGGGTGACAAGCAAATCTGTGTCTCAAAAATAAAAATAAATAAATAAATAAAAACTTTTTTTTGGAGACAGAGTTTCACTCTGTCACCCAGGCTGGAGTGCAGTGACGCAATCTTGGCTTACTGCACCCTCCGCCTCCCAGGCTGAAACGATTCTCATTCCTCAGCCTGCCAGTAGCTGGGATTACAGGCACCTGCCACCACACCCAGCTAATCATTTTTTTTTTTTTTTTTTTTTTTTACAAGCGGCGAGGTTTTGCCATGTTGGCCAGGCTGATTTCGAACTCCTGGACTCAAGTGATCCGCCCACGTCAGCCTTCCAAAGTGCTGGGATTACAGGCGTGAGCCACTGCACCTGGCCCATTTTTAAAATTATGCACAAACGTTAAATATCCTTTAGATTTTTGCATAATTTAGCATACCTTACTGATGTCCTTAGCAAAAATTTCCAGAACCATATTTTAGTGTGTTGCATGGTAACCCCACAAAAGATATGTTCATGTCCTAATCCCCAGAATCTGCAAATGTTATTTGGAAAAAGGGGTTTTGCAGATGTAATTAAGTTAAGAATCTTGAGATAAGATCATCCTGGATTATCCAGGTAGCCTCAAAATCAAGTGACAAGTGTCTTTGTAAGGGACAAGTAGACCCATTACAGAGAAGACGACGCGCAGAAAAGGAGGAAGCAGTGTGCTCATGGAGGCGGAGATTGGAGTGATGTAACCGCAAGCCGAGGAATGCTTATAGTCACCAGAAGCTGGAAGAGTCAAAGGACACATTCTCCCCTCAAGCCCCAGTGGGAGCACGGCCCAGCTGGATTTTGGACTTCTGGCCTCCAGAACTGTAAGAGAAATGTCCATTGTCTTAAGCCAACCAGTTTGTGGTAGTTTGTTACAGCAGCCCCAGGAAACTACTATGCAGTCAAAAGTCTTCAGTAAACCAAAAATCTCTAATTATCGTTGTTTTATATCATGTGCTATGATGATCAGAGACTAAACAGCTCTTTCGTTAGAATTCTAATTCTGAGAAATATCAGAGGAAGTGTTTTAATACCCTCCAGTCTCAACAGGAATCGATTATATCTTATAAGATACATTTTGTTATTTTGCTTGTATCGTTTCTTTCTTCTCCTAACTTGCTCCTTCTTTGCTCTTTGTATACTTTTTAAGATGTAGTTGACATGGGGGAGGGGAATGAGTAAAACACTAGTAGGATAGACCAACAGGTTTTGTCTTCTTTAAAGTGTAATTCCTCCATGATCCCCCTTCCACCTTTTCTGTCTCCTTTACTGGATTCGCCTCTTCTCCCCTACATCTTAATGTTGGGATGCTACAGACCTCATTCCCTACTCTTTAATATTTACTTTTTGGTGATTTCATCTGTGTTCACGATTTTACATACCATCCAAATAACAGCAACTCCAAAATTTACATCTCTAGGCTTTACTTTTTTCCTAATCTCTGGGCTTGTCAAACGGGTGTTTGGATATACATCTCCACCTAGGTATAAGAGATATCTCAAGTATAAATGTCTAAAAATGAACTTCTGGTCTTGGCTCACTCTTAAAACTTGTGTTTCATAGCCTTCCCCATTTCAGTTGATAGCAGTTTCAGCCTTCTGATTAATCAGGCCAAATCCTCTTGTAATCCATCAGGAAATCCTTACAGTTTTACCTTCAAAACATGTCCTCAACACCTTCACTGATGTGCCATCGTCATCTTTCTCATAGATTACTTCAGTAGTCTTTAAACTGTTCTCTGTGCTACCATCCTTAATACCTCCCCATCTGTTCACAACACTTGAATGATCCTTTTAAACTTAGATTTTAAACTATCTCTGTCACTTTAGAAACCCAAGTTTCCCTGTCTCACTTAGAATAAAAGCCAAAGTACTTACAGTGGCCTTAACCCCACACAACCTGGCATTCTCATGTATCTCAGATAGTCTTTGCCTTGCTCATTAATTTTCAGCCATATTAGGGCCTCCTGGCTATTCCTTGAGCATACCAGACACATTCCTCCCTTAGGGGCTTTGCAGTGGCTGTTCTGTGCCTTGGATGCTCTTTCCCCAGATTTCCACATAGCTAACACCTCCTTTACCTCCTTCAGGTCTCTGCTAAATGCCACCCTTTCAATGAGACTGTGATCACCCTGTTTAAAATAGTAATCAACACCACACATACACTGATCTCCTTTGCTCTGCCTAACTTTTTTCCCCACCTTCTAGTAAAGAATAATATTAAAATATTTAGACGATATTTAGAAAATTGTAAACTTGTATATAAGAGCATGGAGTAACTTTTAGTAATGCTTATTTATAGTTACTGACCTAGAATGATTGTGGAGATAAGATAGGAGTTGGGCCTTGAAAGAGGAGTAGGACTAGCAGTGAAGATGGAAAAGAATACTCCAGGCAGAGACAAAGGCGTAGGAAAATTCATAGAGTTGAAACTATATATGTTTTGTTAAGATATTTAACAAATAGGTCAGTTGGCTAAAGTGTGGGGTTTTTATGTAGAACAGTGAGAAACTGAGGTTGCACTGTGGAGGGCTTTTAATGCCACAGGAAACTTGAAATTTATTCTTCATCTCGGGGAAACCAGTGGAAATTTGTAAGCAGACTTTAACAAAGAGGATAATGTGGTAATTTGGATACCAGGTGATTAATGAAGGCCTAGTCTAGGCAGTAAGATAGTAGAAAGAATGCTGAGCCTTTAGCTCTGCCACGTTAGCTGTGTGGGTAAGTCACATCTCTAGACCAGTGCTGTGCAATAGAACTTTCTGTGGTGAAGGAAATGTTCTAGACCTGTTCAGTCCAATATGGTAGCCAATAGCAACCTATGGTTGTAGAGCATTTGAAATGTGACTAGCACAACTGAGGAACTAAAATTTAATTTTAATTTAAATAGCCTCATGGGACTAGTGGTGATACATCGAACCTACTAGCTCTAAATTCAGTTTTCTCACTTACAAAAATAGGTTAGATTAGAATGCTAGAGTCACTAGAAGGATAGGTTTCACAGCCACATAAAGTTGGTGCAGCCTCTTGAGAAGAGCAAGTAAGTACATGAGCACAGGGACCTTTACATGACTAGTTTTTTTGTCTGTGTGAAATAGGTCCAGAATTTGTAGCCTTTTCACTCTTTGTATCTTCTTGACTTACTTAAAAGACTCACTCTGTTTTTTGATGGCTGCTTTTTCAAATTAGTCTTTGGATTACTGTCTCCCAGGAGTTGACTAGTTAAATATCTGATACATCTAATTTAATAGTCTGTTTTAGAATTGTAGTTAAACTGATTATGTTGCTTTTGTTTTTTTATTTTTTAATTTTTTTCTATTTCATTTTTTTCAGAGACAGGGCCTCACTGTGTCACCCAGGGTGGAATACAGTGGTGTGATCATAGCTCACTGCAGCCTGGAATTCCTGGGCTCAAGCAACCCTGCCACCTCAGCCTTCCAAGTAGCTAGGACTACAGGTGTGCACCACCACACCCAGCTAATTTGTGTAGTTTTTGTAGAGATGGGTTTCACCTTGATGCCCAGGCTGCTCTTGAACTCCTAATTTCGAGTAATCTGCCTGCCTTGTCCTCCCAAAGCGCTGGGATTGCAAGCATGAGCCACCATACCATGCCCAGCTGATTTTGTTGCTTTTGAATTCTCAGTAAGAAAACCGTAACAGAGATAAACCTTTATGATTGTTTACCTGCTGTGTAATTATTACCTAGATTTTTCTGTCTTTAGAAAATACTCCCTTTTCTTTCCTTATACAGTTAATAATATTTCCTTTGTACGTGAGTTTTTAATCTCATTTTCGGGAGACTTGTGTAAAGAGAAGCTAATTTGAATACTACATACCCAAAGGGAAACAGACACATTTTGCTTATTGTGCCTCTTGGTTCCCAAGAGATATTATTCCATCTGAGAATTACCTTATAGTTTGAAGAAAATTTTAAAACTAAGTTCTAGGATCTCTACCAAACACCTCTTACAGATTGCACTCTTATCTCCTATGTACATATATCATTCAATTACATGCACACACAATGATTTAGCTAACCAGAGGTCTTCCCTCCCCCTTACTCATGGTGTCCTTTAGGAGAAAGAGACAAATGAGCTTCCAAAATTGGAGAGGTGGGATGCTACTGTTATCAATAATTTGTATGGAGTTGAGGGATTTCCAGAGAAAGTGGTTAGGATAAGATTAGTCCAAACACTTAATACTTTTTTTTTTCTTTTTTTTATTTTGAGACAGAGTTTTGCTCTTGTCACCCGGGCTGGAGTGCAATGGCACAATCTTGGCTTACTCAACCTCCACCTCCTGGGTTCAAGCAATTCTTCTGCCTCAGCTTCCCGAGTAGCTGGGATTAAAGGCATGTGCCACCACACCCAGCTAATTTTGTATTTCTAGTAGAGACAGTGTTTCACCATGTTGGCCAGGCTGGTCTTGAACTACTGACCTCAGGTGATCTGCCCACCTTGGTCTCCCAAAGCGCCGGGATTACAGGCGTGAGCCACCGCACCCGGTCCAAACACTTAATACTTCTAATTGTCCAAATAGTAGAATCACATTAATCATGAGACTTGGTAAAATTCACTTTGACACTGAATTTACTAAGAAGAGTATACTAATACTTGGGAGAATTTGGAGACATTTTGTAAAGAACAGAAACAACAATTATTTGTTTATCCTAGAAAATTGTAATCATCTACTTAACCTAGAGTATTCTGTATATTAAAACTGCCTATATATTTGTATATTATTATCATAGTCTTTTGGAACTAAGGGACCCTAGACATCATCTGGTCTTAATCACCTTAGTTTTCGAATATGGAAATTAAAATTCAAAAACATAGGTAAACTTGGTTAAGATCTAATACTAGGTTAGTGTTTCCCTTCTGTTGAGAACCAAGGGACACAGTAAGCAAAATGTGTCTGTTTTCCTTTGGATATGCAGCATTCAAATTAGTCTCTCTTCAGCAATGTGTGTTTTAACCAGTTGAAGGAAATTTTTGACAGCTAGGTATCTTTTTTAAACCTATTTAAAAACTTACATGTCTCTGGGCACTTGATCATACCTGGCATTTTGCGCTCTGCTTTCCCTGTGGTTTTCCTAATGGTGTATTGTTTGTGCTTCTTGTCGAAGAGGGCCTGGAATAAGCTAACCAAAATGTTTTTTATTGGAGAAATTGAATGAGTAATGCTTTATTCCTTTCTGCAGCAGCTTACTTTTTGTAATAACTTGAGTAGTGAATATTACTTGTAATGAGTATTATTAAAACCACAAAGCACCATTTTGTTCTTCTCCCAATCAAATATGGACTTAAACAGGTAGATGTGGCAGGTGCGTGTTTGTGAAGCTGTTTAAGAAATACCTCTTTTGGGAGGCTTTGTGGCTTATGGGAATAGCTTATTCTGAACTTTGAGTTTCTGTTTCTGAGAGATTATAGAAACTATCTTAAGGCTAGAACCCAAGAGAGTATATCTGGGTCTTGGTAAGCATTTACTTTCTAAAGAACTTGTTGGAAACTGATACTCACCTACACTAATGATATGTTGAATTATCCCCATCTCCCTCATTTATAAGTAGTTGAATTAAAAATATTCATTCCATTTTTAATATTAGACCACTTGAGGTAGGTTTGTACTAGCTGTACATTATTTATATAATTTACCTTTGAGAAATTCGTGTACTTTAATAATGTATTCCAAACTTCCAAGTGCCTGTTCATTAGGGAAGCCATTTCAGAGCCAAGCATTTGTTTTTATTTCTAACCTAATGTGTAATAAGTGTTTTTTTTTTTTTTAACCCAATACATGGTAAATTTAGGTACATTTGTGCTATCTTCTCAGATGAGTATACTTACAGGTAATACTTAAGTGATTATATGTACCATACCCTTCACTGAATTCTTGATGTGTTATTTTATTTAATCTTTATAATCTATGGACTGTAGGTACTGTAATTCACATTTTATAATTGAAGAAACTGAGTCTTAGTAATTTAACCCAATGTCACATAGTTAATGTAAGTTTCAGAGGCTGAACTTGAACTCAAGATATCCTGACTCCAAAGTGCATGCTTTACTCACTCAACAAAATATACTCTATCACTACCCCATATTTATATAGCATTTAAAAAACCTTTCCCCCCAAGCTAAGCTAAATTTTGTTACCTCATCTTATTATATTTTCCAGCTTTAAGGTGAGTAAGATAGATAATTGTATCTGTAACAGAAAACCCAAAATCTCATGGTGGAACACAATAACAATTTATTTCTCACTCACACAAAGAACCATGTGTAGTACTCAGGTATCCAGATTCTTTCCATCTTGTGACTCCTCTGTCCTCTAAGTTCTGCCTCACTAGAATTACTCCATTCAGCCAGTCATTGTGTGAAGAGAAAGAGAGCTTGAAGGTTTTTTTCAGGGATGATTTAGAGGTCAGTCCTTGAAAGGGCATACATTATTATAGTCAGATTGCATTGGCCAGGACTAATAATGTGGCCACACTTAGCCATAAGTGGAATGGGAAAATGTAGTCCTGCTTTGTGCTCAGAAGGAAAATGAAGCAGATGAGCATGTAACAGCATCTCTGCCACAATAGTATTTTCCCCATTTTACAGATGATACAGAGAGGTCCTTTCTGAACAAAAGGCATAAAACTACTTGGTAGAGATCATAGAACCTAGGTTACCTTAGATCTGCGTATTATGTGCTCACGCGTCTAAGGACACATTGAAGTAATTGAAAGGTATTTAGATTGTACATCTAGTAACATTGCTTTCTTTCACATTGGGCATTAAATGTCTTCATCTCTTCATGTCTGTTATTAATAGACTTTAAATAGATTATTAATTGACTTACCTCATAAGGAATAATCAACTTTAAAATTTTTTCAGTGGTAATTGCCATTTTAAGTAAAGATGACACAATAGCATTATAATATCTTTATGGACATATTTATGGTCACCTGTCTTTTGAATATACAATATTGATTAACCTTTGTTTGTATGATTTTTGTTTTCAATACATGTGATGGGTTACTGTGGGCCGGCCATCTATCCACATAATGTTTATTCTTGTGTGATGAATCGGAGACTTTGTTTAGCCATGAAAGTTGTTTTTTAACCTTCCCAAAAACTTAACTCTTGTGGAAAGAGTTGCACCTTCAACTGGAATACTTCTAATGGAATAGAATTATTTTCTAACTGAGGTTATAATTGGTACAGCTGTGAATGCTGTACTAATAATGTAAATAGCGAGAGTAGGAATGATTTACAGAAACTGTTAACTTTTACTGGCAAGTTAAATCTGACATCTCAGCATTAACAGTTAACCTTTCATTGTACTTTAGACTCCTTGGAGAATGTGTTGAAAGCTGTGGATCTATCCTGTGCCTAGAATATATATATATTCACAAATTAACATACACTTTTGAGATTTCATGGATTTCTCTGAAGCCAGTCCATGCATTAGCTGTTATTTTAAGCATTTTTATTTTTTTCTAAAAATGTGCTTGTTATATTTTTACTTTACTAGGCTGTAGAAAGAGATGTTTAATAAATACTATTACCTGGGCAGTAAGAATAATGCCCGGAGGCTGGTCGTGGTGGCTTACGCCTGTAATCCCAGCACTTGGGGAGGCAGAGGCAGGAAAATCACTTGAGGCCAGGAGTTCAAGACCAGCCTGGCCAACATGGTGAAACCCCGTCTCTACTAAAAATACAAAAATTAGCCAGGCATGGTGGCACGTGCCTGTAGTCACAGCTACTAGGGAGGCTGAGGCACAAGAATCGCTTGAACTCAGGAGGCAGAGGTTGCAGTGAGCTGAGATTATGCCACTGCACTCTAGCCTAGCAACAGATTGAGACTCCGTCTCAAAAAAGAAAAAAAGGAAAAAAAGAAAAAAAAGAATAATGCCCAGAGAATGCATTGCTGCTTGGTATCCGAATTTGGTAGTTATGTTGGGGAATCAATTTATTAGAGGAAAATAATGACATTTCTAAATTTGAGGTTCATAAGCAAGTCTTATAAGTAAGCATAGATCATGAATGGCATAACTTAAAAATAACATTTAAATGTGATTTTTTAGTAATAGCAAACTTTATTATAATGAACTTCAGTGATTTCTCTCTGTTAAGAGAAAGTGATATATGATAATCTAGTTTAATGCCTCAAACTTCTCTTAATGATATGATTCAGATTTATAAAAACTCTGTTTACTTTGGGCCAAAATTAGCTTGGGTAGAAATACATCATTTCTAGTAGATCACTTTAAGTTATAGTCTGATCAAAGGATGGCTTATGATAATTATCTATTTTTTGGTAGTCAGCTACTACATTAAATTGTACATAGCCATATTTAAATTTGATGAGATGGTGTTTGCAACACTACATATAGTAAATGCTGCACAAAGACAGATATTTCCCTTTTTTCATTGCCTTAGGAACGTTTATGTAGCACCAGAGGCTGAGCAGATCCAAAATAGTGAGTCTAGGGTTGAGGATTTCCCCACCTTTTATCTGCTAATATTGGTTCCTAAAGTTATGCCCAGTGAGCAAAATGAATATTCTGTATACTAGATAATTTGGTTAGATAAATAGTGATTTCTTTTGTGCAACTTAAATTGTCTACCAAAATGTTTGGGTATTAGAAAACCATTGTAACTACGAAAAATAGAGTGCTGTCAAAAGTATCTAAAGTCTACTAGGAAGAAAGCTTTAAAATGGATTTTGATAAATACTAGTTTCAGTTATGGGACTACCATATATGTATGTCCAAATAAAAATCAATTTTTTTCTTTAAAATTATGCTTAGAAAAGAGGGAGTTACTTATTAAAATTTAGATCCTTGCAAAGTCATTCATGTTACTCTTTGGAGAAGATATCATCTGAAGTATCTGTTCAATGCTTAAATGTACTGGAATGAAAGTTCCACAGAATAGGGACCTTGTCTATTTTGTTCACTATCCAGCACTTACAAGAGTATCTGGCACATGATAGGCACTGAACATATTTGTTGAAAGAATAAATGAATTAATACTTATACAGGTTACTTGGAGCAAGTAAGGCAAAAAGTTTAACACATTTAGTCATTCGTTGAAGACCTTACAGTTCCAGGTATTGAATAATGCAAGAAAATCTTTTAAAGGATCGTTTTAAAAAAGCAGTCTAGTAAGCAGTTATATTGTGGAGATCGTGGATGCATAAGTAGGCTAAAATTTCCTGTGACAGCATCCTGTACAGATTCAAGAATACTGTATCTCAAAGCCTAGATGAAGATATCCTTTGGAAAACTGCAAGATGTTTTCCTTAAAAAATTTATACATCTTTCCCCCTAAAGAAAAGTCTATGTAGTGTAGGGCAGCTGAAAGTCAAGCAGAAAATCAAGAGTCTTACTGGCTTGAAGTATCAGGGGATGGAAGTTAAGTGGCCAGAAATAGGATAAATCGCAGAAAGGAGGGAGTTATGGTAAGTAACTTCCAAAAATCTGTGGGTAAACTCCCTTCAGATATCTAGATGTCCCCTAGAACTGTGCTTGGGAGATTCCAAGGAGTTCAGTGGAAAACAACAGCTGGCAGGCAGAAAAATCTAAATAGAGATTTTAGCTAATGGCTTCTGCAGGGGTGACAGAATTTGGTGTTTGATTCCCAGCAAGATAGAAGGGATTGGTAAACATGGGTGCTTTCCACAGATCTACTCTAAAAGAGCATAAAACCAAGCTTTCAGAAGTTCAAGTTGACTAGCCAGTGACTTAATTGCCCAGTATAATAAAAGTCCTCACTCTTCAGGAGAAGACAAGAGACTACAGAGCCTCTATAAGATATCCACAATATCCAGTTTATAATAAGCAGTTACAAGGCATGTAAAAAAGCAGGAAAATATGCTTCATTCCATGTCAAGACTCCCTCAAAAATAGGTAGCAGACTCTGCAATTAGCAGAATTAGCAGACAGACTTTATAGCAACTGCAGTTTTTAAGGACTTAAAGGGGGAAATATCATAATGACCGAACATGTGGGTAGTCTCATCAGAGAAATGGAAACTATGAAAAAGAACAATAGATGTTATAGAACTGAAAAGTACAATATCTAAAATGAAAATTTCACTGGATGGATTTAACAGCAGATTGGAGATGGCAGAAGAAAAAGTTGATTAAATTGAAGATAAATCAATAGAAATTTGCCAGTCTACTGAACGAAGAAAAAAAGATTACAAAAAAGAACAGTGCCTCAGTTGCCCCTGGGACAAAAATCAAACTGACATACAAATAATTAGAATTCCAGGAGTGGGAAGAGAGAGAGAGACAGTGTGGTAAAAAATACTTAAAGAAATAATTTTCCCCGAATTCCTGTATTTGGTTTAAATCAACTTCAAATTCAAGAAGTTCAGTGAACCCCAAGCAGGATAGAGACAAGGAAAACCACATCTAGGCACATCTTTATCAAACTGCTGAACATCCAAGATAGAAAACAATGTTGAATGCAAGCAAAGGAAAAAAAGACACATTATGTACAGGGGAATTAAAATATCAGGAAAGATGACTTGTCAGAAACGATGGAGGCCAGAAGACAGTGTAATAACCTATTTTAAGTCCTGAAAGGATAAAGATATCAACCTGGAGTTCTGTATTCAGCAAAAATATCCATAAAACGTGAAGGTGAAATAACATTTTTTTTCCCCAGATAAAAGTTGAAAGAATTCATTGCTAGGAGACCTGCATATCAAAAAATGCTAATGGAAGTTCTTGAGGCTGAAGATACATGACACCAGATGAAAAGTGGATCCACAAGAACAGGGCTCCCCAACCCTTGGGCCACAGTGTGTGGCCTGTTAGGAACTGGGCCACGCAGCAGGAGGCGAGCAGCCGTGAGCATTATTGCCTGAGCTCCACCTCCTGTCAGATCAGTGGCAACAATGATTTCTCATAGGAGTATTGCGAACTGCACTCGAGGGATCTAGATGGCACACTCCATATGAGAATATAATGCCTGATGAAACCATCCTTGCTCCCACCCCCCACCTCCATCTGTGGAAAAATTGTCTTCTATGAAATTGGTCCTGGTACCAAAAAGTTTGGGCACCGCTGCACAAGAAAGATTGAAAAGTACCAGAAAGTAAATATGTAACAATTAGGTTTCATCCTCCAAAAGAAGACTTGGTAAGCTTATAGAGCAATGGAATAATTTATAAATAAATAAATAAATGTCTCAAAAATAAGAAATTAAAAAATTAAATCAGTATGTATGTAGGGGGTGGGGCATGGAGGAAAGATCATTATTCAGTAACTGGTGTTGAGGTAACTGGCTAGCCATTTAGAAAACAAATTTTGATCTCTACTTATTCATAAACTATCAAATTACCAGTAGAAAACATGTGAAGGGATTTTAAAAATATAATCTTAGAGTGGGCAAGGCTTTCTAAGGCTGGTGTAGAAGTCAAAAGTCAGAAAGATATGTGAATTTGAGCACGTTAAAAACTTTTGAAATTTCTACATTGGAAAATTGCCATATAGTCAAATACAATTTATACGTACACACACACACACACACACACACACACACACACCCATATGATAGCAAGCCTCTTTATTAAATAGAACTATGTCTTACACATCAGTAAGGAAAAGTGCTGCAGCAGGATATAAACATGTGCCTAGTGCACAGAAAGTGAAATGTAAATGACTTGTAGTGAGACAATACTAAAAATATCTTTGCTATCAAAGCAAATGTTCCTCGTGGATTCCCAATCTCACATGCAAATACATAGCCATTAAAGTTAAATTTGTTTTTTTTATTCTTTATTATCTTCTCAACATAAGCATGTGCTGAAGTTTAATAGCTTGTTATTCTTTTGTAATACAGAATACAGCATTTAACATAGTATTTTTTATTTGTCTTCTTTATTGACAGTTTCACTTGAGTATAGAATAGCTTTAAGCTTCTGTAGTGACCAAGTTAGTGATCAGTAGAAACTCTGCTGGGAATTATCTGTACCTATTCCATCTTTACTTGAAAAAAAAAAAAAAAAAAAAAAGACTTAGTCCTCTTTCTGTTCAACAGTGCTAGTAAATATTGTCACATGCTGTTTTTATTGCATGCTTATTTTAGAAGTACCATACATCTGGATGTCAGACATCTAAAAAACAAATTAAAATTAGAAGACATAGGTACACTGCTCTTACATTTAGTATTTTGACCATCAGCACAAAATTACTGGATTTTCTCCATATTTTAAGCTGTTTGAGAAGTGACAGAAGAAACCTAATTTTAGCTGAATAACAGAAGCAAAAACTGTTATTTGACCATGTAGTAGGTTTTCCTCTTGGGAAGTAAGTGTTTTCTGTGTATGCAAACTTTTTGCCCTGCCTTCTTCATTTCCAGAATACCTTTCTAATGATGTGTAAATCATTTAGGCAGATAGGTGGCTATTAGATGCTGCTGAAGTGTTTATGGTTAGATGTTTATTGGTGGGATATTATAAATGTATAATTCTTGAAGTTGTAGTGTCAGGATACTTAACATGTTTTACGAATCCTGAAGCACTTCTGAAGGTAAAAGGTTCTTGTCTTTCCACAGTTAAAAAACTGGATGTAGTAAGGCCGTATGGCTTAAGGATCACAGAGTAATAGCAACTGAAAAGCATCATTCATTCATTTAATACTAAGCACTTGCTATAAGGTACACATTTTGTAAAGCACTAGGTTATCTTACATTCCATTTCAGCTAACATTTAGTACGGTGCCGGGTTTGTTAGGCAGGTTTAACACATGTCAATTTCATATTATTCTTAGAACATCTATTTGAGGTGAGTGGTATCATCCATATTTTGTGGTCCTGATCACTGATTCAGGAATATATCTTACCTAGGATATGATAACAAAAAATAGCTGAGCCAGGTCTTTTGACTCCCAAGTTCTCTTCTTTATACATACAATACTGGATGTTTTTTGTTTGCATGTCCAGATCTACTCTCATTCAGCCTTCTCTACCCTGCTCTGTGCCCCAGGAGGTTGACCTCTAAGGACTGCCTTAGAGGCAGTTGGCTTCTGGTTGGATTTACCCAGTGTGAGGCACTGGCAGGATATCGGAGAGCCAAAGAAATGAAACATCTGTGTTTAGGTACACAGATATCATTGTGTTGCAAATGCCTCCAGTATTCACTACAGTAACATACTGTACAGGTTTGTAGCCTAGGAGCAATAATCTATACAGTATACCCTAGGTGTGTAATAGACTATAACATCTAGGTTTGTGTAAGTGTGCTCTGTGATCACACGACAAAATCACCTAATGACACATTTCTCAGAATGTATCCTGATCATTAAGTGATGCATAACTGTATTTGTATAGATTGAGCTCTCTGACTGTTCCTTATCTATCCTGTGTTTGTGAAGGGAAATATAAACCGAGGGACATGAGGTGAAGTTTGTTTGAGTGAAATGTTTTTCCAGAGAACACATGTTAATTAGGAGGTCAGCCATAGGAGGAAAAAAACACATAGAAAAAGGCACATTAATCATGAGTTTCTGGGTCGTGTATGTATCACAAAGTGAACATACCTTTGTAACCACTATGCATACTGCACATATTAAGAAAGTTTGGCTGGGCACTGTGGCTGACGTCTATAATCCCAGCACTTTGGGAGGCCAAGGCGGGCGGATCACTTGAGGTCAGGAGTTCGAGGCCAGCCTGACCAACATGGTGAAACCTTGTCTCTACTAAAAATACAAAAATTAGCCAGCATGGTGGCGCATGCCTGTAATCCCAGCTGAGGCAGGAGAATTGCTTGAACCCAAAAGATGGAGGCTGCAGTGAGCCGAGATTGCTTCACTGCACTCCAGCCTGGGCAACAGACACAGACTGTGTCTCAAAAAAACAAAAAAAGTTCCCTTTGTGCCTCACCACAAAATGTAGCCACAATCCTGACTCCTAACATTGTACATTAATTCTCTCTGTTTGGAACTTTTTATAAATAGAATTATACCACATACTCTTTTGTATGAGAGTCCTGTCTTGTGTGTAGCAGTATTTTATTCCTTTTCATTGCTTCATTGCTTTAGAGTGTGAATATACCACAAATTATGTATTCATTCTACAGTTGATAAAATTATGGGTTGTTTCCAATATTTTGAATATTATTACTAATGCTATTGTGAGCATTGTTAAGTATGTCTTTTAATGTATGTGTACATTCATTTTTCTTATGCATTCCTTTCTAGGAGTGAAATTGTTGGGTAATAGGGCATCTCTGTGTTCCAATTTGATATTGTTAAACAGTTTTCCAAAGTAATTGTGCCATTTTACACTCCCACGAGTAGTGTAAGAGAGTTCCTATTCTTCCACATCCTTGCTAACACTTGGAAATGTCAGTCTTTTAATTTTAGCCATCCTATTAGGTGTGTTGTCTCTGAATGTGGCATTAATGTGTTTTTTCCTGATGACTGATGATGTTGAGCACTTTTCATATCCTTTTGTGAAATGCCTGTTAAGTCCCCTGCCCGTTTTTCTATTGGATTGTCTATGTTTTCTTATTGATTTGTAAGCATTCTTTACATAGTCTGGGCACTGTGCCTTTATTAGTTATATGTGGCAAAAGTCTCCTCCCATACCCTTAATACTGTCTGTTGATTTTATTCTAGTCCAGTTTATCAGTCTTTTATTTTATGGTTGGTATTCTTGTATGTTCTGTTTAAGAATTTTTTCATAGAAATAGTCTCTTTTGTCTCCTAGAAGCTTTATATTTAGATCTGTAAACCATCTGTAATTGATTTTCACACATGGGTGAGCCATCCATCCATCAAGTTTCTTTTCTCAGGTGGATAACCAGTAGACATAGTATTTTTCTTTTTTTAAAGGCCATTTATTCTCAGTTCTCAGCAACATCACCTTTGTCAGAAATCAAGTCTCATATACATATATATGACTTTTTTTTTTTTTTTTTTGAGATGGAGTCTCGCACTGTTGCTCAGGGTGGAGTGCAGCGGCGCAATCTCGGCTCACTGCAAGCTCCACTTCCCGGGTTCACGCCATTCTCCTGCCTCAGCCTCCCGAATAGCTGGGACTACAGGGGCCCGCCACCACACCCGGCTAGTTTTTTGTATTTTTAAAAGAGACAGGGTTTCACTGTGTTATCCAGGATGGTGTCAATCTCCTGAACTTGTGATCCGCCCATCCTGGCCTCCCAAAGTGCTGGGATTACAGGCGTGAGCCACCGCGCCTGGCCTATATGGGACTTTTTCTTGACTACTTTTTGTTCCACTGGTCTTTGTATTCATCCTTGTGGCATAGCACACTATGTTAATTACTGTAACTTTATAAGAAGTCATTATATCTGGCGGTGTTAGAGCCCTTTCCCTACTTTGTTCTGCAAGATTGTGTAAGCTATTCTTAGCCCTTTGTATTTGCATGTATACTTGATGGTCAGTTATAAACAACAACAAAAAGACCTGCTAAAGGCAGTGAGAAATCATTGAAGTCAGAGTGATAATGACCAGAAGTTTTTTCTGGTCAGCTCAAATCTAGAATCTTTTATTAAGATTAAAGAATGCCCTTGTTGTTATTTCAGCATTAGTCTTGTAGTTTCTTATAGACTATTTAATAAATTGGCCTTGTTAAAAAAAACAACTACTACTAATGGTTAAGAAACATACTTGTTTGAAATTTCATATTTATAAAAATATACAAACTAAGAATACAATTAAATGATCTTGATTTTTTTATTTTTTATTTTTCAGAACATCCATGATAGCAGTCTTCTGTAAATCGAACTTTTCAAGAATTCTCTGAAGGAACCAAGTAGGATATTCTTACATCATGACTTAATGTGAATGCAAGAACAAGAAATAGGTTTTATCTCTAAATATAATGAAGGGCTGTGTGTAAACACTGACCCTGTCTCAATTCTAACAAGCATTTTAGACATGAGTTTACATCGGCAAATGGGTTCAGATCGAGATCTTCAGTCCTCTGCTTCATCTGTGAGCTTGCCTTCAGTCAAAAAGGCACCCAAAAAAAGAAGAATTTCAATAGGCTCCCTGTTTCGGAGGAAAAAAGATAACAAACGTAAATCAAGGGAGCTAAATGGCGGGGTGGATGGAATTGCAAGTATTGAAAGTATACATTCTGAAATGTGTACTGATAAGAACTCCATTTTCTCTACAAATACCTCTTCTGACAATGGATTAACTTCCATCAGCAAACAAATTGGAGACTTCATAGAGTGCCCTTTGTGCCTTTTGCGGCATTCTAAAGACAGATTTCCTGATATAATGACTTGTCATCACAGATCTTGTGTGGATTGCTTACGACAATATTTAAGGATAGAAATCTCTGAAAGCAGAGTTAATATTAGTTGCCCAGAATGTACTGAACGGTTTAATCCCCATGATATTCGCTTGATATTAAGTGATGATGTCTTGATGGAAAAATACGAAGAATTTATGCTTAGACGGTGGCTTGTTGCAGATCCTGATTGTAGGTGGTGTCCAGCTCCAGACTGTGGGTAAGAAGATAATGTTTGATTTTTCTTGAGTTAATTTTTTTCTCTGTGGATAAAATAATTTGCTATTACTCAAAAGAAAAATTTTTACATGCTGGAGAATTCATTCAACAGACATGTTGAGTGCACACCATATGTCAGGCACTATGCTAGGTGTTAAAGGCAGTGATCCTATCTTACTCATTTCTATATCGTCTCTGCGTTACATACTCACTGAGCACTTTTAGAAGGAAAGGGTAAGGTGGTAGAGTACAGGATCTAGTTGTATACAAAATTGGTTTTCTCATCCATTTGGAGAATTTTTATTTTGGAATAACAGATGAAATGATCAGGTTTGTTTATGATGAGGGGGTTATTTGTGGTCATAAATTCAAATGACCTTCTTTATTTTTTTTCTCTTTGTTGACATGTTTCTCATATGAGATAAATGGCCCTTTTGAAAGGTACCTACCTTAGCATGTGCCACAGTATGATGTGTTCATGTTGATATACATAAGCATTTGCTAGTCTCAAGTTCTAGGGGTTATGTAATATTGGATTTGCCTCAAGTTTTTGAATTACACATACCATATTCTCAACATTTAAAATAAAATAATTTTGCTTATATATTTGATTATTATGTTGGTGAGCAGCTCCTGTTTATAGAGTATTTATTGTGTACAGTTGTCAGAATTAGGGAAACAGTAGTCATATACTATTCAGGAATAGTAAAAGCCACAAACAATTAATGTGATACGTAGCATACTATTAGTAAACCAGAGATTATAAGTAAGGTTTGGGGAAACCTAGAACTTCCAAGATTATCTGGGTATAATCTCAGAGGCAAGACTGGGATGTGAGTTTCATTTATCAAATTACAACTTCAAGACTCATTACCTGAATCAAATCCACTATTTAAAAGTTTCTTGAGTAGTGAATTTTCAGATCGCATCTAACCTACATTCCATAATTTTAAATGAGAAAAGTAGTGTTTCCTGCCTGTGCAAATCCCAATTTTCCCAGGTATCACTAACACTTTACCATCCACCAAGGATTTCTATGTAATATACAACATTCAAAAATTACCTAATTAATATTTTATGAATTAGTTGTATGTAGGATTCAGATATTATTCATTATTAGATTTGAATTATGCTGTCCTATACTGCAGGGAGCTTGTACTATAATATAGATAACAACAAAATACGTTATGGATGCTGTCTAAACTGGGCCAAGGTTAGCTGTGTTTCCAGGTGTAATGGCAGAAGCAAACTCTGGGACGTATGCAGGGCTAAATTTTCAAGAAAAAGGTGGGAAGAAAATAGGAATAATGAATAGTAGCTTTAAATAACTTGAGCAGAAGACAGTATTCTGACAGAAAAACAGCTTAGATGCGATTGAATCGCCCTTGATCCCATGGACTGACCCCTGCATAACGTTTTCACAGGTGCAAGTGTGCATTTCCACTGGTGCACATGTGCAAGTTATACTCTTGAAATTAGAGTAGATTTCAAGTAGGATAGCAAATTTTAGTTTTAAAAAAACTTTTTGTGAGTCATTATAACAAATACTCCCATAGCAAGAGTTCAGGTACTGAGGAATATGTCTATGTTATGTTTCATCTACAGAAAGAGTGTGATTTTTCTGTCTATCCTTCATAGAACCCCAGGGTGCAAGAGGTGCTTCATACATTCCTCTAAATTTTTAATAGCTTAAAAAAAATCTACAACTGGGCGTGGTGGCTCATTCCTGTAATCCCAGCACTTTGAGAGGCCAAGACGGGAAGGTAACTTGAACCCATGAGGTCGAGGCTGCAGTGAGCCGTGATTGCGCCACTATACTCCAGCCTGGGCAACAGAGCAAAGCCCTGTCTTAAAAAAAAAAAAAATTCTGACAATGATAAAGGAAAAGGAGACTTAAGTTGTCACAGCCTTTGGCCAGGAGATATTAAGACAGTAAATTCAGGGACACAAACCTTCTGGTCACTTAATTGCTGTATATTATCTTGTACTAGATTGATTGGTAATGTCATCATAATATATAGTTAATACTAGCAACCTAATTGAACACAATAGGTAGGGCTAAAGCAAATTATAATTTGTATAAGAACTTGATTTTAGGGGAAACATGCCAAACCAACTGGAAAAGAATTGATTATTCAACATATAGAATTACGAAAATTAGTTATTTGAGGGGGAAAACATTAGATTGTCACCAATATATTAAAATCAAAACAGATTACAGAGGTGTAGGTTATATAAATAAAAGGAAAAAATTAAAAGAAAATATAGGTGAATGATTAACCTACTGCCACATTGTGTATTAAAATTGAACACACATTTATTCTACAACTGAGAATTTCAACTCCTAGGTAAGTACTGTAGAGAAAATCTTTACTTGTGTACCAGGAGATTTGTACAGGGATGTTCCACAATAACAACAACAAAAAAATGTTCATTAACAGTAGAATAGATAAATATATTTGGTTTTATTGGTTACCTCTTGAGAGTAGGAAGAGGGGATGTGAACTTCAGGGGGTAACCAAGTTACTTGTAAAGCCACTGGTAAATAAAGGTTCTGATTTCCAGTTCATGCTTAGTATACTGATACAATTTTTAATAGCACTACATTTCTTTCTCAAGTGTTCCAATTTAGATTGTGAGTTAATGATCATCCTGCTGATAATGTTTCTTAACTTCAGTGGTAGATACAGGAGTATTATTTTACTATTCTTTATAAACCTTTTTTATATGTGATATTTCTTAATAAAAATAATCAGAAACTCATACTTTGGGATATTTTGGCACATTTTCTTCTCATTGAGACTTCATTGTTAAAAAGTAAAATGGCTCAGTATTAATATTTTAGAGATGATAATTCAAATGTTAACTCAAATATAAAATATCATAAAATAATAGAAACACTTGCTTTACTAGACTCTGTTACTATGAAAACAACCACGTGATTATTATATAAATTTAACAAATAATTGTCCGTGATTAATTTGGCCATACATTAATTTTTGGTGTTATTGGTTGTCATAGTCTTACCCACAAAGGACAGAGGAAAAAAAGTCACAGAGATTACTTTTGTGTATTTTATTTTATATTTGACTTATACTGCTCTGTTAGTTGTTATGGTCGTATTTCACATACTTGGTGATGTAGGTTTTATGATTGTGTTTTGAAGAAAATGTCACCCAATAATATAAAATTTGTATGTATACTTCATAGGATACTACACAAGCCCTCATTAAAAGTTAGCTTTACTTATTATGAGCTGTAAATACCTGATTTTGAGTCCCTATCCTATCTTGTTGTTATAAGGATTAAGTGAGATCTTTAATGCTATTACTAGCAAAATTCCTAGCACACAGTAAGCTTGTCATTGCTCTTACTTATTATTCTTCATCTGTATTTCCAAAGTTTTGCTTTTTTTTTTTAAATCAGATAATCATTCAAATATTTAATGCACCTATGTACCAGGAACTGGAGGTTTATTAATGAACACAAGACAAAAATCCCTGACCTATTGAAGCTTACTGAAGCCTTTGAAACACACAGAGGACCGCCCTTTTTAAAAATTAAAACCCCATTTTTTATTTAAATCTGGCATAAGAAATATTGGTAAATTTCTGAATATTTGATTTTTATAAAAATGGTTAGCCACGGTGTCAGGACCATAGGCATATAGGTAGTATTTAACCCTTTTATTATATAACACACTTGAAAGGTTCTTTTCCAGAAATGCTAGATGTGAAATTATGAATTTTTTCTTTTGCATTTGTTATTTATAGGTATGAACATTTTCTGTATCTGACATTAATTTTACTTAAACATACAGTTTAACACACCTTGAGAAATACTGTCCTTACCACAGAGTAGAAAAGAGTTCTACCTGACCTGGTTTCCATTTAAGATCTCTTGGGGTTTCTGACCTAATATTCTTTCCACTCTTTTGAGGGCTAGGACTGATCATACTTGTTTGAAGGACGGTATTTCTAAAAATCCCACTTGAGGAGGGGCCCAGGGGACCAAATTTGAGTGCTGTGATTTAACCAGAGTAAGTCTAGCTAGACAGCTTCTAGAACATGCCAGTCCTCACAGGTTCAGAGAAAAATCCAGCCATAGTTAGGGAGAAAAATTGGGGGAGGGATCCCAGTGTGCAAGGAGGAGAAGCATAGAAGCTGCCTTGAATAAAAATATCTGATTACCCTCTGCCTTGGAGTCCTAGTTTGTACATTGTCTAGGCAGATGAGCAAAAAGTTGTTGTTTTAGTTTCTATCACCTGTTTCAGTTGGCTAAGGCCACCCTGCTACCAGCGCACATTATCCCTGTCATCCCATGTGAGTTCTTCTGACTTTGCTGGGGAGCTTTGAATATACAAGAACATTTATTATACTGGGACATAATTAATGATTTATTGTCTCTGAGCCTCCCAAGGATCCTCCAGAAAAGTTCCTTTTTGTTTTTGGAACCACAGGCTAACCTCATGCTCAATAAAAAATTGTTCAATGAACCAGCCTGACTGTATGCTACTAACATAACTCATATACATTTGGGTAATGTGATCAACTATAATTGGCTTTGTGTAAGCTTCAAGCTGGTTTGCTATGACATTTAAATGGTTTTCAATGATAACTTACTCTGGTGGAGAATATTGTTCTTAATGGATTAAAAAAAATAGGGCCATAGACTTAGGGACTAAATAACATGTATTTTTAGAATTCTAATTAATGTCTGTGTAACTCATTCTCATCCTGCAAAGATGTGTTTTAGCTATACCTTGACTATCTTTTGACATGCTGGAAATGCTGTTGTAGACCTTTTACAAATTTTGCAGAGATCACAGATCCTACTTTGATTTTATCCAGAGAAAACAAGTACATGGGACTTAGAAAACAGATTTAGGGTATAAAGAGCCATAATGAATAAACTACATTTCAGGGGAAGTTGTAATTCATGACTAGTGATAAATTGTATGTGTTAGAACACACATACATAAACATATTATAAGAGTTAATAGCTTGAACTGAGAGTGCTATTTTTAATTTATTCTTCCTAACCATAAAATTAACCCAGGTATATTTTAACACTAAATAATTAAATATACTATGTGGGTAGTTCTTTGAAGTTTAAAAATCACATTTTCTATGTCTTCTGACAGTGTAATAAACTTTAAGCATTTCAGATTTTGAATTTTTTGACTAGGGATGCTCAATCTGTATATTACTCCTATACCAAACATTGTTAGTTGATACTAAGATTTTTGGTGGTGTTTTAATGAGTCAATAAAAATAACATTCTTCCCCTTCACCCTCATTCAAAACCATGTTAATGTATGACACAGGAGACATGTCAGCTTTCTCTAATTAGTTGACTAAAGAATGTAGCTTTGGATATGCAGCCAAAATGGCTGGCTAACACTTCATCCCTAAATTGGACAGACTTCCCCAACTAGTCTCAGGCATGTAGCCCTGAGAACAACTGAAGGCCTCTCCTGCAGCATATAGTGGAAAAAAGAACCAGAATGCATCCTGTCTGCAGGTTGCAAATCCTAAAAAAGGGAACCAGGAGATGAACCTCCCTTTGTCTAGACCTTCTCTCAAGTATATTAAGTAAGTCATTCCTTTTTCACTGGAATAATCAAAATGTTAAAGTAGAAACATGAGCCTCTTGATTCTGATATAAAACTTGACTGTTCCCCTTAACTGGATCAAATAATTTTGCTATTTCTGATTATATTTTCTTTCTGTTCTTACCTTTAAAGAACAAAGAAAGTTATTTAAAGGTATGTTAAAAGCTTTATGCTTTAAAAAATTATTTTGGACTTACAGATACTTTTTCTTCATTCTCTTTTAATCGACGTGACATGAGAGACAGTGTCATTTTGTAATCAAAATATTTATTGAGACTGTCATGTCTTTCTTAGGATTACATTTCATGTTAGGTATGTTTTTTTCTTCTTACTTGTTCCTCACAAGGAATTTGCTCCAGGTAGAATATATCACCCTATCTGGTATCCCTACTTGCTTGATGTTATCAATAGTATAATTTATAAAACATAGTACTATGAAATTCTCCCAGGAGATATTATAAATGACTTAATTTAAGTAAATTAAGAAAATACTGCAGACTATGTACTGAACATTGGTATGTTAATTGTTTTAGCAAATCCTATAATAGAAAACAAAAACCACTTTAATTTTACTTGGCATTTTCCTAACTTGACCACTGAGTTCTTAGTGTGGGTCACCTGTTAACAATGCAGTGAACAGAAGATACTTCTGGAGAGACTGCTGTTTCAGCCCCTTCCTGTCTTCCCCACTTTCTTGCTGTCCATCCACTCCTAGGTTAAGCATTTCAAGTACAGTACCTAGAGACCTTCAGCTGAAGGATAGAGAAGGAAAGTAAGGCTTGAATTAAATAATGGACCATGGAAGGAAATGGAGCTAACCACTAAACTAAGGTCTGGGGGCTGTTTGAGTCAGAGATGTTCAGTTATTTCCATGACCTTCTATTGAGCCTGTTCTTTTTCCAAATAACACTTATTATACCAGAGCAGAGAGACTCCTGGAATTTTCTATAAAGCAAGTGTCTTGTATTTAATTTACTTTTACCATTTGCTTCCATTATAATTTGAGAGTTGTTTTTCAATGGCAAGTAAATACAGCTCCCACAAAAGGAACGTCATCTTCAAGAGGCCTGACAATCTGTTTTCAAAATGTGTGAATGCCAGGTACATTTAATTCCTTGATATATTACAGAACGTGCCTAATACTGTTATGGTTAGGATTGAATACATATGAATGTGAAACACCTACATAGGAAGCACTCAATAAGTGTTAGTGTGAGAAAAAACTACTAGACAAACTGCTCTAACTTTTGTTGTCAGATTATACATTTATGAAAACATTTGGTCAGTATTATTAAAGTAAACATGTTTTTCTTCGGAATTTGTATAAATTCAGTAAGACTTGAATGTTTAGTTCTAGGGGTAGGACATCTTACCTTTTCCATTTAAAAAATACTGAGAAGTAGCATAAAATGTTGGTACTTTAACATTTGAGTAAATATAACATGCCGTGAACTAAACTCTCCTTTTCTCTCTACCCCCGTAACCCTACCTGTCCTCTGTCTTCCTCTCTCCTCATCTCTCTTCACAGACACACAAACACTACATATGTATAATCTTATTTTAATCTCACAAGTCTTTTTATTATTTGCTAGTTTGGGGGATATATTTTGACCAAATGCCAGGTGGCCAAAGTCAGGTATCTCCGTCATAGTATGATGAACTTCTGGGATACAAGAATAAATGGAAATTTTTAGTTAATTTTTAAAAACTAGCAATCAAGGGCCGGGCACTGAATGGAGATTTGTTCAAATCCAGTCCTGCCCCTTAATGACTGGCCAATTCACTGTATTTCTTTTAACTTCAGCTTCATTATCAAAGTGGAGGAATTATGATTATAAGTAATCATAGGGAGTATAGAGATAACAGTGCTTTAAGATAGCTATCTTAAGAGATTGAAGTTATGAAAAATTAAAAGAAATCAGAAATGAAGCCAGGAGTGGTGGTTCACACCTGTAATCCCAGCACTTTGGGAGGCCAAGGTGGGCAGATGAGGCCAGGAGTTCGAGACCAGCCTGACTAACATGGCAAAACCCCATCCCTACTAAAAACACAAAAAATTGAGGCTGGGTGTGGTGGCTCACACTTGTAATTCCAGCACTTTGGGAGGCTGAGGTGGGCGGATCACTTGAGGTCTGGAGTTCGAGACAAGCCTAGCCAACATGGCAAAACCCCGTGTCTACTAAAGATACAAAAAAAATTAGCCAAGCATGGTGATGCGCCCCTGTAATCTGAGCTTGAACCTGGGAGGCGGACGTTGCAGCGAGCCAAGATTGTGCCACTGCACTCCAGCCTGGGCAACAGAGTGAGACTCCATCTCAAAAGTAAATAAAAAATAAAAGTACAAAAATTGGCCAGGTCTGGTGGCTCACGCTTGTAATCTCAGTTACTTGGGAGGCTGAGGCGTGAGAATCACTTGAACCTGGGAGGTGGAGGTTGCAGCAAGCCGAGATTGCACCACTGTGCTCCAGCCTGGGTGACGGAGTAAGATTCTGCTTAAAAAAACAAAACAAAACAAAACAAAACCTGGCAATCAAATATTAAATGTTTGACGTGGTAATGCAGGATTAGTAATTTCCCCTACACTACCAGCTATTAGTTTGCTCCTAATAAATATACCGTGTGTATATATGTATATTTTATACTGTGTATTTTAAAAATTCTAAATATTCACTTTAATATCACTATTGATATAATTCAGGAAAAAGTTTTATAGTAATATATTTTATAGGAGGAACATTATATTTGGTATAAAGTTTGGATAAATCTCAAAAATCTTGTTCTCTATAAGCAGCCATTTTCATGAGTTTAAGTCTCTAGACTCAGAACTTGTAAGGAATTATCATCTGAAAGCAATTTATGAAGCTGTTTTAAAATTTAATTATTGAGAAGATCTGAACAGAGTTAGAAATACAAGGAAAAATTTGAGAAGAAAATATGCTTTAGGTCCACGGTTTTCTCTGTTTTCTTGCCAAACCCCTTCATGTTTTTATGGAAATTGTACCAGATTTTGGAACTTGTCATGAAATTTTTAAACGGCGAGGTTGATGTTCTGCTTTTAATTCTTCTTGTCAAGAAGAAGTACTTTTTTTTAAAACTTAATTCATTAATTTTTTTTACTTAAATCATTAATTAAAAATTAGGTCAGTTCTTTAAAGTTAGTGTAGTGCTATGAATACTAGTATATTGAACAGCCTTCTACAAAGGTTAGAATTATATGTAATCTAATTTCTATTAATCTGCCTTGTATATTTTTATAAATACTTATTTGCTTAGAAACGATATATTCTTCCTAAATTTATATAGATAAAGCACTCTCAGTGTTCATATTAGCTGTAAATTGTTTTCCTATTTAATTATTTGAAAGTTAAGCATGTACCTAAATTTGGCTTTTACAGTCATCACAAAGATTATAGCATTTTACTCTTGCAACATACTGGACATTTATACTTAAGTGACTCAGTTATCCAGTAAAATGTTACCATATAAAAGATTTCTATTGTTATGTCTAAAATGCCAACCAATATTTATTTTGAGTATTCAGATATTAATATTCAATCCTAATAACACATTATTTATATTACTTATGTAGAAATGATAGTCACTTGTATGATCAAATGGTCATTAGTCAAGCACAAGTGCAGAACTATGAGAAATGTTATCAAAGCAGCCATGTGCTTATTTGGCATTCTAAAGGCCAAGGCCAAAGCCAAAGATTATTTTGGCTGAATACTGAGGCTAAGCCAAACTAAAGTGAATGCCTGTTTTATGTATGGGAAAACTTAGTTGTTGGGAGATAATGTAATTTACTTAAAATTACACAAGTATTAAGTGGTGGAAGTAGAATTTGAACTGGCCACGCTAAAACTTCTTTGCTGCCTTTGTAAATTGTAACCAACTTCAGAAAACAGTTTTGGCATTGTCTCCTGCATACACAGATTTCCCCATTCTGCCCCTCCTCTTTCCTTCTTCCTTCCTTCAATAAAAGGTAGGTAGAGAAAAAGTTTGGAAGAGAATCCTTTTCACTGACGTTATTGTTTTAAAACAAAGACTACACTTTAGCTTATAGATACTTTAGATTAAAACTTTGATTAAAAAAAATAGGGTCTTTTTTCTTTATCTGGGACTGCGATGAATAAGCTGTCTTGGAAATTTTAAAGCTCAGGGAAATGAAGCTTTGTTAAATTACCCATTGCTGATTATAAATTGCCTTTAATTCAGTCCTGTTTGAACATATCTGGATAGAGAATGGTAATTAGATAATTGGTCTATCAGAAATAAGTGGAATTTAAGATGTGTTTAAAGAGTACGTGGTACTTGGGAGGCTGAGGCGGGCAGATCACAAGGTCAGGAAATCAAGACCATCCTGGCTAACACGGTGAAACCCCGTCTCTACTAAAAATGCAAAAAAATTAGCTGGGCGTGGTAGTGGGCGCCTGTAGTCCCAGCTACTCGGGAGTCTGAGGCAGGAGAATAGCTTGAACCCAGGAGGTGGAGATTGCAGTGAGCCGAGATCGCGCCACTGCACTCTAACCTGGGCAACAAAGCGAGACTCTGTCTCAAAAAAAAAGAGTGTGATACTAAGGGATCAACAAGTCCAAAAATGGAGGGAACTCCCTGACTCTTAAAATCCTGCACAATTTTATAGAGTATCTTAAAACTTAATTGCAATCTCAGTTACAATTATTACTTAAATTTTATTGACAGCTCTGAAAACTCCCCTAAATTTCCAGGCAAAAGGAAATGTTTAGTATTTACAAAAGACATGCATTGATAAAACTTGATTGTTGCTGCTTTCAAAGCAAACTAGAAACTTCTAGAAATTTTTAAATTGAAAGTTTTATAGAGGTAATGGTAGATTCACATGCAGTTGTAAGAAATAATTCAGAGATCGTATGTACCTTTCTCACTGTTTGTCTCGGTGGTGCCATTTTGCACAAGTTATAGAACAATATCAGAACCAGGATATTGGCATAGACACAATCTACCAATCTCACTCAAATTTCCTGATTTACTTCTAGTTATTTCTGCACAGTGTATTTAGTTATATGTATTTTATCATGTTTAAGTTTGTGTATCCACCACCACAGTCAAGATACTGAACAGTTCCATCACAACAAAGATCCCTCATTTTACTCCTTTTTTTCTTTTTTTTTTTTTTTTTTTTGGTACAGTGGTGTGATCTTGGCTCACTGCAGCCTCCGTCTGCCTCCCAAGTTCAAGCAGTTCTGCCTCAGCCACCCAAGTAGCTGGGATTAAAGGTGTGTGCCACCACTCCCGGCTAATTTTTTAAATATTTTTTGTAGAGATGGGGTTTTGCCATGTTGACCAGGCTGGTCTTGAACTCCTGACCTCAAGTGATCTGCCCACCTCGGCCCCACAAAGTGCTGGGATTACAGGTGTGAGCCACCATGCCTGGCCTGTGTTGCTCTCTTATAATCACATGTACTTCCCCCCACTCTTTCCCCTCCCCAGTCCCCATTCCTAATCCTTGGCAACCACTAATCTATTTGACATTTCAAAAATATATAAATGGAATCATACAGTATGTAACATTTTGAGATTGACTTTTTTCACTCGGTGTAATTCTCTGAAGAGTCACCTAAGGTGTTACTTGCATCAATACTTTCTTTATTGATGGTAGTGTGTATGCACTATAGCTTATTTAACCATTTACCTTTTGAAGGTCATCTGGGCTCATTCCAGTTTTGGTTATTCTGAATAAGGCTGCTTTGAACATTAGTGTACAAGTTTTTGTGTGAGCACAAATATTCATTTGTTTGGGATAAATGCCAAAGAATGCCTAGAAGTTAAGTCATAAGTTTTTAAAGTGTCAGAAATATTAACTCGGAGAAAGGTATTCCTGCTAGTCATGAATCTACAGTTCTCAGTCTTTAATCCGAAGGAAAAAAAAACAGTTTTTTTTTATTTTTTGGCAGGAGATTGGCACCAAAGACCACTTTTGCCATGCATCTTAGGAAGAAAAATGTGTGACTTCTGCATACATACAAAATTATCACAAAATTTATAAATTGGCACAGTATGCCATTACCTGACAGTTAAAACTAACCTATAGTCACTACATTTTTAAACAGGCAATCTTTTTTTCTTTTAACTTTTTCCACTTCAACAAGTAATTGTAGAAAATCAGAAATGTATAAACATATAAACAAGAAAATTAAAACCCAATACCAAGAAAACCATTATTAAGATTTTTGGTGTTTTTCCTTCTAGTCTTTTTTTTGTGTGCATACAATACTGTACTAATTTAATATGGTTTTTTATAAAATTGAGATTAGGCTAAATGCAATTTGGTATCCTACTTAAAAGTTGAGGGAGAGGGGCGAGAGTTGAAAAACTGCCTGTCAGGTACTGTGTTCACTGTTTGGGCGACAGAATCATTAGAAGCCCAAACCTCAGCATCATGCAATAGACCTATGTAACAAACTTGCACATGTACCCCCTGAATCTAAAAAAAAAACCCTGAACCTAAAAAAAAAACCCTGAAAGTTAAAAATTGAACTTTTAAAATATTTTACACCATTTATATATCTTCATTTGTAAACTTCATTTTCCCCCATTTTTATATTGGTGAGATTGTGCTTATGACTGTTTGCTAATGTATAAATAGAAAATGTTTTTCAGGAATAATCTTTAGTTGGATACTTTTTGAAATGAGTATCTCTTGTTTTATGTCACATTTTAAATCATTTTTCTTGTTCTTTCAAGATATGCTGTGATAGCATTTGGATGTGCCAGCTGTCCAAAATTAACTTGTGGGCGAGAGGGCTGTGGAACAGAGTTTTGCTACCACTGTAAACAGATTTGGCACCCCAACCAGACCTGTGATGCTGCTCGACAAGAGAGAGCCCAGAGCTTACGTTTGAGAACTATACGTTCTTCATCCATTAGTTATAGTCAAGAGTCTGGAGCAGCAGGTATTTATGTCTAATTTTTTCTAATAAAATATTTGACACAAAACACTAGTTATTTTAACTTTTTAAAGTTAAGTATTCCTGTTTTCCTTTCACTTGCCGAAAGTGTTTTTAAGTGCATTTCTATCCCAGAAGCACTCATTCTTTCCTATGGAAGAAAGTGGTTCTGAAATTAGAAAGATTATACTGTCCAGGAAAAAAGGAAGTGTTGTGATGATTTATATAACTGATAGCCAAAGATAGTCTGAAACTGTTGATTATAAAGGTATCTGTCCAGGTATGGTAGCTCACTCCTGTAATCCCAGTACTTTGGGAGGCTGAGGCGGGCCGACCACTTAAGGCCAGGAGTTCGAGAACGGCCTGGGCTACGTGGTGAAACCCCATCTCTACTAAAAATAATTTATATTCCTGCCAGCAGTGTATTGAGATAATCATGTACTTTATGCTACTAGAAAAAAAGTCACATGAAATTTTAACACAGAATGTTCGACATTTAATACTTTTGTAACATAAATGTTTTTTTATACTTGTTTGCTGATTGATTTGCTTCTCTTTCCTAAAGATTTGTGGAACTCAGTAGTATTAGTGTTAATTTGTAGGTATGGGTCCAGAAGCAATTCAGAGAGGACCTGAATATACCTAAACTGTTCCCTGAAGAGTCAGCAGTAGCCATTGGGTAGTTCACTTGGAAATGATATTCCTCTCCTCCAAGTTGGGGGTGTGTATTTATTGGTCACAGAACACACAGTCATACAGAGCAAGAGAGAATGACTCTGGAATCAGACTGCCTGAATTCAAATCCCACATTCTCTACTTACTCCGTGAGCAATCCTGAGCAAGTTACTTGTCTCATCTTTAAAATAAAGATACTGGCCAGTCACGGTGGCTCATGCCTGTAATCCCAGCACTCTGGGAGTCTGAGGCAGGCGAATCACTTGAGATCAGGGGTTCAAGACCAGCCTGGGCAACATGGTGAAACCCTGTCTCCACTAAAAAAATACAAAAATTAGCTGGGCGTGGTGGCGGGCGCCTGTAATCCCCAGCTACTCGGGAGGTGAGGCAGGAGAATCACTTGAACCCAGGAGGCAGAGGTTGCAGTGAGCCGAGATTGTGCCACTGCCCTCCAGCCTGGATGACAGAGTGAGACTCCATCTCAAAAAATAATAATGATGATAATAATAAAATAAAGATACTAATAATGCTTATGTCCATATAGTTGAAATAGTTCCTGGCTCATAGTAAGTGCTTTTGCTATATGAGGTAGGGGACCTTAGAGAAACCACAGTCACTTTCTAGAGATTTAAGTATGTCTGGGCTATCATTAAATTAAAAAACGACAGAAATGGCTTTTATTATTTTTTAAAATAAATCATGATTTAGTTATCCAAATGAATATTGGTCTTCCTCAACGTAGTCACCATGGGAGTTTTTGTGTTTATTTCAGCAGTGCTTCCCTGGAATGCCTCATTGGCATAACTTTTAGGATATGTCAGCTTAGTATCAGTTTGATTTCTGAGAATGACTAAAAGTTGCTTTAGAGCCAAGTCTAGCAGCTAGAGTATCATACCAGGTTGGATTATTGGTTTGGTATAGATGCAAAGTAAGATGTGACTATATGATCATGAGTGATTTTTCTTTTATCTAAAGGAGCTTTGAGGGTAATTATGAAAGAAAACCTTACCAAATGCTTTTAGCCGAACAATAACATTGTTGGAATAAATAGTCTCAAGGCGATTGTTTTAAAAAAAAACTTCATTTGGAATTTGTTCCATGTTTGTTTAAAAATCTTGGCTGGGCGCAATGGCTCACACCTGTAATCCCAGCACTTTGGGAGGCCAAGGCAGGAGGATCGCTTGAGCCCAGGAGTTCGAGACCAGCCTAGGCAATGTGGCGAGACTCC
This sequence comes from Homo sapiens, assembly GCF_000001405.40. NCBI lineage: Eukaryota > Metazoa > Chordata > Mammalia > Primates > Hominidae > Homo > Homo sapiens. The sequence continues at coordinate 100,273,055 of NC_000008.11, read as the reverse complement.
TTCTCTACAAAAAATTTAAAAAATTAGCCGGGCGTGGTGATGGGCATCTCTGGTCCCAGCAAGCCAGGAGGCTGAGGTGGGAGGATCGTTTGAGCCTAGGAAGTCAAAGCTGCAATGAAATATGATTGTGCCACTGCACTCCAGCCTGGGTGACAGAGTGAGACCCTGTTTCCAAAAACAAGAGGAAGAATTAGAAATGCAGTGAGGGCTGGGCGCAGTGGCTTATGCCTATAATTCCAGCACTTTGGGAGGCCAAAGCGGCCAGATTGCTTGAGCTCAGAAGTTCTAAAACTTCAACAGCCTGGGCAACATGGTGAAATCCCGTCTCTACTAAAAATACAAAAATTAGCCAGGCGTGGTGGTGTGCATCTCTAGTGGTGTGTGCCAGCTACTTGGGAGATTGAAGTGGAGGATTGCTTGACCCCAGGAGGTGGAGGTTGCAGTGAGCTGCCATTGTGCTACTGCATGCTAGCCTGAGCGACAGAACAAGACCCTATTAATTTAAAAAAAAAAAAAAGTGTAGTGAACTTGGCTTCTCGCAGACTCGTAGAAAGTTAAAAAGGAAGCTACCATCTAAATGGTTTTATTATTATTCCAGATATTTTGGTATTGTTTTCTGTATCATGATAGTCTAAAAAACTAGTTTTACTTTTAATATTAATTGGTATAATAATTAGTTGTTTTTTTTCCCCAGTCACTGAAGATGTGTGCTTAGTTACATAAAGTACATTAATATTTGTGTTTATAAAATAATACAATATTTATAGTATAATGTTTATATATGTGTTTAAATTGTGACAGCACTGCATCCACTTGAGGCTCTTTTTTATAGCTACTAGGAGGTTTAGGCACTTGGAGTTAAATTTTAAATGAACCACATATTTTTCATTTTTGTTAATGTAGTTTTCCCATTTTATGCAAATAAAATATTTAATTGGCTCTCCACTCCTGCCTCTGTCCCCTTACCGCTACCACCCTAAGAGATTATCATTGTTAACATTTGAGGACATGGTGTTTTGTAACCTGTTGTTTTTTCTTAATATGACAATGGCCCATATTTTAGCAGTAAACAAAAAGATACAGAAGATGAAAGCTTAGCCAAACACTGTAAATAGAAATGGGAAGCTTTTTCATATCGGGGAACGGTGGCTTAATTGATTCTTGGGGAATGGGGGATCAACTAACCATAAACAATTTCATTTAGGATTTTTGCATCATGAGGGTATTTGGAGAGAAATATATCATCCTATAATGTGCACAGTAAGTTTTTCCTAATTTGTTGCTTTGAGGAAAGACACAAAGCAAACTAAACAGCCTTTCATAGATAAATAAGTATACAGAGAGTGAAAGATATGGGTACAAGTATATAGAGACCTATCAAAAATACATTGCTTGTGGTATTAATTCTCATGTGTGATTTTAGCATATTAAAAGGCTGTTTTGTGTTTTTAGAACCATAAGAATAAATGGGGATGTTACCTTTCAGTTTGTTCCAAAGATTGCATGCATCATTACCAAAGCTTGAGTCTTTTTACTCCCCTGTCTTGTTGAGATACCTACTACTTGAGCATACTCTGGAATGAGAAAGTTTATCGATTAACATGCTGCTTACGCAGATAGGATTAGCATTTCCTTAATTTAGTATACCACGTGTTGTATCAGGCATAAAAGCCAGCTTTTTTTAGTCATACCCCAATGTTTAAAATTGTTAAATGCAGACTTCATGTTCTTTTGATCATTTAAATCATGACATGGATATTTTTAATTTTTATATTCTAGTAATTATCAATTGTCCTGGTCTGGCTGCTTAGAGTATCAGTTTGCTCAAAATTGCTTGAATCATTAAAGCAAATACTAATTGTGAGCATTGACCAGATCTTAAGTTAAAAAAAAAAAAAAAGCATCTTTGGTCCTAGAAGAAGTGCTAAGGAAACCTGAATTAACTGATAAAGCACAGGTAAAGTTTGACCATAAAACTTGTAGAAAGAATGGAATATAGCTTAATGCTTATAATGTAAGACATTGGAACAAATACTTAAATTCAGTGGTTAGCACTATAAATATCTTTTCTTAACTGTGAGTAGTTGGAAAATATAGCTGGCTAATAGTAATTACAAGTTACTATTTAAACAGATGCCAACATGCAAAGTAGTTGTATAATTTTCCTAAAGTTATGTTACACTTGATTTTAACTTGACGCCATTGTGCATTGTAACCATATTATTATACAAGGAGCATAGACCAACAACAGTTGAGTAAATGGGTGAATAAATGAATAAAAAGGATAAACACAACTAATTTAAAAGTCATGAGCATAACTAACAATGATTGCTTTTATTCTGAAACTGTTTTCCATGGTTTATAACGTTCATAGCCATATGACCCTTCCTTAATCTCTTCCTTCCTTCCTTGTATTTTGGGTACTGATTCTTTGCAAGGTCCATCTCTCTTTTGTGTGAAGTAAAATACTGGGAAAAGGCTGCTTTTCTAAAGATACCTGTTTTGCTATTTTTATAGTGCTTATAACTGATGTAATTAGAAGAAATAAATTCATAGTGCTTTGGATATAGCACCTCAGATTAATATCAAATTGTCACCTCCTGTTAGTGTTCATTCACTAAAGGAATAGTGTACAGAACGTGTACATTTGAATTAAGGGAAGATGGTTAGAAAAGTTCTGGAACCGGGAACTACCATTCAGAAGACTTCTATGGGACCAGGACAAAGACAAACTTTACGTAGTTCACAATTTGCCTAGAGCTGTCCTTGATTCTCCTTTCTCTTTTTATTCTTTTTTTATTCTTTGTTCTCATTGTTTTACTACTATGTTTTAAAAATGTTTATAACTTGATATTTTAATGTAAAGTATGTTTTCTTAGAAGGGAAGAAAAAATGCTTTATATACTAAAAACAGCAGGCTGAAGCTATAAGTTAACAAACTACATCTTAAGATTTTTTGACAGTGCTACAATTGGTAAACTGCTAGAAGTTATTTTTAGACCAGTTTTATGTACTTAATAGATTTCTCTGTGTTCCCAATAGCTGATGATATAAAGCCATGTCCACGATGTGCTGCTTATATAATAAAGATGAATGATGGGAGCTGCAATCACATGACATGTGCTGTTTGTGGTTGTGAGTTTTGTTGGTTGTGTATGAAAGAAATCTCAGATTTGCATTATCTAAGGTAAGCTTATAGAAGGAGCTATTTATATGTAAATGTAATTTTATATTGTAAGACAAAATAACTTGTCTTAAATTTGGGTTTTATAAGATACTTAAAGGGATTGGTTTTATTCTAGTTAAATAAATTTAAAAGAAACCAAGTTATTATGCTAGTCATTTGGAATTAATAACTAGTCAAAATAGGAAATGGATATTTCCTTTTTTTGTTTTTGTTAAACTAGAATGCTAGTAAGTATGTAATACCCTGTGTAATTATGCTAGACCCATAAATACTTTCATTTAATTTTCCCATACATAAATTTTATCATTTAGGCACAGAGTGAGTTTATGATATAATCAGATAATTGATGCCTAAAAATATGCATGTTTTGCATTAGTTTACTATTAAAAAACTGACTTAAGGGTTTGAGGATAATGGAGGACTAGGGATAAATTTTTAACCTGAATCTCAGTTATCAGTATCTTGTTAATATAATTTACAGTGGTTCTTACCTTATACTTCATTGAATTTTCCCATACATAAATTTTATCGTTTAGGCTACAGAGTGAGTTTGTGATATAATCAGATAATTGATGCCTAAAAATATGCATGTTTTGCATTAATTTACTATTAAACTGACTTAAGGGTATGAGGGTAATGGAAGACTAGGGATAAATTTTTAACCTGAATTTCAGTTATCAGTATCTTGTTAATATAATATAGATTAAATAATAAAATATAATATAAAATAAGATATATCAATATCTTGTTAATATAATTTATAGTGGTTCTTACCTTAGTTTAATGAACTCAGAATTTAAAGGGGAAAAAAGCTCCTAACTATGAGAAGTTTTTAAAAATAGTCATTGTTTTAATATAGTGCACTAATTTGTTATTGTGGTGTTTTGCAGCAGTTATTTACATTATAATTTTTTCCGTTAGTCCATCAGGATGTACTTTTTGGGGGAAGAAACCCTGGAGCCGAAAGAAGAAAATATTGTGGCAACTGGGAACACTGGTTGGTGCTCCTGTCGGAATCGCTTTAATAGCTGGCATTGCTATTCCTGCAATGATTATTGGCATTCCTGTGTATGTGGGCCGCAAGGTAAAATGCATACTTCTTGTTAGTCCATTATCTTATTCTAAATCTTTAGGTGTATTCTTTTAGTATTGATGATTTTTGGGTTTTTTTTTTTTTTTTTTTTTAGACAAAGGGTATCTTTAGTTTCTTCAGTATAAAACAGTTACTCTTTTTTCATAAATTTTTAGTGTTTGGCAAGCATATATAAATACGTATAAAGCAGACTTGCTTTAAAATGTTCTGAATCTGAAAATTTTAGTATGTTTGTATTATAAAACTTTGAGTATAAAATATTGAAGGATACACACCTGAGATTTTTCTCATAGGTATATCCTTGTAAGGTCAGGTCTATGAGATCTTTTTAATGAAAGTTAATAGCTAAATAACACATGCCCTCAGGCAAAGAATAATTAGCCAGTTCTTGAATTATTTCTGCTGTAGTTCAAAGCTTTTTTTTTGGATTACTGCTTTTAATAAATACACTATTTTGCAAATTATAACAATCTTGTGAAAGTCCAAACACCAGTGACTACCACTGGCCTCTAATTGATGAATTATATTTCATTAGCTAAGCAAATAGTTCTTTTGTTAAGGGTTAATGGGATAATTTATGAGGTCCTAAGAAGTCTGTTGTTGCCTAAATTAATAGAATCTCTGGATTGAGAAGTAACTTTCAGTAGAATATAGCTAAAAGAAAAAAAAAAGAAATTTTCTTTGGTATCCAAGAAGATCAAAAAAATTAAAACTTTTTTTAAAAAATAAAAAGAAATTAATCCCAACCTTGTACCCAAGCAGAACAAAGGATAGCAATTTTCAAAAAGGGAACTAACAGGCCAGGTGCGGTGCCTCACCCCTGTAATCTTAGCACTTTGGAAGGCTGAGGCTGGTGGATCATCTGAGGTCAGGAGTTCAAGACCAGCCTGGCCAACATGGTGAAACCCCATCTCTACTAAAAATACAGAAAAAATTAGCCAGGCATGGTGGCAGGTGCCTGTAATCCCAGACTCGGGAGGCTGAAGCAGGAGAATCACTTGAACCTGGGAGGTGGAGGTTGCGGTGAGCTGAGATTGCACCATTGCACTCCATCCTAGGCAACAAGAGCAAAACTCCATCTCAAAAAAAAAAAAAAAGAACTAACAAGCTGGGCATGGTGGCTTACTCCTGTCATCGTAGCACTTTGGGAGGCTGAGGCAGAAGGATCACTTGAGGCTGGGAGTTCAAGACCAGCCTGGACAACATAGTGAGACCCCATCTCTCAAAAAAATTTAAAAATTATCTGGGTATGGTAGTATGCACCTGTAGTCCCAGCTACTTGGGAGGCTGAGGTGGGAGGATTGCTTGAGATGGGCAAGTGGAGGCTGCAGTGAGCTGTGATTGTGCCACTTCACTCCAGCCTGGGTGATAGAGCAAGATCCTATCTCTAAAATAAAAAAAGGATCTAAAGGTTGTCATACTGTGTCATAGGTGTTGTATGTACTTTTACTTATTTTAACCCTGCAGCAACCTCGATATTTCGGTCTCTGTGTGTTAAAATATTGAGATTTAGGAAAGTTTATGTAATATATCTTCAGTTACACACAAAGAAGCAGAGCTGAGATTTGAACTCAGATGCATGAATTCTTAATATAAGTTCCATGATTAAGTTTCAGTAGCTATTTGGGAACTCAGTCATGGGGAAACCACCAACTCATGAAGCAATCCATTCTGTTGTAAAATGGCTACTAATTGTTACAAAATTGTTACGTTTGAGTCAGATCTGTTTCCTTTTGTTTCCTTTATTTCTGTTTCTAACTTCTGGGACCCGACTGGGAATAAGGTTGATCTTCTTCTGTAAAACAGCTGAATTTTTTATATTCAACATACATTTTATAATCAGAAAAATAATATATACTATTTCTTAAAAATTAGTTTTGGGGCTGATGACAAACATATTTATAAGTCACATATTTATTTCTGAAGGTTTTAAGTGAGTAAACCTGGACTTTAAAAAATGTTGGGCCATGTGTGGTGGCTCATGCCTGTAATCCTAACACTTGGGGAGGGTGAGGAGGGAGGATTGCATTAATCCAGGAGTTTGAGACCAGCCTGGGCAACACAGTGTGACACCTTGTCTCTACAAAAAACTAAATAATCAGCTGGGAGTGGTGGTGCATGCCTGTAGCCCCCGCTATTAAGGAAGCTGGGATGGGAGGATTGATTGAGCCCGTGAGGTTGAGGCTACAGTGAGCTGTGATCGTGCCACTGCACTCTAGTCTGAGCGACACAGAGAGACCCTATTTCCAAAAAAGAGAGAAAAAATAAAAAATTTCAAAATATATTAGCTGATCGTAATTTTTCATGTAGTTATTCAAAGCAAGGCTTTGCTGAAAACAAAACTATTCAGATACTTAGAAGGGAAAGAGAGACTGTTGTACCACATGTACCTATAAATCATTTATAGAGAAGAGATTATTTACCTCATTGTTCAGGTCATAGGGTACAGTTACAGATCTCCTTTTTTCAAACATGTACCCAAAGGGTTGTAAATGAATGAATTAGTTTTCCATTGAAATAATATTCTGTGGTGCTTTGGGATCCCAACCAGCCTAGGAAAACCTGCTAAGTCAATAAAGTACCCAAAAGCTGAGCCTTCACTTAACAATAAAAAGTAGAGAATGTGGCAAAAAATAGTAAACAGAAAAATTAAGTTGAACCAGAAATAGTGGGATAATGTGATCACTAATCAAACATTGGTGCTTGAGGCTGAAAAATTTTCTAGAAGACTCCTTTCTCTTGGCAGCCTGCCTTTGCAAGTCTGCTCCATCAGTTGTGCCTTTTCTCTTCTTCAGTGCTAAGTTTCCCAGGAATGGGAGTGGGGAGGAGCAGGAATTAGCTGCAGTGCTGAAGGATAATGAAAGGTACCTTGGGAAGGTCTACCATCTCTGCCTGCATGGACTGTGTAGGGAAGTGAGGAGGCTCATTGACAAGGAACCTCTAGTCAATGCTGGGAAATGGGATTCTGACTAGGAAATAGAAAGGTTTCTTGTCCCATACATGCATCACCCACCTCCCACCCCAACCTTTCTACTGTTTTCCACAACACTCATCGTACTTTACAGCCTTCCAAAGGCCAAAGGTGTTATTATACCATGTAATAATAGATTATTTTATAAGTCCCATCTGTAGTATTGTTTATAAGTCATTTTATTTTAGAGAGTCCCCATACTTTTGAGGCTGTTTTGAATTTGTTTTGGAACAGAGGGGGAAAATGTGCCATATTAGCCCTTGCAAACCATGAAAATAAAGATCTCAAAGTTCATATAATTTCACAAGCCAGTTTTTAATCACCGCTTCTATGATGATATCAAATTCTACTTATTAACACCTGTCCTGTACAGAGATTGCTGAGTGAATTCAATCCTGTCTTCTGGTAGCCATTATTTATCATCTTTTTTCTTTCTCTGCCATTTACTTTGAGCTATAAATGAGAGCCCTGGAATTTGAGTCATTTGTCAATATTGTCTTCATAAAAAGGATCTGAGAAAAAAATAATACTGTTTATTCATACTTGTTTATTAGAACTGCTTTTTAAGGTCAATTTTTAAAAAGAAACCTTCCCTAGAAGCCAATTTTTACCATTTAGAGAATATTCTTTAGAAAGAAACCTTTAGAATGCTGGAAGTATCCTGTTGGTGAACCATGTAACTCATAACTGTGTTGAAAATAATAATCTTAATTTCTTCCTCTTTGCTCGATACATAATTACACTACTTTTGATTAAGATTATAAAGATGACTTTTACTCAGAACTTTTAAGCACAAAGTAAAATCCATTAAATCACTGTCTTAAGCAAATTAATAAGGAGCAAATTATTTGTGAGAATATATAATAGTTTAAGGACACTAGTAGGTTTACCTTGAACTAAGATACTCAGCTACGAACTTCTATGAAAAATCACTTTAGCAAGTATAGATCTTTTTCAACTAAGTTAAATTGTAATGTATTTTCTCTTTAATCCCCCACCCCTATTTTTATTAATTCAAGATTCACAATCGCTATGAAGGCAAGGATGTTTCAAAGCACAAACGGAATTTGGCCATAGCAGGTGGTGTAACGTTGTCTGTAATCGTGTCTCCAGTAGTAGCTGCAGTGACTGTAGGTAAGAAAATGCTGAAAAGTACTAATTACCTACAATTTTATGGAGTTAAAGTTTTGTGGAAGGATTTTTTTTAATTGTTTTTTAATTTGAGGACAATTTAAATTGAGCCTGCAGTAAGTCTTGGTTGAAAGTATTACAGATTCAAGAGCCTAGCCTTAAAGTAGTTGGTAAATTGTTAGTGGCTGATACCCTTCCTCCCCACTCCACCCCAAGTACAGTTCGGAGGCCTGGCACTTCAAAAGAAAAAAGTTTGCATCTCTCTCTTTTTCCCCTTATGTGCATTACCTGAAAGGCTGGGAACCTTGAATTTGCTTAACAACTGGGTAAATCTACTTTTGGCAAATGTTCCAGCCAACTCTTCAGAACCCTGGCGCTTTTCTCTGTATGACTCTCTTGAAAAGACTTTCTAAAACTCATGTTTCTGTGAGTTATTTTGTTGTTGTTGTTTGTAATGACTGATTTAATTTCTCTTTAGGTATCGGTGTTCCTATTATGTTAGCTTATGTCTATGGCGTAGTTCCAATTTCTCTTTGTCGAAGCGGAGGTTGTGGAGTCTCAGCAGGCAATGGAAAAGGAGTTAGGATTGAATTTGATGATGAAAATGATATAAATGTTGGTGGAACTAACACAGCTGTAGGTAAGTCCTTTAAGCAAAGGAAGAAAATGTGCTTATTAACAGTGTAAGTAGTGGGGAGGCCAGAGATAACATGCAACTCAGAATTTCCATTGCCATCCTTTTACTAGGCCTAATAGTATTCATTCAGAAGTACATAAGTGAATAAACTGCCAAGGAGGAGTGTATGGATGAAAGAGGTGGGGGTAATTCTGGGTATCTGACCTCTAATTGGAATATAATGTCTTAGAAATCATAAACTTTTCATCTTAAATTTTGCCTGAAACATTATAAATAACTAAGTAAAGGATATGAAGAGGAATACAGTTAATAAAAGAAATACGGATGACCAATAATACAAAAATATCTTCAACTCAATGTTATTCAAAGAAATGTGAATTAGAACAGTAACGAGCAAAGATTAAGAAGAATAAAAAAGCCTTCATAGACTGCCTATAGGAGTATGTCAATAAACCTTTTTTAAAAAGTGCATGTTCTATATTCTAGCAATTCTTGTTTTAGAAATTTGTCATAGGGAAATAATTAGGCAGATGTGTAAAGATAATGCCTACTTTCTTACCTCTTATTTTCTCTTGAACTGGCCTCAATCAGATTTTTGTCCCTACCACTCCAGAATTTTATTTCTGCTATTCACTGAAGCAGAGTCACCAGTGGCCTCCACGTAACCTAATACAGTGGTCAGGTCTTGGTCCTCATCTTAACAGTATATCCGACATGGTAGAGACTCTACCCTTCTTGAAATACTTCACTTTTCTTATGGGAAACCACTTCTTACCATATTTCCTGGCCAGTCCGTCTCATTAATCTTTGCTGGTTCATTTTCCTCTTCTGACCTCTAAATGTTTGTTCCCCAGAGCTCAGTTCTCAGAATTCTTATGTATCTACACTTTTCCCCTAATCTCATCTATTAAATAATGCATAGACCGACCTCTCCCCTGAACTTCAAACTTGCATGTGTAACTTTCCTCTTTAATCTGCACTTGAGTGTCTAACAAGAATTTCAAGCTTAACTTGTCTACAGCCAAATTCTTGGCTCTAAAATCTCTTCTTCCCTTCATCCTCCTTAACTCAATAAGTAGCTTCTCCATTCCTCCTGTTGCTTGGGCCAAAAACCTTCACTTAACAATGCCTCCCTCTTTTCCCTCTTGTCCTACATCTGATTGATCTGTCAGCAAATTCTGCTGCTTCCTTCAATATTTAGCCATAATCCAGCCACTTCTTACTCTCTTCGTTGTCCTTCCCTTAGTCCAAGCTACCATCCTCTTTCCTGGGCTATTGTAATAGCCTCTTAACTGCTGTATCAACTTCTCAGCTTCTATTCACTAGTCCATAGTGCAGCCATAGTCACATGTCTAAACCCTGTCAGATTATAACTTTCTTATGCTCAAAACTTCCCCAGTGGCTTCTAACTGTACTGGGGAAGAAAATCCAAAGTCCTTATCATAGCCCAAAAGGCCCCACATGATCTGCCCCAACTATGTCTCTGAGCTCATCTCTTGTCACCCTCTTATTTTATACCACTCTTGCTTGATTTTTGAGGGTGCCAAGCATTATCCTACTTCTAGGCTTTTAAACTGGCAGTTCTCTGTCTGGAATACTCTTTCCCTAGAAAATTTCATGACTCACTGTTTTACTTCATTTGTCTCTACAAGTATTACCTTATCAAAGAGGCCTTCTGTCATCACATCATATAAAATGGCTCACAGACATGTACGTACATGCACTTTTCATCACTCTCCTCCCCTTTACTCTCTTGTATTTTTCCTCATAGCATTTGTCACCGTGTGATTGGGTATATAATAGGAACTCAAATATTGGTGCAAATAAGTGACTCCTTAATACAAAATGTGTGAGAGGTACTGTAAAATTGGAACATAGTGTTATCAGATCTTAATAATAGCTTGTAGACAGAACTGTGGCATATATCTAGAAATCAACTTTTAGCCTATTCTTACTGACCTAGAGAATAATAAGCTCTTTAAATGACACCCTTAATGAAAACTGTCACATAATTTTCCTCTAAAGTCAGCGATATTTTTTAACAATCATATTCTTTATAGAATTCCTAAATCTGGGTTTTTGAAAAAAGAAACTAGTGACCATTTAAAATTGTTGGCTCTATTCCCACTGCTTCTAGTGGACTAGCCTGAAAAAAATATTTTTCCATGTCTGCGTATATTTTATACCTTATATAATGTCCTCTCTGAAATCATGGAGGAATTTAAGAAGGAGAAAATTGATAATCATACTTACTTAGTTTCTTTGGAATATTTGCATTTAGACACAACATCAGTAGCAGAAGCAAGACACAACCCAAGCATAGGGGAGGGAAGTGTTGGTGGGCTGACTGGCAGTTTGAGTGCAAGTGGAAGCCACATGGATCGAATAGGAGCCATCCGAGACAACCTGAGTGAAACGGCCAGCACCATGGCACTAGCTGGAGCCAGTATAACGGGGAGTCTGTCAGGAAGTGCCATGGTAAACTGTTTTAACAGGTGTGTGTTTTGGTTTGGTTTGGTTCTGCTTTCTGGTAACTACAAATTATTAATTAGGTGAGAATTTTGAACATAAAGCATGATGATTATATATAACCCTACTATGTCAAGGTTCAAAATAGTAATGTTAAAAATGAAATTTGGGGCCAGGTGCAGTGGCTCACGCCTGTAATCCCAGCATGTTGGGAAGCCAAAGCAGGTGGATTGCCTGAGCTCAGGAGTTCGAGACCAGCCTGGGCAACATGGCGAAACCCCATCTCTACTAAAAAAATATAAAAAATTAGCCGGATTTGGTGGCATGCACCTGTAGTCCCAGCTGGTCGGGAGGCTGAGGTAGGAGGATCACTTGAGCCTGGGAGTTGGAGGCTGCAGTCAGCCAAGATCACACCACTGAGCTCCAACCTGAGTGACAGTGAGACCCTGTCTCAAAAAAAAAAAGAAAAATTTGGTGGTAGATTTCTAAGTCTAAGGAATAACATTCTGCCAATTTTTTCACTGTCCTTGTCACATTTTATATTATAAATCGTTGCTACAGCTGCTTCAGTAGACATTGAAGCAAAGGCAGTACTTAAGCCTAGATCTTACCTCTGTGGGTAACAACAGCCAGATATTAGGAGATGGGACTTTGGCTGAGTCCTGGGAAACAGGTGGAGTCAGGACATCCAGGAATGTGTGAACTGGGACCGGGATAATCGGCTAGGGTCCTTTTATGTATTAATGCTTGCTTACTTTGTTCTCACCAAGTCTTTTATCAATAGCCATATAGATAAGTAGGAAAAATTATCTTCCCCTGTTTCTCTTTAATTCACTATTTTTCACTTAGGCTTATTAGCCTTGCTTTTTTTAAGTGTAGGGGAGAATACATGAATTAAAAGATAAATTAGACATCTTATTTTTAGGTAGTTTGCCTTTTAAATACAAACTCTTAAGTTATAGTGGTATATACTACCTCTTTTTAAAAAGGCAAATGTTGGTTGGGCTCAGTGGCTCATACCTATAATCCCAGCACTTTGGGAGGCCAGGTTGGGAGGATAGCTTGAGGCCAGGAATTTGAGACCAGCCTGGGCAACATAACGAGACCCTGTCTCTAAAAATATATATAAATAAATAAAGTATTAAAAGGCAGGTGTTATTTATAGAGTCATTTTTTAATATAGATGCCCAGGATTTTTGGATTCATTGGTGTGTCATGTTTAATGATTAATAATGTATTCTAACTTTGTGTTTTGCATTGAAACATTACAAAGTGCCATATGCTGAGTGAGAATAATGGAGTACATTTAAGTGAAAATCCTTTGTGTCTTTTTTGTGTTATTTCATTACCACTTTACTTGGCAGACAGCTGATGTTCCCCATTTTATTTGGATGGCTGGTACTATGCAGTGTGCTGCAGTAGAATTTAAATTAAATAAAAGGAAATAAAAAATAATGGTTCCTAAAATAGCTTCTGGTTACTAGGGTTCTTAACTGAATTATTTAAAGATACATATTACAGTAGTGCTGATATTAAATATAATTTTGGTGATTTCATACCCCCCTTTAAGGTTGGAAGTACAAGCAGATGTACAGAAAGAACGGTACAGTCTAAGTGGAGAATCTGGCACAGTCAGCTTGGGAACAGTTAGTGATAATGCCAGCACCAAAGCAATGGCAGGATCCATTCTGAATTCCTACATCCCATTGGACAAGTAAGGAAAAAACTGTTAAAAAATTGAAAGTATTTTTTAAATTAAAGGAATAATTCCTATCATTAGACAAATTACCAGTGAAAAGTGGCTACCAACTATTAAGTTCTCTGAGAAAAGGAAACAGTGAGCTGTCCAGAGTAGGCAAATCTGTATAGATCATAAAGTGGATTTGTGGTTGTCAAGGGCTGGGAAAGGGAAGAATGGTAACTAACTGCTAATGGATGCAAGATCCCTTTTTGGGATCATGAAAATGTTCTGAAGTTAGGTAGTGGTGATGGTTGCACAGCTCTGATCACAACTAAAAATCACTGAATTGTACACTTTAAACAGGGGAATTGTATCTGAATAAAGCTGTTCTTTAAAAAAAGGTAGCATAGTGTCTAGAACAGCATAAGCAATAAATGTGTCCACCACTATTTTAAAACATTGAAGCATTATAAAGAGTTCTGTTATATCAAGTATGTTTTTTAAGTAGAACGTGTTCTGCGTTAAGGTGTTCTCATAGCTTATATATAGTCTGAATTTTCCACATAGAAACCCTTCCCCCAGTCATCTGAACAAAAAGAAGTCAGCAATTATGTTTGTATTTGTTACTCTTATATTTCAGAGAAGGCAACAGTATGGAGGTGCAAGTAGATATTGAGTCAAAGCCATCCAAATTCAGGCACAACAGTGGAAGCAGTAGTGTGGATGATGGCAGTGCCACCCGAAGTCATGCTGGCGGTTCATCCAGTGGCTTGCCTGAAGGTAAATCTAGTGCCACCAAGTGGTCCAAAGAAGCAACAGCAGGGAAAAAATCAAAAAGTGGTAAACTGAGGAAAAAGGGTAACATGAAGATAAATGAGACGAGAGAGGACATGGATGCACAGTTGTTAGAACAACAAAGCACGAACTCAAGTGAATTTGAGGCTCCATCCCTCAGTGACAGTATGCCTTCTGTAGCAGATTCTCACTCTAGTCATTTTTCTGAATTTAGTTGTTCTGACCTAGAAAGCATGAAAACTTCTTGTAGTCATGGTTCCAGTGATTATCACACCCGCTTTGCTACTGTTAACATTCTTCCTGAGGTAGAAAATGACCGTCTGGAAAATTCCCCACATCAGTGTAGCATTTCTGTGGTTACCCAAACTGCTTCCTGTTCAGAAGTTTCACAGTTGAATCATATTGCTGAAGAACATGGTAACAATGGAATAAAACCTAATGTTGATTTATATTTTGGCGATGCACTAAAAGAAACAAATAACAACCACTCACATCAGACAATGGAATTAAAAGTTGCAATTCAGACTGAAATTTAGGCCCATAAATGCTGCAGAATAATTACCACTGTACAACCGTGTTTGGAGCTGGTTGAACTACATGTGACTACTTAAGTTTCAGGTTACCAGCAAAAGCCGGGTTTCATTATCATAATGCAGATACATTTTCTGTGTTCAGCAAGGCATTGTGTGTCATGTGGATCTTAGTTACCAAACTATGAAGTGAAGGCTTTAAAAGTGCATTATTTTAAGGATAATAAATTTGAAGAGCAAAGCATGTTTTGTGTGTTTGCCACAAAACATTGCTTGAAGCACATACTTAGATAGAAATTGGTCTTAATTTATATAATCAATATAAAATACTAATGCAATTCTACAGCATTCAAATGAAGAAAACTTGAGGCTTTAGGGATAAGTGGTTAGTGATATTTTATTGAAACCACTAAAGAGATAAGTTTAAAAGAACTGCATAGGTTACTCTCAGTATATGATACTCTGTAACATTTCTATTTATATCGGCATAAATTTCATTTTTTTTCTTCATATGCAATGTGGTTATATAAAGCTTAATGCAGCTCATTTGCTACCATTTGGATACTTAGACACTTTGAGCAAGATTGTGGCAGTTTTTGCACAACTTTGAAATAGAAATACCTGGTACTCTATCTTGTTTATTGTTGATGCCATCTTAGAGGAAAAAATGTAAAGGTAAGTAATTAAGCATATGACAGCAACAAATAAGATACATAAAACTACAAAATAAAGTCCCATTAGGTTATAAGTATTACAAAAAATCCACCTTTCTCTAAGGGGAAGTTTGTACCCCATTGATTCTTGGTGCCTTTGGGATCGACTGGGTTTTAATGGCCTAGTTATTTGAGGATTTTGCTGTGTTGTTTTCCATGTCTTCTCTGGTCACCTTGGATTATATATAAAAATACAGGAAATAGATAAACATGAATGTGATTAATAATGCTGAAAAAGTATTAGCCTACCAAAGACACACTCAGGCTTTAGTGAATAACTTTACATAACCTCAGTTTTTAACACATGCATATCTTCTCCAACCATGAAATCAAAGCACGGTGCAGAACTTGTACCAAGTACAAAAGGTCCATGTATGATTAGCATTATTTTCTTTTGCTTTTGTTTATGGACAATGTTCAGCTGACATAAGCAGAAGTTGGCCAAAATACTGCCTGTACTGTTAATTTCCTGTATAATTCACTTAAATAAAAGCAGGTTAACCTCAATGATAGCAGTTAAAATGTTCTATCTTATGTATTTCTTTTAAGTATTACCATTATGGTGCTACTGAGCGTTTTCTTTTGGTAAAAAGAAAAATGCCATGGGCTGCAGTCTTCTTCCATCACTTTTCCCTACCAGGTCCATTAATATGCTTATAACACTAGTGCCAGTTATTTTATTTGATAATGCTTATGGTATTTGTATATTTGTTTGCATTCCAATTTTGTTTAATAATGAGTGTGTAAACTGCATACGTTAAATAAATGTAAATACTAATGTACTGCTGCCTTCTGGTGTGTACACAAGTGTTTTTTTTTAATAAGAATGAGAATATTCATTGGCCATGTGGTAGTATTCATAAATATTGCAAGCCATTGTGATTATTCTGCCTTCTGGTCTCAGCTCAAGGGGAAGCATTTGCTGAACTTTTCAACAGTGTTAGAAACTACCCTTTTTTCCTGTCTAATTCCTGCCTTTCCACCAGAAAAAAAGATACTGTATACATCAACATAATTTTTTTGAGTAAATTGGTTGAATTTAACTTGAGTAAATATATGTATCATTAAATTGTGAAGAGAAATCAGTATTATAAATCCTCAGAAAAGTGGAAAGATCAGCTAACTTGGGAAAAGGGGAAAAAAGTAAAAAGATCTTAAAAGACTATTTTAAGAGATTCTATTCTAGCAACATTAGATTATGAAATGAGCCATTTAAATTCAAGCTAATTGTAATCAGATGCTTTCTATTCTTGTAGCTTCTGTAAAATGCATAGATGGTTTTTCTGTTTCCCTGGTATATAGTTAATGCTTCATGAAAATAATCTTTTTTTTTTTTTGAGATGGAGTCTCACTTTGTAGCCCAAGCCTCGAGTGCAGTGGTGCGATCTCAGCTCACTGCAACCTCCGCCTCCTGGGCTCAAGCAGTTCTCGTGCCTCAGCCTCCCAAGTAGCTGGGATTACAGGCAAACATCACCACGCCCGGCTAATTTTTTTGTGTGTTTTAGTAGAGACGAGGTTTCGCCATGTTGCCCAGGGTGGTCACAAACTCCTGAGCTCAAGTGATCCACCCACCTCGGCCTCCCAAAGTCCTGGGATTACTGGCGTGAACCACCATGCTCGGCCAAAATAATCTTATGAATATGTTGACTGCCTTGTTGACATTTCTTTAAAAGGCTAAAGATGAAATGGAAAGCTAAATGATCTTCAGAGGAATACAGCAAAAATAGTGCCCTATAGGAGGCTGGTGCATTCATTCACCCTACACCTACTTCTGGTGATACTCCCAACCAGTACCACTTCAGTCTCACCTTAAAACTAGCTTCAAAAATTCCTTGTCTCCTGGACCTTTCAACTAGCTTCAGAAATTCCTTGTCTCCTGTATCCTTCAAAGTTGGATTAATTTAGGACCAAGCCAGTTTTCCCTGGAACTCAACTCTGGGCTAGCCTTGAACAAGAGATACCTCCAGGGTATTCAAAATAAACCTTAACTCACTGAAATCTTGTTAAAACTCTTTGTACTTTAAAGCCTGTTGGAAAAATCATCTGGTAATGAGAGAAAAGAAATACAAAGATTATAATAGTATATCCTACTGTTGATTATGTAGACCACCAATTTAACTGGTAGATTCACTTCATTGTACAAATTCCCAGCTTCAGAGCACTTAATTAGTTAGCTTTTTATATTAAATGCACATAATCCACCACTCCTAACTTATTTTTCCTGGAAATTGTGTTAATTTGTAAACATGTAAGACTTTCCCTAGCCTGTTATTTAGGTAAACATATAGACAAATCACCAAAGGATAAAGTATGTGTTGAAAACTATCGGAGCTATTAATTGCTACATGACATGAGCAAAAGAAACTCCTGCTCCATAGATTGTTTTGCCTTTCCATTCACAGTCATCACGCTTCTTACAGATTCTAGTCTGTACTTGGATCTAAGGAAAAAAATTCTTTTCTCAAGGCTGCATTTCATATGGTTCCTTTTAATGGATTTGTTGTTTCATTTATTTCCTTCACTAGAGCATGAGATATCATTGCTTAACAGCCAGTGTTTACATACTGGTTGATTTTTGAATGCCAAAAATAGTATTCTAAACTTGGGGAGAGTTATGTTATTTAGGGTGGCTATTATTTAATAGCTGGATATGAAAAAGTTTGCAGTTTTAAAATTTAGTTCAGATTGGATCACTGTACATCATATGCTAGTCAGAATTTTTGTGACTTCTACCAATTTATTCGTTCAACAAAGTAGATGCTGGAAATACAGCATAGTACCAAATAAACAAACACCCTGGCTTCAGAGGGCTTGTATTAGAATTTGGAGGATACAAAAATAATAAACATATGCATGTAGCTTAAAATAATGGAACGAGATGTAAAATAACCAGATGATGATTGCTATGAAAAATTAGAGGTGGGCACAATAAGAGTGACTGGGATTTTGGGGAAGCAGTACTGTTTTATACAGGGCAGAACAGGAAAAGTCTCTAGAAGACATTTGTCCCAAGATCTAAAGGAAATGAAGGAACCATGTAAAAACATACCTGGTGAATGAGCATTTTCAGAAACATCTCCAAGGTGAGTTAGTGGACAATTTAGACATCAGTCTTGGAATCTGAATTTGCTATCTAATAGGGCAAGTCTGCCACTGTTTTTTCCTTGGATGGTGTCTTGACTGTCCTTGGCACTTTATATTTCCATAAACATATTAGAATAACCTTGTTGTGTTTCACTAATTTTGATTGGGATTACATTGAATCTATAATTATCCCCATAGAATTCTTTTACATCTTTTGTTAAATTTCATTCCCAGGTACTTGATATTTTTTATCCTATAATGTATATTTTTAAAATGTCATTTTCTTTCTTTCTTTTTGAGAAAGAGTTTCATTCTTGTTGCCCAGACTGGAGTGCAGTGGTGCGATCTCAGCTCACTGCAACCTCTGCCTCCTGGGTTCAAGTGTTTCTCCTGCCTCAGCCTCCTGAGTAGCTGGGATTACAGGTGTCCCACCACCACGCCCAGCTAATTTCTTGTATTTTTAGTAGAGAAGGGGTTTCGTTATGTTAGCCAGGCTGGTCTCAAACTCCTGACCTCCAGTGATCCACCTGCTTCGGCCTCCCAAAGTGCTGGGATTACAGGCATAAGTCACCACGCCCAGCCTCATTTTCTGTTTGTAACTAATAGTATAGAGAAATGCCATTGATTTTGTATTAACAATTTTGTATCTGGTGAATCTTACTCTTTTAATTCCAATGGTTTATCTCCAGATTCTTTGGGATATCACTGTACAATTATCACTTGTGAATGTTTGTATTAAACACTTTTACAGTGCTTTGAAGTGTGAAATACTTTCCGAGCACTTTTAAAATAGTAACTTATGGAAAAGCAAACAATAAAAGAAAAATATAACTTATCAAGTTTACTTATATAACAAACCTGCACATGTACCCCTGAACTTTAAAGTTAAATTAAAAAGTAATATTAGGTTTACCTTGAACAGTGAATAGGGGTCATATAATTTAGAAAGATGCAAAAGGTAATTGTATATCAAATTATATACTAAAGTCTTAATTATCATTAGAGTTGGTTCAAAATAAAATACTTATTCCTCAGAACAACTCTGTGAAGGAGGTATTACTATCTTCATTACAGATGGGGGTAACTGAGGCACAGAGATATTAAGTAATTTGCCTGGAGTTGCACAGCTGCTAAGTGGTAGAGGTGGGATTCCCATTGTTTTGGTTTTTTTCTCTTAGATCATTGCATCATTTATTTATTTTTCTGGCCTTTTGCACTGGCTGGGACTTCTAGTGTATACTTCTGAATAGCGGTGGTTATAGGGGGCATTGTTGATTTGTTGATAACCTCAAAGGGAAACCTTTCATCATTTCAGCTATTATTTGCCACAGATATATTTATAGGATATCCTTTATTGAATTTTGTAAATTATCTTCTAACTCCTAGTTTGCCAAGAGTTTTTACCTTTGAAAATACGTTGAATTTTATTGGCTGCTTATTTGGTGGGGGGAGCATCTGCCATATAATTGTGATTAACATGTTAATGTAGTGAATTTGATTCTTCAAATGTTAACCTGGGGCAAACTTCAGTGATCAGAGTATGTAAGATTGGAATGATGTCTTCCTTGAATGTTTGGTAGAAATTGCTATTAAGGCTGTCTGCACTTGAATTGTTTTTTAGTACAAGAGAGAGCCAGGTTTTCAGGGTTAGTAAGCAGCTCATTTTCATCTATATGAGCAGTAAGATAAGGCAGTCTCTTTGCTCTATAAGAGTTGACTAATTCTAGAATGTGTGGGCTGGCTGGTGACAAGATAGTCTTGCTTTTGCTTTTTTTTTTTTTTTTCTTTCCAGCCTTTTGCCTAAATAGCGTTGGATCACATATTTCTGTCACTTTTTGTCCTGCATGGAGGTAAAATATAGACATACATAACACCATGTGTTCCAGGTATTAATACCTCCAGATTCTTAATTCTGTATTCAAGATATTAGGAGAACAAATCTTAAAGGAACTCTAGTCTCATGAGGGCAGGGACCTTGTCTTTCCTTTTATTTTTCCTATACTTATAGTATTTATATATATGAAGAGGAAATTCTGATGGGACAGAAGAACAACTGAGCAAAGGGAATGAGGATGTTTCTGGACTCAATTCAGAGTTGATAACCAGTCACTTCATAATATTGTACAGTAAAATAAGTTGTTTGAAGCAATACAGTGGCTGAAAAGACAGTTAACTTTTAACAAGGTTTTATACCAAATACATTAGTTTACAAATATTCTATCATGTATGACAGCCATTGGACCTAATTTTCAGGGTTAATATAGCCAAGGCATTTTAATTTTGCTTTTGGGGGCTTTTTGTTGCTTTTTTGCTTGTTTAAAGAAAATGTAATACTTTCAACTAGATAAGGAAATCACAGTTGCCTTAGAGGTATCATGAACTGATGTTCTAGAGACTTTCTATTGAAAGCTTAATTAAAATGTGCACAAATTATTTCCCCATCCTTTTTTCCTTGCCTTCTTTTTGTGTTTTGTTCTCCCCTTCTCTTCTCTGCCTCCTTCCCTCATTATCTTCCCCCATAACCAGTGCAAATGACAAAATGTGTGTGATGCCAGTTTTCTCCATGTTCATAGTCACACACAATGCATATATACATTAATTTTCTTGATTTTTTCTCAGTAATATCTTTGGGAAATCTGTCCAAGTCAACTGTATAACTCCAACGCATTCTTTTTAATGGCTGCATAAGAATTCTGTAGTATAGATGTGCTGCAGTTATTCAGACATTCTCATATTGATGAGCATTCACTTTGTTATTTGTTGTTTCTTTCCTCAATACAAAACACTGCAAAAAAATTCTAATAATTACGTCCTTATATTCTGGTACTTCTAAGTATGGGAGATAAATTCAAGGAAATCAAATGGCTAGGTTAAAGTCCATGTCTATTGAATTTTTAAAAGGTTTACCAGATTGTCTCCCAAAAAAGGCTGTCACAATTTACAATTTGCTAACAATACATGAGTTCCCTTTTCCCTGCATTCTACTAACAATAGGTATTAGAGCTTTACAAACTTTTAAACTGTTTGGTGTAAAGTATTATCTATTATCTAATGTTACATTTTCCTGGCTAGTAAATGTGTACATCTTTTTGTGTTTTTTTTTTTGTTTTTTTTTGTTTTTTTTTTTTGGCCTAGGGGCTGGAAGATGGTATTTGAGTTTGGTGTTCTCTAAATTGGCTCTTATATCCTTTGCCTATTTTTTTTTTTTTATTGTTTTCTTGTCAGTTTGAAAGGTATTTTGGCCAGGTGTAGTGGCTCACTTTGGGAGGCTGAGGCAGGAGGATTGCTTGAGGCCAGGAGTTCAAGACTAGCCTGGGCAACATAGCAAAACCCCATCTCTGTTAATAAATAAAAATGAAAATAGGGCCGGGTGCGGTGGCTCACACCTATAATCCCAGCTACTTGAGAGGCTGAGGCAGGAGAATAGCTTGAACCCGGGAGGCAGAGGTTACAGTGAGCTGAGATCACGCCACTGCACTCCAGCCTGGGCAACAGAGCAAGACTCTGTCTCAGAAAAATAAATTTAAAAAAATGAAAATAAATATATTTTTTATACTATAGCTGTTAATAGTTTGACTCTTGTATTTTTCTCCAAATATGTCATTCGACTTTTATTAGCATTGTGTGTGCATTCTATTTTATCCTTAAGTAAACTTTTAATTTTTGAATATTTTTAGATTTACAGAAAAGTTGCAGATATTTCAGCATTTCCACATACTCTTTACATTTTTTTTCTGCAATATGAAACCTGTTGTGTGTCTTTAATTGTAATATTTTAGACCTTCTGGTCATGATTAAGCTCTCCTCTCTTTCTAAATTGTACTTGTAGTCTCTTTTGGTAGTTTGTAGTGAGATTTTAAATTTTTCATATTTTATAAAATCTATCTTCAATTTATCTTAGCATTTAGTGTAATATAAAGGTCCAGTTTTACTTTCTTCCAGATAGAAAGCCATTTGTGATGGCACTATTTTTAAAATAATCTTTCCAAATTTCCCAGTGATTTGAATACTGTGTTTACACTAGAATCCATTTCTAGATTTCTACCAAAAAGTCTGCTGGGATTTTGACTGAATCACCACTGATACCTATTTATCAATATGAGGAAAACTGGCATCTTAACAATATCAAGTCTTCCTATTCATGAATACAGTATATCTATCTTTTAGTTTTTTAATTTCAACAATGCTTTGTAGTTTTCAGTGTACAGATCTCTTAAAAATATCAATTTATGATTACATTCATTACGAGTATATAGAAATTAGATTTTTGTATATTGATCTTGAATCCTACGACCTTGTAAATCACATTAATTTTAGTAGTTTTTTTGTAGATTCTATAGACTTTTTTTTCTTTTTTAAGTCGGAGCCTCGCTCTGTCGCCCAGGCTGCAGTGCAGTGGCTTGATCTCAGATCACTGCAACTTCCGCCTCCTGGGTTCAAGCAGTTCTCCTGCCTTAGCCTCCAGAGTAGCTAGGATTACAGGTGTGCACCACCACACCTAGCTGATTTTTGTGGGGTTTTTTTGTTTGTTTGTTTTCTTTTTAAATAAAGACAGAGTTTCACCATGTTGGCCAGGCTGATCTTGAATTCCTGACCTCAGATGATCCGCCTGCCTCGGCCACCCAAAGTGCTGGGATTACAGGTTTGAGCCACCGTACCCAGCCTCTATTGGCTTTTCTACATAGATAATTGTGTCTGCAAATAAAGAAAGGTTACTTCTTCTTTTCCAATCTGGATGCCTTTTATAACATTTTAACCCCTTATTGCACTGGTTTCAACCTCCAGTACAATGTTAAATAGGAAGGGTAAGAGGACATCTTTACTTTGTTTCCAGTCATGGGGTGGAGGTAGTCTTTCAGTCTTCCTCAGTTTTTATTCCTCCTGGCAGGTTCTTGAAAAACTCAAGTAGGTGGCCTTATCAGGATTGATTGGAAAACCCCAGAGTTTGCCTCTAAGTTATTCACTACCTTGGGTGATTTGCTTCCCCCCACCCCACTTCATTTTTCACAATTGAGATGCAGTTCGCATAATTCACATTTTAAAGTGTACGATTCAGTGTTTTTACAAGGTCGTACAACTGTTACTAATATCTGACTCCAGAACATTTTCATCACCCCAGAAAGAACCCTTTACCCATTAGTAGTCAGTTCCCACTTCCCCTTCCTCTCAGTCCCTGGCATCTACTAATTTACTCTCTCTATGGCTTTGTCCATTCCAGACATTTCACATAAATGGAATAATAAAATGTGGCCTTTTGTGTCCCACTTCTTTCACTTACTACTTTCAAAGTTCATCCAAGGGATAGCATGTATCACTACCTCATTCTTTTTTATGGCTGAATAATATTCAGAAATGCTTTGTAGTTTTCAGTGTACAGATCTCTTAAAGAGATCAATTTATGATTACATTCATTACTAGTATATAGAAATACAATAGATTTTTGTATATTGATCTTGAATCCTATGACCTTGTAAATCATATTAATTTTAGTAGTTTTTTTGTAGATTCTATAGACTTTTTTTTTTTTTTTTTTAAGTCGGAGCCTTGCTCTGTCGCCCAGGCTGGAGTGCAGTGGCTTGATCTCAGATCACTGCAACTTCCGCCTCCCGGGTTCAAGCAGTTCTCCTGCCTCAGCCTATAGAAAGCCTATACAGAAAAGCCTATAGAGGCCAGGTGTGGTGGCTCACGCCTGTAATCCCAGCACTTTGGGAGGCCGAGGCAGGCAGATCATCTGTCAGGAATTCAAGATCAGCCTGGCCAGCATGGCGAAACTCTGTCCTTATTAAAAAAAATCTATTCATTAGTTAGTTGATGGACATTTGGGTGGCTTCCACTTTTTGGCTATTATGAGTAGAACTGCTGTGAACATTTGTGTACAAGTTTTTGTGTGAACATATGTTTTCTACTTTCAGTAATAGGGGTTGCAGAATTATTGGATCAAAATGGCAACTCTGTTTAAGTTTTTGAGGGACTGCCAAACTTTTCCAAAGCAGCTGCACCATTTTACATTCCCATCAGCAATGTATGCAGTTTTTAATTTCTCCACATCCTCACCAATACTTGTTATTGTCCACCTTTTTTTTTTTATTGTAGCCACCCTAACAAAATCTTTGCCCTTGTTTTAGCACAAGTATGAATTAGGATCAAAGTTATGTTTATTGAAATAGTCATCCCAATCCGCTGCTTAATTACAGAAAATAATTGGCCTTATTTTGCCGGGCGCAGTGGCTCATGCCTGTAATTCCAGCACAGCAGTTTGGGAGGCTGAGGCAGATGGATCACTTGAGGTCAGGAGTTCAAGACCAGCCTGTGCAACATGATGAAACTCCATCTCTACTAAAAATATAAAAATTAGCTGGGCGAAGTGGTGCACACCTGTAATCCCAGACACTTGGGAGGCTGAGGCAGGAGAATTATTTTAACCTGGGAGGCAGAGGTTCCAGTGAGCCGAGATCGTGCCACTGCACTTCAGCCTGGGTGACAGAGCAGGACTGCATCTCAAACACAACAAAAAAGAACAAAAAACAGCTGATACAAAAGGGACACTCTGACCTCCTTTTTAAAAATAAAAATAAATTGGTCCTATTTTACAGATGGGAAACTGATACAAAAGAGATCTAACGGCAGGTAGTAAGATTAAATTTTAGGCTATTTTCGAACTTGGGTCACTATTAAAAACAGAATATTAATTCAGGTTGCTTCGTAAGTCTCCTGTCTGCTCTTTCCTGCACTGTGAAGCATACCTGCAGTGGCAGAATTTTTCTTACCAAGTTCCTTCCTCCTGCAATGTGGTACTGGAAATTCTACAGTAAAGTAATCCAGTCACACTGAGCTCTCCCTTCTCATTGACCTGAGTCTATTTCAAAACATGGCTTAGGTTTTACCTCTTCCTGAAATGTTCTTGAGTAACCTATTTGGCCCTTTTAATACCTTTAACACTTGAACATTTCATTGATGCTGTTTTCTCCTAGGAGAGTCTCTTGCACTTGGTGTTATTGACAGTTTTTTTTGCAAATGAAGTATGAGCTCATTAAAAGCAGGGGCTATCTTTTAAAAAGTTTATCCCCCACAATACTTACTAAGAGCATCATAAATAGTGTCATTCACTGGCAATGCTTATGCAATTCAGATGTTAATTATTGCATCCTCAGCTTCTATGCTGTAGATCATAAATTCTAACTTCCCTAAGCATCATGAGAGATTTTTAGATTTCCAACCCCCTAGACTGTAAGATTCTCAAGTGACTCTGTGCAAACATTTCAAGAACAACTGTTTGAGAAATATTTAGAGTGTCATTGTAAACATTTCTGTAATAGGAACTTCCTAATCTGAACTCTGGAGACAAGAACACCAATGGGGCAATGTCCTCTGGATTCATTCATTCAGCAAACTTTACTAAGCATCCATTAGCCTATACCAGACTCTGGACGTACAACTGTTTGCATATTGGTTCATTCTCAAAACAATGACAGATTGGAAAATAAAGATGCTATTGCAAACATTCTCTGTAGCTCAAGTTGTGGGGTAACCTCTTGGCTGTTGTACCATGACTAATTTCCAGGAGATGACACCAGAGGTCCAAGACTAGCTGCTTCTGTCTATATTAATACTTCTATTGGAGGGATCTTAATGTGTGCCTCTGCTCCAGTAAATAACTATTAAGGTGTCCACACTATTTGAAAAGAGGTTTCTTACATTTTTCTAACACATAGATGATATTATACTTAAAAGAAGAAAGCAGTTATACACATGGAAGGAAAGATAAGGTGCTTATCAAATAAAAGGCATTTTACATGAACCACATAAACCAGCAACCCCAAATGGTAGGAAGATACTCCATTTTGCAGACGAGGAACCCAAAGACTGCAAGGTTATACAGCTCCTAAGTAGAGCTGGGATTTGATTGCAGGTGTATCTGATGCCAAATTCTGTGCTCTTAAGCAGTTTCCCAGAGGAAAAGGAGAGCTGCTGAGTCTCTTGCTTTTCATTGATTCTTCTGATATCAATTGACTTTCAGCCACCTCTTTGATTTTTGGCAAAAGGCATCAAAACCTATAAACTCGGCTGGGTGCGGTGGCTCATGCCTGTAATCCCAGCACTTGGGGAGGCTGAAGCAGGAGGATCGCTTGAGGCCAGGAGTTTGAGACCAACCTGGGTAACATAATGAGACCCTGTTTCTACTTTAAAAAAAAAAAAAATAGCCGGGCATGGTGGTGTATGCCCGTAGACCCAGCTATTCAGGAGGATGAGGCAGAAGGACTGCTTGAGTCCAGGAGGTTGAGGCTGCAGTGAGCCATGATTATGTCACTGCACTCCAACCTGGGCAACAGAGCTGAGACCCTGTCTCTAAAAACAAGCAAAAAACCTATAAACGTGACAAAATTCATAGTACTTTAGAGATAGATTTCTCCTTACAGACATCCCTTGATAGAGGTCAGGCAGGAGAATTCTGTGACTTGCACATCAGTTTTTAGGGAGTCCTTTTGGTCTGAGTGGTACCTACAGGCTAATAGGAAAGTAAAACAAATTCCAGCTACACACTTTGCTCCATTCTCTTCCTAGAGAGCAAAACCCATGTGTTAGGAAAGTAACTATAAGAAAATATATTTGAAATCACTTTAACAACATGCTGTGCCATAACTCATGCTTCATCTCTGCACATAACATAGAAATCAAGCCTTCTGAACTACTTCCTGGGAGGCCTCTAGCGAACAGTATACTACTAATAGGCACCACCACTTGGTAGGATAAAGGGAGTTTTCACTAAGATGCATAAGAAGTGGAAATGAAAAGATTAAGCTTAGAAGCTCCATGTCTTTGAAGCTTTCCTGACAAATATCAAATTCTCAATATATCCATCACTTTGCAGTCTCGACTTGTAGAGGCCTTTTCATTTTAAGATCTTGCTCATGAAGGAGGCACTCTCTGAATTTGCCTAGATTAGATTATGGCTCAGTCTGAGCAATTAAGAAATATAATAGCGCTGGGTGCGGTGGCTCACGCCTGTAATCCCAGCACTTTGGGAGGCCGAGGCGGGTGGATTACGAGGTCAGGAGATCGAGACCATCCTGGCTAACACGGTGAAACCCCGTCTCTACTAAAAATACAAAAAACTAGCCGGGTGTAGTGGCGGGCGCCTGTAGTCCCAGCTACCCAGGCGGGAGGCTGAGGCAGGAGAATGGCGAGAACCCGGGAGGCGGAGTTTGCAGTGAGCCGAGATAGTGCCACTGCACTCCAGCATGGGTGACGGAGCGAGACTCCGTCTCAAAAAAAAAAAAAAAGAAAAAAAAGAAATATAATAGCCTGTCTAGACTCAGTATCATAGCTGTCCTTAAGGTTTGCTTTCTTTGCCTTCCAAATTTCACCTTTTCCCTCAAATCCCAGATAGCAAAAGGGCCAAACCAGCCACAGTTTCTCGGCGTTTCACAATACACAATATCCTTAGGTGTGTTCTTATTTGGGCTTCAATATAAGTGAAAGGATTTAGATGAGATGACCTATAACAATTCTCTCCAGGCTACAATGCGACGCAATTCTATGACTAAGAAAAGGCTGCTGGGGTCGGGCACGGTGGCTCACGCCTGTAATCCCAGCACTTTGGGAGGCCGAGGCAGGTGGATCACGAGGTCAGGAGATCGAGACCATCTTGGCTAACATGGTGAAACCCTGTCACTACTAAAAAATACAAAAAATTAGCCGGGTGGTGGCAGGTGCCTGTAGTCCCAGCTACTCGGGAGTATTCTCCTCAGGCAGGAGAATGGCGTGAACCTGGGAGGCGGAGCTTGCAGTGAGCCAAGATCGCGCCACCGCACTCCAGCCTGGGCCAAAGCACGAGACTCCGTCTTAAAAAAAAAAAAAAAAAAGGCTGCTGGGTTTGATCAAGGTTGTTGAGAGGAGTTTAAATTCAATAGTGATGGGAGGCAGAAGCCAAAATTCCTTCAAAAAAGGAATCAGTGAGAGGTGGGGAAAATGGAGAATGATTTTTTCATTTTGTCTTGTAAACAGAAAGTTATCCAGTTTTGAAAGCAATGGTATAGGGAAAGATGAAAGGTTGAGACTTTTCTTTAGGTGAAGAATAGCTGCGTAGGTTTATAGGCTGACAGGATGGCAGCGATGAAAAGGGAGATATTGCAGACATGAAAGAGAAGGTATTATTCTCAGAGGAAAGTCCTAGAAGAAAAGGGAGGAATAAGATCAGGGGTCAGCATTAGAAAAGAGGAGTAAGACTACTTTCAGGGAGAGAACAGTTGGAGGCAGGGGATCTGGTGATGAGTCAAGAGGAGGGGAAGCTGATTGGAGCAGTCCTATGGGATGGTCCGTTACTTCAGTTAAGATCAGGAGGCTGAGGGTGACCATGGGAGCATGTGGTAAAAACTCCAGGGGCCAGATATTAAGAGGCTGGACATGGGAGGTGTGGAATCCTGCATTCAAGATCTGCACACAGGGAACTTTCATATTACCCACAAGCCAGAAATAGTAATGACATTAGTCTCTTATATACTGTGCAATTTAGGAAGTATTTTCATGTTATTTTGCAACAAATCTGTCATTCCAGATGATATTTACTT
The DNA here is from genome assembly GCF_000001405.40 of Homo sapiens. Taxonomy (NCBI): domain Eukaryota; kingdom Metazoa; phylum Chordata; class Mammalia; order Primates; family Hominidae; genus Homo; species Homo sapiens. The sequence continues at coordinate 100,244,196 of NC_000008.11, read as the reverse complement.
AACATTTAAAAATAAGCAAATTTAAGCCCAGAGTGACTGTGATTTGCTTGGATGTTTTTACATCTAGTAAATAATTGTCACACAGTTTTAATTCAAGGGCTTTTAGTTTCTTTCCTTTCCTTTTCTAACATTTTGTCTTTGATGTTTTTGTCTAGAAACTTTGTTCATAAGGTCCCTAAGGCATGAGTTAAGCTCTGATGATTAAATAACCCACACTCTGTATAGAATTACTTTTGAGACTTCTCTCCTTCCAGATGCACAATTTACAGCAAACCAATTAGATATAACAAGTGCTGACATTCCACTAAAATACTTTAGGTAATACATGTACCCACAAATATAATTATACAATTACTAAGACATCATTCATTCAGTGAATAACTTACTGAATCTATTATGCCAGGCATTTTGCTGAGCACTATGGGAAACAGAACTGAACCAGATATTTTGTATCAGACAAGTAAACTCAAAAACACCAAAACAATGTGGTAAGACATCCTGCGCAAACGCAGTTAGTCTTGGGTGAGTGTGCCATGTTCGTGTAATGAAGTGTCTGCCAGGATGAAATATTAGATGTGAGGACTGAGAGCAAGGAAAGTTTAGAAGCCCAGGTTTCTTAGGCCAGTGTGTGAATGCTGGTACCTTTTGTGGAACTATGGGATAAGTGAAGCCTGAGTTTCAGGGAACAGCGAGTTCCATTTAGGGCATGTATAGTTACAGTATCTGTAAGACATCTGTGTAGAGGTGAACAGTTTGAAGTTGGCTTTACAGGTCAAAGCTCAGGAAAGATTTAAAGGCTGAAGAAAGAAGAGATACAGAAGCAGACTGAGAGGTTAAGTGTTTGGATATAGTTACAAATAATAAAAATCTCAGTGGCTTAACAAAAAAAGCATAAGCTTGTTCATTCTGTGTCCAATGTGGACTGGCAGAACCCTGCTTCAAACCAGCATTCAAAGAACGAGGCTGACAGAGCCAGTCATCTTTTAACTGCACTGACTGCAACATGAAGCCTTGTCACTGTAGCAACGGAAACGATCAGGGAGGGTTTGGGGCCAGATCTTGCATACTTTGGCTCAGAAGTGACACATCACTTTTACCTAAACCCTACTGGCAGAAGTGGTCACGTGGCCCCGACCAATCACAAAGAGGCTGAAAAGTACAATCTTGTGTATGCCCAGAAGGGGAAGAAAACCAGGTCTTAGTTAAGAGTAATGCCAGAGTATAATTAAAATTCTGATATTTTCTGCCATTTTATATGCAGCATGCAATTTTCTGTTCTATCCAGCTATCTCTTAAGCCACATGTTCCAGTAATATTAAGATTCACGCAGTTCTCTGAACATGCCAAGTGACTTCACACTTTCATTCAACCTGCACCTTCAATATGCACGTTGATGCCCTTGCATCTCGTTTCCTCTGCCTATGACATACTCAAGCTGTGGCAGAACTGTGCCCCATGAGAAACCTTTCCTAACCCTCTCTCAGGCAGGCCTGGGCATTCCTCTTGCTCTGTGTTTTCACTATAAATACCAAAATTGCCAATTTACATTCACTAATCTTTTACTCATCTGTGACTGTTAAGGAATAGGCACCTGAACCATTAGTCCATTCACATATTTAATATTTTCCATTACACAGCACAGAGTATATGAACTCAAAAGATAGACTGCCCAGGTTTGGATACTGGAGAGACCACTTGCAACATTTGTAAATCCTCATTAATTTATACAACCTTCTGTTCCATTGTTTCCTCATCTGTAGCAGAGTTATGAAGATTAAATTAGACAATGTGTGATAAATGACACACAGTGCCTATCACAAAGCTCAACAAAATCACCTACAGTTATTAATGTCACTGTGTCAGGCACCAAAAGAGAAAGTTCCCTTTTGTCTCTAAAGTTAATTTCAAGTTGCTATGTATAGGAAAAGAGTGGTCCCATTTCTGTAAGTAAACTCCATACATAGGATACATTTCTAACAATCCACCATTTACTTTTATAAAAATTCAATAACATTAAAAAGGAGAAATTTTGTTTGAAGACTAAAGTCCCATTACAGATTTTTCACTTATGAACAAAGAAAGCAGTTTCAAAGAAAAATGGCACAGTTTGAAAGATATTTACCCAAGATGAGTTAAAATATTCTGTAACTATAAAAGATTAGATAAAATAATAATGAATATGGAAATAGTAAACATGATACTAACTTTCATCTTCACTTCTAAGTGAATAAGAAAATGCTCCAGAAAGGGGGAACGCACTACAGACCGCAGAAATAAATGACAGTACACTGATGGAGATTGAAATTCCTTCACTTTGACCCAGTCAACAAAGGAGCTTTCAACATGTATGAGTTCTTCATATTCTTTTACAGTAAAGGAATAAATACAGTCATAAAAGCAGAAAACAAAAAAGGGGGAAGGGGGACATTCAAATGTTTGGTAAAATATGGAGGTAATAATTCAGATATAAATGCAGGCTTAGTTTGCTTTAATACAGTGGTTGGTTTTTTGCTTATATAGGCAATATAAAAGAAAGTAGCTTTTTAAAATCTAGTAAAAAGTGGTAGAAATTTTTGGCAATTTTTGTTCTTAATTATTAGGCAATGCTTCCGTATTAGAAAAAATAAGTTCCTCTTATAGCTCTAAATTAATAAACAATTTAATAATCATTTCATGTTATAGACTTCAGTGTTGCATTTCATTTTAACTGACTGTAATCCACAGGTACTAGTACAAAATGGGATTTATGTGTATCTTAGCAGGATATAAGTGATATAATAATCACTGTTAATGACTTCCACTTTTAAAAAAGAATGTTACAAGAAATTCATTTCTATCAAACTTAAGAGGACTCCTTCATAGCCCAAAGAAATGCAACTTAACTCAAAATTTTAACAAGTAATTAAAATAATATGTATATCATAAATTAAAATGTATTTTTAACAAGTTCTAAATATACTTATTTGGTTCTGGTACATAAGAAAATATTTACAACTAATAAAAAGCAGATTGTAGAATATACATGTTCTATGTAGGAAAATAAGTAAAATGTTTTATAGTGCAGACCAAACTTTTCTAGGCCAAGTTTTATCCATGCAACTCTTTTACAATACCATCTCATTAACATTCCTGGAACACATACATGCATGGAAGAAATCTAACAATTATCTTGATTTAAAGCTCATACTGCCTTTTTAGGGCCTGTATATCTTCTAAAGTAAAATGGTTGTTTGGTGTGTCCGAAAGGTCCTCAAACAGCTGTTCAATTAGCTCCTTTTGGCCCTTGCTAATTAGTGTCAACATCATCTAAAAGAAGCAAAAAAAAAAAAAAACAAAAAACCAACTATGTTAGCATAAGTAACATTTTTAAGTTACAGAAACCCTAATAAAACCAATTTCTACTAATAAAATACTTAGCCACTTACCTTAAACCTTTCTGCTTTACTCAGGTATAAAAGATGCTGATACACCAATGAGGGATCTTTTTCAATAAGATTATTTTTCAGAGACTGAATGAGGAGAAGGAATGTATCCCCTTCAAGTTTGTTACTTAAAAACATCGGCAAATCTTTTGGTGCAGTGATGGCTAAAAGATGTGCACAGGCTTCTTTATCCTTCCTGGTACTGAGAGCATTTATAATCTGACCAAATTCATAGGCATTATTAGGCTTGGCTATCGGAAGTTTCTCAGGGTCTTCTGGTGACCTGCTGCTTTTGCCTCCCTTCTCAGAAGCAAGGCATCCCATGGAGACCTCCCCTGCAGGTCTTCCAGGCTCCTCCTTGCCTTCATTCACCTTCATGAAGAAAAGAAAAATGCATTGTGACACTGAACCACAATCACCACATACATCCTAAGTACGTCTGTCAGAATGAGAATTGAAAACTACAAGTAGACTGTACTGTAGTCCAGTTCCAAGTGAAAACTTTGTAATAATTTTTTTTAGGAAGAGAAGTTTTAGGGTGTAAGATCCAATTCATAAAAGTTTTAAAAAATTATTTGACATTGAAACTATGACAACAAAATTTAATTTTTAGACTTTATACAATTGTTGTATAAATGCCTATGTCAATTTTATCTCCTTTTCACAATAAATTTTAACAGAGAAATGAACTTACATTGCTCGATTCTCCTAAAACAGTTTTTTCTTCCCTCCTTAAAGAGGAAAAAAAACCTTCCTAGCTTCTCTTACATATTAGCCTCTTACTCTTAGTGGAAATGTGAGACTATAAATGGGGTATTAGCATTCATGAATGTACAGGGATTCACAGCCTAACATTCTTCCCTAATATTAGGCAGAGAAAAACATTTTAGTTATCTGAATCACAAAAGCAGTTTGATCCTGAGGTAGTTCGAGATCTCTGATGAGGCAGTCATATTTCAGAGTGCTAAAAAGGTCTGAATCAATCTGGATAATCTCTATGAGGTGAGGCTTTCAGGGCCCCTGTAACAAAATCAGTCCCGTCAGGATTCTCCAGGTCTACCCTGGAGCAAAGTCAGTGGCCGCTGGTTCCCAGTGTACTCTGGAGTGGGAGCAGTACAGATGGAGGCCAAAGAAAGGAAGAACTGCAGTAATGCAGAGACTCCCAGTACCATCCATGGACCCACGTTGGGAAATACAATGGCTAATTATCATTGCAAAGGAGACATTTTGTTGCTGGTTAAAATTTTGTCACTGATCATCAGAATAAAAACACAAAATTAAAAATGTTTTAGAACTCACAGGAATATGACCTTAGAATCCAGTCTAAGGTCCCCAAAGGAGTACTTTCAAAGATAATCAAATACAAATACCTCTTGAATCTCAATTTTCCTTCTCTCCTTTTCTTTGTTGAATGGTGCTGTCTTATCCTTAAGATTAAGGAGTCTAGTTACCTCTTCCAGTTCCATCTTTGCCTCAATAATACTTGGATCTAGTAGGATAACTTTATTGAGATCAATTAAGCTTTTCTGATAATTCTGTAAGTAGGAAGACAGAGAAAATAACTTTCATAAATAGAAGGAGCCTAGAGTAACCTGAGTGGGAGTGGGGTGGATGTAGTGAGCTGTGCAGTATGTGTGCAGGGTCCACATTAATACCACTCTTACAAAGTGAGCCTGTGGGGTGAATATGCAGCTGAAATAGTATAACCCATGATACAGTGAACATCGACTATAGAAGAAAAAGCACAGGATCTGGAGTTAGAAAACGCAAGTTAAATTCTGTATCACCACAACCTTCCCAGTCCCTAACACATGATAAGCACTTGTTGCTTGCTGAATGAATAAATGAAAGAATGAACTCATCCTTGTATTAGCACCTACTAGCAATGAAACTTAAGATCCTACTTAACCTTTCTGGGCTTCAGTCTTCTCATCTTTAACATAAGGGGAACAAAAGCTCTATTCAAATTTTCACAAGGCTGTACCAAGAAATAAATGAACAAATAATAAGTGGCTTAAACCTATAAAGGACTATGCAAATGGTAGTTATTATAATACTTTTGTTCCATAAAATCCTTCCAGGTTGTTTACTCTTCGAATTGGCTAGAGTCAACATTTAATCTTCCATGAGTCACACAATACACTGAAGAAGTTGAGGGAAAGAAAGGGCACCTAACAAGACATGACCACTGAATCTAGCAGCAAAGACAGATGCCCCAAAGTCAGTCTGCTGTGACAAGCTATGTTCTAAACTACAGACTAGACCCATGTTTTGAATAAACCAAACTGTGAAGAGGCAAAGAATTGCAAGGATGTGTAACCTCTTCAAGTATTCATGACACATCAGTAACAGCATGCACAAGAGGCTGAGCACAGATAAGCTGAGCTAGTGATTATGTGACATTCCCGGGGGCCTAGCTGTAATCCCACATGCCTTTCCCCTCCCCTACAGCAACACACCAGAGCAAGAGGGACATATTTAAAGGGATAACCTTAAATCTGCTCTAGTTTATAAAAGTAAATTATTTACAAAGTATAACAAATCTCCAGATACCACTGTCCTAGACCAGCACTGGAACCTTACCGGGGGAAAAATGACACTGTATTTATATCCTAAGCGTTCTAGGCAGGGAGCCATACCTGAAAGGCAAGGGAGTGGAGCAGGAGGGCAAGTTGAGGAAGTAATAAAGGCTGATTCTTACCATTCTAAGCATTTTACAATTATTACTTTACCCTCACAACAGCCCTACAAATATTAACTTCTATTGTTCCCATTTTAAAAATGAAGAATGGGATGGTCACAACAGCAATGACCAGAAGGTGGATGATTACATGGCATGGAGCTCAAGGGAAAGGACTGGAAATAGAGACCTGTGAGCCACAGCCTTGGAAATGGAAGCTCAGCACCCTAGGAGTCAATAGGATCATTTTCATGAATCCGGAAAGTCTCTGCCTAAAGAGCAGCCTGACTGGTTGGAAGAGACATAAGAAAACAAGAAATGCATGTTGACAAGTGTTAGCACTGCAGACAAGCATGAAGAGGGCAGAATGGCAGCAAGGGCATAGACAGAATTGGGCAAGGAGGCAGCTAAGAGGGGGCGAGGCTCATTCACTTCACAGATGGTCTCTGAGCACGTCCATGTGCCAGGAGCTAAGAGGACCACGGAAAAGACAAAGAAAGACAGACTTAAGTTTTACATTTATGGAAGCTTACGTCCTATGAGGGGAAGCAATTAAAAACCTGTAAACAAATGAATAGATAATTACAGACTGTCATTGATGTCATGGAGAAAACTAAAGGTTGAGATGGATACTAACAAGAGAGCCTCCTTTTTCTACAGTTACAGGTGTCAGAGAAGTCAAGACCTGAAGAGAACCCAGCCATGCAGTGTAGAGGGAAGAGCAGAGCTCATAGAAAGTGTGTCCCAGCACTTTGGGAGGCCAAGGTGGGTGGATCACCTGAGGCCAAGAGTTCGAGACCAGCCTGACCAACACAGCTAAACCCCGTCTCTACTAAACATACAAAAATTAGCCAGATGTGGTGGTGCACATCTGTAGTCCCAGCTACTCGGGAGGCTGAAGCAGGAGAATTGCTTGAACTCTGGAGGTGGAGGTTGCAGTGAGCCAAGATCACGCCACTGCACCCCAGCCTGAGTGACAGAGCAAGACTCTGTCTCAAAAATAAACAAATAACAAACAATAACAACAACAAACCAGAAAATGTAGCTTTGACAAGAAAGAAGGCATTAAAAGTTGCTAACCTCATTAGGCCTTTAAAAAGGGATGTATTATAATCACGTGTTTGTGATATTTACCATTAATAGTTTTGCTGAAACCATAAAAGCAATAGTTATTTTATGATATTCTTTTTGATATTTGTATTGATACATAACAATTGTATGTATCATCCTCTACAGCATCCTCTTTTGGGTGGATCTTGCAGCACCCTCTATTGGGTGTAAATTCCCTAAGTAGGCACCATGTCTTTATTCACCTCTATACTCCTAACACCTAGCACATAATTGGCACTCAATAAGAGAAATAAATTGTAAATAAAAGCAAAATGTTCAGTGATCTTTTCTTACAAAGAACAGCTGTACATTAAAGAAAGCTCATATTTTTCAAAGCTGGCACCATTAAAAATAACAAAGTCAGAAAACAAACAGAAGATCTGAGGAAAACATAGAGTTGAGCTGGGAGCTAAAGGCAGGACACCTGCCACCGTGAGCCCCTGTGCCACTTCCTCATTGCAGTCACCCTGGGCAAACAGGCCTGGGCGTGAGTTCTGACACATTCTATAAGCAGTTGTAGCCTTTGAAGATCCTGAAATTAGGCCAAGCATGGTGGCACACATCTGTAATCCTAGCATTTTGAGAGGCCAAAGTGGGAGGATTGCTTGAGGCCAGGGGTTTAACACCAATCCTGGCCAACATAGTGAGACCCTGTCTCTCTTAAACATTTTTTAAAATTCTGAAATTAAATTCACCTGGCACATACCTCAAATTACTGGACAACAAATCAAGCTATAAGCTACCAGCCTCATAATCTAGTGGGATAGGATTACTCAAATTTGGGATTATTTTTCTGCATCATAATATAATTTCTGGAATTCATTCCAAGGAAATAGAAAAGTCCAATGAAGTATTAATGATGATACCCACACAAACTAAAGTCCAGTCTTTCATTAGGGTGCAGCTTCTGACCTTTAGTCAGCTCACCAGGTTCAGAAAGTCAGGCAGCCAGTAAGAGGTAAATGTGCTCCAAGAGTTTGGCCATCTGTAAACTCATGAGCCATACAGATCCTCATTTACCAAATCTACTAAGCTCAAAGAGGTGAGTAAATTTCAAAGGAGTCTCTTTTAATTTGTGGTGCCATACACCATCTAGGAATTTTTTTTACAAGTGAGTGTGTTGCTAACCAAAAAAAAAGAGGGCCGGCGGGGAGGCATGTGTTAGGGTCACATGGACACTGTGTGGCTCCCTCAGCATGGGGCGGGGGTCACAGGGCAGCACGGGGGTCCTGGCGGGACATGCACGCTGACTGCACTGCAGCCAGAGTGGATCTACAATCTGGAAAAGGTGGCCATTCAGTGCACCTGGGTGGTCCTCATTTGCTATATTATGCAACATGACTGCTCTTCTCCCTGCAGAACCTAGATAGTTCCCTTTCAGTCATGGGCACGGAATTAAAACAACTATCTCAGACTCAATCAGTCAAAACAATCCTCTCCCCACTCCCAAACTGCCCCGCTCCTGAATGCTCCCCATTATCACACCACTACCCTCAGCCACCCAGCCAGAACCTGGGAGGCATCCCCTCCATCACTTCCCCTAGACATTTGACTGCTATGTCAACTTTACCATAAACCCTTGAATTGGCCCCTTCCCTTCTGTTATGGGCTGAACTACGTCCCCACAGAAAGTCCTGTGTTGAAGTTCTAACCTCCAGTACCTCAAAATGTAACCATATTTGGAGACAGGGCCTTTAAAGAGGTAATCAAGTTAAAATCAGTAGGCCCTACCTAGTCCAAGATGACTGTGTCTTTATAAAAAGAGAAGATTTGGGCACACACACACAGAGGGAAGGCCACATGGAGACCCAGGGAGAGGACAGCAACTGTAAGCCAGAGACATAGGCCTCTGAAGAGACCACCCCTATTAACACCGCAAGCTGAGACTTCCCACCTCCAGAATAGATTTCTGTTGTTCAGGCCACCCAGTCTATGGCGCTTTGTTATAGCAGCCACAGCAGCTAACATACTTCTCCCTTTCCTTGGACATTACTTTCCTTCAGGTACCTGCTTCTCACCTTGGTGATCTCTCACTTACCTTCCTCCTCATCCTGGGCCCCTCTTATCAACCTTCCATGAGGTCCCCAAATCTGATCCATTACACCACCATTTACCCTGCTCTGGAGGCTCCATCACCTTCAGAATTAAGTCCAGCCTCCTCAGCATGGCCTACCAAGCCCCTCAGGATCTGACCATCTCCCTCTATCCCCACTCCTAGTCACATCTGGCCTCCAGCTGTACAGTTTGTAAACAAGTCCATCCATTAAAAATGTACACAAGAATGTCACAGCAGCCTTATTCCTAACAGCCCCAAACTGGAAACAACCTAAGTGTCATCAACTGGTGAATATATACACAAATTGTGATATATTCATACAACACGGTGATAAAAAGGAACAGTTCCTGATACCCACACAATATAAACAAATCTCAGGTTATGCTGAAAGAAGCCAAACAGTAGAGTCCATTCTATATGATTTATGGTAATGTCCAAAACAATCAAAACTAATCTATAGTGATAGAAATCAGATGAATGGCTGCCTGAGGGTAGGGGTGGAGGGAGGAAGATTTATTGTACAGGGGCACAGAGAACTTTCTAGAAAGATGAAAATGTTATTTTTTTTTAGCACACACCACCTTCAGAAGAAAATGTTCTTTATCTCGATTGGGATATTGGCTACAAGAGGATATGCACATACCAAAAGTCAATGACCTGCACAATTACAATGTATGAACTTCATTGTATTACACCTTAATAAAATTGAGCTTAAAAAATTATTTCAGGAAGTACTATTTTCCAATATGTTCTGGTTTTTCCTTGTGATGTTATTTTCTATAAATATGAACATTCATTCCTCAGGATTTCCATGCAGAAGAATCTGTGTGAAGAAAAGTGGAATGATACAATATCCACTTTCTTCTAAACTAATGGCATGGTTTTCTTAGAGAAGAATGGCATTTTACAGATTTACACTGACCATCAGCTGGCTTAAGGCCCAGATCACTATAAGCTTTCAAGTCTCCGATGTGTCTCTCCCAACTTCCGCTGGGTCACCCATCTTCTATTCTGATGCCTTCCCCACCCAACCTCCAACAGCAATCCTTGCCGGAGGAACCAGCAGCATTACTGCTAGTTTCGGTAATTCAGTACCAAACCTTCCTCTATCTTAAAATGAACCTACTATAACTAACAATATTCCTCAGAAAACTAGAGAATAAATCATTATTTTGGAGCTGGAAGGAATCTTAGAAGCAATCTAGTTTCACATTATGGTTAGGGGTGAAATCTGAGGCCTCTATCAAGGTTTTAGAACTGGTTAGTACAGTTCTAGGATTAAATCCAAGAATAACCTCAATCCCATCCCAAGATCTGGAGATTTATGCTTGTGAAAACCACTTGATTTGTTCAGAGCTGAAGTTTATGCATTAAAATGAAGATTTCCTCACCTTGAGTCCTTTATGAGCCAGAGCTCGTCTATAGAAGGCTTTCACGTTCCCATCAGCTAGCTGAAGTGCCTGATCACAGTCCTGCTTTGCTTCTTCAAACTGGCACAGCTTCAAGTAACAGAGAGCTCTGGCATAATGCAATGGAACTCAGTATTATGAAAGGTAAAGATTGGCTATCTGTAAGTTTTAGACAGCTAAGAAAAATCAGAAAATAGCTCAATATGTCTGTTGCTATACCACTGCGGTTTCCATTGAAACTTAACATTTGATTCAATTATGGCACTGGGCATACAACCGCAAACAAAATACAGTCACAGCCCTCAAGGAGGATGCAATCAAGTGGAAGAGACAGACCATTAAAACAAGCAAACACAATAAAATCTGTGCAAAGTACTCTGGGAGCACACAGCTGAGAACTACATCAGATTCAGTGGGGCTGAGACAAGGCGCAGAGCAGGCAGGGAAGACTTCCTGGAAGAAGTGACATTTAAGTTGAAATCCAGAGTATGAAGTTAAGAATTATCCAATGCAAATGCACTGGGTTGAGAAAGTTCAGATGGAGGTAGCGGGGAGTGGAGGCCAAGGACACAGCGAGTGCACAGACCTGCACCTACAGTGGAAGAGAATATGGTGTTCCTGAAGAATTAAGAAGAGTTCCATATGGCTGGAATGCAGGGATGAGGCTGGAAGAGCAGGCAGGCCAGATCACGAAGGGCACTGTAAGTCATGGAAGGAAGTTGAGCTTTATAAACTGAGCTTAATGGAAGTCCGATGAAGGGTTTTTAATAGGGGCTGACACATTTGCCATGTTTTAGACAGTCCCTCTGGCTACAGCTTGGAGAATGAGATGATGGAACAAAGCTGTGCAAGGACACCATAAGGGTGCTGCAGACATTTAGGAGGAGAGGACAGTGGCCCAGAGCAAGGGAATGACAGGGGGATGGTGGCAAGGAGACAGAAAGGGTCACACTGAAGATGGATTTGGGATTTAGAAGGTAGGAGCATCTGAGCTTGCTGACTGGAAGAGGGAGGTAGGGGATGATATCCAGCCCTGAGTGCAGAAGAGATGGGGAGCGCTTCAGTCTGGAGCTCAGAAGACAGAGATTTGGAAGACATCATTGTAAGGTGGTGAGTGGACCTGGGGAGAGGATGGAATGGCCTCTAGAGTACGTAGAAAGGAAAAAGGATCTAGACCCTCAGAACTATGAGAATTCTAGGGAAAGAAAAGCCTACAGAAGGAGAGGGAGAGGACGAGAACCAGGCAATGAGCTGCCAGCCTCCTCCTCCGCAGCCAAGAGGAGGAGGAGTCTTCACAGAAAACTGAGTGACCAATAATGCCCGATCCTACAGAGGCTGAACAGAAGGGCAGAAAAACATCTGTTGGATTTAGTGACATCTTTTGTCCAATATTCTATCACCATATTCTATATAGGTATCTTTTACTACGTGGTAAAGACGGTACCTGAGCAACAATCTGCCCATTCCTGCTGCACGCTATAAATGACGCTGGTGCCTTCCCGCAGCACTTCAGAAGGAAAAGGGCATTCTCCCTAAGACAGTATTTTTTTTTTTTTTTGAGACAGAGTCTTGCTCTTTCACCCAGGCCAGACTGCAGTGGTGCTATCTCGGCTCACTGCAAGCTCTGCCTCCCGGGTTCACGCCATTCTCCTGCCTCAGCCTCCGGAGTAGCTGGGACTACAGGTGCCTGCCGCTGCGCCTGGCTAATTTTTTTTTGTATTTTTAGTAGAGACGGGGTTTCACCGTGTTAGCCAGGATGGTCTCGATCTCCTGACCTCGTGATCCACCCGCCTCGGCCTCCCAAAGTGCTGGGATTATGGGCGTGAGCCACCGTGCCCAGCCAAGACACTATTTTGAAAGGCCATTGATTCCTGCTCCTCCCACACTGGACAATGCCCAGGCCCAGCTAGCTGCAACGAGGCCGGCAAGCCAGGAAATGCCGAATCAGAGTTGCACAAGCCAAAGCAGCCATGGTCGCTTTTGGGAACCTGGTGGCACAAACTATGTCAGACCTCCCATCCCGCCCACACCTCAGGCTTCCAGTCTCTGTAGAACTCCCACGGCCTCACCTCTTTCAGACACACTTGGTTAGGACAGCTTGCTATAGAAATTCTTAGAACCATCACAAAAAACTTTGGCAATTACTTAATTGTGTTAATAAAATAACTTAAAATATTTTTAATAATCAAAACTATTAACATAAGAAATATATAAAGTTACAAAGAACTTGCCTGTTTGTATATATGGCACATTCCTTATTGTTAATCTTTAAGCATTCGCTGTATTTACTGAGGGCGTCTTTATAGTTTTTGTCATTTACACATTGATTTCCTTCTTCCTTAAGGGCTTTAAATGTTTTTTCATCTATGGGACAAAAAAACAAAGAAGAGGAAGTATCTGTACAAGCACCTCTATAAAATCTTAAGTACAACTATAAGTAAATCTTCTATTGCAAATTAACTTGACCACACAGCATGCAGGGTGAAAATCTAACTAGAACAAAACTTTGTAGACAAATTAAAATGACAAATAGGCTATAAGTAAAAATAATTATATAATTATGATACTATTATTTTCTAATTAGAAAATAAGATACAAGTGCCGGGTGCAGTGGCTCACACCTGTAATCTCAGCACTTTGGGAGGCCGAGGCGGGCGGATCACCTGAGGTCAGGAGTTCAAGACCACCTTGACCAACATGGAAACTCCATCTTAACTAAAAATATAAAATTAGCTGGGCGTAGTGGCACATGCCTGTAATCCTAGCTACTCGGGAGGCTGAGGCAGGAGAAGTGCTTGAACCTGGGAGGCAGAGGTTGTGGTGAGCCAAGATCATGCCGTTGCACTCTAGCCTGGGCAACAAGAGCGAAACCCCATCTCAAAAAAATAAAATAAGATACAAGTAATAATTCTGTCATGTTATCCATCTTGACATGCCATCTTTTCTCTACTGGGATTCTAAAGACAGTAACAGAGGCCAGAACCACCTTAGAGATGGAGAGAATTAAGCAAACAATGCTAACAGGGCTCAGGTGACTATATGACAAGAGGCAGAGTCTCCAATAAGGCTGCACATGTGAACTAGCAACCCTCACAGTGTTTTCTGTCATCTCCATCTATGCTGCCTCACACAGCGCTTTTACAGTGGTACACGAGCACTTCAGACCTCTGGTTAAGCTTGGATACGACAGAACCAGTCAATGAAATGGGATACAAATATCCACAGTGTTTTGCTTGGCAATTATTTTGTGAATAGTGAACACTCCTCTTAAAGCCTGAAGTGGACATCTATCCGGCACCCCAAATTTCCTTGGGAAATCATATCTCTTTCATTCTGTGCTCCTTTGGTTTAAGTGAAGCAAACCTCACTCCAGCCCTAACCTTTGGGATAATCATTTTATTAATCAGCACATCATGGTCCTATGGCCATAGTAATCCAATTGTTCAGGGATGAGTCTATAAGAGCTGATAAAATGTTTTGCAAGGTTCTTGTAAAATAAATCTTTTTCTTTCCTGTGGGATTTAAGGCTCAAAGGAGGAGCTATTTTTCCATCTTGTGATAAAAAGGGATGATGTGAAAATGGGGCCATCAGAGCAAGGAAGAGGCCAAGATGGAGAGCTGGAGTCTCTGAGTCCTGAATCCAGCCATCCCTGCAGCCACTCCACCTGTGGATATGTCTATAGTAAGTGCCCATAAACAGCTTTTTGCTTACTTGAGGCATTATAAGTTGGGCTTTCTGTTATCTACAATCAGAGTCTGAACTGCTCATTACCAGAATTACACACTATCCCTATTATCTTGCAGTGAACATGGCTGATACCCTGCTCAGAATCTGTTTCCAGGACCTCAATATTCATTCAGCTATCACCCCTCTCCTATTCAGACCACGTGTTCAGGGGAGGCTGACCTCACTGATCAAAACCCCAGGTCTAAGCCATTCAGTGCGTGGGGTGTTTCCTCATAAAAGAGACTGGCTCAGGGATGGGCACATGGCCCAATTCAGATGAACAGAATAACAGATTAAAAAGCCTGGGCCTTGGGGAAATGTACTTCCTCATTCTTTTGTTTTTTTTTGTTTTGTTTTGTTTTGTTTTTTGAGACGGAGTCTCGCTCTGTCGCCCGGGCTGGAGTGCGGTGGGTGGCGCAATCTCAGCTCACTGCAAGCTCCACCTGCCGGGTTCACGCCATTCTCCTGCCTCAGCCTCCCATGTAGCTGGGACTATAGGCACCCACCACCACGCCCGGCTAATTTTTGTATTTTAGTAGAGATGGGGTTTCACTGTGTTAGCCAGGATGGTCTCCATCTCCTGACCTCGTGATCCTCGAGGATCCCAAAGTGCTGCCTCGGCCTCCCAAAGTGCTGTGATTACAGGCGTGAGCCACCACGCCCGGCCTACTTCCTCATTCTTAATGCCATCAAAATCAATGGTTTCTCTCTCTCTTTGGACACTGATATGTGCAGATGTAAAGCCTAAAACTGCTACAGTTCTATTGTTTCCTGCTACAGCCTAAGTCTTAATGAGTTGAGCCTGATTTACAGCCTGTCTGGGCCCTTTCAGTGACACAAGCCAAGACCATCCCTTACACTTTAAGTCAACAGATTTTCTGTTACTTACAACCAAGTTTTCAAACATACACAAAATATTAAAATTTAAAGTTTTAAACCTAGGTAATAAGTTTATCCTATGGAATAATTTGATATATAATAAAAATCCATAAATTAAAATTTAAAATATACCTTTAAATTTTGTAATCTTAAAATCTTCTGATAGATAAATTTATTATTTTATTATTATTATTCTTTTTTGAGATGGGGTCTGGCTCTGTCGCCCAGGCTAGAGTGCAGTGGTGCAATCTCGGCTCACCACAACCTCTGCCTTCTGGACTCAAGCCATCCTTTCACCTCAGCCTCCCAAGCAGCTGGGACTACAGGGGCATGCTACCATGCTCAGCTAATTTTTGTATTTTTAGTAGAGACAGGGTTTTGCCATGTTGCCTAGTCTGGTCTCAAACTCCTGAGCTCTGGCGATCTGCCCACCTCAGCCTCCAAAAGTGCTGGGATTACAGGTGTGAGCCACCGCACCCAGCCAATTTTTTTTTTTTTTTTTTGGTAGAGATGGGGGTCTTGCTTTGTTTCACAGGCTGGTCTTGGACTCTTGGCCTCAAGTGATCCTCCTGCCATGGCCTCCCAAACTACTGGGATTACTGCCAAGAGCCACCATGCCCAGCCCCCTAAATTTATAATATAAACTCAGAATGTAAACAATAATCTTATTTGTCCCTCTGCACAAATTGTATAAAATGCTAGTTTACTTTTCATCTTCTATTTCAAATCACAGAATATTTCTGCCCATGTTTCATGTTTCAAAAGATCTCACATAGCCTAGGCTACTCACACCTGTTAGCCCAGAACTTTCAGAGGTTGAGGCAGAAGGATTACTTGAGCCCAGGAATTCGAGACCAGCCTGGGCAACATAATGAGATCCTGTCTCTATAAAAAATACAAAATTAGCCAGACACGGTGGCACACACCTGTAGTCCCAGCTACTCAGGACTGAGGTGGGAAGACTGCCTGAACCCAGGAGGTCGAGGCAGCAGTGAGCCAAAATTGCACCACTGCACCCCAGCCTGCGCAACAGAGCAAGATCCTGTCTCAAAAAAAAAAAAAAAAAAAAAAATCTGACACAATAGGGTCAAATGGTACTTTCCCAATCCTGGTATATAAACCCTGAAATAGAATATTAGGGAAGATTTTGCTGAAAAATTTTCCTCAAGCTTTTATCCTCCAGTGTCTTTAAACCTTTGGTATCCATTCTCACTATCAATCAGTAAACAAATATGGACAGAAAAATTCAAACACAGCTGATTATACTTGTGCTATGGTTTGCTAACTCACAGCTATATATGCATTTTGTTAATAAGAAGTAGCTCTTATTTACTGAACAAATGCTTTGTGTCAGGCCCTATTAATAATGGACTCTAGAAAACTACAGATCTCCATAATTTCCCTAGGACTGCTAGATCATCTACTTGGCAGATATTCCCTGTCTGCTCTTTCTTGGCAATAAAGAAAATGAGGGTCCAACACTAGCCATCTGGACATCATGGGTCAGGAACCTCAGGGCATCTGCAAGATGAAGCACAGCCTGGGGACACATATGGAGTTTCTAAGCTTTGTGGGAGAAATGGGGCCTCAGCTGGCTTTAAAGCAGAAAGCAAGGGTGAAGTCACATTTATTAAATGCTTACTTACTACACTCAAAGTAATAATGTAGGCACTAAGGGAATACAAATTTTTTAACAACTACAATAAAGACAGAAGGAAGCACCTGCATTACACAGCCATGCATCACTCAACAATGGATACATTCTGCGAAATTTGTCGTTGGGCAATTTCGCTATTGTGCAAACATCATAGAGTGTGGTTACACAAACCTAGATGGTATAGCCTACCATATATCCAGGCTGTATGGTGTAAGCTAATGCTCCTAGGCTACAAACCTGTAACAGCATGTTACTGTACTGAATACTGTGGGCAACTGTAACACAATGGTATTTGTGTATCTAAACACAGAAAAGGTACAGTAAGAGTATAGTACCTTTACAGTAAAAACACAGTAAAGTTACAGTATATAATCTTATGGGATCACTGTCATATATGTGCTCCATTGTTGATTGAAATACCATTATGAGCACATGATTATATTTATGTTGTGGGGCTTTACTTTATTATTTTAAACATATCAGTCTTATTCCTTTAGCCTCATCACATACAGGGTCTACTGTAGAGCTACATGTTATTTAAATTTTTTTTTTTTGAGACAGCATCTTATTCTGTCACCCAGGCTGGAGTGCAGTGACACCATCACAGCTCACTGCAGCCTCAACCTTCCTGGGCTCGGGATCCTCCCACCTCAGCCTCCCAAGTAGCTGGGACTATAGGCATGCACCACCACGCTTGGCTAATTCTTCTATTTTTTTGTAGAGATAGGGTTTCGCCATATTGCCCCGGCTGGTCTTGAACTCCTGGGCTCAAGTGATCCACTTGCCTCCCAAAGTGCTGGGATTACAGGAGTGACCCACTGCACCTGGCCTTCTTAGTTAACAATGTTTAAGAGGTTACTACAGGTTTACAAAGTCAGAATATACTATTTTATATACACATCTCCATTTATTTCTGACAACCTCCTTGTGAGACATTTATTAATACATTCCCCTGCCTTAAACCACGCATGGTGGCTCATGCCTATAATCCCAGCACTTTGGGAGGCTGAGCCAGGAGAATCACTTTAGCCCTGGAATTTGAGACCAGCATGGGCAACATAGGGAGACTCCGTCTCTACTAAAAATACAAAAATTAGCCGTGCGTGGTGGCAGGCACCTGTAATCTCAGCTACTCGGGAGGCTGAGGCAGGAGAATCGCTTGAACCTGGGAGGTGGAGGTTGCAGTGAGCCGAGGTCACACCACTGCACTCTAGCCTGGACATCAAAGTGAGACTCCACCAAAAAAAAAAAAAAAAAACTAGCTGGCATGGTGGTGTGCACCTGTGGTTCCAGCTACTCAGTAGGCTGAGGCAGGAGTATTGCTTGAGCTTAGGAGGTCGAGACTGCAGTGAACCGTGATTGCGCCACTGGACTCCACCCTGGGTGACAGAGCAAGCCCCTGTCTCAAAACAAAACAAAACAAAAAACGCTTTTACATGTATACTAGTAGGACACAGGAGGTATGTAGCAACTTCTTAAGACCATGTAGTTTTAAAGAGGGAGAACATAATTCCAGCACTTTGGGAGGCCAAAGCAGGCAGATCATTTGAGGTCAGGAGTTTGAGACCAGCCTGGCCAACATGGTGAAACCCTGTCTCTACTAAAGACAAACAAAAAAAAACCCACTAAAATTAGCCAGGTGTGGTGGTACATGCCTGTAATCCCAGCTACTCAGGAGGCTGAGGCAGGAGAATTGCTTGAACCCAGGAAGCAGAGCCAAGATCGCACCACTGCACTCCAGCCTGGGCAACAGAGCAAGACCCTGTCTCAAAATAATAATAAAATAGGGAGAACAGGGACTTCACTTAAACCTAGGTCTGATTCTAGAATTAATGCTCTTATCTCTCTGCTTTACTGTGAAAGTACACACACAACTCAAGGTAACCTTGAGAAGAAATGAGTGCAGGCATCCCCCACCTGTGATGCCCTGCTGGCGATGGCTGCTGGAGTCTCCTGCTTGTTTTGAGATCATCTCTTTTGCCGGATGCCAAGCTTGCAGTGGCACAGAAGCAGGCACAGCAGGAATAGGTGACAGCTTCTCCCGCCAATTTGGTCCATCCAGCTCCATTAAAATTCTTGATAGCCTAAAGAGAAAGTGAATTTTCTCTGTTGATCATTTAGTTTGCTTTTTATATTACTGAAGGTCAGATTAAGAATAAAATTTGCAAATGCTATGCAAATGTGTACTTCCTTGTAGAAAACATGCAATCCTGAGCATTTTCTGTCCGTATAAACTGTTTTCAAAAAGATATTTACAAGTTGTCATAAATGATGCAACTTAGACTATTTTTTAATCAAAACAAAAAAGACATTTTTAATTTGTTAAAAAATTTTAACATATACATAATAAAATTGTATTTTTTGAGAAAGTTAAATATATTAATAAAACTAAAATTTAGGAGGCCTAGAAGAAATGTCTCCTGTAATATTTAAAATCATTACTAAATTGATAATGTATTACTCTTGAGAATGATCAGAAGTATTTTAGAATTTCTGTGCCCAAACTGTACATTATGATAACCACATTACCAACTACTGTGGTTGACAACAGGTGTACAAGACTGGCTGCCAACACTGGTAAGGGCTCGCTGTCATGTGAATAATGCTTTTTCTCAAAACACTTACATGTGTTTAAGATACTCTTTCTTGCTCTGTATTTTTTTCATCTCTATAATTATCAGTTTATTCTTTTGTGTGTTTGTTTGTTTTGTTTTTGAGATGGAGTCTCACTCTGTCGCCCAGGCTGGAGTGCAGTGATGCGACCTCGGTTCACTGCAACCTCTGCCTCCCGGGTTCAGGCAGTTCTCCTACCTCAGCCCCCCAAGTAGCTGGGATTACAGGCACGCGCCACCACGCCCAGCTAATTTTAGTATTTTTAGTAGAGACGGGGTTTTGCCATGTTGGCCGGTCTGGTCTCAAACTCCTGACCTCAGGTGATCTCAGCCTACCAAAGTGCTGAGATTACAGGCGTGAGCCACCGCACCCAGCCCCATTTATTCTCTTTTCATATGAATAAAGATGAAAATACAAGATACTAGATTCTACTACAAGGGCTTTTTTATTAATGGCATTTACTGATGGCCATCATAAAATTTAGATTAATATCCTCAGTGATCACTTTTTCATTATTTTAAACATACAGAATGTCATAATTAGATTTAAAAATAAAATTAAAAATTACGTCTTTTGAACAAATCTGGTTAAAAAGAACTGCTTCCTAAGACTGAATTGGTTTACTGGCAATTAGCAGAATAAATTCAAGTTAGTTAAATCTAGTCGCAACTTTTTGTGTGAAAAACTTTTATATTTATATATAGACAAATGTAATGCACATAATTTCCCTACAGTTTCTTAAACTTAAATTTCCATAGTGATCTTTGGTTATAATAATTGAATCTTATGCTTTAATGTAAAAAAAAATTTAAATTAATGTATAACCACCCAGAATTGCAGAAGAAAAAGAAGTTTCAGAAAAAAGAATTTTCAAGCAAAACTTATATTACCAGCAGAGAGGAAGGAAGAAGCAGCTGAAAAGAGATGATGTGTTGCCAGGGAATAAATAAGTATATGCAGGGAAATTTAACATATAAGATTCCTGGAGAGGAAGAGAGGCATATGGTTAATGGAAGACAGAAACAAAATAAATACAGATGTTTAAATTTAAAAAAAAAAAAAAGCTTCTGCTGTTTAATTTTCCATAATGAATTGGAATAGATGGAAAAGCAAGCATAAATGTGGGATTCACAAATAAGAAATAGTGAAAAATTTTAAACAGATATTGTATATAAAAATATATATGGCAAAACCAAAGCCTCCTCATCAACAAAATATCAACAAGAACCATTCAATTAAAAAAAATGACTCAGTCTTAAAAGTCAATTACTTTAAATGAACCTTCCTGAGTACATATAACAAATATAATACAATCTTCAAAAAGTTAAACATAGAATTACCCAGCAATTCTACTCCTAGGCATATACGAAAAGGAACTGAAAGCAAGTATGCAAACAAAAATTTGTCCATGAATGGTCACAGCAGCACTGTTCACAATAGCCAAAAGGTGAAAATGACCCAAATGTTCATCAACTGGTGAATGGATAAACAAGATGTGATATGATATATACATGCATATAATGGAATGTTAGCCATAAAAAGCAATGAAGTACTGATCCATGCTATGCCGTGGATGAACCCTGAAGACATTATGCTAAGTGAAAGAAGCCCAACACAAAAGGCCATATATGATTCCATTTAGATAAAACATCAGAACAGATAAACCCGTAGAGACAGAACACAGATTGTGGTTGCCAGGGGCTGGGGGGAAAGGAAAATGGGGAGTGGCTGCTTACTGGGTACAGGGCTTCCTTTTGGGGTGGTGGAAATGTTTTGGAACTAGAAAGAAGTGATGACTGCCCAAGATGGTAAGTGTACAAAATGCCACTGCATTGCACATCTTAGTTAATTTTATGTACATGAATTCTACCTCAATTTTTTAGAAAAACTATAATGCAAAAGGTCAGAAATGTCAGTAATCATGTTCTCTCAGACCCATTTCTCCCTTCAACCATTCAGCCTACTATTAATTAGACTTCCTAAAATACCTTTTCATCAGGCCCTCCTCTCTGCCAGATACTTCCGGTGTCTCCCCACTTTCCATTTCATGATAACCTCTAACACTGTGAGAAGATCTTACTTTCTCCAGCTCTACCTTGAAAACTACTAAGCCGAGGATGGGGCGAATTAAAAGCAACAAACAATGCCCCAAAGCACAGGAGTGAACTCTGTGTTCTCTGTTTGAAAATGCACTCATTTTTATTGAGGACGTCTACTGGAGGCAGACACAGGAGGCAGTGCAGCGACAAAGATGAAAAAACACAATTTCTGACCTCAGGGAACACCGGCTACAGCTACAGGAAAAGAATTTTACACAGGGAGACAGCAAACGTGAAAACAATATAGAAGCTGGGTAATAAAAGAGGGCCCAGTGTTATGGGGGCACTGAGAAAGGGAACCTAAGGTGCACCTATGGGGTAGGGAGACAGTGGATCAGGGCAAGTAGTTTCCTAGAGGAGGCAAGTCCTCTCCTGATAGATGAGAAGGAATTCAAAGACAAAAAGGAGAAAGGGCCTGCAGGCACATAAAAGGAGGCAGCAGATGGCGCACCGTGGGGTGGCTGTGCAGCGCCAGGTGAGACCGCCTGGTCAAGGCCAAGGAAGCTCAAGGTCAAGGAGGCTGTGGGTGCCAGAGGTTCAAGACGTCTCATCTCACCCCATCACAGATTATGGATGTATGTCCCTTTCTTCTAGGCAGGCTGGGATCAGACAGGTTCCCTGTGACTACCAAGAGAACGGTTGTCACTTCTGCCTATGTATCTTTCCAGCAGGGCTGGGACCACATGGGAAGGTAAGGTCTGATTTTAAAACTTACCTTGAATTACCATTCTCATTTTCTACAATTTTGTTTAAGGTCTCTTCATGTTCTCTCAGCATCCTTCAAAGCCCCCTTCAAGTGCTCTCTCTGCAACAAGTTCAGCCCATACAGACACAGGTGGCCTGGCCTCTCTGTGATCCCCTTCCCCGAGCCTGGAGATAAACTGCTGTACACTGTTTCTACCCAACTATATTCTAGTATGTTTAAAGACGGAGACCATGTCATTTTTTCCCCTTTTTTTCTTTTTTGAGAGGATCAAGGCCTGGTCCACTAGACTAGCATGGGGTACAGTGTAACATATAAATATTTCAGAAGTTACACTTTAAGCAAATGGGATCAGAAAATGTCATACATAACTAGAAATGTTATCCAACTAGTTAATTTTCAAATTTCACCGGAAAGCAATTGATGAAGTCTGGAAGTTTTTACCTTCCCATTCTCACGCTGGGGGTAAATAGGTCATAACATAAATTAGATCCAAATTCTTTGCTATTTCGCCATTATAAATTACTATTCATCCTAGATAAGTGTCTATTTACAAGGGCATATAACAGAAATATCTGGCAGGCTCATGAAGACATCCATTCTCCTCAGGAGAAACAAGAGATATGTTTCCACTGACAGATATGGTGCCAATGAACACCTGCAAATCCTGTGGGAGGAGAGGATTCAACATAGCAGTTTTCACCACATTTTTGGATCTTATTCTATAGCTAGTACTGATTTATTTATTTTATTTTAATTTTTTTTTTTGGAGTTGGAATCTTGCTCCGTTGTCCAGGCTGGAGTGCAGTGGTATGATCTCAGCTCACCGCAATCTCCGCAGCCTGGGTTCAAACAATTCTCCTGCCTCAGCCTCCTGAGTAGCTGGGATTACAGGCGCCCGCCACCACACCTGGCTAATTTTTGTATTTTTAGTTGAGATGGGGTTTCGCCATGTTGGCCAGGCTGGTCTCGAACTCCTGACCTCAAGTGATCCACCCGCCTTGGCCTCCCAAAGTGCTAGGATTACAGGCATCAGCCACCGCACCCAGCTACTAGTACTGATTTTATGATATCTATGTAAATACCCTCTTATCACCACATATATTTAAGCAGCACATATGAGTTATATCCTGTGTTACTAAGACCAAAAAAAAATACTGATTGAACAGTAATAAATGGATCAGAAAACAAATACAAAGGCATTAGAGGACAAGTCAGAATTAATTAAGGGAGAGTCAGAAATTAAGTTAAGGGAGAGAACCATTTGATGTAATGGAATAAAAGAAGGCAATCATTCAGGTGATAAAAGTAACTGATAACACATCTATATTTTGACATGTTCTTGAAGGAGGGGAAGGGAAAAACAGTATAAAACAACTAGATTTTAGGTAGCTGCCTCAGATTAATTACCTGTTAACACTGTCATTTGCTAGCTGGAGTCCACAGTCTATCTGCAACACTGTTTTATAATCCACATAAGCTTTCCCATACTGCTCTAGAGTTTCATAGGCCATCGCCCGCCTCAGAAGAGGTTTCATAGAGAATGGATGAAGTTCCAGAGCCCTAAAGAAGACAAAAATATTACATACCATTTGTTTTGAAAAATGCTCTTTCGTTTATACTTCACTGAATAGATACTGCAGTACTGAACTCTCAAATATGTACACATCCGAGACTTCGTCTTGGGAACCAGGCAACATGCCAGAAAGGCAAACCCAGAGTAAGAAAGCAATCATATTTGTGTTCCTTTCTTTTAAACCAGTAGCAAAGCACTCTGCATTTACTCTTTCCCACTGAGCCGGGAGCTCCCTGGCAGCATGTCCTGGCCTCCCCAGTCCCCTAACAGAGCAGCATGGCACAAGGCACACAGCAGGGTTTCAACAGATTGTCGTTGACAGATTAAAATGAAAATTCTTATTTGCACCTATGTATTTAATAATAAAGTACAGAACCATAAAAGTTGCATCACATTTTGAAAATCGGCACTCTAAAACTTATTAGTTCATTATGATTCACTTGCTGCAAAAGGGCTTCAAAAACAGACCAAAGGGGAATCAAGGAACTAAACCTACAATGATTTCTTCTAAGTTATGAATTTTCATCTTGCACGTTTTAGTCTATGAAGTGTTTCCAATATCACTAAAGATGTATCTCATGGTTGTGTTTTTTGGTTTTGTTTGAAGTGTTTAAAGCTACTTCAGCATTTAACGTACTTCATTATATTCTGAAGTAAAACAATAAAAAAACTGTACATATAATCCTCGATTTACAATATGGTTATGTCCCAATAATCCCATGGTAAACTGAAAATATGTTAAGTCAAAAGGCAGCGCAGAGCCTTTGGTTAAGGAATCACAAATCTGTATTTATGAATGAAAACTATAGTACTCTTGGTTTTAACAAAATCAACAGAAGCTGCAAAGAAGTCCTCCATGCAGAGATCCTATGAAGAGCCTCCTTTCTATATAACCTAACTAACATCTGCACCAGACTGTCCACATTGAAGATGGTGGATTTATTCTTTCAACTCATGCTATAAACAGTTAATATAACAAGTATTTAACTTTCCAGGAAAGCATGAGCAAGGGCTGCTTTCTTTAACTTGCTGTTTTTCCGATACTCTTAGAAATCTGCTGTCTATTCCTGTCTACAATGATTCAGCAATGAGGAAACATTGACAGAGTATCTGCTATGTGCTAGTCACTGTAGACTTCCCCATCTAATCTCACAACAAACCTGTCAGGTAAATATTAATATGTTCATTATGTGGGTGAAGAAACAGAAACATGAGGAGTGACATGCCCACAGGTCAGTTCTTTCTAATGTGAGCTTCAGGAAGGCAATTGGCATTGCCTGTCCTGAGCACCACTATATTCCCAGTCCTAGATCACCTGGGTCATGAGAGGCACTCAGCAAACTTCTCTGTGAGCCCTCAAAAGCCTACACTCTGCCTACCGCAGTACACATACAAACACTGCAAATGAAGGAACTCTTGAGTCATTTGCCACTCAGACCACATCATACAGATACTCAGCTGCACTTGTGGGAGCCCTTCTGGCATATCATAGAAGTTACTCTAGAAATGCTGTTAAACCTAATCTGCTTCACTTCTCTGAAAAAATAACCAATTTCACTCTGCCTAGGTGTTAGGATTGTGAGTGATTTTAATGATAGTCTTTGTGCTGTGCTAGTTTTTTCTTAAGTTTTCTATAATAGGTAAGTGGTTTTTTAAAACAGTAAATGTTATTTAAAATATAAAATTAAAATCAAGTAAACATATTTCAACACTAGAAAATAGATCTGTGGGCATCAGGATCTGTCACCTGTACCACTGCCTTAAATTTAGCTTAGTTTAATGTTTAGGTAATATTAACTCTATGAGCAGAGTCACAACCATGTGACTACCTTCACTTCACAGAAGACTTCCAATGACCAAGGTGCCATTTATCTATTCAAGATGGCCTTAAGCCAAGCTTGGGATCTAAAACTGATGAGATGCTGTATTAATTTTTAGCACTTTCTGCCCAGTAAATTTATTTCTTTAACTACAATCCTGAAAATGAATATGAACTTATGAATGGAAATTCCATTAAGGAAAAAAACCACCCATGTATAAAAATAAGCACAGAGAACTTTTGAAGCAGAGCTTACAAAAGAGGCTATCTATTCAAGGTAACACAGTTAAGACCCTAAAAAATCTTCCAATTTCAAGACTGTGAGAGTAGCAAAGATAAGAAAAAGCAGAGAACTGGCCAGGCACGGTGGCTCAAGCCTGTATGTAATCCCAGAACTTTGGGAGGCCAAGGTTGGCAGACCACTTGAGGCCAGGAGTTCAAGACTAGCCTGGCCAACATGGCAAAACCCTGTTTCTACTAAAAAAAAAATACAAAAATTAGCTGGGTTAGGTGGTGCACACCTGTAATCCCAGCTACTTGGGAGGCTGAGGTACAAGAATCGCTTGAACCCAGGAGGCAGAGGCTGCAGTGAGCAGAGATCATGCCATTGCACTCCAACCTGGGTGATAGAGTGAGACTCTGTCTCAAAAAAAAAGAAAAGAAAAGAAAAACGAAAAAGGAGAGAATTACTAGGCAACATTCATTTGTATTTAGTCTGTTGAAATGTCCTCAATGGAAAGTCACCAAAAGATTTTTGGTGTGGTTTAGATAAACCAAAAAGGTTCTGATAGATGAGAAAAGTGAAGTATTTTAGCTTATAAACAATTATGAGTATTTTAAAAGTTGTAAAATGATGGCTTTCAAACTGAAGCATCATAACCCCTTTTCATGTTTCACCTGGAGGTCTAAAAGAGTCATGGAGATGCTGTGGTGAGGGGAGAGGCCAGGCTTAGAGACCTTCAAGATCTTCAACACCCCCCCAACCCCAACTCTGCACTCCAAATGGCCACTCTCCAAACACACCCCTGGAAAACAACCAATGCTCCTCAGAGGTAAGACATTTAAAATCAAATGGTAGTTTTTCCCAAAATACATTTAAAAATTATTTTCATAGGTAAAATTTTCTCCTCTTATTTTAAATTTTGCCTGTTTTTCTTTCTCAGTGTTTGACTCCTGATACCACTTATCTGGTGATAAGAACTTTTGGGCCAGGCACAGTGGCTCATCCCTGTAATCCCAGCACTTTGGGAGGCCAAACCAGGTGGATCACTTGAGGTCAGGAATTCAAGACCAGCCTGGCCTGCAGCATGGTGAAACCCCTTCTCTACAAAAAATATGAAAAATTAGCCAGGTGCGGTGGTGAGTGCCTGTAATCCCAGCAACTCGGGAGGCTGAGGCAGGAGAATCACTTGAACCTGGGAGGCAGAGGTTGCAATGAGCTGAGATTGCGCCACTGCACTCCAGCCTCGGGGACAGAGCAAGACTCAGTCTCAAAAAAAAAAAAAAAAAAAAAAAGAACTCATGGAACTCTCCAAAGAGCAAAGATAATTAACTGAAAAACTAAAACAAAACAAAATGAAAACACAAAAACTCCCTTTAACATGTATGCAATCTGTTTGAATATAGTCACTTGAGCTGAAAAGATGTTCACAAAAGCACAGAGTGGCTTCTCTGGCATTAAAACAAGATTGAGAATCACTGCTTTAGTGTAAAATCACCCCCTGCTGGGCCTCATCTCCATTTCTCTTACACTGGGACTGGTAGGCCAGCTATCAAAGAAAACATCTGAGTAGGTCGGTCTCTACGGAGGTCAGCACCAACCAGCAAGGCCAGGTTCCTTGCCTAGAAAACAGCTCTTAAGGTTAGCACAACCTACCTAAACCGACGCCCACTTCCCTCTCTGGTGAGCCATCTCCTGCCCTCCCCTTGGACAAGCCCCTACTCTAGCCACCCTGGACACCATGGCTGGAGTCCCATACTTGACTTTCTCCTCTGTCTACACTGAAACACAGCCAATTTTAGCCAGTAAATGTTAATCACCTTAGAGGATCTCAGATAAGGACAACACAAATCCACTCTTTTGCAGCAGCTCTAATGTTAGGGGTCTCAAGTTTTAACTAAAGTGTCCTGACCTCCCTCACTGTGGAAAGGCCTAAAACAAGTCTGAAGGGTAATGGATTAGAAACAGACAGTTGAGCTGAAAGGATGTTGGCTGCAAATCACCACGGGCTTGGTATCCAACAAATTCACATGGTCTGGTCTGTTAGGAGCACTGGTAAAAGCCCTTAACAACTGGCTCTCTGGGTAAAGAAAAAAGGAGGGGTGGGAAGCCCAGATTTGTGGCATTTGCTCATTTCATGGTATTAAATGGTATCCCACCATGGCAGATTTCAAAATATCAACTTGACATCAACCAGCTCACAAAATCCTGAAAAATGTAATGATTAGCGAGTGTGAGCCAGCACAACTGAGGATGCGGTCTGATGTCAGGCCAAAGAGAATATAAGTATTATTCACTTCAAATTTAAATATGTAAAACTGGCAAAAAAATTCAAGTGCCTCAAGGCCTTCTTTTTAAACTTAGGCACAGATACTAGCAAGCTTTACCCATATCAATAAACTGGGCCGGGCGCGGTGGCTCACGCCTGTAATCCCAGCACTTTGGGAGGCCGAGGCGGGTGGATCACGAGGTCAGGAGATCAAGGCCATTCTGGCTAACACTGTGAAACCCCGTCTCTACTAAAAATACAAAAAATTAGCCGGGCATGGTGGCGGGCGCCTGCAGTCCCAGCTACTCTCCAGGCTGAGGCAGGAGAATGGGGTGAACCCAGGAGGCGGAGCTTGCAGTGAGCCGAGATGGCGCCTGGGCAACAGAGCGAGACTCTGTCTCAAAAACAAAACAAAACAAAAAAACAAAATAAACTGATACAGCCAATGAAAACAATAATACATTACTCACCTTATAAACAGTGTCCACATAATTTACTGTTCAAACTAGAGTTTCTGAGAGTGTTATATGAGACAACAGGAGTAAGCCAGAGCTGTGTTAGTCAAACTAGGACATGACTTCTTCTTTTTTAGATGTACTAATAGTAGCTTCTTGCCAAAGGGCTTCTTATTACTTCATGGTGGAAAACAATGTTTTATTTATGTAGCTATTTACCATCCAGGCAGGTAACTTATTGAGTACCACGGGTGACTATTATGCTTCGAGGGGTACGAAGCTGTATAAGACAGGGTTCCTCAGAGGACACCAGAGGATGGAAAGGGTAGGGGGAAGAGGGGGACAGGCAGAGATTTGTTAAAGGATATAAAATTACAGCTAGATAGGAGGCACATGTTCTAGTGTTCTATAGCACTGTAGGATGACTATAGTTAACAATGATACATAGTTTCATATATATATATATATATATATATATATATATATATATATATATATATATATATATATATATGAGTAAAGTTTACAGAGTCTCTTGTCTGTTGCCCAGGCTGGACTGCAGTGGTGGCATCTCTGCTCACTGCAACATCTGCCTCCCAGGTTCAAGCAATTTTCCTGCTTCAGCCTCCCGAGTAGCTGAGACTACAAGGGTATGCCACCAGGCCCAGCTAATTTTTGTATTTTTAGTAGAGACTAGCTTTCATCATGTTGGCCAGGACGGTCTCAAACTGACCTCAAGCAATCCACCCACCTTGGCCTGCCAAAATGCTGGGATTACAGGCGTGAGCCACTGTGCCTGGCCATGAGCCACTGTGCCTGGCCACATCATATATATCGAAGCATCACTCGGTACCCCATAAATATGTACAGTGATTATTTGTCTATTAAAAAAGAAAAGACATGGTTCCTAACCTCGATGTGTTTAAACCCCCTTCAGTGGATAACAGGACTTAGAGGTGTGACCGAGTGTCAGTGTAGGTGTTACAGGCCTGCAGATGACCAGGAAGTCTAGGGCACTCAAGAAGGTAGAGAGAAGGGGCAGCTGAGCAAGAACTTCAGAAGATAAGATGTGCAAAGGGCATTACCACCATTAGGGGCAACATGGGCAAGGGCTCAGAGAACAAGGTGGGCGAGAGTAAGCAAGTGGTCCAGTAGACCAAACGGAAGGAGAAACTTGCTTGGAGGCAGTGTAGTGACAGAGAAGTTTACAGTTATTTCGAAGCCAATACTGAGCCATTAAAGGCCTGTTGGAAACAATCTGAACAAAATAATGTTTCAGGAAAGTTATTCTGATGCCGCAGTGGATTGGAATTAGTTATCAGGCTTCTCCAGTAGTCTAGGAGTGATATGAAAAGAGCACGAATTAGGGCGGTAGCAGTGGAAATGAAAAAAGTTTGCACAATCTTCTATAACTCTCTTCATATACGTAAGATAATTTATGATTTTTATGCATCAATCAATTAACATACCATAAAGCTCTTAAGAAATTAGATCCTTAGGCAGAAAATTTAGGATCTTGGATATTGCATTCACCATAATGAAATTATAACAATCTCTTGACAAACCTGAAAACGTGCAGTTTACCTGTTACAATCTTGAATGCAGCCACTGCAGTTTCCTTCTTTTAGGTAACATGCTGCTCTATTTGAATATAAGATACTTAGATCATCTGCAATTTCACTTCCTAAAAATCACATTTAATTAAATACAGTTAAAATCCATTAGCAAGATCACAGTTCACCAGAATTACAAGACGGCCGAGGTCTCCGGTGGGGTGGCACTGCAGTCCTGCAGACTGATCATGCAGAACTCCACGGAGCTGCTACCCGCAACAGCCACCAAGGGAAAACCCGGCGGGGACGGAGGCAAACGTGCCTGGCCGGGAACATGCCGGCATTCCCAGGTGCTGCTCACTGAGGTCAGGTGGCACGGCGCTCTTAGTCACCTGGGAGGAATGCAGCGATGCCGGCGCCTGTCATTCAGGAGGCGGCAGCGCCTCTCCCACGGGGGCCCCGGAGGTCGGGTGAACCGCAGCGCGAGGGGCCCAGGAAGCGGCGGGGCGCGGCGCACCTACCTGCTGGCTCCAGGAGCGCGATTGCCGCCGAGTACTTGCCGGCCGCCTCGGCGAACTGCCCGCTTCGGAACAGCTCGTTGCCCTGGCTCTTCAGGCCGGCAGGGTTCTCCGCGCCCTGCCCGCCGCCCGGATGCCCGGTGGCGCCGCCGCCCGCCGCCGCCGCCGCAGAGGCCCGCCGTGGGCTCCGCTTGTCCGCGCCGGCCTCCGGGGTCTGGCCCCGCTGCGGCGCGCCCCTTGCCGGCCGCTTGCCGCCTTCGGCTTTGCCAGTCAGCTTCTTCTGGATGTTGCCCATGACGCACGGCTGGGCGGCGCGCGCGGCTCCCGCCGGCTCCGCGGGCTCTGTGAGGAAGTGGATGCGGGAAGTGAGGGTTTGCATCACCGGGAGCAGTTGCCGCGGAGGCCGCGGAGGCCGCGGGGGTGCAGGACGCGGAGGGCGGGCTCTAGGGAAGCCGGCTCGGGCACCGCCCCTGCGGGCGGAGCCTGTGCTGCCGGACCTCTAGAGCCAGTCGGCCCAGTCCGCTCCCTCGAGGCCCCCTGCGGCTTCCTGAGGACTCGGCTCCCGGGTTTCGGCCAGAAACGTACCCTGTCTCTAACTGTTTAAGCGCTGAAGGGCCTGTGGCTGAAAACCGGCATCTCAGAGCCATCCCCTTCATCAAGTCCACCTGTCCAGGTGAGCTTACAAAATACGTACTTTTTTGAATGGAGTTGCAAAAACTTGAATACAATTATAATACCCAACACGGAGGCACCTTTCCTTATTTTAAAAGATTAGGAGAAAAAGATTTGAAAGAAAAATAAAGCGTAAGTGATTTTTAAGTCATTTTAAAAGTGAATTTAGCAAAAAAGTCACAAATTAGGCACCTAGTTTTTAAACTTAAAGGGAGCCTTAAAAACACAGCAAATTTTCCATCCCATTGCCTTATTCAAACTAAAAATTTCTTTGATTTTGATTAGGAGTTCAGGTATTAATAGCTTTAATAATTGTTGAATCTATTTTTAAATATAAAAAGGATGTGTAAATATTTAATTTATGGTGTCTTAGCAATATTTAAAACAAAGCAATTAATCATTTCACAGCACCGTTAAAAAGTACTTAAATATAGAGATTTCCAAGCTTTCTCTTTTAACGAATTCTTATCTGATTCTTAATGGATATATTTTCCATTCTTTTTCATGAATGGTAAAGCCAAGATTTTAAGCACAGAGACAGAGGGAATAGAAAAGCACAATTATTTAAGTGAAAATCAGTGGATGATCACCTTAAGACAAGCATCAAGTATAAAAACACATTAATAAATACTGTTTTCTATACAGCAGAATAACATCCAATTTGGATCACCAGCCAAAGGGATCTTAATTATTAAAACAATAAAAAGATTTTGCTATAAAGATAAATCTGCAGATTAAACCCAGTAGGGTTATTAGAGTAAGGCTCCAGTTTTAATCTGGTTTCTGTCAATCAGGTTCTCCACCAGAAACTGGGTGAAAGCACAAAAGTCAGGGTCGGCAGAAACAATGGTCAGCTTGGTATTACTTTCCACCCCTTTGCACAGTATCCCCTCGGGTCTGACCAATGCTATCACTAAAGAGCTGCAGTTCATTTAGAACTTGATATGGATCACATTAATCCTAATACCAAGTATTATCATTCCCACTTTACAAATGAGGCAACAGAGAAACAAGAAGCTAAGGAATGCGCTCTAGTACACAGAGCTAGAAGCCAGCATAACTCGGACTTGTTTTTATTTTTATTATTTGTTTGTATTTATTTTGACACAGGGTCTTGCTCTATTGCCCAGGGTGGAGTGCAATGGTGCCATCATAGCTCACTGCAGCCTCAACCTCTGGGGCAGGCAATCCTCCCCTTAGCTTCCAGAGCAGCTGGGACTACAGGTGAGAGCCAGCCACCATGCCTGGCTAATGTTTAAAATTTTTTATACAGATGAGGCCTTGCTATGTTGTCCAGGATGGTCTCAAAGTCCTGGTCTCAAGCAGTCCTCTCTCCTTGGCCTTCCAAAGTCCTGGGATTGCAGGCATGAGCCACTGTGCCCAGCCATAACCCAGATTTGAACTGAATGCAAAGCATTCTTACCTTAAGATTGAAATGGCTCTGAACAACTTTGATAGTCTCTGGACAGGTAAACAGAGGCCCAAACATGAAAGACTTGTGAGTTCTGTTGGGTGTTGGGATACCCGTGGGACAATGCAATGGAGCTGTTCAGAGGGTGGCTCTACATGTAGATCAGAGAAGTGGCCTTATCCAGAGACAGTGACTTGGGAGTTACTAATATATAAAAGTTTGGGGCCGGGCACGGTGGCTCATGCCTGTAATCCCAGCACTTTAGGAAGCTGAGGCAGGCAGATCACAAGGTCAGGAGTTCGAGACCACCCTGGCCAACATGGTGAACCCTGTCTCTACTAAAAATACAAAAATTAGCTGGGCATGGTATCAGGTGCCTGTAATCCCAGCTACTCAAAAGGCTGAGGCAGGAGAATCATTTGGACCCCGGGAGGTGGAGGTTGCAGTGAGCCAAGATCACACCATTGCACTCCACCCTGGGCGACAGGGCAAAACTCCATCTCAAAAAAAAAAAAAAGTTTGGGTGTGGAACTGGCAAGGTGGCTCACCCCTATAATCCTAGCACTCTGGCAGGCTGAGGCAGGAGGATTGCTTGAGGCCACTAGTTTGAAGCAAGCCTGGGCAACATAGCAAGACTCCATCTCTACAAAAAATAAAAATAAAAGTTTGGATGTGGATGGGATCACTCAAAGGCTCATAAGGATCCCTGAGATATACTAACACTTAAAGGATGAAGAGAGGAAAAATCTACAGTGTAGGCACAGAAATGCCTAGAAATGAGAGAAAAAAACAGGAGCGCATACTGCCTCAGAAACACCAAGAGTAGTTTGGGAAGAAAGGAGTCAACAATAACAACTATCAAAGGAATGAATGGCCAACAGTGTAGCCTCAAGTAGGGTAGTGTGAGTAGTTGATAGACCAAAAATCCTCAGCAAAATACTAGCGAACAGATTCAACAGCATACTGAATGGATTATACACCATGGCCAAGTGGGATTTATCCCAGGAATACAAAGGTAGTTCAGCATTAGAAAATCAATCAATGCCAACACACCTCATTAACAGAAAAAGTAAAGAATTGCATACATGATCCCACAATTGATGCTGAAAAGGCATGACAAAATCCAACATGCTTTCATGATTTAAAAAAAAAAAAAACTCAGAAAACTAGGAATAGAAGTGAAATTCCTCAACATAATAAAGTATATTTATGAAAAACCCAGAGCCAACATCATATTCAAAGATAAAAGTAATGAAAGCTTTCCCTTAAACATCAGCAACAAGACAAGGATGCCCATTTTCACCACGGCTATTCAACACTGTACTAAAAGTTGTAGACTGATCAATTAGGCACTAAAATGAAATAAAAGGCATCCAAATTGGAAAGAAAGTAAAAGTATCTCTATTCATAATTATATGATCCTATTTATATTAAAAAAAAAGAATCCACCCCCTTCACCACCCCCACCAAAAAAAACTAGAGCAATAAACAAATTTAGCTAAGTTGTAGGGTATAAGATCAACAAGCCAAAATCAGTGTTTCTATACACTAGCAATGAACAGAGCAAAAAGGAAATCAAGGAAACAATTATATTTATAATAGCATCCAAAAGAATAAAATACCTAGGAATAAATTTAACCAAGGAGATAAAAGTATTGCTTTAAGAAATTTTTTAAAAGACTTGAATAAATGGAAATATATCCTGTAATCATAGGAAGACTTATTGTTATTAAGGTTAAAATGTTAATACTACTCAAAGCAATCTACAGATGCAACACAATCCTATCAAAACTTTTTGCAGAAATGGAAAAGACAATCCTTAAATTCATACAATATTGTAAGGAGTTCAGAATAGCCAAAAAGATCCTGAAAAAATAGAGCAAAATCAAAGGACTCTCTTTTCTTCTTCTTTTTTTTTTTTTGAGACAGGGTCTCACTCTAATGATATATTAGTCAGGGTTCTCTCTAGAGGGACAGAATTAATAGGATATATAATATATATATTAGTAGGATTATATATATAGTAGGAATATATATATATATATGTATATAAAGGGGAGTTTATTCAGTATTAACTTACATGATCACAAGGTCCCACAATAGGCTGTCTACAAGCTTGAGGTGCAAGGAGAGCCAGTCCAAGTCTCAACAATGAAGAACTTGGAGTGTGATGTTCAAGGGCAGGAATCACCCAGCACAGGAGAAAGATGTAGGCTGGGAGGCTAGGCCAGTCTCTCCTTTTCATGTTTTTCTGTCTGCTTTATATTCGCTGGCAGCTGATTAGAGTGTGCCCACCAGATTAAGGGTGGATCTGCCTTCCCCAGCCCACTGACTCAAATGTTAATCTCCTTTGGCAACACCCTCACAGACACACCCAGGATCAATACTTTGTATCCTTCAATCCAATCAAGTTGACACTCAGTATTAACCATTTCAACCACCCCTTGTCAATTTGAACCCATATACATTTCCTGAGATTATACATAATCTTCAAATAAAGACAATAATAAGGTCATAATTACACCTAACATAATACAACTATCCTTTGTACAACCAGAAATGCACCAATCCCCAACCCAAATACTATAATATAAAGTTAATACTTAAATGCTGATATGAAGTCAATAAATCTTATGTCACATGATAAAGGAAAAAGGAAATAAAATGAAGACATTTCTTAGTACAAATGTATACATGCACAAACATGTTTTTAACAAAAGGAGAAAATACTCATGACAATTACAGTCCCCGTTTCTGCAGCTGGTCACGTGGTCATAGCTGGTATTGATGACTACCTTCTTCTACTACCCATTCTATATTCCCTTTGCCTTCAGCAAGCACCTCGGCAGGTCGTGGTTTTTTTTCCTGATGGAGTGATCCAAACTTTCATTCCTGAAGGGTCTGGGCCATTTGTAGTCCTGGCTGGGTTGGGCTATTGTAATTTCCCATTGACCTTAATCAGAGGGCATGGTAATACTAAGACACGCCCTCATGGATCTCCTGCATTCCATGCATACTCTTACTTACCTCCATTGTGGAGTAGACTGATTTTGTCTTGAGAGTCCGGGTCAATCACCCAGCCAACACTGTGACTCCATTCTTAGCCAGTTGACTTAAAGGTAGGAGGAGCACAAAGTGTCCAGGTGGCAATCTTAACTTCCAGTTTAACAGGATCATTGTTGTGTCTCCTTGTGGCAGCATTCCTCCCTCTGGAACTAAGACCTCTAGGCCAGCAGAACGTAATGTCACAAGAACAGGAAGCAATAATTTTGCTAGTGGATTGCTAGGGGTGATGGTGAGTGGTACCACTTCCACTTCCACCCCTTGATTCCTGGACCCATGAATCCTGGCTATGGGGGGAAGAGTACCATATATTGGACACTGATTCAGAGTATACACGGCCTTCTGGAGAACTTTGCCCCAGCCCTGCAAAGTATTGTCACCTAGTTGATTTTGTAATTGTGACTTCAAAAGGCCATTCTACCATTCTATCAATTCAGCTGCTTCAGGATGATGGAGAATATGGTAAGACCAGTGAATTCCATGAGTATGAGCCCACTGCCACACTTCTTTAGCCATAAAGTGAGTGCCTTGGTCAAAGGCAATGCCGTGTGGAATAACATGATGGCGGATAAGGCATTCCATGAGTCCATGGATGGTAGTCCTGGCAGAAGCATTGGGTGCTTCTTCCAAGTCCCTGACCATCCAGCCAAACCATTGGCTACAACCCATGAATCAGTGTATAATCACACATCTGGCCATTTCTCCTTCTATGCAAAGTGTACCACCAGGTGCACTGCTTGAAGTTCTGCCCACTGGGAAGATTTCCCTTCACTGCTGTCCTTCAGGGATGTCCTGGAAAGGGGCTGTAGTGCTGTAGCTGTCCACTTTTGGGTGATGCCTGCATATCGTGTAGAACCATCAGTGAACCAGGCCCTAGTCTTCTCTTAGTCTGTCAACTGATCACAGGAAACTCCCCAGGAGGCCATCGGTGCAGGCTGGGGGAGAGAAGGCAAGGTGGCAGGAGTGGAGACCATGGGCATTTGAGCCACCTCCTCATGTAACTTATTTGTGCCTTCAGAACCTGCTTGAGCCTGAT
Source organism: Homo sapiens (assembly GCF_000001405.40). Taxonomy (NCBI): domain Eukaryota; kingdom Metazoa; phylum Chordata; class Mammalia; order Primates; family Hominidae; genus Homo; species Homo sapiens. The sequence continues at coordinate 100,207,249 of NC_000008.11, read as the reverse complement.
CACATATAGACCACTTCCATTTGATGATGGAAGGCTGCTGTGCACAACCTACCTTATGGCTAGATGGGTCAGAAAGCACTCAGTTCATGATAGGCAGTTCAGGTTGCATGGTGACTTGATGACCCATAGTCAAATGTTCAGTTTCCACCAAAGCCCAGTAACAGGCCAAGAGCTGTCTCAAGAGGAAAGCAGTTATCTGCAGAAGATGGCAGGGCCTTGCTCCAAAATCCTAGAGGCCTCCACTGTGATTCATCTATGGGGGCCTGCCAAAGGCTCCAAACGGCATCCCTATCTGCCACTGACACCTCAAGCACCATTGGATCTGCTAGGTCATATGGCCCAAGTGGCAGAGCAGCTTGCACAGCAGCTTGGACCTGTGGCAGAGCCTTCTCCTGTTCTGGACCCTGCTCAAAATCAGCCGCCTTTCAGGTCACTCGATAAATGGGCTGGAGTAACACACCCAAATGAAGAATGTGTTGCCTCGAAAATCCAAATAGGCCTTGTGACACCAGGCATTGTGTCTCTTTCTTGGTTGTAGGAGGGGCCAAAGGCCCCTTCACCTTAGAAGGAATATCTTCCTTCACCTTAGAAGGAATATCTTGCTTCACCTTAGAAGGAATATCTCGACAGGCCCCATACCACCGGAACCCAGGAAATTTTACTGAGGTAGAAGGTCCCTGAATTTTAGTTGGATTTATTTCCCATCCTCTTGCATGCAAATGTCTCACCAATAAGTCCAGTGTGTTTGCTACTTCTTGCTCGCTAGGTCCAGTCAGCATAACGTCATCAATATAATGTACCAGTGTGATATCTTGCCAAAGCAAAAAGCAATCAAGGTCTTTCCGAATAAGACTATGACACAAAGCCGCAGAGTTGATATACCCCTGAGGTAGGACAGTAAAGGTATATTGGTAACCTTGCCAGCTGACGGCAGATTGCTTCTGGTGGGCCTTATGGACAGGAATGGAGAAAAAGACATTTGCCAAGTCAGTGGCTGCATACCAGGTACCAGGAGATGTGTTAATTTGCTCAAGCAATGAAACCATATCTGGTACAGCAGCTGCAATTGGAGTCACCACTTGGTTAAGCTTACAATAATCCACTGTTATGCTCCAAGATCCATCGGTCTTCTGCACAGGCCAAATGGGGAAGTTGAATGGGAATGTGATGGGACTCACCACCCCTGCATCTTTCTTTTTTTTTTTTTTTTTTTTTTTTTTTTTTTTTTTTTTGAGACAGAGTCTCACTCTGTCGCCAGGCTGGAGTGCAGTGGCATGATCTCGGCTCACTGCAACCTCTGCCTCCCAGGTTCAAGCAGTTCTCCTGCCTCAGCCTCCTGAGTAGCTGGGACTACAGGCATGCACCACCATGTCCAGCTAATTTTTTTTTGTATTTTTAGTAGAGACGGGGTTTCACCATGTTGCCCAGGATGGTCTCGATCTCTTGACCTCGTGATCTGCCCGCCTCGGCCTCCCAAAGTGCTGGGATTACAGGCATGAACCACCATGCCCAGCCAGCCCTATCCCTACATCTTTTAAGTCCTTGATGGTGGCACTAATCTCTGCAGTCCCTCCAGGGATGCGATATTATTTATGATTTAATATTTTTCTAGGTAGAGGCAGCTCTAGTGGCTTCCATTTGGCCTTTCCCACCATAACAGCCTTCACCCTACCAGTCAGGGAGCTAATGTGGGGGTTCTGCCAGCTGCTAAGTATGTCTATGCCAATTATGCATTCTGGCACTGGGGAAATGACCACAGGATGAGTCCGGGGACCCACTGAACCCGCTGTAAGTCCTGAGCTAAAACTCCATTAATTACCTGAACTCCCTAAGTCCATACTTTACCTGGAGGACCGCAATGATGTTTTGGGTCTCCTGGAATCAGTATCAGCTCAGAGGCAGTGTCCAGTAGTCCCTGAAATGTCATTTCCCTTTCCCCAGTGCAAGTTACCCTGGTAAAAGGCCAGAGGTCTCCTTGGGGAAGGATGGGAGAAAGATTCACTGCATAAATTGTTGGTACTGTAGTGGGGTCCTTCCTCAAGGGGACCCAGACTCCACTTCATTCAAGGGGTTCTGGGTCTGCAAACTGGCTCAAGTCTGGAAATTAATTGAAAAGCCATGATTCTCTGTTTTTATAATTCAAATTAGTCTTTTGTCCATTTGACCTAGAAGTTTTCTGCTTGTATAAATTAAGTAGGAATGCAGTAGGCTTCCTATCAATTTCACTTCTAGGAACATCGTGATTAATTAGCCAATGCCAGAGCTCTACATGAGTCAGACTATTCTGATTGCTGCTTTGCCTCTACTGTCCATTATGGTAGCTACGTCCACCTTGCTTTTGATGGTTGAGTGCCACCACTTGGCTCCTGCCACCTCAGGATCCAATTATTCCCATTGTATTTAAATTTTGTAGGTGAGTGACTGCAGTTGCCACTGTTAGGTCTGACATACAGAGAAGAGCAATTACACGGCTCTTCAAAGATGCAGGTGCTCCCCTCACAAATCTATTTTACAAGGCATTCATCAAGGGTATATCTTCTGGACCCTCCCAGCTGGGATGAGTCAGTCTAAAGTGACTAATCCAGTTCACCATCCCAATCTCCCTAAGCCTTTGGATCCCTTCCTCTATATTAACCCAAAGGAGATCAGGCATTTCCAGCTGGCTCACAGTGGGCCATCTTTTAATCCATAATTCAGCTAACCAAGCAAATAATCTATTATAACCTTTTTTTTTTTTAACTCTCCAAGCTGCAACATTAAAAGCAGAGTCCCTACTTCATGGGCCCAAATCAATAAATTCAGCCTGATCCAACTCTATGTTCTTTCCACCATTATCCCACACCCTTAATATCCATTCCCATGCCTGTTCTCCAGATTTCTGTTTATATAAATTAGAGAACTCAAACAGTTATTTTTGAGTGTAGCGCACCTCCTTATGGGTCACACTCTCAACCTCACCTCTAGGGGCTGGCCAGAGGTCCCTGGCAGGACTTTAGTCTAGTTATAGGTCTAGAAGCAAACAAGGTTGTTGGGGGTGGCTTCTGAGGAGAATCAACATTATCTTGCCTGGCAACTGTCTCGGGAGGCCATCACTGTTGCGTCAGGCAGTGCAGGATTTATCTCCTCAGACAAAGGTGGAAAGGCTGATGGCAGCATGGATCAGGGAGGGGATGTTGCCACTACTGGGTATGGGGAATCTGTTCCTTCTGGCAAAAGAAAGGTTCATCAGAGTTTACAAATTCAGTGTCCCCAGTTTCATCAAGGTCCTCCTACACATCCCCATTCCAAGTTGTAGGGTCCCATTCTTTTCTAATCAATGCCCTTATTTTAACGGTAGACACCTGGCAAGGCTGTGCACGCACCTTTTGTTGCAGGTCAGCCACTCGCATGATGAGAGCTTGTGTCTGTTTTTCCACAATTTCAGCTCTTTCTCTACAGGAGATAAGACTCTCACTCAGGGCAATCTTGGCAGATTTGAGGCTCAGTATCTGCTTCTGAAGCTGAGAGACAGAATCCCTGAGTTCATTTTCTTTCACTACTTTGTCCACTGAACTTAGGAGCAACCAACCAGCTTCATTATGTTCCTTGGTTCTCCACATATGGTCAAAGGTACTATGTATAGAGTTACTAAACTCCTTGCCTCTCATGAGTGATGAATCAGAAGTGTCAAATGCATTTATTTTGCATAACTCTCTAAACAGTTCACACCAAGGACTATCAGTATTCTCCATACTATTAGAAGTAGAGTCCTTAGCATTTTTGGGTCTAATCATATTAAGTAGCCAACTCCAGAAACCCCAAAACCAACGAAAGAACTGCATCCTTAATAGTCTGTTCCTCTGGAACCACTCCGGGTACTAAAATCTATACTAGTCAGGTTTCTCTAGAGGGACAGAACTAATAGGAGATATATATATATATAAGCTTATTCAGTATTAACTTTCACAATCACAAGGTCCCACAATAGGCTGTCTGCAAGCTTGAGGAGCAAGGAGAGCTAGTCCAAGTCTCGAAACTGAAGAAATTGGAGTCTAATGTTCGAGGGCAGGAAGCACCCAGCACGGGAGAAAGATGTAGGCTGCTGGGAGGCTAGGCCAGTCTCTCCTTTCATGTTTTTCTGCCTGCTTATATTTGCTGGCAGCTGATTAGATTGTGCCCACCAGACTTAATGTTAATCTCTTTCAGCAATACCCTCACAGACACACCCAGGATCAATACTTTGTATCCTTCAATCCAATCAAGTTAACACTCAGTATTAACCAGCACAAACGCCAAGGCTGGAGTGCAGTGGTAGGCTCAATATAGCCTTGAACTTCTGGCCTCAGCCTCCCAAAGTGCTAGTATTACAGGCATGAGCCACTGCACCCAGTCTCACTCTTCTGGATTTCAAAACTTACTAAAAGCTAGAGTAATCAAAACAGTGTGGTATTGGCATAAGGAAAGACACATAGACCAGTGGAAAGGAACTGAGAGTTGATAAGTAAACCCATACATCTATGGCCAGTTGATTCTTTTTTTTTTTTTTTTTTTTTTTTTTTTTGAGACGGAGTCTCGCTCTGTCGCCCAGGCTGGAGTGCAGTGGCGCGATCTCGGCTCACTGCAAGCTCCGCCTCCCGGGTTCACGCCATTCTCCTGCCTCAGCCTCCCGAGTAGCTGGGACTACAGGCGCCCGCTACCACGCCCGGCTAATTTTTTGTATTTTTAGTAGAGACGGGGTTTCACCGTGTTAGCCAGGATGGTCTCGATCTCCTGACCTCGTGATCCGCCCGCCTCGGCCTCCCAAAGTGCTGGGATTACAGGCATGAGCCACCGCGCCCGGCCTGGCCAGTTGATTCTTGACAAGGGTGCCAAGTCTATTCAGTAGGAAAAGAACAGGTTTTTTTGTTTTGTTTTTTGTTTTTTTTTTTAAACAAATGGTGATGTGACAACTGGATTTCCACATACTAAAAACAAATAAAAACAAAACAGAAAACAAAACTAAGTTGGACGCTCTTTTGGAAAAACTCTCACAAACTGTTTTTCCTCTACTCTTACACCACCACAATAATCATCAACATAGAAGACTTCTGTGACCAAATGTGTGAGGGTTTATCCCCAGGCACCAAGCAGCAGATACTGGCTGAGCATCTTCCAGTTAAGTTCTGATGCTATATACCTGGAGATAGTGTCAGATTCCACAGGATGAGGGCTTAGTCCCCAAGGCTGTCTCCTACTCCAGACACCAGTTACAAGTCTGGGCCTCCAGAACTTCTCACCAACAGGTTTCAAGTTAGGGTTCCCATGACCCCTACTCTTTGAGTTCAATTAATTTGCTGGAGCAGCTCACTGAACTCCAGACAACATGTTTAATGGCTTATTACAAAGGATACTGCAAGGGTTACAGAGGAAGAGGTGCCTAGGGTGGCCAGGCACCTTCCAGGAACCTCCCTGTGTTCAGCTATCGGAAGGAAAATTTTTGAAGTCAGCATTCCTTCCCTCAGAGTATGTGGCAGGACCCTCTCTGGGGAGGGTCTTCTGACCCACAATCAGAAAGGCAGAGTAAGATTAGAGTCCTGCCTTGGGGAAGGTGAAAGGAGATCTGGAGAGATTGTTTCCTGAAGCCTCAGATAGCCAGCATTATGACAAAAGTCTGTAACAAGGGCTACGGGAGTTGTATAAATCAGGAACTATGACCAAAAAACATATATATATGGATATACACACACACATATGTAATACCACACACATTTACCTCACACTGTATATAAGAATTAAAATGGATCAATAACCCAATAACCTAAATACAAGAGCTAAAATCATAAAAATCTTAGAAAAACACAGGAGTTGCCCAGGCATAGTGGCTCATGCCTGTAATCCCAGCACTTTGGGAGGCTGAGGTGGGAGAATGTCTTGAGCCCAGGGGTTCAAGACCACCCTGAGTAACGAAGTGAGACCCCTGTCTCTACAAAAAATAAAAATGAAAAAATTAGGCAGGGATGCTGCCATGTGCCTGTAGTCCAGGCTACCTGGGAGGCTGAGGTAGGAGGATCACTTGAGCCCAGGAGTTAGAGGCTGCAGTGAGCTATGATTGTGCCACTCTGCATTTCAGTCTGGGCAACAGAGTAAGACCTTGTCTAAAAAAAGGAAGGAAGGAAGGAAGGAAGGAAAAAGAAATAAAACACAGGAGTAAGTTTTTAAACCTTGGATTTGACAATGGATTCTTATATATGATATCAAAAGTACAAGCAACAAAAGAAAAAAAATCTGAAAAAAATCTTTCTTAAGGGGGGCTCTGAAAAAAAAAATTGGACTTCATATAAAAATTTAAAACTTGTGCATCCAGCAAAAGAAACTACCAACAGAGTGAACAGGCAACCTACAAAATGGGAGACAATTTTTGCAATCTACTCATCTGACAAGGGGCTAATATCCAGAATCTACAAAGAACTCAAACAAATTTACAAGAAAAAAACAAACAACCCCATCAAAAAGTGGGCAAAGGATATGAACAGACACTTTTCAAAAGAAGACATTTATGCAGCCAACAGACATATGAAAAAATGCTCATCATCACTGGCCATCAGAGAAATGCAAATCAAAACCACAATGAGATACCATCTCACACCAGTTAGAATGGCAATCATTAAAAAGTCAGGAAACAACAGGTGCTGGAGAGGATGTGGAGAAATAGAAACGCTTTTACACTGTTGGTGGGACTGTAAACTAGTTCAACCATTGTGGAAGACAGTGTGGCGATTCCTCAAGGATCTAGAACTAGAAATACCATTTGACCCAGCCATCCCATTACTGGGGATATACTCAAAGGATTATAAATCATGCTGCTATAAAGACACATGCACACGTATGTTTATTGTGGCACTATTCACAATAGCAAAGACTTGGAACCAACCCAAATGTCCATCAATGATAGACTGGATTAAGAAAATGTGGCACATATACCCCATGGAATACTATGCAGCTATAAAAAAGGATGAGTTCATGTCCTTTGTAGGGACATGGATGAAGCTGGAAACCATCATTCTCAGCAAACTATCACAAGGACAGAAAACCAAACACTGCATGTTCTCACTCATAGGTGGGAATTGAACAATGAGAACACTTGGACACAGGAAGAGGAACATCACACACCGGGGCCTGTCATGGGGTTGGAGTGAGGGGAGGGATAGCATTAGGAGATATACCTAATGTAAATGACAAGTTAATGGGTGCAGCACACCAACATGGCACATGTATACATATGTAACAAACCTGCACGTTGTGCACATATACCCTAGAACTTAAAGTATAATAAAAAAAAAAGTCAAAATGAGTTGCTGCACCCTAAAAAAAAAACAAAAAACTTCTGCATCAAAGGAAATTATCAAAAAACTTAAAAGATAGCCCACAGAATGGGAAAAGTATTTGCAAATCATATTTAATAAGGGTCTAGTATCTAGAATATATAAAAAATGCTTACAACTCAACAGTAAAAAGATAAATAACCCAATTAAAAATGGGCAAAGAGGCTGAGCGCAGTGGCTCACATCTGTAATCCCAGCACTTTGGGAGGCCAAGGCAGGTGGATCACCTGAGGTCAGGGGTTCAAGACCAGCCTGGCCAACATGATGAAACTCCATCTCTACTAAAAATACAAAAAATTAGCTGGGCATGGTGGTGGGAGCCTGTAATCCCAGCTACTTGGGAGGCTGAGGCAGGAGAATTGCTTGAACCTGGGAGGCGGAGGTTGTAGTGAGCCAAGATCATGCCATTGCACTCCAGCCTGGGCAACAAGAGTGAAAATCCATCTCAACAACAACAACAAAAAAAAGGCAAAGAACTTGAATAGACATTTCTCCAAAGAGGATATAGAAATAGCCCATAGGGATTGAAGAGACAGTCAACATAATTAGTTCTTAGGAAAATGCAAATTAAAACCGTAAGGAGTTACCACTACATGCCCATTAAGATGGCTATAGCCAAAAAGGCAGACAATAACAAGTGCTGGCAAATATGTAAAGAAATTGGAACCCTTATTGCAGGTGGGAATGTAAAATGGGATAGCTACTTTGGAAAACAGTCTGCATTTCCTCAAAGTTAAACACAGAGTTAGTATATCATCCAGCAATTCCACTCCAAAATAATGCACAAGAAAATCTAAAACATCTGTTCAAACAAAAATCTGTACATGAGCGTTCATGACAGCATTATTCATAATAGCCAAAAAGTGGAAACAACCCAAAGGTCCATCAACTGGTGAATAAAGAAAATCTGGTATTATCTACACAATGGAATATTATTTCTACATAAAAAGGAATGAAGTACTAATGCAAGATGCAACATAGATGAACCTTGAAAACATTAAGTGAAAGACAGATACAAAAGTCTACATACTATGATTCCATTTGTATGAAATACTCAAGATAGGCAAATCCATACAAACAAAAGTAGACTAGTGGTTGCCAGGGGCCAGGGGAAGGGTAAAATGGGCAGTAACTGCCAATGGGTATAGAATTTCTTTTGGGGATGATAAAAATGTTCTGAAATTAGATCGTGGTGATAGTTGTACAACTTCATGAATATACTAAAATTCACTGAATTTGAAAAGGATGGATTTTACTATATATGCATTATATTAAAATATTTTTAATGCTTATCTTACCTCACTTTTGACAACAAAGGGTACTATTTTTTCTATCTCAGCCAATTTGATAGGAAAGAAAAAGAATATTTGATTTTCATTTTTATGAGTAATACAAAGATTACTGATCATTTCTATTTCTTCATTAGTGATTTGTCTGTATGCTTCGCCCAGTTTTGTACTAGCACCTCATCTTTTTCTTATTGTTTTGTAGAAACTTTTCATATTATAAGGTTATCAACCCTTTGCCATCTTTCCTAGTTTGTCATTTGTCTTTTAGTTTTTTTTATGGCGCCTAACATACACGTTTTTCATTTTCACATAATCAAAATTATTCACCTTTATGATTTTGTTGATTGTTTGAACTCCTGGAAATCCCTGACTTCCACTCTCCTGATCCTGCCAGTTCTAGCACAAGAGAAATACTGATCTATATTTATTCTTCTGTTTGTGAGTGACTTTAATTTTCTTAGCTTTCATTTTTAAGTAGCAACACCAACAGCACTGCAAGGGAGGGTAGATGCTCACTTTCCTCTGATTGCGTCTCTGTAAGGAGATAGATGGAATAAATACCAAACTCTTTGACAGCTACAGCTGTATGGTAATGGCCACTTCTTCCTTCTAAATGATCTCTACTAGAGAAGGCAAACAGATAGGGAGCTTCCAGGAAAAAGCCCATGAACTCAAATCCCCAGGTGTAATCATCCTGGCCAATAGGCAATTTGTTAATACTGGCCCTTAGAAGGAGAGGCAAAGAAAGCCTATCAATTGTCTTATCTCAGCACCTGACACAGAGTAGGTGCTCAATAATTGTCAGTTGTTAAATTAAATTCATCAGTTATGTTATACCCCAGTCGGGATGAACTGGGCCTGGCCAACCCGAGTGGAGATCATAAAGGGACAGCATTACCAGACAAGGTTAAAAAACACAAATTGCTGCCTTTTTCCATGGTCCTGGAACATACCCCATAATGACTGGGAATTCTTTCCCGGAATGTGATGAGATGGAGAACCACATGTAAAGATTCCAACTTGATAACTTTCCTCTGGGCTTTAACATGATTTTCCTAAAAGTGACTGGGGTTGCTTCTCTTGTGTCCAAGGCTCCAGCACCTCTTTTCACACTCTATCAAACAATGACTGTTTGATATGTAACTTGTTTGAATGTAACTAGTTCAATGTAACTAGAGGTGAATGTAAACTAGTTCAATTGATTTCATTTCATTTTAAGATGAAAAGATTATGTCTGAGTTTCCGGCTATTTATTCTACTTCATCTCAATTGACTTTTCTGATAAAAGGGAACTTACTGGTCTTAAAATTTCTATTATATTATTTTTCTAAAAAAAGATGGGGTCTCGTTATGTTGCCCAGGCTGGGATTGAACTTCTGGCCTTAAGCAACCCTCAGCCTCCTGAGCTCCCTGGGACTATGAGTGCATGCCACTGTGCCTGGCTTAAAAATTATATTCTTTCTATCAGAAAGAAACTTATAGCATCCACTGCTTATATTTGGAGGAGAAATTCTCAAATAAATATTCCAAGCTTCTGTCTTGAGAAACTATCTTAGAAAAAGAGGAGCAAGCTGAGTGCGGTGGTGTGCCTATAGTCCCATTTACTCGGGAGCCTGAGGTGGGAGAATCTTTGGCCCAGGAGCTTGAATCCAGCCTGGGCGAAATGGCGAGACTCCATCTCAAAAAGAAGAAAAGAAAAAGAGAAGCAAATGAACATAAAAACAAGCAGAAGGAAGAAAATAATAAAGAGTGATCATAGCTGTAGTGAGCCATGATCACACCTCTGCACTCTAGCCCGAACAACAGAGCAAGACCCTATCTCTGAAAAAGAAAAACTTACAAGAAAATCTTCATGACTTTGACTTAGGCAAAGTGTTCATCGATATAACATTAAAAGCACAGTCCATTAAAAAAACTGGATAAATTGTACTTCTACAAAATGAAAAACCTTTGCTCTGTAAAAGACTGTTAAAAGAATGAAAAAAGCTACAGACAAAAAAATTTTAAGACTTTGCATCAAGATTATAAAAAGAATTCTCAGGACTTAACAGTAGGAAAACAACAACCCAATTTTTGAAAATTGGTGGAATAATTTGAAGAGACACTTCACAAAAAGTAATATAGAGATGGTAAATGAGCACATAAAAAGATTCTCATCAGGAAAATGCAAATTAAAACTGATGAGAAACCACTATACACCTAATAGAATGGGTAAAAAGGGGAAAAAAATCAATACCAAATGCTGGCAAGGACGAGAAGCATCTAGAACTCTCATATGTTACTAATGGCAATGCAAAATGGTATAGCCACTCTGGAAAACAGTCAGGCAACTTCCAATAAAGTTAAACATATACTTGCCGTATGACCCAGCAGTCCCACTCTTAGCTATTTACTCAGGGGAAATGAAAACATATGTTTACACAAAAACCTGCAAATGAGTGTGTATAGCAGTTTTTACTCATGATTAGTGAATACTGGAAATAACCTGAATGTCCTTGAATAACCGAATGTATAAACTTTGGTACAACTATTAATGGAATGCTACTCAGCAGTAAAAAGGAATGAGACAATGATACATGCAGCTACATGAATGAATCTCAGTGACATGCTAAGTGAAGGAAGCTAGACTCAAAAGGTGACATACTTTCCAGTTCCATTTATAGGACATTCTGGAAAAGGTAAAGCTATAGGAATAGAGAAGAGCTGGGGTGAGGGAAGGGTTTCACTGAAAGGACAGCAAGAAGGCCTTTTTGGGTGGTAGAACTGTTCTGTATCCTGACTATGGTGATGGTTACATGAAACCGTACATGTATTAGAACTGTATATTCAAAAGGTTCATTTTTACTATATATAAAATTTTAAAATAACAATTTTAAAATAATAGGAAGTAATATAGTTTATACTTCATCTCACTTCAGATAAGATTTAAAATGGTTTCCTTTAACTGTAAGACATATGGTTAATTATGCAAAAGCTCAATATAAACCCTAAGAAGATTTGCTGCCAGATCGTATTTACAATCTGGCTAAAAGGCAAGCCTGAATCCTTGAAAAACTGGTTACCTTAATTTCTCCCTTTTCAATCCTTTTTATGTTCTCTCTTCCTTCTCACCTCTCTGATTGTCTTCCTCTTTCTCGCTCCCTCCCTTTCTGTTCCTTTGTCTTTATCCAGTCTTAACTGATTGTATTTTAATCTGAAGTGTATACATTGCATTATTTTTTGTCACTTAAAAAAATTAAAACTCGTTCTTTATTTTTAAAATTGAATGAACTGAACATTTTGTATCTCTCTCAAAATTAGAATATTCTGTCAAATTACTTACAAGTTGATTTTTACTTGTGAATGATTTTCAAAATTGATAATATCTCCCCCCTCCACTGCCCCGCCACTGCCAGTTGCTCAGGTGTTCTCAAGAAGGAGGGAAAAACCTTTTTTTCTTTTTCTTTTTTTTTTTTTGAGATGGAGTCTCGCTCTATTGCCCAGGCTGGAGTGCAATGGCACCATCTTGGCTCACCACAACCTCCGCCTCCCGGGTTTAAGCCACTCTCCTGCCTCAGCCTCCTGAGTAACTGGGGTTACAGGTGCATGCCATCACACCCAGCTAATTTTTGTATTTGGAGTAGAGACAGGGTTTCACCATGTTGGCCAGGCTGGTCTTGAACTCCTGACCTCATGATGCACCCGCCTCGGCCTCCCAAAATGCTGGGATTATAGGTGTGAGCCACCGCGCCCAGCTGACGGAGGGAAAAGTTTTTATGTCCCTTGTCATGTGAGGAGGCAAATCCTTCCCCTCAAAGTTGACATAACTTTCGATGTTTTATATTATGAAGATAACCCTTTATCTAGTCTAGATTCTCTTAAAATATTGTTTCAAGTGTTAAATTATACTTATTTCTTTTGCATATTTAAAATATTTTTGAAAAACACACATAGCAATTTTCTAGTAATACGTTCATTTTTGGCATATAAATGGGGCTACCCATACCTGTTTTGAAACCAACACATTTGTTTGCAATCAAGTAGATATATACAAAACAATTATCAAAGAGAGATATTTAAAGTTAACTGGCAAATGGTCTGTGTCAAATAAACACAGCCATTTACATTTAAAGGTGATGACCAGGAATTAAACTGAGCACTAGAAAAAGGTGACAGGTTAAGAAGGAAAATGGGTTTGAGAGATTCTACCAAGCTGTATTAAGAAAAAGATGAGCGAAACTGGCTTGTGAATTTACAAGGCAAAGCTAGAAAAACTGATAGATTACGAATTTCTGTACGAATAGAAAAATTGAGCCAGCTCATCATATTAAAAGGCAGCTTTTTACATAACCTAAATAGAAAAAATATTTTACTCTTATCTCCACCGCCATCTTCATGTTTTCTTCCGCTTTTTCCTTCTTCATCTTCGGAGTTTTCTATTTCCTGAATAACCATCCTTTTCCCTTTGGTTTGAGTCTCAGATGCAGCTTCAGAATTTTTCAGATCTCTTTCAACCTCTGACAAGGTTTTCTGCAACATAATTACCATATTAAAGAAAATATTTTCCTCTAATAATAAATATAACCATTCTTTCAGGTTAAAAACATAAAGATGTTGAAAAATGAATACAACTAAGACAAGGCTTTTTTTTGGTGGCCTTTGATTGTAATCATAGATGTCCACTGTAAAAAAAAAACACACACACACAAAAAGCGGTGTAACAAGTATAAAAAATAAAGAAAAAATCACCTAAAATCTTGCCATTCAGATACTACTATTAACATTTTGATAATCATCTTTCTAGATGTTTCTATGCATATATACCCACAGAGATGTACAGTTTTACACAAATGAAATCATGCTACATACGCTGTTTGTTTATTTAAAATATAGAGATGAGGTCTCACTATGTTGCCCAGTCTAGTCTCAAACGGTGGGATCAAGCAATCCTCTCACCTCAGCCTCCTGAAGTTCTGGGATTACAGGCGTGAGCTACCACACCCAGCCCACATTACTGTTTTAGAGTAATGCTGAAAATTCTGAAATATTTTATGCTGACTCTGATGAAAAATAGATATATCATCCTTTGTTGGATATACGATTTTCAAATATTTTCTCCCAGTCTGTGGTCTGTGGCTTTTTTGTTTGTTTTGTTTTGTTGTTGTTGGTGTTGTTGTTTCTGAGACAGGGTTTCCCTCTGCTGCCCCGGCTGGAGTACAGTGGTGCAATCACAGCTCACTGCAGCCTTGACCTCCCGGGCTCAAATTATCCTCCCACCCCTGCCTCCCGAGTAGCTAGGACTACAGGCCCACACCACCATGTCTGGCTAACTTTTTAAATTTTTTGTGGAGATGAAGTTCAGCTGTCTTGCCCAGGCTGGTCTTAAACTCCTGGGATCAAGTGATCTGCCTGCCTCAGCCTCCTGAAGTGCTTGGATTACAGGTGTGAGCCACCGTGCCCAGCTGTGGCTTGTCTTTTATTCTTCTAATAGTGTCTTTGAAAAGTATATGTTTTAAATTTTGATGAAGTCCAATATATCAACTTTTTCTTTTATGGATTGTACTTTTCATGTCTTACATAAGAAATATTTGTCTAAGGTCATAAAGATTTTCTCCTATGTTTTCTTCTAGAACTTTTATATTTTATATCTTACATCAAAAAGTATATGATCCATTTTGAGTTAATCTTTGCATATGGTTAAGATAAAAATGCATTTGAAACCAGGCACAATGGCTCATGCCTGTAATCCTAGCACTTTGGGAGGTGGCGTGCACCTGTGGTCTCAGCTACACAGGAGGCTGAGATGGCAGGATTGCTTGAGCCTAGGAGGTGGAGGCTGCAGTGAGCCATGTTCCCACCACACTACAGTTGAGGCATCAGAGCAAGGCCCTGTCTCAAAAATAAATAAACATAACCATTACAAAAAGGAAATACTAAGCCAGGCCCTAAACCTAAACCTAAAATGTTGACTTGACAAAGCAGCTGATATTCTAGGAACATTAGCTGCCACTCAGAGACAGTGGGATAGGTAACCCAATAGGTGTATGTGGAAACTTAGTAACAATTTTTCCATGGGTTTCTCTTATTTCTGACTATACTGCCAGCAGAGGCACTAAACCACCTTCTTTCTGGACATCTCTAAGGATGTTTGTACTGAGAACAACCTTGGCAAACAGAAATAGTATTCATCTGCAGCGGAGAGGGCAGGTGTGTTGGCTCTCCAGTGTAATAAAGGTGATGCTTCCCTATGGAGCAGAGATTGGGCAGGTTTGCTTATATCCCATCATAAAAGAAGCAGGTTTCCTAAATTTTTGTTTGTTTGAGATGGAGTCTCACTCTGTTGCCCCAGTTGGAGTGCAGTGTTGGCCAGGCTGGTCTTGAACTCCTGACCTCAGGTGATTTGCCTGCCTCAGCCTCCCAAAGAGCTGGGATTACAGACGTGAGCCACTGCACTCAGCTGGTTTCCTAAATTTTTGATTTGTCAGCCATCACATAAATCCATTGAGTGTGCAACATCCATCTGGGCCACTCTATGTCACCCCTGTGGGACTTGGGAGCAAGGGGAACTGACATGAACGTGAAGCTCATCTGCTTGGAGTGACAAAGTCTTTTCGTGTTTGACTCAGGATATCTTGTATCCTCTGGTAGGCCACCTTGTTCATTTGTAAGCAGGGGAAAATCTCAGTTCTTGACACTTACCTCTACTCTTTAGGCGTGAATACAGATCCCCTAAGTGTATAACTGAGTCAGTCTGCTCAGTCAGGTAGCAAATGCTACCATGCTCATTACAAAGAGAAACACTCTTCAATGGCCACAGAGTTCACCCCTAATCCTACCTAGGAAGGTACCTTCTATACCACTCCACATGGCTCAGAGAAAAACATTGCCTACAACACTATAGGAAAAAGAAAAATTGATATTTGTCTTTCAGAGGAAGGTTTATAGTTTTGAAAAAAAATTTTAAGATTCTGCTTTCTTCCACTTGAAATAGATGTTAACGTTTTGGGGTGTCTGGAATATACCTACCTTTTAAAGCTGTGACCTGATCTTCAACATAATTTGTTTGGCAAGATTGATACCACTTTAAAATAAATACAGAAACAGCCAACTACAGAATTAGGTGAGAAATCACATTCTATACTTACCTTGGCCAAATCATTATCAGGCTCAACATCTAGTACTTTACTCAAATCTTCTGTAGCTTCCCGGAGCTTGTTTTGATGTTTATATGTAGTAGCACGACGCAGAAGAGCTGAAAATTTACCAATATAAAAGTTATGTTTTTTAATATGTGGCATTATGGTTACAACATATTTGGCAAGTGGAAGATATGAGCAGCACAGAATACTTTAGGATGTAATTACCCAAAGCTCAACTACACCCTTTTTCATGTTGATACACACATAGGAGATGACACTGAGGTACATAAAAGAGGCTACATCAGCCAGCTGTCCCCTCTATAACAACCCTCTGGCCCTCTGGCAGCCCCAGGCCCCGCCAGCTTTTCCAAGAACTAAGAGATTTCATACCTCAACCCTTCACAGGCAACACATTGTATTGCAATATCGGAATGATTTTCACTGATAATAATCCTTTCCTTTTTATAATTATGGCGAGTATTATTTAGCCACTTTTTGAAAACATAAAATCCCTTATCAAAATTTAGTATATTGGCTAGGCACAGTGGCTCACACCTGTAATCCCAACAATTTGGGGGCCTGAGGTGGGCAGATCACTTGAGGCCAGGAGTTCAAGACCAGCCTGGCCAACATGGCAAAATCCCATCTCTACTAAAAATACAAAAAAAAAATTAGCTTGGCATGGTAGCACACATCTGTAATCCCAGCTACTCGGGAGACTGAGGCAGGAGAATTGTTTGAGCCTGGGAGGTGGAGGTTCCAGTGAGCCAAGATTGTGCCACTGTACTCCAGCCTGGGTGACAGAGCAAGACTCTGTCTCCAAAAAAAAAAAAAAAAAAGAAAAAAAAAGTATATTACTGACCAGCATCTAGCTCAGAATGTGGCTCATTAGTGACATCTGTATAGCAATCTCTAAAATGATTAGAAGGAGTGACTTAGCATAGGGAACTGAGAGAATCCTGATGATTAAGTCAGTTAGGTCAGAAATTAAGCACTTTGATAATTCGCATTTGATTTTTTGGGTACGTTTCAATGTATAATTTGGTAATTATTTAATACTGACAATGAATGCCTCTCTAGACTCATCATTAACTATTATATAAGGAGAACTTTGTGTAATAAGTCATTACTTTGAAAAAGAATCAAGTTTGGTAATTCTGAAAAGTGAGAATTTTTTTTTTTTTTTTTTTGAGACAGAGTCTTGCTCTGTTGCCCATGCTGGAGTGCAGTGGCACAATCTCGGCTCACTGCAACCTCTGCCTCCCGGGTTCAAGCGATTCTCCTGCCTCAGTCTCCCAAGTAGCTGGGACTACAGGCTCATGCCACCACATCCAGCTAATTTTTTTTGGTATTTTTAGTAGAGACGGGGTTTCACCGTGTTAGCCAGGATGGTCTCGATCTCCTGACCTCGTGATCCGCCTGCCCCAACCTCCCAAAGTGCTGGGATTACAGGCATGAGCCACCGCGCCTGCCTGAAAAGTTAGAAATTTTATCTGACATATTTTAATATGCTATTTTAAAACATAATTATAAATTTGACCAATTTGAATTTTAGTGTTAGAATGAGCTATGAAAATCTAAATGAGAAATCATTTTGTTATAAATTTAATTAAAATTGTAGCACTGCACTTTAAATATAATTTAGCTATTGCTATTGCTACACAGATTTCTGAAGGGAATTTCTATGAAGAAATATTCATGACATAATGATTATCCTTTTTTAAAACTTTTTATTTTGGAATCATTGGAGATTTACAGAAAAGTTGCAGAGATAGTACAATGAGTTCCTGTGTCCCTTAACTCAGCTTTACCTAATGCTAACATATTCTGTATTTATTTATTTTTTTTGAAACAGAGTCTTTCTTTGTCCCCTAGGCTGAAGTGCAGTGGCGTGATCTCAGCTCAGTACAACCTCTGCCTCCCAGGTTCAAGCAATTCTCCTGCCTCGGCCTCCCAAGTAGCTGGGACTACAGGTGCCCACCACCATGTCTAGTAATTTTTTTTAAAATTTATTATGGTTTTTTTTGAGATGGATTCTCGTTCTGTCGCCCAGGCTGGAGTGCAGTGGCGTGATCTCAGCTCACTGCAACCTCTGCCTCCTGGGTTCCAGTGATTCTCCTGCCTCAGCCTCCCAAGTTGTTGGGATTACAGGTGCCTGCCACCATGCCCAGCTAATTTTTTGTGTTTTTAGTAGAGATGGAGTTTCGCCACATTGGCCAGGCTGGTCTCGAACTCCTGGCCTCAAGTGATCCACCCACCTCAGCCTCCCAAAGTGCTGGGATTACAAGCATGAGCCACTGCACCCCTCCATTTTTTTTTTTTTTTTAATTTTTAGTAGAGATGGAGTTTTGCCATGTTTGCCAGGCTGGTCTCGAACTCCTAACCTCAGGTGATCTGCCCACCTCGGCCTCCCAAAGTGCTGGGATTACAGACATGAACCACTAAGCCTGGCCGAGAGTTTTGTTAAAATTAACAGAGTTAATACATGTAAAGTGCTTGGCACGGGGCCTGGCAGAGCAGTGGTATGGGGTTGGCAAAACCTTCAGTGGGCTGCTGCCTAAAGCTGGGAGCCCAGCCATACTCTGTGACAGAGACCAGCTTGCGTAAAACACAGGCCCAACAGGACTTTATTGGTAAATGGAGGGCAATCCATGGCAATGACAGTGGCAGGTGATGCACCAGGCTTCCCCTTAGCACTCCCATGGCTTCTGCCACCTCCACCATGTTTATAGGCAAAAAGGGATACATTCCATGTGAAAAAAGTGTTTATATTTATTTGAATCCATAAAAATTTAAAGAAATATAATGTGTCTATTATAATGTATGTCACTCCCTCTTGGAATGACTCCTTCTTGATAACAGAAAAGGAGAATAGAGTCTGATTTGCATATTTCAGGCCTGAACCATGACAAGGTGGTCAGTCAGAGGGACAGGGAATCAAAATAGAGTGCAGGTTTTTGGCAGAAAGAGTCAGTTTTGGACAAATTTAATTTAGAATTAAGTTATTCAAATTATTAATTTAAAATGAAAATTAAATTATTTATAGCAGGCCAGGCTTGGTGGCTCATGCCTGTAATCCCAGCACTTTGGGAGGTCGAGGTGGGCAGATCACTTGAGCTCAGGAGTTTGAGACCAGCCTGGGCGACACAGTGAAACCCCATCTTTACAAGAAATACAAACAAAATTAGCTGGGTGTGGTGGCACGTGCTTGTAGTCCCAGCTACTTGGTAGGCTGAGGTGGGAGGATCACTTGAGACTGGGAAGTGGAGGTTGCAGTAAGCCAAGATTGCACCACTGCACACCAGGCTGGGTGACAGAGTGAGACCCTATCTCAAAAAAACAAAAACAGGCTGGGAGCAGTAGCTCACGCCTGTAATCCCAGCACTTTAGGAGGCTGAAGCAGGTGGATCACCTGAGGTCAGGAGTTCAAGACCAGCCTGGCCAACATGGTGAAACCCCGTCTCTCTACTAAAAATACAACAATTAGTCAGGCGTGGTGGTGCACGCCTATAGTCCCAGCTACTTGGGAGGCTGAGGCAGGAGAACCACTTGAATCCAGGAGGCAGAGGTTGCAGTGAGCCGAGATCACGCCACTGCACTCCAGCCTGGGTGACAGAATGAGACTCAGTCTCAAAAAAACAAACATACAAACAAACAAAATTATATATAGCCACCTAGGTGGAAATATCCACAAAGAAGCTGGGAGAAGGTTCTAGAGGTCCAGTGTGGGCTTATTATTTTATTATATTTATAAATACCAGAAAATCTATATTAAGTTATACTTAATTTTTTTTGGAGAAAAAGAATGTTCAAATGCAAGCTTGAGTTTTTTTTTTGAGACACAGAGTTTTGCTGTGTTGCCCAGGCTGGTCTCAAACTCCTAGACTCAAGCAATCGTCTCACCTCGGCCTCCCAAAATTTTGGGATTATAGGTGTGAGCCACTGTGCCTGGCCAAGATACTTCTCTTTTATTTTATTTTTGTTGTTGTTGGTTTTTTGTTTATTGAGATACTTCTTTAAAATATATATGTATTTTATTAAATCCTCTGGGATTATTAGCTACTTCAGTACAAATAATCAGGAGCTTAACTTACAAGTTCAATTTAAAAGCAACTTTATGAAGTTGGTGATTCACATACAGAAATTTGAGTTTATCTGAAATATTTTTAATGTAAACATTACAAGTATCTACAAATGGTCTTTATTAATGGATCCTGCTGTAAATGTAAAAGAATTCTATAATATTTTTTACCCTTTACGTTTCCAGGTTCTAACTCCAAGACCTTTTCACAATCCTGAAAAGCACTATTCCAGTTCTGTAATTTGATTTCTGCTTGAGCTCGATTGTTATAGGCAACTACAGTGGGAAGCGCTGATATGCTCCTAGAAAAGAAACAGTTACTGGCAACAAGCAAGCCTAAGGTAAACATAAGAATGTAGAGAAATTCAGCTTCAGTTATACATAAAACAATTATAACCTGTCTATGGGCTGAATTGTATCCCCCAACATTCGTATGTTGAAGTCCTAACCCCACAGTATCTCAGAACATGACTGTATTTGGAGATAGGGTCTTTAAAAAGCTAATTAAGGTGAAATGAAGTCATGAGAGGGGGCCCAGATCCCATAAAAATGGTTTCCTTATAAGAAGAAGATATTTGGACATACATGTATGGACAGACTGTGAAGTCACTGGGAGAAGACGGCCACCTACAAGCCAAGGAGAGAGGCCTTGAAAAAACCAACCCTGCTAGCACCTTGATCTCAAACTTCCAGCCTCCAGAAGTGTGAGAAAAGAAATTTCTCTCGTTTAAGCCGCTCAGTCTGTGGTACTTTGTTACGGCAACCTTAGCAAACAAATACAGCCTATATTATCAAAAATAATAAAATACAATTCTACAAGCATACTAAATCAATATTTAAACAGATGCTTAAATATCCAGTTAATAGCCTTAAAGTTAACTCAGGCTTTAGAGGCATTATGGGAATTTAAATACTGATAGATCTGGAATCTGAGCTTTAGTTACTGGAATAAAAAATGAAGGTAGAAAAAGATAAATACCTATAGATCACTTTAAAAAAAACCGTTGATGTAAGTTAACATCAAATATCAAATACCAAACACATTTTTTGAAGCCAGGCATGGTGGCTCACCCCTGTAATCTCAGCACTTTGGGAGACCGAGGTGACAGCATGGCTTGAGGCCAGAGGTTCGAGACCAGCCTGGGCAACATCATGAGAGCCTGTCTCTACAAAAAACACAAGAGAAAATTATCCAGGTATGGTGACTCACACCTGTAGTCCCAGTATTCTCAGGAGGCTGAGGTGGGAGGATCCCTGGAGCCCAGGAGTTTGAGGCTGCAGCGAGCTATGATCACACCACTGCACTCTTGCCTGGATAACAGAGTGAGACCCTGTCTCAAAAAAAAAAAAAAAAAAAAAAAGAATCTGCCCAAGGTCAGAAAGTGGTAGTCTGAATTCCCTTAACCATCATACTATGCTGCTTTAATTCTTCAACTATATGACTCCTCAAAAAAGAAGAAAAGAGCTTTGTAACCTGTAATAGACAAGAGAATCTCTGGTATAAACCTACAAGAAAAGAAAGAACAGTTATCAAGGCTGACATCCACCTGCCTGAACAGGGGAGGCTGTACTGAATGAATGATCCATCATATATCCTCTTTACCTCGTATCTTCATTTAAACAATCTGAGAAAACTTCTTTAGATACACCAACAACATTGAAAAAAATCTATCTTATTTCCAAAGGTGGAAAAAAGATTGTACAGAGTTTAGTGCTAAGGTAGCATTAGTGATTCTATAAGAACAGTTTATCTGTAACAACATTTTAAAAACTTAGTCTACTTTTCATAGGCTGTTAAGAACTTCAGAAGTTCATATACATATTTATTGAACATCTACTATGAACCAGGTACTTTGTTGGGCCTTGGGGATACAATGGTGTAAAAATCCTTGACAAATGGGTTCTGCTGTTACAAATCTTACATTCTAGTTATTATCAAATCACACAAGCTTAAATTATACTTCTGACAAGTGCTACAAAGGAGAGGTAAGACTGCTATAAGAGCCTATAAATTGGGAGGTGAGGTGGGTGGGGTGAGATGGAGATTTAACCTAGTTTGGAAGGTGAAGTAAGACTTCTCCAAAGAAGTAAGGTGAAGACTAAGATCTGAAGGATAAATCAGAATTAACTAGATAATGGAACGAGGGAAGAGCATTTTTTTTCTTAATTTCCTTTTCTCTTTTAAAGGCTAGTCAAGTGAAACAGTGGGAGTGGAGAAGGAACAAGGAAATCTGTAACTGGTTGTGATCAATTAGTTGTAAACACCACTGTACTCAGACCAGCCATGGGAAAAGCATTTTTGATGGTGCACCCAGCATGTGCAAAGGCCCTGTGGTAGGAAGGAGCACCAAAGTACTAGAAGTAAATCCAGGCAGTCTACAATGGAACCCAAGTTATTCACTTCTATATCATATGGGCCTTCTGTTGAATTCCTGTCAGATGCCTTCTATTTTCTCTGCAAGATAGGAAGTTAAGTCTTCTGTCAAAAGTAGGAGTGGAGTGGGAGCTTAGAGGTTTGAGAAAAATTATTGAAAAAATAGGAGAAACACAAGTGAATATATGATAAATCACAAGTACAATACATTGAGAGATTCTGACATAGACTTTCGCTTATTTATATTGTTTCAACAATTAAAACATTATCATTTTTTAAAAGGCAAGTTTAAACCCCAACAAACATCTGCTCACCTGGTATAATACATCACTGCTTCTTCATAATCTCCTGAGTTGAAAGCTTCATTTCCTTTCTCCTTTTCACGAGTGGCAAGAAAATCCTTTTCTTTCTCAGTTAGACCTAGAAATAAATGTTATCTGCTATATGTAAACGTATAATTTAACAGAATTTTTCAAGTTTAAATCTAAGAATGCTTATTTTAACAGAAGCAGAAGAAAGCAGAAAGATCATAAAATAAACAAAAGAAAATAAAAGGTTCCCCAAGCTTAGGGATGTTTTCTTTTTAAATCATTCACAAGTTTTGAGGATTCAGAATTTTTTTAATGATTGATTTCGTTTCACTTTATAGGTGCTAGTCCAATAAACTGCCCCATCTTTTTGTTTTGAAGCAAAAAGAAAACAATTTTAGGAATTTGGAGGAAAAAGAGGATTGGAAAAAAGGAATTAAAAACAAATGAATTACAGTAAGAAAAATAGGTTTATATTTTAAAGCCTTACTACATTTAAAAATTAAGTGGGTAAAAGAGAGAAGTGAATTTGTTGAGTGGTCAACTGTAAGAGAAAATCCATAAACTTTTCATGGTAATCTGTGCAGTACTCAAAGACAATGTCTTCTAGATTGACACTTTTTATTATAATTGAAAAACTTTAAAGACTACTAAATTATTATTTTTTCTCCAATTACCTGCTGTATCTATTCTTGTCTCAATTTTAGACAAGTGTGACTTGTCTATTACCGTCTTTTCTTTGTAATCTTCATCAATTTTTAAACATTCCTTCTCCACGTCAAATCTTAAATGAAAGAACAATAAAAACCAAAAAAGTACAATACAGGCAAGAAAATAAATTTATCATTGATATTCTTATATTTGTACAAGTATGCCTTTGGATACATATTCAAAAATATGTAGTAAGTTAATAGTTCAAGTCATCTGAGTTCCTTCTTAAGAAAACATACAATTTAGTGAGAACTTAAACGTTAATCAAATCTAAACTGGTCAGAACTTTGAAATTAAAATTTTGACTAACTTATCTCAATTTTAAATTTTTGTTCCTTTTTAGTTTGGATGGGTATAAAAAATACATTAGTTTTTTTGGCTGACTTTATAAAAAAATAGGATGTAGAAGTTTTTTATGTACTGAAAAAAACATCAAAAGTGCTGAGGCCAGATATTCTCAGTACTCTATTGAAGTAATTTGGTATTCTTGACATGTTAAGGTTTATAATAATTATTTAAGAAATTATTGCAGTATTTTGTGGTAGATAACTTTTTTAGTGATACATTTTATATAAAGACATGTAAAACATACTTATCCCATTCCGCGTAATCCCTTGGAGTTTTCTTTTTAGTTGGTCTTTTAGAATATTTTTCCTAAAAGAATAAAATCATATTTTATGAGACATATTTAATATAAGATTATCAGGTTTTACTGTAAATGCAATGGAAAGTATTGGGTTAAGATATACAAATGGAAGCCAGGTGCGGGGACTCACGCCTGTAATCCCAGCACTTTGGGAGGCTGAGGTGGACAGCTCACTTGAGGCCAGGAGTTCCAGACCCGCCTGGCCAACATGGTGAAACCCCGTCTCTACTAAAAATACAAAAATTAGCTGGGCATGGTGGCGCACACCTTTAATCCCAGGTACTTGGAGGTTGAAGCATGAGAATTGCTTGAACCTGGGAGGTGGAGGTTGCAGTGAGCAGAGATCGAGCAACTACACTCCAGCCTGGGTGACAAAGAGAAACTGTCTCAAAAAAATAAAAATAAAATAAAGATATACAAATGGAATGGATAAGAAAAATAGGTACCCTGGAAGTTATAATAACTTCAGTATTACAGTTATTAACATAATAATATACAGCATGTAAAAGAAAGAATTTTAAATTTATAGTTAATTCTGGGGACAATCTATAGGTTTTTAAGTATATACATATAAAATTTTAAAACTTATGTGTGAATATGATTATTACTGATTTTCTTATAATAAAAAAGTACTAAATTCTGATTCATTCTTTTCAAACCTAGGCATTGGAGAAACAAGAATAATTGCTATATTAGTCAGAAGTTTGCAATGATAGTAATCTGATTTGGAATAATTACATTAAAAAAGAAGAAATTATCAGCTTATATAACTAAACTGATGGAAGGGCAAGGGTGCTGCTGGATGAGGGGATTCCTATGCCCTTTCTCCAGCTCTCCCTGCCCCTCCCAGGTTCTGCTCCTCTCTACCTACTGATTTCACTTTCCCTGATGGGTACTTGCTTTCTCCATGTGGCAGGAAACATCACCACAAGCATTCTGGAATTATAACCTCACAGCTCTCTCCACCAGAGGAAAAGGAGAGTGACTCTTCTCTCCATCTTCAGTTAGAGAAATTCCAAGGAAGGACTGATTGGCTAGCTTGGGTCATGGGCCCATCCTAACCAAGCACTAACAGTGGCCCAAAGTAGCCACATTCCCACTGCTAAAGACAGAGGGCAGGTTCTGCACCAGAACAGAATGAGAGAAAGGCAAACAATAGCCATAATGCTCACAAATAATCAGTCTCCCAGAGAGGGTACAATTTTTTGCTAGATAAGTACTAAGGAATATTAACTTTAAAATATTTATCTATATAGTCTGAAGAAAGGTAAGTATAGCAGAATTTATAATAATAAAGTAGGTACTGATTTGTTTTTAAACTATTACATATCTTCATTCTCATTAGGCTCAGGTTTGCTAATAGCAATACTAAGAACTATATAAACTACATAAATGAGTACTATGCAGTCCTTACAGGCTCAAAAAGTATCATTTGATGCTTGAACTCGATTTCCTACTCATAAAGACAATGTTCTCAATGCTAAGATGATGTTATGGGTTGAATTGTGTCTCCCAAAAACAATATGATGAAGTCCTAACCCCGGTACCTGTGAATGAGACCTTATTTGGAAATAGGGTCTTTGCAATGTCATCAAATGAAGATGAAGTCATTAGGGTGGGCCCTAATCCAGTATGACTGTGTCCTTATACAAAGAGGAGAAGAAGTTCCAATAGAAGGAAGCTGGTGGTGTGGAAATGAAAACAGAGCTTAGAGTTGTGCCGCTACAAACCAAGGAAGGCCGGGGCTTCCAAAAGCTGGAAGAGCCAAGGAAGGATCTTCCCTTACAGGTTTTGGAGGAAGAAAGGCCCTGCCAATACCTTGATTGTGTACTTCTAGCCCCTAGAACTGTGAAAGAATACATTTCTGTTGTTTTATGCCAACCACTTCCTGTGGTGTTACAGCAGCCCTAGGAAACTAATACAAGTGGTATCACTTAGTTTCAAAAGGTCATTGATTCAAAATCAGGGGTATTTAATATTCATATGTGGCTCTCAAATACCTACCTGTGACAAAAAATATCCCCCTTTAGGGATCAAGAAATGGACATGAATTGGCTTGACTGTGGTAAGCATTTCAAAATGTGTAGATATATCAAAATGTCACATTGCACACCATAAATACATGCAAGTTTTATCAATTATGACTGAATAAAGAAGAAGAAGATTTTCAATAAATAAAAAAAGAATGTGGAGCAATAAAAGTCTCAAGACATGGACTCAGTATACATGATAAATTCTAATGTGTAATATTATATTTGGATATTTTAAGAAGGCAATGCTCCCTGACTTTGAAAGGCTGGGACATGTGCCTTCTATGTATTCTCATAACACTGCATATTTACTGTCATAATCCATTATATGCTACATTAGTGGGGCTCAAACTTTTCAGTATCATGACACTCTCGCACTCCTCAAAATTATTGGTCATTGGAGTTATACAGATTTTCCAAATATTCACAGATTTCATTATGCAATTTTAAAAATCACAATTTGTTAATATCTGCATGGAGATCATCAAAAAAGACTTTCAAGTATGTTAAATAAAATTTATAGAAGGTCAATGATTTGGACTAAGCTCCTGCACTAGGCCCCAACAGACTTAAATACAGTCACTAGTGCTCAAGTTCCATATCACCAAACCAAAACTAAGTTGCTTATCTGACTGGAGAAATCAAGAGACAGAGATAATAGCCAAATTTCTGCTTTAACCCTTACAAGGAAAGTAACCTGTTATTAAATAGTCTATTTTTTGTATGCCTTATCCCTGCTCAAGCTACCTTATAAAAACCAGCTGTTCTGCCATGGCCATTGGAGCATATTTTCTAAATTTTTAGAGGAGATGCCATCCTGATTCATGAATTGTTAATAGAAGCCAATTAGATCTTGAAATTTGTTGTAATTTTGTCCTTTGACAAGTATCCCCCTTAAGGGCTATTTTCTGTCACAAGCAGATATTTGAGAAACACATAATATCTAAATTATTAGATATTGTTATATTATACTAAATATTTAATACCTCAAGCCCTAATTTGCACTTTGTTTTTAGAGACAGGGTCTTGCTCTGTTGCCCAGACTGGAGTATAGTGATGTCATCATGGCTCACTGCAGCCTTGACCACTAGGGCTCAAGCAATCCTCTTACCTCAGTCTCCTGAATAGATAGAACTAGAACTATAGGCATGTGCCACCACACCACACTAATAAAAAAAAAAATGTTTTGTAGAGATGGGGTCTCGCTATGTTGCCCAGGCCTCGAACTCCTGGGCTCAAGTGATCCACCCGCCTTGGCCTCCCAAAGTGCTGGAATTACAGGCATGAGCCACTGCCCGCCTGTGCCTGGACCTAATTTGCACTTGAAAGGTCAGATTTTCTTACTAGCAACAAATACTGTGAGTTGTTTTTCTTAAAGCGACAGGCCTCCTTCATTCACTTCCAACAAAATTTTTGCCAAAATCCTAAGTCTGAATAATGACAGTTTGTCAACCATTATTTCAAGTAAAAACAGCATTCCAGGAAGACGTGGCTATGCATCATATCATAACCATCATATTTGACTATGCAGGGAAGTGCTTTCTGCATACTTCTCACTTTGTCACAAAATACTAAAATGACATGTCCTGGAAGTTCAAGATCTAACAAAGTAAATATTCTATTATTTTATCAAAGGTATTTTTAAGTAAAATTGGAATTTGTTTTTACTGTATATACAACGTGGTGCCTGCCTTGCTTCATGTTAAAGCAATAGCAGCTTTATCCTCAGGGCAAATACCAACACAGTGACAAGGACAAAGCATTAGTATTATTTTCAAAATAGCACTAACTTTCTGGACCCCCTGGAAGAATCTCTGGGAC
Organism: Homo sapiens; assembly: GCF_000001405.40. Classification (NCBI taxonomy): domain Eukaryota; kingdom Metazoa; phylum Chordata; class Mammalia; order Primates; family Hominidae; genus Homo; species Homo sapiens. Next base: position 100,179,531 of record NC_000008.11, on the reverse strand, counting down.
TTCAAGGGCTTCCTAGACCATACTTTAAGAACTACTGTACCACTAGTCCATCCACCCCATTGCTCCTTCAGCAATGCTTGTTCATTGTTATATTTTCAAGGCACAGTCTTAGTACACCGGGACTATTATTATTGTTATTATTATTTTTTGAGATGGATTCTCCCTCTTTCCCCCAGGCTGGAGTACAGTGGTGTGATCTCAGCTCACTGCAACCTCTGCCTCCCAGGTTCAAGCGATTCTCCTGCCTCAGCCTTCCAAATAGCTGGGATTACAGGGGCCCACCACCATGGCTGGCTAATTTTTGTATTTTTAGTACAGATGGGGTTTCACCATGTTGGCCCGGCTGGTCTTGAACTCCTGACCTCAAGTGATCCACCCTCCTTGGCTTTCCAAGGTGCTGGGATTACAGGTGTGAGCCACCATGCCCAGAGTTTTTTTGTTTGTTTTTGTGGTTTTTTTTTTTTTTTTGAGACAGAGGAGACAATCTCAGCTCGCTGCAACCTCCATCTCCTGGGTTCAAGCAATTCTCGTGCCTCAGCCTCCCAGGAAGCTGAGATTACAGGCACATGCCACTATGCCTGGCTAATGTTTTTGTATTTTTAGTAGAGATGGGGTTTCACCATGTTGGCCAGGCTGGTCTCGAACTCCTGGCCTCAATCCATCCACCTCAGCCTCCCAAAGTGCTGGGATTACAGGCGTGAGCCACCGTGCCTGGCCAACTATTCAATAAATACAATTTCACTGATTGCAGATAGTGGCATCCTCACCAGATTACTGTACACCTCCATTACCTGCATAATTCCTAATGAGGAGTAAAAAGATCCAGGAAGGTAAATTATCAGAGAGCAGAGTGATGAAGAGCCATGGATGTTTTTAAAATAAAATTGATTCAAAGAAAAGACGAGAATAACAAGAATGAGTTAACCTAGAATGAAAAGGCTTGGGGAGTCATCTGAGAAATTACAAGGTCAGATGGATGCCAGGAACCCCAGTTTCAACCTAAAGTTAAATAGAATGGGCCTGGAACTTCAAGAGGCCCCTTCTCTGTGGAGCCCACAGATTAAAAAGGAGAGGTCTATGTGACAAAATAGGGACCAACGACAGAGAAATGGGAATAAGAGGAAAAAACATGCACTAAACAGAGGAATGACATTTATAAGTACTGAAAGTATCTGTTTACTGTTTTAAATCCATAATTAAATTATGTAACATGATATATCCTCTGTAGCCCTACTAGATATATACAATTGTTCCCTGAAATTTTCACACACTGAATCAGACCTTTTGCTCTCATCAAAACTGGACGGAAGAGACAGGGTGTATAAAAAAAGAAAAAAAAGACTAAAGGCAGTAAATAAGCCCAAGATGCAGGACTTCAAAGGAAAAAACTGTTTCATTTTGATTTCCAAGTAATGAGACAGTAAAGAACGTGATAGTTCCCAGCCGATAGTTCCCAGCCAGCTGAACAAACTCCCCAATTCTCCTAGAGGACATCACACATAGGCTGCTCCAATTAAACTGAGATTGCCCCTTAATAAACAGCAGCAATCCTCTCCTGCTACCACCCACAAAGATATCAAAGAAGCCTACCTTGCCTACATGAAGACAGCTGTTTGAACCACGAACTGGAGGCAAATTATCTTTCATTGCTGGAAATGTCTCAGTTTCATGAAAGTGCATTTTATCTTCTTCTTTTTTAATTTCTGATACCCAACTCTGAGAATAGAGAAAAGGGTAAATATATAGTTTGAAATAATTATAACCAAGCATAAGAAAGAACTATAGTTGACCCTTGAACAATATAAGTTTGAACTGCATTGGTCCACTTATATGTGGATTTTTTTCAGTAAAAATATTGGAAAAATTTTTGGAGATTTGTGACGATTTGAAAAAACTCACAGATGAATTAGAAATATCAAAAAAATTAAGATAAAGTTAGGTATTTCATGAATGCATAAAATATATGTAGATACTAGTCTGTTTTATCATTTACTACCATAAAGTATACACAAGTTATAAAAAGTTAAAATTTATCAAAACTTACCCACACAAACACTTACAGACCATAAATGGCACCATTCACAGTAAAGAGAAATGTAAAAAAAAAAAGACATGAAGATGCAGTATTAAATCATAGCTGCATAAAACTGACTGTAGGAGACACTATAATACGTAATAATTTCACAGCCACCTCCTGTTGCTATTGTGGTAAGCTTAAGAGTTACAAGTATCTGCTTAAAATGCCTTGTGACACTAGTCATCTCTGCAGGAGCAGTTTGTCTCTAGTAAACTGCATCTTGCCATAAAAAGTGATCTCTCACAGTTCTCACATATTTTTATGATGTTTAGTGTAATACTGTAAACCTTAAATAACACCATGGGACCCATATAAAGTGTCACTAGTGATGCTGGAAGTGCTCCCAAGAAGCAGAGAGAACACATGATATTACAAGAAAAAGCTGAATTGCTTGATATGTGCCAGAGATTAAGATCTGGCATAAGCTACCATTGCAGTTGCCCACCATTTCAAAATAAATGAATCCAGAGTAAGGACCATTGAAAAAAAAGAAAGAAACGAAAAAAAGAAGGAGAGGAGAGGGAGAGGAAAGGAGGAGGGAAAAGGAGAGAGGGAGGGGGAGGAGGAGAGGGAGAGGGAGGGGTATGGGGAAGGGGAGAGGGAGGAGAGAGAAGAGGAGAGGAGAGGAGAGGAGAGGAGAGGAGAGGGAAATTTATGAGGCCATCATTGCATCACTGCGGCTACACCATCAGGTGCAAAGACTTTGCACTTCTTGTGAAATGCCTTTTTATCTTTTATTGAAAATGCAGCCTTCATGTGGGTGCAAAATTGATGTAATAAAGACATTCCTGGCTGGGCGTGGTGGCTCACGCCTGTAATCCCAGCACTTCGGGAGGCCGAAGCGGGCAGATCACTTGAGGTCAGGAGTTCCAGACCAGCCTGGCCAACATGGTGAAACCCCGTCTCTACTAAAAATACAAAATTAGCCAGGTGTGGTGGTGGGCACCTGTAATCCCAGCTACTGGGGAGGCTGAGGCAGGAGAATTACTTGAACCCAGGAGGCGGAGGTTGTAGCGAGCCGAGATTGCACCACTGCACCCCAGCCTGGGCGACAGAGCAAGACTCAGTCTCAAAAAAAAAAGAAAGAAAGAAAAAAAAAAAGAAAGACATTCCTATAGACTCTAATATGATTCCAGAAAAAGCAAAGTCATTATATGACAACTTAAAGCAAAAGGAAGATGATGGACCTATAAAGCTGAAGAATTGAACGCCAGCAAAGGATGGTTTGAATTTTAGAAAAAGGTTTGGCTTTTAAAATGTCAAGAGAACAGGAAAAGCACCTTCTCCCAACCAAAAGGCAGCAGACAAGTTTCCAGGCGCCATTGAGAAAATCAATAAAGAGAAAGAATATCTGTCTGAGCAGGTTTTTAATGCAGACAAAAGTGCTGTATTCTTGGGGAAAAAAATGCCACAAAGGATATTTATTAGTAAGGAACAGAAGCAAGCACCAGGATTTAAGGCAGGAAGGGATAGGGAAACTCAACTATTTTGTGCAAACTCAGTTGGGTTTATGATCAGGACTGACCTTATTTGTAAAGCTGTTAACCCTCAAGCCTTGAGGGGAAAAGATAGATATCAGCTGCCAGTCTTTTGGCTGTACAACAAGAAGGCCTTTTTCTGTATTGGTTCAAGAACACTTTTTCTGTATTGGTTCCATCAATGCTTTGTTCCTGAAGTCAGGATGTACCTTGCCACTAAGGGACTGCCTTTTAAAGTTCTTCTGATGTTGGACAATGTCCCAGGCCATCCAGAATCCCATGAGTTCAAGACCGAAGGGGTCAAGTGGTCTACTTACCCCTAAACACAACGTCTCTAATTCAACCTCTAGATCAGGGGGTCACAAAGATCTTTAAGAACTTTACTGCGTGCTAGCTGGGTGCGGTGGCTTATGCCTGTAATCCCAGAACTTTGGAAGCTGAGGCAGACGGATCACGAGGTCAGGAGATTGAGACCATCCTGGCTAACATGGTGAAACCCCATCTCTACTAAAAATACAAAAAAAATTAGTCAGGCATGGTGGTGGGCGCCTGTAGTCCCAGCTACTCGGGAGGCTGAGGCAGGAGAATGGTGTGAACTTGGGAGGCAGAGCTTGCAGTGAGCCAAGATCGAGCCACTGCACTCCAGGCTGGGCGACAGACCAAGACTCTATCTCAAAAAAAAAAAAAAAAAAGAACTTCACTGCACGCCCTTCTCTATGGAAAGGATTGTCAACACTACAGAAGAGAACCCTGATAGAACATCATGAACGTCTAGAAGGACTACACCATTGAAGATGCCATCATTATTATAGAAAAAGCCATTAAGCCAGGAGTGGTGGCACATGCACCTGTAGCCCCACTTACTCAGGAGGCTGAGGCAGGAGGATCGCTTGAGCCCAAGAGTTATAGGCTGTACTGTGTGCTATGACCCTGCCTGTGAATAGCCATTACGTTCCAGCCCTGGCAACATGGCAAGATCCCATCTCTAAGAAAAAAAAAAAAAAAAGCCATGAAATAATAAATCCCTGCTAGAAAAAAACTGTCCAGATGTTGTCCGGGATTTCATAGGATTTACAATAGAGTAAATCAAGGAAATCATAAAAGAGATTATGAATATGCCAAAAAAAGTTGGGAGTGAAGTGTTTCAAGATATGGAAGTTGGAGAAATTCAAGTGCTAACACCATACCACAGTAATTAACAGAAGATGACTTCATGAAGGTAAGTGCTTCTGAACCAGTGCCAGACAATGAGAAGACATAGAAGAAGCAATGCCAGAAAATAAACTAACATTAGACAATCTGGCAGAAGGGCTCCGATTACACAAGACTGTTTTTGACTTCTTTCACAACATCTACCCTCTGTGATACGGGGACTAAAACTAAAGCAAACGGTGGAAGAAGGATTGGTACCATATAGTAACATTTTTAGGGAAATGAAAAAGCAAAAGTCAGACAGAAATTATGATTGATTTCTATAAAGTTACACCAAGTGCACCTGCCTCTCCTTTCATCTCCTCCACCTCTTCCATCTCTGCTACCCTTGAGACAGCAAAACCAACACCTCCTATGCTTCCTCCTCCTCCTCAACCTATTTAATGTGATGATGACGAGGATAAAGACCTTTATGATGATCCACTTCCACTTAATACATTGTAAATATATATTCTCTTCCTTATGATTTTCCTAATAACATTTTCTTTTCTCTAGCTTACTTTATTGTAAGAATACAGTATATAATCTATATAACATACAAAATATATGTCAATCAACTGTTCATGTTATTGGTAAGGCTTTCAGTCAACGATAGACTATCAATAGTTAAGTTTTGGGGGAGTCAAAAGTTGTAAGTAGATTTTTGACTGTGTAGGGAGCCAGCGCCCCTAACTCCTTGTGTTGTTCAAGAGTCAGCTATATTTATCATAGTTTCCTATGAGTCAATTTTTTAGACAATGTGATCCATGCCATCCTCACTATCTGGAACATACTTCCTACCTTTTATTTTAAATTGTGGTAAATATGTATAACATAATAAAATTGGCCATCTTAACCATTTTTAAGTCTACAGTTCAGTCTTGTTAAGTATATATACATTGTTGTTGCCCTTCCTACTTTTATTTATCTTGCAATACCTTATTCATCATTCTTTTCAGCAAGATTTCCCAGAACTTCCTAGTTGGGCTAAAAGTGCTTCTCCTCCATAATACATTAGCATAAAGATTTAAAAATCATCTATTGTTAGTCTCTCTTCTTATACTGTAAATTCCTTGAGGGCAGGGCCTATGTCTTAATTTCATCTTTGTGATTCAGTGTCTGACATATAGTAGGTTCTTAACATTTATTAAATTGTCACAGGTGCCAGAAAAAAAATTGAGTAAGAGATTTATTATCTGTGAAACTGTATTACTTATTATTCAGAAAAGATGTATTGAGGGTTCTAATATTTGTTAGACACTCTTAAAAGCACTGGGATACAGCAAAAAAACCCAACAACTATATTATCTGTTCTATCTGTATAGAAGGCAGGGAGGGTGGAAAGGGGCAAAGAGGAGAAATATGAGAAGAAAAAGAAAAGCAATAAGGTAAGAATGGTAAAAGATAAGAGGAAGACTTATAGAGGAGGAAGGGAGCGAGAAAGAATGGAGAAAAGGGGACAAGTGGCAAACAAAGTATGAAAGAAAGGCAAGTGAGAAGGAGACTAACTTGCAAAGTGGCCAACAAGAGTTCTAGACCAGCCTGGACAATACAGCAAGACCCCTGTCTCTACAAAAAAATTAGCTGAGTGTGGTGGTGAATGCCTGTAATCCCAGCTACTTGGGAGAATCAGGAGGATCACTTGAGCCCAAGAGTTCAAGGCTGCAGTGAGCTATGATTGTGCCACTGCACTCCAGCCTGGGTGACAGAGCAAGACCCCATCTCAAAAAAAAAAAAAAAAAAAAAAAAAAAGAAGTGGTCAAGAAGAGCAAAGACACACAATGGGGAAAAACCTAGGCTCTTCAACTAAAATCAAGCTGTCTGCATCCTGAAAACAAAGCCAAAAAGTCTGGACATAAAGTGCTATTTTTGACTGGTAGATTAATTACCATATTTTTGAGCTCAAGCCAATAAAATGAGAAGGCTGAAAGTTTAAAAAGCAGCATTCTAAGTTACAGAATACATATACCTCAACATTGTTTTTAGATGTTTTAAAATTGTTTTTAACCCCAGAAAAATATAAATAAAATAAAGTAAACCAAAAAACTGGTTCTCTAGCATCTGCGAGGTATATATGTGTATACACACATATATATACACATACATACACACACACATACACACACACACACACACACACACACACACACATATATTTCTTTTTTTTAGGCAGAGTCTAGCTCTGTCTCCCAGGCTGGAGTACAGTGGTGCCATCTTTGCTCACTACAACCTCCACCTCCTGGGTTCAAGTGATTCTCATGCCTCAGCCTCCTAAGTAGCTGGGATTACAGGCATGCACCACCACACCTGGCTGATTGTTTGTATTTTTAGTAGAGACAGGGTTTCACCATGTTGGCCAGGGTGGTCTCGAACTCCTGACCTCAGGTGATCCGCCTGCCTCGGCCTCCCAAAGTGCTGGGATTACAGGCATGAGCCACTCGTGCCCAGCCCAAAAATAATTTCTTAAGCAAAATGAAACTGAAGAAACTCTGAGAAAATATAAGTAAATATGTATCTGGTGGAGAGAAAACCTTCCTAACTATAAAAGCCAATGAAAAGTTCTTAAAGAATAAAATTAAGAGGATAGCATAAAAATTTAAAAAAATAAAAAACACCACACACAACATTTAAAAGGTAAACAACAAGCTAGAGGAAAATTTACAATATACAGTACAGAACTCTTACAAAACAATGAGAAACACATTAATAGAAAAAATGCAAAAATTAGCTGGGCGCGGTGGCACGTGCCTGTAATCCCAGCTTCTCGGGAGGCTGAGGCGGGAGAATCACTTGAACTGGAGAGGCAGAGATTGCAGTGAGCCAAGATTGTGCTACTGCGCTCTAGCCCGGGCGATAGAGCGAGACTCCGTCTCAGAAAAAAAAAAAGAAAAATCAATAAAGGGATTTCTTCTGGCCTGACGGAGTCAGGAACTAGATTTACTCTCTTACCTAAATTCTAGAAAACTGGGTAAGATATATGGAGTGATGGTGGTCAGACACTAGACAACAGGTGGCACAGGACAGTGATTCTTGAAAGAAGGGTGAACAAATGAGGTAAGCCCTACATTTGCTCCAACTCACTGCAGTTTCCAGGCTGCAGCACAGGAAAAGTACCCAGACAGAACCCTGTGGTCTTGCTGAATTCAGCAGACAAAGTTTGGACGTTAGGGAGGCCAAGACTGTGAGGATTCGGGGGAAAAAAATATCAGAAAGGAGGAAGCCGTACAGAAAGAGAGCTCTAAAGATAACCTAAACAGCCTTGTATCTATTTGAAAAATTGAATTCACAGTTAAAATCTTTCCTACAAAGAAAACTCCAGGCCTATACAGTGTCAACAATGAATTGAAAACATTTAAGAAAGAAATAATACCAATCATATACCAACTTTTTTAGAAAACAGAAGAGGAGACAATACTTCCCAACTCCTCTTATGAGGCCAGCATTACCCTGCTACCAAAACCAGACAGTGATATTACAGGAAAATAAAACTATTGACCAATATCTCTCATGATCATAGACACAAAAATCCTTCGCAAAATTTTAGCAAATCAAATCCAGGAATATATTTGTAAAAGATATATCATGACCAAGTAGAGTTTATCCTGGAATGTAAGGTTGGTATAATATTTGAAAACAATCTACATAATTTACCTTATTAACAGACTACAAAGAAAATCATCTGTTCATCTCAATAAATGCAGAAAAAGCATTTCACAAAATTCAAAACCCATTCATGATAAAAATTCTCATCAAACAAGGAACAGAAGAAAACTTCAACTTGATAAAGGGCATCTACACAAAATTTAAAGCTAACGTTATATTTCACAGTGAAAGTCAGAACGATTTCCCTGTAAGACTGGGAAATAGGCGAGGATCTGCTCTTACCACTTCTGCTGAACTGGAGGTTCTAGCCAGTTCAATAAAGCAAGTAAAAAATAAATAAATAAATAAATAAATAAATAAATAAATAAATAAATAAATAAATGGCAGACTGGAAAAGAAGCACATCTCTTATTTTTCACAGATGGCATGATCCTGCAGGTAGAAAATCCAATGAATCTACAAAAACATTCCTAGAACTAATCCATGAATTTAACAAAATTGCAGGATATGAAGTCAATATGAAAAAGCAATTAGATAAATACAAACTTGTATAATTAAAAATTGAAATTAAAATTAGGTATCTAAAGTAGTCAAACTTATAGGAACAGCAATAGAATGGTGGTTGCTAGGGGACAGGGGAGTGGGGAAAATGGGGAGTTGTTGTTTAATGAGTATAGCATTTGTTTTGCAGGATGAAAAAGTTCTGAAGAGTGGTTGCACAACCATGTGAATATGCTTAACACTACTGAACTGTACACTCAAAACTGGTTAAGATAATAAATTTTATGTAATATGTATTTCACTATAATAAAAAAACAAAATTTCATAACTGAGATGACAGGATGAGCAAAAAATTGAAATTATAAAAATATTAACATTTATAATAGCATGAGCTACATATAATGCTTAGGAATAAGTTTAGCAAAAATATGCAAGAACTACATACTGAAAACTATAAGACATTGCTGTAAAAAAAATTGAAGACTTAAATGAATGAAGAAATATACAATGTTCATGGATCCGAAACCTCAATATTAAGATGTCAGTTCTTCCAAAATTGATCCATAAATTCAACACAATCCCAATTCAAACACAAGCAAGTTATTTTGTAATAAGCAAAAGACCTAGAATAGCCAAAACAACTTTTAAAAAGAACAAAGGTGGAAGACTTGTACTACCTCCAGTCTCTTTTTTTTTTCCAGCCTCTTATTACAGTAAGATTTCAAGAGTTACTGTAAAACTATTGTAATCAAGACAAGAAGGTAATGGAGTAAAGATGGACATTTAAAATAATGAAACAGGCTACTGTGGGCAGGCTGCCTAGGGGGTAGCCTTGCTCCTCAAGGAGTACAAAATAAATAAATAAATATAAAAAATAAAATAATGAAACAGAATTGAAAGAGTCAGAAATAGACCCACACATAAGATCAACTGATTCTTTTTTTTTGAGACAGTCTTGCTCTGTCATCCAGACTGGAGTTCAGTGACACCATCTCAGCTAACTGCAACCTCTGCCTCCTAGGTTCAAGCAATTCTTGTGCCTCAGCCTCCTGAGTAGCTGGGACTATAGGCACACGCAACCATGCTTAGCTAATTTTTGGTATTTAGTAGAGATGGGGTTTTGCCACGTTGGCCAGTCTGGTCTTGAACTCCCGACCTCAAGTGATCCACCCGCCTCAGCCTCCCAAAGTGCTGGATTATAGGCGTGAGCCACTGTGCTCAGCCCAGTTGATTTTTTAAAAAAGATTTTTTAGAGATGAGGTCTTGCTGTGTTGTCCAGCCTAGAGTTAAGCAGCTATTCACAGGCTTGGTAATAGTGCATGATAGCCTAAAACTCCTGGGCTCAAGTGATCCCCTTGTCTCAGCCTCCAGAGAAACTGGGACTGTAGGCATGCGCCACCACACCCAGCTTTGGTCAACTGATTTTTGACAATGGTACCAAGAAATTTAAAGATAATATTTTATTAAATGGTGCTTGAACACTTTTTGTTCAAACACCAATACAAAAATTAAAACTGATTATAGACCTAGATATAAGAATTAAAACTATAAACTTCCTAGGAGAAAAATTAGATGTCCTGGATTAAACAAAGATTTCTTAGATAAAACACAAAAGCCCAAACAATAAAAAAAAGATTTCATCAAAAGTTAAAACTTTCACTCTTCCAAAGATACTGTTAAAAAAAAATGAAAAGAGGCCGGGCGTGGTGGCTCACACCTGTAATCCCCGCACTTTGGGAGGCCGAGATGGGCAGATCACATGAGGTTGGGAGTTCGAGACCAGCCTGACCAACATGGAGAAACCTTGTCTCTACTAAAAATACGACATTAGCTGGGCGTGGTGGCGCATGCCTGTAATCCCAGCTACTCAGAAGGCTGAGGCAGGAGAACTGCTTGAACCTGGGAGTTGGAGGTTGCAATGAGCTGAGACTGTGTCATTGCACTCCAGCCTGGGCAACAAGAGCAAAGCTCTGTCTCAACAACAAAAAAAAAAAGATGGCTGGGCATGGTGGCTCATGCTGTAATCCCAGTACTTTGAGGGGCCAAAGCAGCCCAGGAGTTCAAGACTAGCCTGGACAACATAGTGAAGCCCTGTCTCTACAAACAATTAAAAAAAAAAAAATAGCCAGGTGTGGTGGTACACACCTGTGGTCCCAGCTACTCTGAAGGCTGAAGTGGGAGCATCGCTTGAGTCTGGGAGGTCAAGGCTGCAGCGAGCTGTGATGGTGCCACTGCACTCCAGCCTGGGCAAAAAAGCAACGTATCTGATAAAGAACAATTATTTGGCAACTCAATAAGAACACAAGGCAATTTTTTTTTAACGGGCAAAGGATGTAAAGACACCTCACAATAGAAGTTACATGAAAAGACACTCAATATCATTAGTCACTAGAGATACGCAAATTAAAACCACAATGAGATACCTGGTAGGATGGCTAAAACTAACAAAACGGACAATACTATGTGCTGACCAGGATGTAAAGCAGGTGGAAATTTTATATATTGCTGTCAGGATTGCACAATGGTACAGCCACTTTGGAAAACATTTTGGCAGTCAAAACATAGTATATTTAGGGCTCAGTATTATCTAGGTTTTAGGCATCCACTGCGGGTCTTATCAAAGGTAAGTGGGTAAACAAACTGTGGGATATTCATACAATTTCATACTACTTAGCAACTCAGAGGAGCAAACTATGGACACATGCAACAACACAGATGAATCTCAAAAGCATTATATAAGTGAAAGAAGACACACAGGAATGACAACATACTGTATGATTACATTTATATGCAAGTCTAGAAAAGGCAAAACTATGCTGACAGTTCAGTGGTTGCCAAAGGCCAGGCAGTGGGGTCTACACTGACCACAAATGGGCAAGAGAAAACTTTTAGTGGTGATGGAAATGTTCTGTATCATATACGTTTGTCAAAACTCAGTGAAATGTACACTATAAAGTTGGTAATTTATATGGAATGTAAATTTTATCTCAATAAAGCTGATTAAAAGAAATCTGTAAATATTTAAGAAGAAATTTAAGTGACAGATTCATGAAAAATAACTCAACTTTTCTAGCAATCAAAAAATATACTACAATAGTCCTCCCCTTATCTGTAATTTTGCTTTCTGTGGTTTCAGTTACCCACAGTCAACTGCCATCCAAAAATAGGTGAGTACAATACAGTAAGATATTTTGAGAGAAAGAGAGCTCATATTCACATAACTCTTACAACAGTATGCTGTTATAATTGTTCTGTTTTTTATTGTTAATCTCTTAGTGTGCCTAATTTATAAGTTAAACTTTATCATAGATATGCATATAGAGGAAAAAGCATGGTATATTTAGGCTTCAGTACTATTTGCAGTTTTAGGCATCTACTGGGGGTCTTGGAAAGTATGCCCCAAAGATAAGAAGGGACTATGGTACTACCATTTTTTCAACTATTTAATTGACTAAAAATGATTACAGTATCCAGCAAAGAGTACCTAAAAATGGGCATTTTGTTTGTTTGTTTTTGTTTTTTTTAATAAAGAAACCAGGTCTCTCTGTATTGTCTAGGCTGGCCTTGAACTCTTGGGTTCAAGCAATCCTCCCTGAGTAACTGGGACTATAGGCACACACCACTGCACCTGGCTTGGGCATTCTTATACACTGTTGGGGGTGGTGTATGAAGGTACAACTTTTCTGAGAACATATGTTTGAAAAGGCTTAAAAATATTCAAATCCTTTGATCAAACAATTTAAATTCTTTTTCTCTTTCTCTTGCTTTTTGTTTTTAGACAGGGTCTCACTCTGTCACCCAGGCCGGAGTGCAATGACACCATCACAGCTCACGGCAGCCTCGGTCTCTCAGGATAAAGCGATCCTCCTGTCTCAGCCTCCTGAATGGCTGGGATTACAGACACATGCCACCACGTCCAGCTAATTTTTATATTTTTGTAGAGACAGCTCTACCTATGTTGCCCAGGCTGGTCTCAAACTCCTGGCCTGAAGTGATCCTTCTGCCTCAGCCTCCCAAAGTGCTGGGATTACAGGTGGTGTGAGCAACCACATCTGACCAAGCAATTTGAATTATAATAATTTATCCTGAGGAAATAATCAGGGAGGTGCAAAAAAATTACAAATAGGCCAGGCATGGTGGCTCACACCTGTAATCCCAGCACTTTGGGAGGCCGAGGTGGGTGGATCACCTGAGGTCAGGAGTTCGAGAAGTCTGGCCAATATGGTGAAACCCCATCTCTACTAAAAATACAAAAATTAGCCAGGCATGGTGGCATGCACCTGTAATCCCAGCTGCTCGGGAGGCTGAGGCAGGAGAATCACTTGAACCTGGGAGGCAGAGGTTGCAGTGAGCCAAGATCGTGCCACTGCACTCCAGCCTGGGCAACAAAGCAAGACTCCATCTCAAAAAAAAAAGAAAAAAAATTACAAATAAACATGTTTATACAGCACTATTTATTGAAGATGATTAAATTATAGGTTTTTTAATAGGACAGAATATTATTTAATCAATTTAAATATACACATGTACGGACGCACACACACGCGAATTCGCAATGTTCCCCTGGGTGTAAAAAGCAACCAATCCTGCCTAATTGACACTAAAAGCCCTTTACGGACAAACAAGAAGCCTAGGATTTCCGATAAGTGAAGTAAACATATATAGAATGTCTCAACAATATCTATGGAAAATTGGTATTACTATATACCTTTATATCACCATCAATTTTTTCCCATTCTTCAGCTGTAAAACTGGCTGCTGTTGCTGCTGGTTTATCTTTCCTCAAAGCTCTGCTTTCAGGGGCCAAGGCTTGAAGATGCTTTTCACAAAATTCTGTAAGTTCAGGATAATATCCTTCCTCACCAGATCTTAAAAAGAAATAAATAAGTTTTAGAGTTAGCACCTTATTTAGGATCATCTAGACCAGCGGTTTGCAGGCTGGGTTCCATGGAACCCTGAGGTTCTGTGGAGATCTCAAGGGCTGCTTCCCAGTCTCTTTCCTTAACCCGCATAGTCTCCATTTTTACCCGTTAATCTATGGAATGATTAAAAGAAGAAAAAAAGGAACTCCAAAGTAACCAATTTTCATCACACACTTTAAAAACTGGATAAGGGTGAGTGGGGCGGTGTGGTCCCCGGCACCGTGGAGGAAGTGGGGTTGCTCCGCGGAGTTGGCGTGGGTTCTGGGTTCCTCCCGGCGCCACCATGTCAAAGGTTTCCTTTAAGATCACTCTGAGGTCTGACCCGCGGCTGGCGTACAAAGTACTCTGTTCCTGAAAGTACACCTTTCACAGCAGTCTTACAGTTTGCAACAGAAGAATTTCAAGTTCCTGCTGCAAGAAGTGCAATTATTACCAATGATGGAATAGGAAAAAATCCTGCACAGACCTGCTGGAAATGTTTTTCTAAAACATGGTTCAGAACTGCGAATTATTCCTAGAGTCGTGATGGAAGTTGTTAATATCGGCTGCTTGGAACATACAATTACCTTTCAGAATAAATATTGGTATTTTTTGTTGCTGTAAAATTGAAATCAGGCATTTAACACACTATGAAAACACCAAGAGTCAATGAATAATGAGACTCATCTGTCCCTGTTTGTTGTCTGTACTCTTCATGTGAAGAGGGAATTCATATGAATTAAGGGTAATAGTGTCACAGAAGATTGCTACCTCACACACAAACAGGTAGTTCATTTGGGGTGAATGGATTCTCCAACTATTTTATAACTGGGAGCTTCTGATAATTTTTTGGAAAACATTTGAAACATTAAAACTTACTGAATCTTACATATTTGTCTGAGTTAAAAATATAAAAAGAATTATGGATCATGGATGGTAATTTGCTTGATAGCATCTGGTTTGCAGACTCATAGTTTGATTTTTAATTAAATATATAGCTTATGATGAAGTCAATAAACATATCAATGAATAGTTAACTATATTAAATTTTTATCAGGTTGGGCACTGTGGCTCAGGCCTGTATTCCCAGCACTTTGGGAGGCCAAGGCAGGTGGATCACTTGAGGTCAGGTGTTCGAGAACAGCCTGGCCAACATGGCGAAATGGACTCTCTACTAAAAGTACAAAAATTAGCCGGGCGTGGTGGCAGGCACCTGTAATCCCAGCTATGCAGGAGGCTGAGGCAGGAGAATCACTTGAACCTGGGAGGCAGAGGTTGCAGTGAACCGAGATCGCACCACTGCACTCCAGCCTGGGTGACAGAGTGAGACTGCATCTCAAAAAATAAAAATAAAAAAAAATTTTATCATTTACTTTTTCTAAGTTTCAAATCTCATGTATCATATAAATTTCAGTTTAATATCAACCAAAGAAACAAAATTTTAATCTAACAAAAACAATATTTTCTCTTCAACATATATATGTTCATATGTTCATTTTGTACATGATATTAAGCTCATAAATTCAATATTAGAGACTAGCAGAAAGAGAATTTGGACTTCCTTTTCAACAAGGAGTTTCTGTTCATAAATTTTTTTATTTCAA
Source organism: Homo sapiens (assembly GCF_000001405.40). NCBI lineage: Eukaryota > Metazoa > Chordata > Mammalia > Primates > Hominidae > Homo > Homo sapiens. The sequence goes on along the minus strand of NC_000008.11, from coordinate 100,164,176 downwards.
AGAGGTAGGAAGAAAATGGCAGATAAACAGCTTAAACAAAACACCCTGAAATCCAACCACTCAAGGAACAGAATTCCTTCCTTAGAGAGTTAAATGGAGACATCTGTTCCTTTTATTTTAAGGAAAATCAGTCCTTTCCCATTCTTTCTTAGGTCTGTTCACTCTTACATTTCTAGAAAAATATAAATAAATTTCATTTCCAAATTAAATTTTAAAAAACAATTCCAAGTTCAATATATTATCACTGAATTAGGCTATTCATAAAATTTCTTGGAACCAACATTATTATAACTGTAGCTTTCCAACTGTTTCATCCAATAAACTTTTCATTTTTATTTATCCGTCCTTGACCAAGTATACATGATAATATTCTGCTAAAAAAGGGAAAACAATTGATATTATTGATTTTTCACTTTCCATTTTAAAAATGATGATGTTATCACATCAGCATCTGGCTGTGGACCAACAGGGAAGAAAGGAAGCTAAAGGTGATGAAAGAGAAAAAGGGAAGAACCCAGTGATAAGGAATAGGGATAGAGGAAATAAAGAACCACCACAGGGTAATAGGAATTCTAGATGTCCTGGAAAGCAGTTCATGCTCCACAAGTGTCTTCTGCAATAGAACTCTGGTATCCAAATGAAAATAGCTCAAGAGGCCCAAAGAGGCCCCAGCACTTTGGGAGGCCAAAGCAGGAGGATTGCTCAAGTCCAGGAGTTTGACATCAGTCTGGACAACATAGTGAGATCCAGTCTTAAAAAAAAAAAAAAAGAAAGAAAGAAAGAAAAGAAATCCAAAAGAGGTGTCACAGGTTGGTGGTACTCAGGACAGTGTTTCTTCAAGTGGGTTCCTTGAACACCTACATATCAATCAGCCAGCTCCATTGTTAAAAACACATGTTCCCTGGCCCTACCCCAGATTTTTTGAAGCAGAATCGCTGGGAATAGGGCCCTCAAATGTGCATTTTTAACAACCACATTTGATGTATATTCAGTTGGACAGTCACTAGAATGGAGCTCTATCCTGAGAAGGTCCTAATTCCCTGCCTTCTGGTATTACCGTCAGGCCTCCCCACCACCCTCCATGTGATCAGTGTGCGGTGGGTCACCCTCCCTTGTTGTCAGGTGATATGAAGTGGGAAAGTGCCACCAGCCTAGGCTGGTGAGATAAGCTTACCTCCTAATAGCTTTTTTTATTTTTTTTATTATTATTTTTTATTTTTTTATTTTTTGAGACTCTGTCACCCAGGCTGGAGTGCAGTGGCACAACCAGGGATCACTATAGCCTCCAAGGCCCAAGCAATCCTCCCACCTCAGCCTTCTGAGTAGCTGGGACTACAGGCCAAGGTAATTTTCGTATTTTTTGTAGAGATAGGATTTCACCCTGTTGCTCAGGCTGGTCTTGAACTCCTGAGCTCAAATGATCCACCTGCTTCAGCCTCCCAAAGTGCTGGGGTTGCAGGCGTGAGCCATCACAGCCCATCCTAATGGCTGCTTTCACAGCTACTTTACCTTCTCCTAGAAAATGTAGAGAAGGCAAGAAAAATACCCTCCTGGATATTAATTAGCCTGCGTCTCATGCTGGCAGTAGACCTAGGTGGAACTCTCCAAACTAACCATAGGATCAAAACCACTATTTTGGGACCTACCATGCATGGGCAAAAACAGATATTTCTAATGTAGCTTTTACCTTTAGAAGGTAACAACAAGATAATTAAAACTGTCATACTAAAACATGTAATGATTTTAAAATGCTTACCTGAGCACGCAAAGAATTTTTTCCAGATGTTTAACATCTGAACATTTTTCAATGTATTTGAAATCTAGATGTTCAATGGGAATTTTGAATGTTTTTGTTGTTCCAAAGCCCCACAATGATGGATAATCTTTGGTGGTCATAGCTGAAATACAATATTTAAAAGTTATTAATCTAATGTATAAATAATACTCAATTTGGATAGTGGTAACCATGTAGGTACTTCTTTGTATTTTTTTGAATTTTTAAAAATTTTTTGTAGAGACAGAGTCTCCCTATGTTGCCCAGGCTGGTCTCTAACTTCTGGCCTCAAGCAATCCTCCTGCTTCAGCCTCCCAGAGTGCTGGGATTATGGGCATGAGCCATTGTGCCTGTCCCACCTAGGTGTTCCTGGACCAAACTGAGGGTTGGCCTGCTAGTTTTGTGGCCCAATAACGAGATGCAGATGAACCGAGGAGGAAGACGTTATTTACTTCTGCAACTGGCTACAGGGAGAAGGCCTGGAAATTATCACCAGACCAACTCAAAATTACAAAGTTTTCCAGAGCTTATATACCTTCTAAGCCATATGTCCATGTGTAAGCGTGCATTCATCTAAAGACATAAGTGATTAACTTCTTTTAATCTATATCTAAAGTCTGAGTGCTGAAGACCTTCCTCTGGGGTCTCAGTAAATTTACTTAATTTAAATGGGTCCAGGTGCTGGGGCAATTACCCTTATCTTGTCTCCTGCTAAATCACAGAGGTTTGGGGAGTTCCTTCAGACCCTCCATAAACTTGTTTGTGGAGGTCTGGGGAGTTTCTTCAGACCCACAGTAAAACTTGTTTAATCCTAAGTGGGTCATTAAAAATTCCTTTTCTATTTTGTCATGCTTTAAGGCCCAGGAAAGGCCTAGGCAAAACTCTTGGTGGGCTTTTGTTACATCCCAGCCTTTGTATAAGGGCACTGGCTTTTAATATTTAACTTAACCACTCAGTCAGTACCGAAATCATTGTTATGGAGGTCTGTGTTAGTGAGACCTGGCCTGCCACATAGGTACTTCTGTATAAAAGGAGGTGGAGTGTTTTGTTTGTTTTTGTTTTTGAGATGGTGTCACTCTGTCACCCAGGCTGAAATGCAGTGGTGCAATCGTGGGTCACTGCAGCCTGACCTTCTGGACTCGGTGATCCTCCCACCTCAGACTCCTGAGTAGCTGGGACTACAGGCACGTGCCACCACTCCCAGCTAATTTCTCTTAGATTTTTTTGTAGAGATGGGGTTTTGCCATTTTCCCCAGGCTGGTCTCGAACTCCTGGACTCAAGTGATCCTCCCACTTTGGCCTTCCAAAGTGCTGGGATTACAGGTGTGAGCCATCACGCCCAGCCCTTCTAGGTACTTCTGTAGAAAAAGAAGGTAGAGGTTTTTTTCCATGGAGGAAGTCAACTAATTTTGAATTCTCTGTCCCTGATAACAACAATTGACATTTATGGAGTTAAATTACTGTGTGCCATACACAGATTACCTCACTTAATCTTCACTTAAGCAAAGCTGGAATACAATGACAGAGAAGGTTGTGGTGCCCAAATTGCTTTTTAAGATTTTTTAATGTTAATTTTGAATGACCTTCTGCTAGTTTAGCTGTTAACATCCCAATCATTCTTTGTGATTCACCATAAACATAAATAATAACATCCTTTCTGTAACTTGCCTTAACACAATCCTTTTCCCACTCCCTGCCTACTTCTTCTCCCTACTACACAATGAACTGTGTTCTAAGGGCACTCTGTACATACCTCTCCTTTTTTTTTTTTTTTTTGAGTTGGAGTCTTGCTCTGTCACCCAGGCTGGAGTGCAGTGACACAATCTTGGCTTACTGCCACCTCCTCCTCCTGGGTTCAAGCGATTCTCCTGCTTCAGCCTCTTGAGTAGCTGGGATTACAGGTGTGGGCCACCACGCCCAACTAATTTTTGTATTTTTAGTAGAGATGGGGTTTCACCATGTTGGCCAGGCTGGTCTTGAACTACGGACCTCAAGTGATCTGCCTGCCTTGGCCTCCCAAAGTGCTGGGATCACAGGCGTGAGCCACCGTGCCGTGCCCTGTACATACCTCTCTCTTAGCACAAATTTGAATTATGTTTATTTGTCTTCCCTTCTAGTTTGTGAAAGAACTTACTTTATTTATCCTCACAGCTCCAGGACTAACATAATAAGTAGTGCCTATACCCCTTCAGAAACATTCGCTGCATTTAATTGAATTGGGAATAAGGAGGTCTTGGAGAACATCACTTTAAAGATACTGCTGCTAATGCTAATGATAATAATAATAGCAACAAATATATAGTTCTTAATGTGTGCTAGGCACCATTCTAAGTACTTTACATATATTACTTCATTTAATCCCTCAATTACTGTACCGGGTAGGTTTTAAGTGACATTAGTAATAACAGTTAACATTTATGGAGCTAAATTACCATGTGCCATAGCTTATCTCACCTAATCTTCAAAACCTCTCTCATAAAGGATATTAATAATTACTCCTATTTTACAAATGAGCAAGTCGACATGTGAACTAAGGATACGAGTCTCAATAGGCTAACTACAGAGCCCACATACTTAACCACTGTACCAGTGATTTTCAAACTGCAGGTAGCAACCCATAAATAAATTTAGTGAGTTGCAATTAACATTGTTTTATAATGAGATGGAATAGAATAAAAAATAGACTACCTGACATATAACATTAAAGTAAATATTGCTTTATACAAACTTTTACTTCATGTCTATATAAATGGAAATTATGTGTGTATATAAATGCACGAGGTTACAAAGTAAACTATATTTCTTATTGTGGGTCACTGTCAAAGGTTAAAGAAAACCCACTGTACTTGGGCAATGATTTTAAAAACAAGAAGTAGCAATGGGTCTAATTCATAGAAGTATTTCTTTCAGCCCTCTGGGAGTCTGGTCATATATCAGACCTCTGCAGAAAAGGATGACACTGTCCACTTCTCCAAATTCCTGCCGGCTTTGACTTAGGTATATGATATAGATGACAGTTCTTAGGCTTCCGGATGAGATCTAGCTGAGAAATTAGATGTGGCTTTCACACCATACCTTCAGGGCCTATTGATGAATGGCTCCCAGGACAAGGATAACCTCAAGGGTAGAAGTTACAGGAAAGCAAGATGAAGAACTCGTAAATTATTGATGCTGCCCAGAATAGAATGGGTTGCCTTAGAAGGATTTTTCCAAAGAGCAAGGGATCTTTGGTGGGAGAGATCTAAGCATCTAATGGGATTAAAATAGATTACCTTGAATTGAAGGTATTTTGCAACCCCTGAGATTTTATGATTTCAATAAAATGTGATTAAAAACACATGAAATGATAGAGCCATCTCTTACCTAATCAAATGAATTTCATTCTGAACATCATTTTAACATTTCTCTGAGAATCTTTTTTTTTTTTTTTTGACTAATCAAGTGCAGTAGTGAGAAGGGGAGAAAGAGTACAACGAGGAGGTGGATCTATAACTGAACAATCAAGTGAGAGAACTCACTACCTTTGGACCAAGTCTCTCTGAGAATCCTTTTTGAAAAAAAAGGATTCTCTTTTTTTCTTTCTTTCTGTAGGATACACCTTCTCAAGACTACTGAATGTCCATCTCAAGTTCCAAAAAACAAGTTATACAATACTTTAGAACTCTTCCACCTCTGTTTGCAGTCTTTGTTTCTAATTGGGAAAACCTTCGATCCTAGCTGGATTTAATTTCTCCATCATCCTGATCCACATCCACCTCCCATATTTCGTAGCCAGCTTAGTAATACCTCCAGTTCAAACTGCTCGGGCCTACTAACGCGAAAAGCTGGGTCTCTCCCACCGAGGCACCCTCTTTCCTGCATCCACAGGGCCGACCGCCCCCTGCAGTCGGAGACCGAAAAGAAACGGCATCCTCCCGCCGTGGCAACGGTTTCTATGTACAGCGGCGCCAGGACCTGCCGGGACTGGGGAGCCCCACAGCCCAGCCGCAATGGTCTCAGATTGCTCCCCAGCCCCTGGCTTGGGTCACCAGGGCTGACCGCGCCGGTGGACCCGGGAACTCCAGCGTTGCCACCGCGCCCCGACACCCGCCACCGTCCCCCGCGGCCTGGAAAGCCCCGCGTGTTCCCCGGCCTTGAAGGACGTCCACCCCATCGCTCCTTCTCCCTCGCGGCCCACCGCCCCTTCGCCTCCCCGCCTCGACCTCTCGCCCCCGCTCCGGGAGGGAAGGGCTGAGATGCGACAAGTCCTATATTCCCGGCCGGCAGGTACACACAGGCACTCACTGCTTCTCAGCGCCCCGCGTCGGGGAAGTCGCGGCCGCCGCACCGGCTCTGGCTGCACTGCAGGTGCTGAGGGAGGGTCTCGTCGCCCGGCCCGAGCCAGAGGCGACAGGCTGACGGCCGGGGCGGGGACTAGGCCCCTGCCACGCCCCGACCCGCAGTCCGGCAGATCTGCAGATCTGCCGACGGCCACAGGTTCACCTTCCCCGCCTTCACTGGCAGAGGACCAATTGGGCATAAGAGTTGGTGTGAGAGGTCCACTTCCTCTCGTTTGAGTTTCAGTTTGTTGTAGAGTTAAAACGCTGGCATCAGCCGGGCGCGGGAGCTCACGCCTGTAATCCTAGCACTTTGGGAGGCCGAGGCGGGAGGATGGCTTGAGGCCAGGAGTTGGAGACCAGCCTGGGCAACACAGTGAGACCCTGCCTCTACACTATACATATATATATGTGTGTGTGTGTGTGTGTATATATATATATATATATACACACACACACACACACACACATATATATATGTATATATATATTTAAATACTTTAAATTTTTATTGTATTTATGTTTTTTGTTTTTTGTTTTTGGAGACAGAGTCTCGCTCTGTCGCCCAGGCTGGAGTGCGGTGGCGTGATCTTGGCTCATTGCAACCTCTGCCTCCCAGGTTCAAGCGATTCTCTTGCCTCAGGTTCCTGAGTAGCTAGGATTACAGGCGCCCGCCACCACACCCGGCTAATTTTTTTGCATTTTTAGTAGAGATGGGTTTCACCGTGTTTGCCAGGCTGGTCTTGAACTCCTGACCTCAAGTGATCTGCCCGCCTCGGCCTCCCAAAGTGCTGGGATTACAGGCATGAGACACCACACCTGGCCCATAAATAAAATATTTTTTTAAAACGCTGCTACTGTTCTGTTATCCCGGACTGCTGTATTCCCTGCTAAGTAAATTGATTACTCCTATTTAACTATAAAAAATGTAATTAAAATTTCAGAGTGCATTGCAACCAAGATTTACTTACCTCTTCCTCTTTAAAAAAAAAGAGTAAATGAAAGACAAAATTCCCTCTTCCTTTTCATGAATTCCACGTTTTCTGAGTGCTGGTTATGAGTCAGGCACCATACTCAGCACAGGGATGAAAAGGTGAATAAGACAAAATACTAATACAATTCAGATGAATAAAACAATAGAGGTTACTTGTCAGGAAATTTATTTCAGTTTTATAATTTCAAACTAGTTAAAATAGATGATGAAGATCAAAGTTAATTTACAGTGTCTGGCAGTTCTGTAAATGTATTTCTCTTTCCCTTTTGCACTTAAATTACAGACCTGCGGTCTGCTACCAAGCACTGTTAGTGGCAAAAATTCTAATGCTTGGCAGGACACAGTGGCTCATGCCTGTAATCCCAGCACTTTGGGAGGCCAAGGCAGGCAGACTGCTTGAGCCCAGGAGTTCAGACCAGCCTGTGCAATATAGTGAGAGGCTGGCTCTATAAAATAAAAAAAAAATTTTTTTAAATCACTTTAGTCTTCATAGAGATAAAAGAAGATATCATCCAAGAAACAAGGAGATAAAGTGAGGCCTGGTAAGGTCACTTAGCCAGGTAACAAGGGGTGGTGCACGTATTTGGACCCAAAGCCTTACACCAAAGCCCATGTTGTTTACTGAGCACTTAATTACTAACCAATCCATCAGTAAGTCCCACAGCCAGATACTTCTCACCACCTCCACAACTACAGCCCTGGCCCAGCCACCATTACCACTAACTATTACAGACGGTCTGTTGTTTCTTTGTTGCTACCTGTCCTACATAGTCTATTCTCACACAACAGCCTGGTAATTCTTCACATCAGACCAGGTCACTCTCCTGCTTACTGTCCCAATGGCTTTGCATCACAACACCCTAAGTGAGCTGGCCTCTGCCCACCTCTGCAACCTCATCTCCTCCCACTATCCCTCCTGTCATAAAGTTTGAGTCACATGGGCTTGATTCTGAAGTGGGAACAAGATTAAGCTCACTTTCCACCCCATGACTTTTACATGGAGTGTTTTCTGTTTCGGTAATGTTCTTTCTCATCCTTCAGTCCTCTCTGTTCAAATAACCACGCCACCTAAACTTATTACACAAAGCTTATTCTAAGGAAGGGTGAGGACATGTGTGTATTATGTATTATGAGGCAACTTGTCGCCCAGGCTGGAGTGCAGTGGTGCAATCTTAGCTCACTGCAACCTCCACTTCCTGGGTTCAAGCAATTTTCATGCCTCAGCCTCCCGACTAGCTGGGATTACAGGCATGTACCACCACACCCAGGTAATTTCTGTATTTTTAGTAGAGACAGGGTTTCACCATGTTGGCCAAATTGGTCTTGAACTCCTGAGCTCAAGCGATCCTCCCGCCTTGGCCTCCCAAAGTGCCGGGATTACAGGTGTGAACCGCCACTCCTGGCTTCATTTCTGATTTCATTTTTGAATTTTTCATAACTCCAATCTCTTAAGATAGCTATCTTAAAGCACTGTTATCTCTATAATCCCTGTGATTACTTATAATCATAATTCCTCCACTTTGATAAAGAAGCTGAAGTTAAAAGAAATAAAGTGAATTGGCCAGTCATTGAGGGGCAGGGCTGAATTTGAACAAATCTCCATTCAGTGCTTTTCCCATGGACAAGGATGTGCTTTTCAGTGTGTGCAGTCAGTAAGCAGTTTACAGGGTACCAAGTGATGTGCTAACATCAAGCTCAAGCTTACTAATTTTCATATTGACAGAGCACTAGTCAAAAGAATGTTTTAAAAGCAATTTTATATCAGTTTTTTCCTTGAAACTGTCTAGGTAGGTAAGAGGTAAAATTACATCTAGTTTATACATGAAGGGAGCACAAAAAGTGGCTGACTGAAAGCAGTCTGAGTTCCAGCTGTAATACATTTTGCATGAAGTTATTCTGCCCAGTTAACCAGATAACAATATTCAATTAAACTACTGATATGCAAAGGACTTAGTCTAAAATGAGAAGAGTTAAGAGAAGTATATTATCCCATAAGTTGGGGATTTATCTGTTTAGGGAACTGTCATAAAGAAATACCATGTATTGAGACTCCCATATCTAAAAAGTTCAAGAAGGAATATACTAAAATTATAAAATTATGAAAGCTCAATTTCATTGCCAGCCTGGGCAATGTAGTGAGACTTCATCTCTACTAAAAATCAAAATAATCAGCCAGCATGGTGGTGTGTGCTTGCAGTCCCAGCTATTCAGGAAGCTGAGGTGAGAAGATTGTGTAAGCCTGGGAGATGGAGGCTGTAGTGAGCTATGATCATGCCACTGCACTCCAGTCTGGACAACAGAGGGAGACCCGGTCTTAAAAAAACAAAACAAAACAAAAATCTGAGCATGGAAGTATTTCATATAGCATGTAATAAATTTATAGAATTTAATATATGAAGATGGTGGTAAAAATGCAGGGTTTTTTTTAACAAAGTATTATGGACAATATTTTGAATGTCAAAGACAGACATAACTATTAATAAAGTTGGAATACATCTAATCTTTAAAATGCACATCAGGCTGGCCAACATGACATTCCACAACCATGGAATCCTTGAACAGAATAGCGTATAAGTGTGACCATTAATTCTACATCCCAAAGATCAAGGCTGAAGACTTAAACATTTATCCAATAATTCAGTGTAAACCAACGCTCCCCTCCCCAGCCCTTGACTCAGGGTGTTGCACTGTCCATCAGGCTGGAGTGCAGCAGCATGATTATGGCTCACTGCAGCCTCAAACTCTTGGGTTCAAGTGATCCTCCCATCTCAGCCTCCCGAGTCACTGCCTGTTCTTTTTATATCCTAAAAGCAGAACTGTTGACCTTAATGAGTGATTACACCTTGGAAACTGCACTTGGCTTAACAGCCTGCTTCATTCACTTTGCTTGGGGTTGATTTTGCCTTACAGAAAACAATTAAAGTTTCCCTTCATTATTCTGAGATTTAAAAGAGAACCAAGCATTATATGAAAATACAGAAAGGCCTATACCTAGTAATAAATGAAAAACTGAACTCAAGATGACATATGCATACTGACACCAAGCACAATGGTATACTTCATATCAAATGACACAGTGACACAGGACAGTGGTTTGCAATAAATTTATTTAATCAGAACTTCAGAGGGTTCTAGAAACCTGCATTTTTAACAAGGACTGCAGATGATTCTAGGTTTTGATTAAAAGTGTGGTTTGGGGAAGCAACTTTACCCTTTATTGTGTGTTAAATTACATATACAATAAAACAAAAAGTCACGTAATGGAACAAAAAATTGCTTTATACAAAATATTAGTAGATACCCAAATATAATATGGTCTTAAAAATAAAATCATATGTATATAGTTGTATTCCTAAGTACAGTAGTGCCCCCCTCATCCAAAGTTTCCCTTTCTGTGGTTTTGGTTACCTGTAGTCAACCACATTCTAAAATAGGTGAGTACTGTACAAGAAGATATTTTGAAAGCAAGAGAGACCAACCACATTCACATAACTTTTATTATAGTATGTTATCATTGTTCTATTACATTATTATTAATCTCTTGCTATGCTTAATTTATACATTATACTTTATCATAGGTATATATATATGGAAAAAACAGTGTATAAAGGTTTGGTACTGTTTGAGGTTTCAGGAGTTCACTGGGGGCCTTGGAATGTATCTCCCGAAGATAAGGGGGAACTACTGTAAGCAAAATCGAAAGCTATACAACAATCAGAAATGGGAAGAGAGCAAATCCAAGTATAAGTGAAGACATTCCTCTGAATTCCCAGCATTCATCGAGCATCAAAAACGACCACTGTATTAATTTGAGTTAAGGACAAAAACGGTACTTAAACATTATTAAGACTGAAGGTTTCAAAGTCACTTTCTCTTTGCAATAAGCTGGTTTGTTATTTAACTTAAAATGCAAAAAAGAATGGAATTCACTATTTACTATGACAACTGGTTTTTAAATAAACTAAAAACACTTTCAATTTTTATTACCACCTTTTCCATAAAATGTATCAAAAAACACTAAAGCAGGCCAGGCGCAGTGGCTCACGCCTGTAATCCCAGTACTTTGGGAGGCTGAGGTGGGCGGATCACGAGGTCAGGAGATCGAGACCATCCTGGCTAACATGGTGAAACCCCATCTTTACTAAAAAATAAAAAAAATTAGCCGGGCATGGTGGCGGGTGCCTGTAGTCCCAGCTACTCAGGAGGCTGAGGCAGGAGAATGCCATGAACCCGGAAGGCAGAGCTTGCAATGTGAGCCGAGATTGCGTCACTGCACACCAGCCTGGGTGACAGAGCGAGACTCCGTCTCAAAAAAAAACAAAAAACAAACAAAAAAAAACACTAAAGTAATGTTAAAGCGGATAATCCGTCGATTTACAATGTGTGTTAGTTGTATCATAACAATTTACTCTGTATTTTATTTTTCCACATGGGGGTCACACTATGTTGCCCAGGCTGGTCTTGAACTCCTGCAGCCTCCCAAAGTGCTGGGATTATAGGTGTGAGCAACCATGCTGGGCCTACTCTCAGTATTTGAACAATTTGTATGCCCAACTTTTTCCATTAGGTAGTATACACAATATTTGTATTTCTCCTCGTGAACTTTAGCTTGTCCATAAACTGAAGCTCAAGAATGAATACTTATATAAATGTAGTCATGCACCCATAATGACGTTTTGGTCAAAGATGGAGCACATATAAACAGTGGTCGCATAAGATTATACTCTATTTTTGCTGTACCTTTTCTATGTTCAGATATACAAAAACATTGTGTTACAATTGTCTATTCAGTACAATAGCATGCTGTACAGGTGTGTAGCCTAGCAGCAATAAGCTATACCATATAGCCTAGATGTGTATGTATAGTAGGATATACGGTCTAGGTTTCTGTAGGAATGATGAAATTGCTTAAGGACACAATTCTCAGAATGTATCCCTATCCTCAAGCTTGACTGCACAGAATCCCTAAAAAATAAATTTATGAGAACCAAAATCAACTAGCATTATTTAGATTATTTAGAGCCTATGCATTGGTCCATGAAAATGCTAATCATGTTTGTTTTTTAAGTACTGTAATCCAGAAAGTTATCATTTTAACCAGAAATTAATCTTTATCAACCCCAGCATTATTCATTTCCTCCTAACTCATATTTAGAAAGCATCGTTAAAAGGATACATCTTTTAGTCCTTTTCTTGTACATTATTCTGTATCCACATTCTCTGCATCTGATTGGATCCCTAGATTTTATTTCATTTTCTGTGTGACACTCTAGAATTAAAAAAAAAAATTTACTCAATGCCTAAGAGGAAAATATTACAGACAAATTATCTTAAATGTATTATTTACCTAAGGCAATCCAAAACACTAAAATATACTCAATCTCAAGGGTCTGCTGCTTTTATTAAATATATTAAATAGGAAAGAAAAAGGTTGTAGGCCATGCATATTTCCAGGAGAGAGAATGAAATCTCAACGAGCTTTGTTTTTTTCTGTTAGTAAACAGAAGACCAAGGACGAACCCAGGTCTACTGACCTCAACGATTTTTTTTATGGTTGCTAAAGTGTTCTACTTTATAACTCTGAAGACCAGTAACTCATTTAAGCAAAGAATAAATGTAACAATTTCAAAAAAACTTAAATAAAATATTCTTACTTTAGGTAAGTGCTACTCTTACCTCCACAGATATATATCATTGGTTGCTGCTTTGGAGGTTGAACGTCCTTCTGGGTGTCCATTGTTAGCCCCTGAAATCACAGACTCAAATACTGAATATCTCAAAAGGGCTTCTCACAAGTCCATCCGGGCCCATTTTTCTCAGGAAAAGCTACAAAGATCCAATTCCTAATCTGTTCCTTTCCCCAAATCCTATGGGTTAGGTCTCAAGGACGAAACGCATACACACAAGTATTGAGCGTTTACCCCAAACTGGACATAATAACTACTTCATACGTGTTAGGCCATTATAATCTTCATAACAATCCTAGGAGACATCACTCTTGTTTTACAGAGGACGCAACCGATACTTAGACATGTTAATTTCCGCAGGATCACTCAGCTACTAAAAGTCAAAGGGATACAGATCTGACTGTAAAGCTCGCGTTCTCGTTTAACACAAGTTCTATTTTCCCAAACTCTAGCAGAAGTTAGCCAAAAAAAATTATATCCCTCAACAGGGGAACAGGCTCACCGAGGGAAGAACAATGAAATAACTCCTACTGGCTAAACATCTAAACTAAAAGAAAATAGGGAAAAGAGCGATAGCATGGACCGTATCCCCAGCCACTCTCAACTCTACCCCCATACCGGACCTTTTTACCCCAAGTGTCTTTCCAGTTTTGGCCCAAATATCCACCACAAACCCCAACCCGCCAATTCGCTTACCTACACAGCACGGAAAAACTCACTCCGCGTTTCCAAATACAACCCGGCTAGTCCAGGTGTCGAGACCAACTTCCGGCGCTGGTACATGACGCACAGTGCTGTCTCTCTTTCTCTCTCTCTTACTCCCCGCCCCTTCCGCCCCAGGCGTGGCCAGACAACCCGGATGGCGCAAAGGCGGTAAAGCAGGGGCTTTCTGTCTATTAGATTCTACGGGTTTAAGTGCCTGGTCCCCAGCTATTTTAATTTTGCAGGAAAGCAGAGCATTTTAACAGTTATGCAAGTACAAGGCGGTGTGTGTTTCTGACTAATGTAGTGGTACAAAGTAACACTTTTCCAGAAGGGTAGAGGGTTAGAAGAAAAACCGAGATGACAGTGTCCGAGAAGTACTAGGATAGCCGTTACTCGGACGAACATAGAAGAATCGACTACACCAATGATTTTCACGTAGAAAAACACTTTTCCAGATTGTTTTTAAAAATTGTTTGATATCTGTACTGGGGCAGTGGGGCAGCTGCCTCCTACCTTTCTCTTGATTTTGTTTTTGCTTTCTGGCCCCTTCTCTGATAGGCTACTGTCACATCCCTCGCCCAATCCGTTTACTTGTTTTAAAGCAAAGGTTAGTGTGACGGTAGCTACATGAACAACTCCCTCTTAAATCTAAGAGATTTTGGTAGCTTTCGCTGTCTACTCACCCGCCCTCCGTTCTATGTATTCCACCATAGAAGAACAAAACGCCCTGCTCAGTGGAGGTGCGTTCTTTCAAGTATCAGAATTTCAGTATGATGGATCAGTTGGGTTCAGAACGTTTACATTTGTTTCCTTTTTTTCCAGAAGATATTTTACTTAGTAGGGTGAAGAAAATGAAGCTATTTTAAAAAATTTAAAAATAACTTAATTGTTAATAACTATTTTAAAGTTAGTGAAAGAAGTAGGCGTTCTTTCTCCCAACACGCACTATGTCTGATATTTTATTAAGCAGGTTATACTCCTTTCGGGCCCTCCATCCAGAAATCTGAGAACTTTGAGCTTCACCTTTCACTTCCAGAAGTTCAAACTCCTTCTGTTGCATCTCCCCAGACCAGCTTGAGAGATTTAAGTTGATCTTTCCAGGAAGATGCCATTTAAAAACCCTTCAGGAAAACGCAGCAGTTCCTGGCTTCTTTCTTCACAGACAGGCTAACAGAGCATAAATATTTTAACCATTAGCCCTGTTACAAAGTACCTCTCCTCTTAACCAAAGAGGTGATCTAATACAAGAGGCACAATAGGCTTCCCTGTAAGAACTATTAGATGGAACCATTGTTATCCTAAGCGAAAGATGACAGAGTGATCCCAAAAGTCAAACTTTCATATTTACAAGCTCTCTTGTATATTAACTCTCCAGTTGAAATATCAAGATAATTCTCGTGCAGAACAATTTATGGAGATCAGAATGGATCAACATATGTAGAATACAAATGGGTCCTGGGGCCCTACAAAAGGGCAAAGTAATGACAAGTCATAGCAAGAAGATCCAGAATTTCAACAAGAATTCATGTTGGTGCTAGTTCCCAATCCAACACGCTCTTTCCTATCAACAGAGACTGGTAGTTCTAGGATCACTTGGGAGTTTGGTCAGTGTAAGCTACACTATTATCAATGATAGCATTAACTTTTTCTGAGCATGTACTACATGCCAGACATCATTGCATTGCTCTGTTTTAATGGGGGTAGTTGTCTTGCCATCCTGGAAAACAATGCTTTTAACTCTTTATTAAGAAGGTTATGGAGATGCAAGTTGCTATTTTTTCCCTGAATCTCTGTCTTTCCTTTTTCCTTGATTATATTCACTTAAATATATCCAGATAGCTTGAATATCATGGTAATTTGGGAAATCTCCCATTACGTTTTATTGGATGGTCCCAAAAAGAAGCATCAGATTTTGTGGCAAGCAGGTGGGTTTTAGAGTTCTGAAATTAGTGATGGGATGACACCCAATGCAAGAAAGGAAAGCAAAGGGCTGGGCACCGTGGCTCACGCCTGTAATCCCAGCATTTTGGGAGGCTGAGGCGGGCAGATTGCTTGAGGTCAGGAGTTCAAGACCATCCTGGCTAACATGATGAAACCCCGTCTCTACTAAAAATACAAAAAATTAGCCAGACATGGTGGCATGCACCTGTAATCTCAGCTACTTGGAAGGCTGAGGTGCAAGAATCGCTTGAACCCGGGAGGCGAAGGTTGCAGTGAGCTGAAATTGCCCCACTTCACTTCAGCTTGGGTGACAAAGTGAGACTCTGTCTCAAAAAAAAGGGAAGCAAAAAGGCAAAAGACTGTAAAGAATATGAAATTACAGCTCAGTGGCTTCAATCTGGAGTATGTAAGTAAAGCTCAGGCAAACTACATATAACTAGGTGTCTTTTTGCCCGTTTTTAGGTGGGGAGAGGTGACAATGATTCTTCCTTGAACAATATAAAGGAGATATGATATAGTCTTTCACTCCTCAGACATAATAAAATATCTCAAGAAAAATAAATTAACTGGAGAAAAAAGAAAAGGGCAATGTTTAAATGGTTTTGGGGTTATGTGGATTCTACTTAACCATTGGCAAAATTCCCTGCCCTGTTTACATTGGGATGGAGATGGGGAGCAGACATTAAACAAAAATGAGTAGATAATATGGGATTTTAGAAGGTAGTAAACTACACAGAGAAAATTCAGTAGAATTCTGCAGGAGAATTGCAAATGTGGGGCAGGAAAGGGTAAAATGGCTGTAATAGAGATTTGTTTGAAGAGCTAGAGAGGGTACTATTCACTCTACCAGGGAGTGTGGGGGTAGGCTTCAGAGAGGTGCTGTCTTGAAGAATGTGTAATTCATTAATTCTTTACAGTCCTACAGGTACCTCAAACTTAACAACCTCACACTAAATGCATCTTATTTTCTCCCAAGCCTATACTCTTCATTCCCTCACTCCTTGCCCCATGCAGTTGATTCTGCCAACTGAACATGTCACATCTTGGTTCTGCTCCACCCCCCACTGCCTTCTGGAGAAATGCAGTAGCTTCCTACTGGTCTCCTAGCAGCCACCCTTGCCTCTCTTCATTCTGTCCTCCATTCTGCCACCAGAGTGGACTTTCTAAAATGCTCTTCAAACTCTGAAGGTGCAACCAGAACTTCCCAAGACTTAGCTTCTTCACTTCTCAGGAATTTTCTCTAATCCTTTCCTCTAACAACTCTTAGTTTCTGCCTATAACAAATTATTTGCAGCTTCTCCATGTGCCCAACTGCTCTTGCACATTTTGTTTTGAGTTTGAAATTTTCCTGCCCTTATACATTTTAAGTTTGGAATTTCCTGCTGTCTGCCTTTTAAATTGCCACTTGTACATCAAAATCTATCTCATGCACTCTGTTCTCCAGTAGAGTTAGCTGGTTCTTCTTTCCTTTGTGCTGCTACTGTTCCTCTGTTACAGCACTTGCTCTATACCAATGAGCTCCTTAACAGCAGTAACTGTGGCTGTGTCAGCTCTGTATTCCCAGTACCTAGCACAGTAATTGGCACATAGTTGGAATTTAATAACTGTTAGTGGACGGGCACAGTGGCTCATGCCTGTAATCTCAGCACTTTGGGAGGCTGAGGCAGGTGGATCACCTGAGGTCAGGAGTTCGAGACCAGCCTGGCCAACCTGGCAAAACTCCGTCTCTACTGAAAATACAAAAATTAGCTAGGCGTGGTGGCGGGTGCCTGTCATCCCAGCTACTCGGGAGGCTGAGGCAGGAGAATCGTTTGAACCTGGGAGGTGGAGGTTGCAGTGAGCCAAGATTGCACCACGGCACTCCAGCGTGCGTGACAGAGCGAGACCCTGTCTCATAATAATTTTAGTGAGTTTGGTTTTGGATGACTGAGGGACATCCAGTTGGAGAAATGTCCAGTCAGAGAAGAGTGGTGGTAGTGCCTGTTATTGGCTTAAAAGTGATGGTTGAAGTTCTGAATAAGAATTACATAAGCATGGGATGATAAACTAATAAAAATGCTGAGGTAGGACCTCTCATTTAGGGAGTAGGCCAAGGAAAAGAAGCCAGAAAAAGGAGACTAGGAAGAAGCTGCCAAGAGCAGCAGGAGTGTCCCTGGCATATAATAGACGCCCAGTAAATATTTATTGAATGAAAAAATTAGGGTTTAAAAAATTTATTTGGCTTTGAGGGTACTTGGGAGTTCATGATGCCCAAAAATGGATGTTTGTAAACAATGAACACATTTCACTCTGGTTTTTATGAATAGATTTTTTAAAAATCTTTTTTTTGAGATGGGGGTCTCACTATGTTGCCCAGGCTGGTCTCAAATTCCTTGGCTCAAGTGATCCTCCCACCTCTGTGCTGGGATTACAGATGTGAGCCACCAGGCCCGGCTCAGCTTTTTTATCACAAAATCTGTATATATTCATTGTTGAAACATGAGAAGAAAACACAGATAAAAAGAACTAAAAAGCAAACATAATCCTGTACAAATTTACCGTATCCAAGTTATTCATACCTTTCAGACCTCATCCTGTGTATATCCATATTTTTAACCTAAAAGGGGTCAGTTTGTAACTTGCTTTTTGCACTTGACAGTTTGGAGAATCATTTCCAAGGGAACATTCTCATACATGATTTCTAATGGCATCCCACTGTAGGCCACGTTAGCATTCCTAAATACGGTAATGCTTCCCAAAGTGGGAATGGGGAGAAGCAGAGCCTTTCTGACCCGCCTCGGGACGGGTGCAGGGGTGAGCGAGAGAGGGGGCGCTCCTCCCGCTCAAGCGAGGACCCAGGCCTGCGGGCGGCCGGGCGGGAGCGCTGCAGAGCCGGAGGAAGGGGCGGGACAGCGCGGCGCGGGGCGGGGCTGCGCTTAGCGGTTACCCCGGGCGGGCCGTTCAAACCTAAGGAGGTAAAGGCAGCGGCCCCACGCGAAGCTGGCGTGGGGGTTGCCATAGCCCGCATCCCAGGGGGCGAGGCCGAGGCTTCTCCCCGGCCCATCCAGCGGCTGCTGCCCGGCTCCTCTCCCACCTGTCCGCTTCGGCGCCTCGCCCGGCCCCGCGGCCTCCAGGCAGGCGGCGGGACCCCAGGCGAGTGCCCGTTAGCGGGTCTCCCGGCGGCCCGGCCCCGCGTCGCCCTGTGTCTTCCAGGTGCTGGGCCTAGGGAGGCGCGCGGCAGCCCTCACTCCTCCGCTCCTGGTGACGCCAGCCCATCCCCTGCTGCCCTTGGCTTTCTGGGCCTAGCGGATCTTTGACGCCCTGGTGAGACCGTTACCCACCCGCCCGCCATAGCTCCTCGGGGGAGTCAGTGCCAGGCTGCAGCACACGCTGCCTTTTCAGGAACCCGAATTTGGGAAGTTTACTCATGTCTAAGTCCAGCTGGAGAAAACAAGGATATTAAGATAACTATTTTCTGGAGGGCTGAAGGAAATTCAAAATGATTTAGACCTTCTCAAGTGTTAGGAATAATCCCTGCGGCATGCACCCTGTGTACCCTTCGACTTTGAGCAATCATGATGCTGCTGCACCTTTCAATTAATTGTGCAAACTAAAGTTTTCCTCTTTAAGTGGCATTATTTTGGCATGAGTTTTAAAGACAAAGATGAGAGAATTTCTTGTTTGGAAGCCTACGTAACTTTGACATCTAAGAGCTCAAGATTTACTGATGGTAAGAGTTTCCACTTTAACAAATGAAGAACATTTGGGTTTAATGTAAGTACTTCATTCTCTGATGTGGTAGGTGCTTTTTCTTTTTTTTCTTTTTCTTTTTTCTTTCTTTTTTTTTTTTTGAGACGGAGTCGCTCTGTCGCCCAGGCTGGAGTGCAGTGGCGCGATCTCGGCTCACTGCAAGCTCCACCTCCCGGGTTCACGCCATTCTCCTGCCTCAGCCTCCCGAGTAGCTGGGACTACAGGCGCCCGCCACCACGCCCGGATAATTTTTTTGTATTTTTAGTGGAGACGGGGTTTCACCGTGTTAGCCAGGTTGGTCTCGCTCTCCTGACCTCGTGATCCGCCCGCCCCGGCCTCCCAAAGTGCTGGGATTACGGGCGTGAGCCACCGCGCCCGGCCGCTGCTTTTTTTTTTTTTTTTCTTAAAGAACACTTTAGGAATAAGTTTTCTCAGCCTTTTATCAGAAGCCTAGTTTTTAAAAATGAATATCGAAGAGGCTTGATTGATTTATCCGTGAACTGTTGAGTCCATAAAATACAACAGACAGTCCATGATTTTACATGAATAATTTTAAAATTCAGTTGCGAAGAACCACGTTTGAGACCAACGTCTTGGGGTAGTAGAAAGATGAAAATGCTAGCAGAGAAAGGACGTTGGAGGCAACTTCAAGTGTGTAGATGAACAGAAACAATTTTTTTTTTAAGAGATGGGGTCTCACTATGTTACCCAGGCTGGTCTTAAACTCCTGGACTCAAGCATTTCTCCCGCCGCGGCCTCCTAAAGTGCTGGGATTACAGGCGTGAGCCACCGGCCAGAATAGATTTTTGGATAACATTTTAGAGGAAAGAGATAATATCTGCATTCCCCACTTTGTTTTTAACAATTTGCCTCTGAGTTTCCCAAATTCTAGCATTGTGAGACACCTAGTGGTGAAGTAGCAGTACAATTGCCATAACCTTTTAAAAGGACCGTGACCTGCCGGGCGCGTTGGCTATTGCCTGTAATCCCAGCACTTTGGGAGGCCAAGGTTGGGTGGATCACCTGAGGTCAGGAGTTCGAGACCAGCCTGGCCAACATGGCGAAAGCCCGTCTCTACTAAAAATACACAAATTAGCCGGGCGTGGTCGTGGGCGCCTGTAATCCCAGTCAGTGGGGAAGCTGATACAGGAAAATTGGTTGAACCCGGGAGGCAGAGGCTGCAGTGAGCAGAAATCACGCCACTGCACTCCAGCCTGGGCGAAAAAGCGAGACTCCGTCTCATAAAAAATAAAAAAATTAAAAATTAAAAATAAAAGGGCTGTGACGCAAATTGAGTGAAAAGTGTTATTTAACAGAATTACCTTCAGAGAGGGAGAAAACAGTTCATGGGTGGAGATGTAATTTTAATATGCATTCTACTTATTTAATATTTGTAAAACAAAATTGTTTAAAAATATAACAAAATTATAAAAAGCAATTTGATAAATCTATTTGGTTTGTGACCATGTGCAGAAGTTAGCAGTGATCTGAGAGGATGTAGATCAGAAGGGGACATGTATGACATTTATCAAAAACGAGTATAGATTTAAAAGGTTAAAAAATACTTAGACTTTGTTTAGTAAAAATAATCTTTTAATGATCATCAAACCATAAAGAAATATTTTGTGTTTAGAGTAGCAATTTGCTTTTGTAACAAAGATCATTCACTCATATATCTGATTAAGTTTAAGCATAAATAAATTACTGTCGCATTACAGCCAATAAATAGATCTTCCCAGGATCTTTTAATGGAGAAAAATTGTGCATTTGTCCTGGAGAAAACTTTGAAGGAATGACAGTCTTCTTCATGTCCTTTGAATCATCTGGAAAAATATCAAAAACTATAATAAATTTTTTTCTTAACACTATTTTTGTCAAAACAAATTTGTTAGCTTTGAGTTAAGATTTATTTCAAGTTTCTAAAAAGAAGGAATGTGATGACACTGTTGAAAAGTTTAAGGAGTAAAATATTTCTTAGTGTCATTCCTTGCTCATGTAACTACTGAGTAACTGTTCTTTAAGTAATTGAGTTGCATTCTTTATTTGCAACTTCAAGAATATTTTAAATGGTGGTTTTCCCATAAATAGTTGCCTATTAACTGTGAATTCAAGGCTGAAACTGGACCTTGCATCACAAAATATTTAGAAAGTGAGATATGAATAAGTACAACATGCCAAGTTTGAAATGGCCCTATCTGTGGTGCAGTGGTTCATTATGGTTAGCTCAAGAAGAATGTGTTAGTAGTTCATTGATGAGCCAGTCTTTGCAAAGTCTTAAGTCTGGGAATTCACATCTCGTGAATGGTTATGGGGACTAGGTTTCTACAACAGGTCTATGTTACATGTTTGAACATTACTTGAGTTGTTCAGCCTGATTGCAGGTAGATCTAGAGGCAGCACTCATTATTTGACACATTCCCAAGGTGTTTAAAAAGTAGCATATAGCATTTTTTGAGTAGACTAATATAGGCTGGCACAAATAAGCTGGAATATTAAAATCAAAATTGTTTAGTTCTGTGAAAATCATAAGGTAATAAAATAATCTAAAAATAATGCTTCTAGGTTTTTTTCTCTTTAGGGTAGCTCAATAAAATATGTGTGCATGATGCTTAGCCTATGATTAATCAAGTGATCTTTGAATATTTATAACCTGAACATTTTGGCTTTGTGATGTCAAGAACTCGTTTTAAGTAGGATACACATCAGTTTCTTATGGGGTAGAATTGTTTTTTTAAAGTAACTTTTCAAAAATTGTCATACAATTTTCCATTATTATCTGTACTCATAACAAATAATGTATTTTGGTATAAGCTGCCTGGATACTCATTTCAAAGGCAGAATAACTTTGTTGTCACTTTGCAGAAACAGAGATTTTGAAGATGTCGCAAAGGCACTCAGGTCAAGCTGGCACTGAAGCAGGAAATGGGGCGGACTCTCCTCCAATTGTCAACTCCAAGTACTCCACCTTCAGAGATTTTTGTTCCACATCTTCATTTCAAGATAGTGGCTACAATGAGTTAAAATCTTGTAGCTTTGATAATATAGATAAAGAATATCTTGGAAAGAAAGAAAAAGGCCCAACATTACTCTATGAGCACCCTGAAACTTCAGGCCTGGGCTTAACACATCCTTTAGAATCTCCCACTCAAAAAAAGAAATGTATCTTGCCTAGAAAGGAAAAGGATAAAACCCCAGAACTTTGTGAAACACCTAAAATCAGTGGGAAAAAATGTTTACCTCGCAGAAGGTTGAATGTATCTTTCGCTCTTCTAAAAGGGGACTTTGAATCACAAAATAGTTCTTTAGAAAGTAGTATAAGCCAAGTTATCAACTTAGAAAAAAATATTCCAAGCAGTGCTTCAGGTTTTTCCAGGGCAAATAATTTTAGCCCTTTAGTTACTAGCACTTTAAAAACAGAAGAAGTGACTTCATGCAGTCAAAAATTGAGGCTTAATTTTTCTCAGCAAAAGACTTCCACAATTGATGATTCCAAAGATGATTGTAGCCTATTTGAAGTTGAATGTATATCTCCAATTCAGGGCAATAATTTTAAAGACTCTATCACACATGACTTTAGTGATAGCAGTTTATGCATTAATGATGAGAATGCATGTCCAGAGCTCCTGGGCTCCTCTGTTAGTGGAACAACTTGTGGAACAGATGAGGACATATTTGTGACTCCGATAAGTAATCTTGTGGCAAACATTAGATTTAACGCAAGTCAAATACTTTCTCCTTCACCTGAAGTGAGAGGCAGTATTTCAACGCCTGAAGACAGTGGTTTTAACTCACTTAGCTTGGAGAAATCAGAAGATTCCCTGTCTGACCAGGAGGGTTCTTTTCAAGAACTACTGCAGAAACATAAGGGGACTCCCAAAGTTGGGGACACCATAAGAAAGACAAGACATCTTGGAAGGTCGAGAAGACTGTCCACCCTTCGGGAACAAAGCTCGCAGTCAGAGACAGAAGAGGAAAAGCAGATTGTCCACCCTGACTCTGAAAAAAGAGCAGCAGCTGCTTCTGCCATCTCAGAGGGTCAGCTGAGTAGTGATGAGAGTGGGGATTTGACCTTTAGCTTAAAGAATTTATCAAAGACCCCAGCCTTGCAATTGGTACATGAGCTGTTCATGAAAAGCAAGAGGAAAAGATTACAGGAAAATAGTGGACATGAATTCTTAGAGCAAGGGGATGGGGAGAAAATAGCTGTACTGCAGTGTATACTTGCAGGACTGATCGGCAAGAAAATGGGTATAGAAAAACTGGACATCTTAACAGAATTAAAATATAGAAATTTAAAGCATATTCTTGCTATGGTTTTAGAGTCCTTGACCGCAGAGAGCCTATGCAGGTAAGAAGTAAGAGTTGTTTATGAAATAAAACTTCTTTTTTTAAGTTGAAAAGTTTTTCTGTGACTTGAGTGGTTGTCCTTTATTTTGTTTTATTATCTCTGTCTTTTGTTGTCTTATATCAAAGATAGTTTAAGTGAACGTCCCAACAGAGCTACCTAGTACAGATCCTTCCGTTTTTTTGTTTTGTTTTGTTTTGTTTTGTTTTTTTCTTTGAGCAAGAGTCTCGCTCTGTCGCCCAGGCTGGAGTGCAGTGGCGTGATCTCGGCTCACTGCAAGCTCCGCCTCCCGGGTTCACGCCATTCTCCTGCCTCAGCCTCCCAAGTAGCTGGGACTACAGGCGCCCACCACCATGCCCGGCTAATTTTTTGTAGTTTTAGTAGAGACGGGGTTTCACCGTGTTAGCCAGGATGGTCTTGATCTCCTGACCTCAAGATCCACCCATCTCGGCCTCCCAAAGTGCTGGGATTAGAGGCGTGAGCCACAGCACCTGCTGATCCTTCTGTTTAAAAGCCTGCTTAAGTAGCAATAATATAGTCTTTTTTTTCTGAATAAAGTTCTTGTCACTGTTATTTGGAAAGAGAGTTGCTAAAAGTTGAATTTTAAATTTTCAAGATGGCAAGCTCTATTCCATGGAAGTTGTTTAATGATTTAATAGTTCAGATCATATTGTCAGATTGCAAGCAGTATTAAAGTTATGACACTTGGTCAGAAATAATGTAATGCATTGTGGTGACCGAGAAATGACAGTGTACAAATAATACCACTTAATTATTTAAGTTCTAGAATTTAAAAACAATCGTTAGCTTTCATTTTAGGGTTTGATCTTTCCAGAACCAGGGGAATGTGGATTATTTCATTTTTATTGTTAACACAGCAGTGAAAGTTAATTACTTTGGGGAATTTCAAGAAATTAGAAACTGAAGAATTTGTGTTCACAGATGTTGCAGTAGATTGAATGCTGCTACATAATAAGGAGAAACAAATTTCAGAATATTGAGGGTGGGAACTAAGGTTACAAAGACTAAAATGAGACTCTGTTCATGCCAATTTGGGGGAGTTACAGGACTATCAGAAGACAAGACCCATGGGAATGCCGTGGCAATGAAGGAGAGAAGTCATGTGGAACAGGATTTCTGCAAGATGATGGTTATGGAGGAGCATGCGGGAAGTTAGTGAGCCTCTTTCTTGATAGGTATATGTCAAAAGAGTTTTTTACAGGGTCCTTGGTTTTTTTGTTTTGTTTTTAGTTTTTGTAGAGATGGGGTCTCACTGTGTTGCTCAGGCTGGTCTGCAACTCCTGGGCTCAAGTGATCCTCCCACCTCGGCCTCCCAAAGTGCTGGGATTACAGGTGTGAGCCACTGCCTGTTCTGTTCTTGTTGTTTTTATGGCCACTACTTCTATCGAAGCCCTTCTTTATCTTTCCTCCATACATTAATTGTATGTCTATTATAGAGAACTGTAGGATTTCTTAGCTGGAAGTCTTCTAAGGTATCTAGTTCACATGTTTTGCAGATGAGGAAATGAGCCCCAGAGAAGTGACCTGCTAACAGCCACTCAAGGCGACAGGAATAGATCTAGGTCTATAATGAGCCCTCTGATTTCTAATCCAGTATTTTTCCATAAACTCTTATTAAGGTTTAAGGCTTTCTGGAATAGATTTGATCAAGAATGTATTTGGTGTATCTTAAGTAGGATAATAAACAGATTAGTGCACCCATATTGTGTGCCTTTTAAAAATGTTCAAACGATAAACTGTTTAAAAAATTAAGGAGATGGCTGAGATATAGGATTTTAAAAATATTTTTGGTATGGATGGGGTCTTACTACATTGCCCAGGCTGGTCTCAAACTCCTAGGCTCTAGCAATCCTCCTGCCTTGGCCTCCCAAAGTGCTGGGGTCACAGGTGTGAGCCGCTGTGACCAGCCAGGAATGCTATTTTTATATGCTGGAGTATTTGGGCCAGTTAAAATTAAAATTGGGTGACACTTTTGGGTGCTTGCTTATGTGAGCAGTTGATTTTCAGTCATATTTCAACAATTATCTCTCCTTCCCATCTCTCCAAACATACAGTATTTGTACTGCAAAGTATGTAACTATGTTGGCAGTACTGTTCCTGGTAACTTGAGAGTTGATCAGTTGCAATGTCTGTGGCAAATACCCAATTATGTAGTTCATTTCTTCCCCATCATTGGGTGACTTCTGCCTGTTCCTTTCCTTCCCTCTGATATAGGGCACATATATCAGCCTAGAGAGAGTCAATGACAATTGAAGTGGGCATGGTAGCTGGAAGAATAGTAGCGTTGACAACTGGGACCCTCCGTAAGAAGTGACTTATTTCAATCTTTTCTGACCTTACTCCTTTTGATTTGTTAGAATAACAAAGAAAGACCAGATTAATAGTCAAAGTCTTACTTTTTAATAATAATATTATCAAAGTTATTGATAAATCAGCAATCACTGGACAAAAATTGTGTTTTTTCTTTAGCTGCTTCATATTCATAAACTTTGGTTAATGAAATAGGAACTCTGTGGTGCGACCCATAATAGTATTTATAGTTGGCACTTAGTAATGCCAATGAAGGATTAATTGTGCTTGTGTTTATGTAATCAAAATGACAGAGATTTGTTAAACACAGGAATAGGAGAAATTGATGAAACCTCTTGTGTTATAGATGACAATCATTTCCTGCATCTCTTGTTCCAAATTTTTAATGTTACATTTGAAGTTAAATCCTCTTAATCAGTCTCCCAGTGGACTCATACTGGCTTTATATGACCATTTATAAAAGAGTAATCTATCTGTATATTGCTGGCATATACAATTGGAATTCTTTTATATGATGAATTAATATGAAATAACAATGTTGACCAAGTCACATTTTTATGTAAATTTTTAGGTTTAAATTTACTGCCCGAAATCTTTAAAACAAATTTTTCTCATTAGTTAGCGTATACAACAAAATGTTAATCCTATAGAATGTATGCAATATAAGGATGGATCTTTTTGTTATAGTGTTTGGAAAGTAAGCAGAAATTGGCGTGAAATTGTTGTTCAAGATAAAAATGCAAATCGGAGGAGGAAATTTTATATCACACAACTGAAAACAGATTCTGAGGTAATGTATGTAATACTTCTCTAAAATGGATTTGTATAAATACATAATAATCTCATGTTGCTAGACAACCTAATTTGGTTTTCCTGCTATCTTTAACCTTTTCCATTTAACAAACATTCACTCATAAATTCCTTAGTTTTCCCAAACTCAATTTTCACCCAGTCTGTAAATGGAATAAACAACATAGCATCAAGAACATCTTGTTGGCCAGGCGCGGTGGCTCACGCCTGTAATCCCAGCACTTTAGGAGGCCGAGGCGGGCGGATCACGAGGTCAGGAGATTGAGACCATCCTGGCGAACACGGTGAAACCCTGTCTCTACTAAAAAAATACAAAAAATTAGCCGGGCGTGGTGGCAGGCGCCTGTAGTCCCAGCTACTCGGGAGGCTGAGGCAGGAGAATGGCGTGAACCCAGAAGGCGGAGCTTGCAGTGTGAGCCGAAATCGCGCCACTGCACTCCAGCCTGGGCGACAGAGCGAGACTCTCTCTCAAAACAAAACAAAAAAAAAAGAACATCTTGTTGGGCTTTGTTGCTGCTTACGTGGGTGTGCTCTTAACAGCATTTGAATACCAATGATATGCTGGATCCTAATTATAATGAGATACCCTTATAGCATTTCTAACCGAGTCTTTTGAGTGGACATTACATGTTAGTTAACTGTGCCAGTGCTCAGATTACAATGGTGAACATTTCTGACATGGTTCCTGCTCTTTTGGAGCACACACCTTGAGGGTGATATAGGTAAATAGGTGACTACAATCCAGGTGTGTTAGAGGAAGCCCAGAGTTATTTAAAGGAGTTTTTGACTGATACTTGGGAATCAAGAGAAGTGCATCTCTACTGAGACCTGAATGATGAGTTAGCAGTTAGCCAGGTGAACACAGAGAAGAGGGTTTTAGCAGAGAAAGTAGCATATGTACAAGCCTGAAGGTGAGTGAGCAAAGCACATCAGTACCTGTGAAGCATCATAAACTTGCACTCCCTTGAGGATTTGAATTCTGGCTTTAAAGTTACAAGAAAAGTCCTATAGAAGCTGATGGATTCCTCTCAGGCATGCTATTTTGTGTAATAGGCATCTGATGACTAGCACCCATGTTTGATTATAGATTCAACTTTAGGCCAAAAAAGATTCTGAGAGTTCACTAATTCATTCTTGTTCTAGCGAAAAATATTTAATAACATACTATAAGTAAATTTCTAATTTGACTAAATATAATAATTGGAATAAAGCATGGCATAAACAAATATGAACACCCAGATATAGATTGACAGGTTTCTCATTACAGTGAACTATTAGGGACTGCTATTAACTAAAACTTTGACTTTCTTTTTTATTTTGAAGAAAAGCTTTACCTTTTCACCTGTTCAGAGCTCATGGCTGCTTCTGCAGCTGCTGGCTCTGGGAGTTTGTAATAAGGAAGATATTAATTGCCTTCTTAACATCTGTTTTTCAAATGCTGCCCTATATGCTAGGGACAGACTTAAAAAACAGTTGTTTAAGCATGCACTTATTAATATTTAAACATTTGGCTCCATATACTCCTTAACTCCTCTAAGGAAGAAGCATATTGTTGTGCTGGCAACCCTCCATGTAACTCCAAATAATGAAATGTTCTATTCTCAAAAAAAAAAAAAAGAAAAGAAATAGTCTCATATTTGGCCAGGCACAGTGGCTCATGCCTGTAATCCCAGCACTTTGGGAAGCAGAGGTTAGTGGATCACTTGACATCAGGAGTTCAAGATCAGCCTGACCAACATGGTGGAACCCCTGTCTCTACTAAAAATACAAAAAGTAGCTGGGTGTGGTGGTGCAGGCTTGTAATCCCAGCTATTTGGGAGGCTGAGGTGGGAGGATCACTTGAACCTGGGAGGTGGAGGTTGCAGTGAGCTGAGATCATGCCACTGCACTCCAGCCTGGATGACAGAGTTAAACTTTGTCTCAAAAAAAAAAAATTATATCCTTATATTCTAGCAATCACTTTTTTAAAAACTCAGTTTCTTAAAGAACTGTACTTTTCCCCCCTTTCTTATGCTCTTTTTCTTATTTTGACTTGCTTTTTAAAATCTTTTTCAAAGTAATACATGGTTTAAAAAGTCAAACTGGACTATCCTAACAAAATATACCATTATGCCTTCATACTCTTGATTCTTGATCCATCAAGACAATCATTTTCAACACTTTCTTCTAGTGTTTAGCTCCATATTTCGAAATAATTTTATTTCCCTGTCATTTCTTTACTATTTTCTATAGAAGGATTAGGTTCTCTAACCTCTCACTACTACTGCCACTACCTACATAACCCCTCTCTCTCTGAATTCCTTTCTCTCTTCTCCTATCTTATGACTATAATTACACCACCATTTGGGAATGAATCAGAATTAGGTGCTGACATTATAAAGATTGTGTTGAGATTATTATAACTTTTTTCACAGCTATAGTATGTTGTACACTATGATTACACTTCCGTTCTAGTGTAACTTTTTCCCTCCAGTTAATAATTGCATAGTTTTTTCTCTCTCTTTTATTTATTTATTTTTGCTTAGTGTTTCTCTATACAGATCCCTGATTCATCTCCCATTATCCACCAGAACTGAAAGTCTCCTCTGTGTAAGTCCAAACAAATCAGGTATTCTACCTGTTCCTTCTTTTCCTCAGAGACATCCTTCCTGGGGCCCTTTGCTGTCCTATTCCAACATAGACTGGTTGCTTTCTACTTGAACTATTCTAATGTATTATTAACCAAAACAAAAAAAATTATAAAAGAAAGTTATTTGATGGTTTTCTCCACTCTTTTGTTTACTTCTTGTCTACAGCTGCTTTTTCTACAACCGCAGAGTTGAGTAGCTGGAACTACATGGCCCACAAAGTCTAGATTATATATTATATTATCTGGTCCTTTTGCAGGAAAGGTTTGCTGAACCAAGTTTAAAATAAATGGAAAAATAACCAGCCATACAAACTTAGATGAAGAATTTAATTTAAATTTTTTTCTTTTTATATTTATTTAACTTTTATATGTTAGGTGAGAAAAGGTTGGTTTTTTGTTTTGTTTGTTTTTTTTTCTGAAAAGGAACAGCCTAGGGAGAGAATTCGGATGGCAAAAAACCTCTTCAAAGCATATAAATCCGTGTGCATCAGAAAGCTATCCCGGAACTGTTTTGGTATTGCAGTATTGATGCCTCTTGTCCTTTACCACAGGGGGCTGTATTAAATGTCGAGGATGCTGCCACTCGGCTCCAGCTTTTAAATCGCTCAGCTTTAAGATCTGTGCAGGCACAGGCTAGGATACCTGGTTCTCAGAGAGAGCAAGGGTCAACATTATCTCCCTGGGGAGAAGTTTTGACACCTCTAGCAAGCTCTTCTGTTACTCACTTAAGTAGTAAACAGGAAGAATATGTTAAGGTAAGTATTTATTATGTCATAAGTTATTAGAAATAAATATTTACAGAGTTTGAAATAAAGTGCTCCTCTATATGAAACCAGAAGATTTAGTGTGTGTGCTTTCACTGCAGGTTGCCAAAACACTTTTTACTGATGAAGCATTAAAACCTTGCCCAAGGTGCCAGTCCCCTGCTAAGTACCAGCCATATAAGAAAAGGGGACTGTGTAGCCGAACAGCCTGTGGTTTTGACTTTTGTGTGTTATGTCTGTGTGCTTATCATGGGTCTGAAGAATGTAGTAGAGGAGCAGCAAAGCCAAGAAATAGAAAAGATGCTCTCCCAGGAAGTGCCCAGAGTAAGCGGAATTTAAAACGCCTCTGAAGAGACTAAATATAGAACTCCCCCATGCAGTGTTCTATTTATCTGACTTAAAATTATGAATATTTTGAATACATGCAAATCTTCCCATTAATGACAGGTGATGATTAATTTCCTATTTTGTATATATTATAATCGATGTCATTGTATGTTTTCTTTAAAGTTGTTTTGAAAAAATTTTATTTTACTATGTCATTTTACCCATTTTAATAACTTGGTATTTTAAATAAAGAATTTTCATTGTTGTTATATGTATGTACTTTATTGTTTTATGTAACATTTTAAATTTGTGCATTTCATCACTCTTGACATGTTCTTCAATCATTTTTTAAAAAATAGTTTTTCAGATAATATTAAAGATTTTGAACTCTAGACAGATGGCCTTATAGATTTGGAAAATGAGTACTTGACTGAAATGAAATATAAATAAAATATTTTCAGAAGTTCTATTGAATTTATTCTATAATTTCAGTCTCTGGTTAAGTAAAATTTACTGAATATTAATAACTAGGAAGACATAAAGAGTAAATTATTGGAAGTATATAGTTATTCATAATGGGAGTCTTAGCTAATATACCCTTGTAAGTAACACATTTCAAATAAGTACTTTAAAAAATTCTAGAACTACAGGCACAGATTTCATTTATTTAATCTGGAAATTCTGACAAATTTGGGCTGCTTGGAAAAGACAGATTTAAGTAAGAAGATTTACTAAGTTATTTATAAAGTACTTAAACGATTTATAAATCATTTCCAAAAATGATTTGAGTTTGCATGATCCATTCATAGAACAGCAAGAAAGAGATAAGTTTTTTTTTGTTTGTTTGTTTGAGGCATGGTCTAGCTCTGTCTCCTCAGGCTGAAGTGCAGTGGCATGATCTCACAGGATCTTGGCTCACTGCACACTCTGCCTCCCAGGTTCAAGCGATTCTCCTGCCTCAGCCTCCAGAGTAGCTGGGATTATAGGCATGCACCACCATGCCTGTCTAATTTTTGTGTTTTTAGTAGACATGGGATTTCATCATGTTGACCAGGCTGGTCTCGAACTCCTGACCTCAAGTGATCCAGCCGCCTGGGCCTCCCAAAGTGCTGGGATTACAGGCATGAGCTACCGCGCCAGGCTAAGAGATAAGTTCTACTGTTGAACAAATTACTAATACCAGGAGAAAATTTGAAGATAGTTTCATAATTTTTTTGTTTGTATATGGGTAACTGATATATATACATATCTGTGTTCACAATCTATGCATAGATTTAAATGTAGCTCTTATATGTTATTTTAACAAAGCAATTTAAAGTATGAGTTAGATATAGACATACGTGATGGAAATCTGCCTGAAATTTTAACTTGTTACTTAACTTGCTATAAAATTTTGATTAGCTGCTAAATATTAAATTTTCATCTATATCCTTTCTAATTCCACAAAGGGTTTTTGGAGACTAAATTATATTTATGTAAATTACATTTACTCATAAATTTTCTGAGACATCTTTCACATCAGGATCAATTTACTAGTTAATATTCTTCACTTAGTCTTAACTTTTTTTCTCTATAAGAGAAGTTTATTTGTGTTTAGGAAATTTATTCCAGTCTTGATTCTCTTAATTTATGAAGTTAATTCTTTGATTAATTTAATTATTTAATTTATTTAAGCCCTCTCTTCCTTTTTTTTTTTTTTGAGACGGAGCCTCACTCTGTCACCCAGGCTGGAGTGCAGTGGTGTGATCTCGGCTCACTGCAACTTCCATCTCCTGGGTTCAAGCAATTCTTCTGCCTCAGCCTCCTGAGTAGCTGGGATTACAGGTGCCTGCCACCACACCTGGCTAATTTTTGTATTTTTAGTAGAGATGGGGTTTCACCATGTATGGCAGTCTGGTCACAAACTCCTGACCTCAAGTGATCTGCCCGCATTGACCTCCCAAAGTGCTTGGATTACAAGTGTGAGCCACTGTGCCTGACCTAAGCCCTCTCTTTCTGTGGCTCAGATCAAACCATATCTTCATCTGTCATATGAACAGTATTGCTATTTTATACTCTTGATTTCTGCCTGGCCTAAATGACATTCCTTCAGTGACTTTTTAGATCTTAAAAATCACAGATCCAGTTCCTTGACATATTTAAAAAAAATGAAATGCAATGTTGTCTATTCAGTTTAATGGGTCATTTTAAATACTCACATTTCCCAATATCTTATGAATTTTTCTTATTTTATTACAGAATAATGCAAAAGGAAATAGAAACATTTACTTTACATGTGAAAAATGTCAGTAGTACGATGAAGGAATCTGGAATCCTATTTCTAGTCCATCATGAGACACTCTGTTATTGTCTTTTATATATTGCAGTCATACTGATCTCTTGATCTGATCACCTTTGTCATTTTGTGGTTACCCAGCTGATATGGTTTGGCAGTGTCCCCACTCAAATCTCAACTTGAATTGTATCTCCCAGAATTCCCACGTGTTGTGGGAGGGACCCAGGAGGAGGTAATTGAATCATGGGGGCAGGTCTTTCCCATGCTATTCTCCAGATAGTGAATAAGTCTCAGGAGATCTGATGGGTTTAACAGGGGTTTCCGCTTTTGGTTCTTCCTCGTTTTCTCTCCACCACCATGTAAGAAGTACCTTTTGCCTCCCACCATGATTCTGAGGCCTCCCCAGCCATGTGGAACTGTAAGTACAATTAAACCTCTTTTTCTTCCCAGTCTCAGGTATGTCTTTATCAGCAGCATGAAAATGGACTAATAGAGTAAATTGGTACAAGTAGAGTGGGGTGTTGCTGAAAAGATACCCAAAAATGTGGAAGCGATTTTGGAACTGGGTAACAGGCAGAGGTTGGGACAGTTTGGAGGGCTCAGAAGAATACAGGAAAATGTGGGAAATTTTGGAACTTCCCACAGACTTGTTGAATGGCTTTGCCCCAATGCTTATAGCAGTATGGACAATAAAGTCCAGGCTGAGGTGGTCTCAGATGGAGATGAGGAACTTGTTGGGAACTGGAGTAAAGGTGACTCTTGTTATGTTTTAGCAAAGAGACTGGTGCCATTTTGGCCCTGCCCTAGAAATTTGTGAAACTTTAAACTTGAGAAAGATGATTTAGGGTATCTGGCAGAAGAAGTTCCTAAGCAGCAAAGCATTCAAGAGATAACTTGGGTGTCATTAAAGGCACTCAGTTTTATAAGGGAAGCAGAGCATAAAACTTTGGAAAATTCGCAGCCTGACTATGCAATAGAAAAGAAAAACCCATTTTCTGGGGAGAAATTCAAGCCGGCTGCAGAAATTTGCACAAGTAGCAAGGAGCCAAATGTTAATCCCCAAGACCATGGGGAAAATGTCTCCAGGCCATGTCAGAGACCTTTACAGCAGCCCCTCCCATCATAAGCCTGGAGGCCTACGAGGAAAAAGTGGTTTCATGGGCCTGGCCCAGGGTCCCTGGGCTGTGTGCAGCCTAGGGACTTGGTGACCTGTGTCCCAGCCACTCCAGCCATGGCTGAAAGGGGCCAGTGTACAGCTTGGGCTGTGGCTTCAGAGGCTTGGCAGCTTCCACCTGGTGTTGAGCCTGTGGGTGCACAGAAGTCAAGAATTGAGGTTTGGGAACCTCTGCCTAGATTTCAGAAGATGTATGGAAATGCCTGGATGCCCAGGCAAAAGTTTGCTGCAGGGGTGGGGCCCTCATGGAGAACCTCTGCTAGGGCAGTGAGGAAGGAAAATGTGGGGTTCGATTCCCCACACAGAGTCCCTACTGGGGCACTGCCTAGTGGAGCTGTGAGAAGAGGGCCACCATCCTTCAGACCCCAGAATGGTAGATCCACTGACAGCTTGCACCATGTGCCTGGAAAAACTGCAGACATTCAATGCCAGCCCATGAAAGCAGCCAGGAGGAAGGCTATACCCTGCAAAGCCACAGGGGCAGAGCTGCCCAAGACCATGAGAACCTACCTTTTGCATCAGCGTGACCTGGATGTGAGACCTGTAATCAAAGGAGATCATTTTGGAGCTTTAAAATTTGGCTGCCCCACTTGTTTTTGGACTTCCATGGGCCCTGTAACCTCTTTGTTTTGGCTAATTTTTCCCATTTGGAACAGTAGCGTTTCCCCAATACCTGTACTCCCATTGTATCTAGGAAGTAATTAGCTTGCTTTTGTATTACAGGCTCATAGGCAGAAGGGACTTGCCTTATCTCAGATGAGACTTTGGACTGGACTTTTGAGTTAATGCTGAAATGAGTTAAGACTTTGGGGCACTGTTGGGAAGGCATAATTGGTTTTGAAATGTGTGGACATGAGATTTGGGGGGGCCAGGGGCAGAATGATATGGTTTGGTGGCGTCCCCACCCAAATCTCACCTTGAATTCCCACATGTTGTGGGAGGGACCCAGGAGGGAGGTAATTGAGTCATGGGGGCAGGTCTTTCCTGTGCTATTCTCAGGATAGTGAATAAGTCTCAGGAGATCTGATGGGTTTATCAGGGGTTTCCACTTTTGCTTCTTCCTCATTTTCTCTTCCACCTCTATGTAAGAAGTGCCTTTTGCCTCCCACCATGATTCTGAGGCCTCCTTAGCCATGTGGAACTGTAAGTCCAATTAAACCTCTTTTTCTTCCCAGTCTCGGGTATGTCTTTATCAGCAGCATGAAAACGGACTAATACACCAGCCCATTAGAATGTAATCTTTTATTTCACTTTGGTGGTGAAAAATATTTTATCACATTTAATTTTAGAAATCAACAATAAATAAGTGGTTCTCTTTACTACAAGTACTGTGAAACAATGGAAATGGATGTTTTCTATATTTCTGATTTTATTTGGGGTTTAAATATTACAATCAAGTATATGTGAATGAAGTAGTATTAAGACTGAATACCCGTATTTTAATGATTTTGTAATAAAACTCTGAAGAAAAAAGATCAGAGTAGGAATTCAAAAGGCATTTCTTTTTGGTGGGTTTTATGTTTGTGATGGGGTCAAGAGATAGGTTAACTAGAAGAAAATCATATAGTATTGTATACAACTTCATCAAACAGAGGATCCAGCTACCCAGAAAAAAGCGACACTATTGTTATTGTGTATTGTCATAACTGACTGGACCAGTTTTCCCAACCGTGTACTTCCATAGCAGCTTGTACATCCTCTGTCATGGCACTTAGTTCACTTTATTTAAATCAGTTGTTAACTTTATTTCTCTGTAACCTCTGTGAAGTCCTAGAGTATCGCACGTTTGATGTAAATACCATTGTATCCCTAGCACCTAGCATAGTGCCAGCCAAGTAAAAGGTGCTTAGTAAATAGTTATTGAACAAGTTGCTTTTTTTGGTGCTATTGGTACTTTCATCCAAGTAAACCACTATAAAATAGTAACTAAACAATTTTATCCTAATAATTTGTTAATTTCTTAATGTTTGATTTTCAGTGATTAATGCTTTAATATACAAAAAGTGGGATCTAAATGATTTCTTAAATTCCATGTAAATATATAGTCATGAATATATTTGGTCTACTCATTCTTTTAGCTGAGTAGAACCATTTAGGGTATAATGGAAGGAACCTTAGTCTAGAAGTTAAAAAGCTGGGGTTGGTCTCCTGAGCTACTTACTAGTTGTCCCCTTATGCAAGTTACTTATTGCATCTGAGCCTATTTCCTTTATCTATAAATGGAAAGTTAAAAGGCATGATGTATTGTGAACTCACTCTGGAAACTCTTACACCAATTTGTGTTACTACACATTTGCCTGCATGTGAATAGAATAAAATGAAATAGCATTTGTGGGGATAGAATATATAACCTTGATATCATTATCATCCTGCCAAATGAAACTATAAAATCAACTTCTAACCAGCTTGCAAAAAAATGTCCGGCTTAGGCCAGGCATGGTGGCTTACACCTGTAATCTCAGCACTTTCAGAGGCTGAGGCAGGAGGATTACTTGAGCCCAAGAGTGTGAGACCAGCCTGGGCAGCATAGCAAGACCCTGTCTTTACAAAAATTTAAAAAATACTAGCTGGGCATGGTAGTGCATGCCTGTAGTCCCAGATACTCAGGAGGCAGAGGAGGGAGGATCACTTGAGCCCAGAAGGCCAAGGCTGCAGTGAGCCATGATCATAGCACTGCACTCCAGCCTAGGAGACACAGCAAGACGCTGTCTCAAAAAAAAAAATCACACAGAAAGTAGGGGCCAGTATTCTAACAAGCAGTCTGCCATTAGTACATAACAAAACTCCTTGTAGAGCTACTGGTAAACTCAGTACACATGTAATTACAATGTCATAAATGGAAAATTGTTTTCCTGTTTTTAAAAATAAGTTGGTCTACTCAGGGAAAAAACAATTCTAATTGAGAATAATTTTGCTTGAATAAAGTAGTTCCTTAGCTCATGAGTAGCTTAAACAATTTCATTACTTGAAAATCTAAATGAATGAAATGAGTATACTATTATCCAAGAGCTCAGCTCAAAAGAAAGAGAACTGCTCCAGTTCCAAAGTGTTTATAAAGATATGGCATGAAAACAAGAGTAAGTATTTCTACATTCCAGTTATTGCTACGTTCTTATCAGATTTTTATTATTAGGTGAGGGAAAGCAATAAGAAAAATTGACCAAACATTTATTGATGGATGTACTGTGGGCTCCCAAGGAGGTTCCAAAACAAGAGGAATGATTAAATTTAGCACTTTATTTTTGTGGTTTGTTTCACTTCTTAATAAGGATATAAGAAAATAATGAAAATTGGCCGGGCGCGGTGGCTCACGCCTGTAATCCCAGCA
Source organism: Homo sapiens (assembly GCF_000001405.40). Classification (NCBI taxonomy): domain Eukaryota; kingdom Metazoa; phylum Chordata; class Mammalia; order Primates; family Hominidae; genus Homo; species Homo sapiens. Next base: position 100,127,047 of record NC_000008.11, on the reverse strand, counting down.
CTTTGGGAGGCCAAGGCAGGCGGATCACGAAGTCAGGAGATCGAGACCATCCTGGCTAACATGGTGAAACCCTGTCTCTACTAAAAATACAAAAAATTATCCGGGCGTAGTGGCGGGCGCCTGTAGTCCCAGCTACTGGGGAGGCTGAGGCAGGAGAATGGCGTGAACCCGGGAGGCGGAGCTTGCAGTGAGCGGTGATTGCGCCACTGCACTCCAACCTGGGCGACAGAGCCAGACTCCATCTCAAAAAAAAAAAAAAAAAAGAAAATTAAGAGGAAAGCCAATAAATGTTTTACCTTCTATTGACTTGGGGTAATAACCTCTCAATCTTTTCTCCCTATGGTCTGTTGCCTTGACAGTCTTGCTAACTAATGGGTAAGATTATTCTTCCTATTTGACTTCTACTTAGTTTCAGGAAGGGCAGGTATTTTCTGTTTCTAACTCCATAGTTTAGAAAAAATTGCCAGAAACTTGTGGCAAATAATGTAAAGAGAAACAACACTTTAAGAGCTATCTGATAATTTTATACACAAATATGGATTTACATTTATCCTAGCTATTGAAAGACTTAAGTCTTATTATGGATTTCCTAGCAATAATTTAAGGATTGAATTGCTCTTGAGAAAATATTTTGATACTTAGCACTGTGTAAAGCTAAGTTTTTTCACTACCTTTGCTTAGTTTACAACACAAAGCAAAATTGTCATAATTGTATGACACAAAAATTTACGGAACTTTAAAAAATTTTATCTGTTATGTTCCTGGTTTGCACTAAGTTATTTATTATGGCTTTATTTTCAGTTATTTCCATTAAAAATAGTGTACCATAAATAGAAAATGCTTTAAGTGTTTTTAAAAATTGAAATACCCATTATTTCTGTATGGAGGGTATTTCAAGGATTACACTGAACATTTCACAAGGGGGCACCAAAGACTCATTTATGATGATTTTGGCTTTTCTTCAAAAAAGTAAATGTAGCTTTTATATATTTGACGCTGATGTGCTGTGACATTGCCAAATAGGGGAAATGTTCCTTGAGTTAATTTTTAAAGTGTATATAGAATAAATTTTGGTAATAGTTATTACTTAGAGTTGGTAATTAAAATATTTTAGTTGGCTTGCAAGAGTGTACTGTTTTCCTGGAATACCTTATTGGTTTCCCCAGAACACCTATTGGCAGGCCCTGGTTTGTGCTTTGGCCATCTGTGTTTACTTGCCCAACAGCTCTGCACTCCTGGCTCCCTCAGCATGGACTGTGGAGCCAGAGGAGTAGAAGGAGCAATGGAAACCTGGCAGGTGAGTGCTATTGTGAATGGTGGTGGCGTGCAACCAGTGATTTCCCTCTGGCATTCTCATTCCTGCAGAAAGGTAGTGTTCAGTTCAGGTCCTAATCTCATCCTGCCTAGATTACTATAAATGCCTCCTAACACGTTTGTTTCTTTCTTCTCATGTTTCAAACGTGAGAATTTGAATTTGGGGAGATTCAAATTCTCCCCATTTGAATCTCTCCTAAACGTCCACTGCCTGGTTATTTGTACCAAAATGTGGCCCGTCATGTTGCCTCCTACTAAAAACGTAGCAGAATTTAGAATCTCCTAATGGTCCTAACTTTCTAGCAATCTCTCCCATCATTCTACTCTGTACACTTTGTTCTAGCCAAACTAGATTCTTTGTTGTTTTCTAAACTTGCCATGTGATTTCTCTACTTCCTTCCTCCTTACCATATTAAATCACATAAAAATCCTGCTAATCCTTAGTTTATTTCCATGAATCATTTTCTGATCTCTCCAACAAGATGAGATATTTACCTTCATTGAATCTGGTGTTTATTTATACTTTTCTTATGGTATTTATGGCATATTTTATTTGTGATAATTCTTTACTTGTCTTCTACCATTAGCAAGTTCCTTAAGGGCCAAACTGTTTTCTCTTTCTACCTCCTTTAGCATGGTATCTTGTGCATGACAAAATGTGCAGCAAGTGTTCATTGAATTGCTGAAGTAGTGATGACTGGTTGTCATGTGATATGACAAATTTCATCCAAATCTCAATTTTCTTTACTTTTTCAGCTGGTATCATGGGGAACTTGAAATACAGTTGTTTTTGAGCGAGCTAAAATGGAGACACCACCCTCTTCACACTCCCTTTGCTCTAACCCTCCAATTACTTGGAGTTTGGACAGCATTCCATTTTTCTATTCCTCCTTGCCTTTGCCAATGCTGTTTTCCCTCTTGGATTGTTGTTCTCTCCCTACCCCATGTGTCCCAATTGAACTTGCCTTTGAAGACTACTCAGGGGTCATTCAACTGATCACCTCCCCAGGCTGGTTGTATCTTTCTCCTCAACACAGCTGGAGCCCCTCTATACTGTGTTATCACAGCATTTATCAGATCTTTTATGTTTTCCTTGTTAGACAGTGATTTCCTTTGACCTGTGTCTGTGTCCCCAATACTTATTTTGTTTAGTGTCTCAGCACTGAATAGATGTTCAGTTTGGCAAAAGCCTTCCCTGCCACCTCTTCTGTTCCCAGTCTAAGTTGGGTATACACACAGTGCTATGGGGCAAAGAGGGAGCGCCTAAGTCAAACAGTTCTTCCCTATTGTTGTTAAAAATGAGGAAATGTAGGCCAGGCACGGTGGCTCATGCCTGTAATCCCAGCACTTTGGGAGGCCAAGGCGGGTGGATCACTTGAGGTCAGGAGTTCGAGACCAGCCTGGCCAACATGGTGAAACCCCGTCTCTACTAAAAATACAAAAAAGCTGGGCATGGTGGCACATGCCTGTAATCCCAGCTGTTTGGGAGGCTGAGGCAGCCAAATTGCTTGGACCCAGGAAGCAGAGGTTGCAGTGAGCCAAGATTGTGTCACTGCACTCCAGCCTGGGCAACAGAGTGAAACTCTGTCTGAAAAAAAAAAAAAATAAAGAGATGTCCAGGCTGCTGATGTCAAAGATCTCATTTTTTCTTCTGTGCTGTGAGAAATATATAAACTGCTACCTCCCTCTTTATGTACTGATACAGAGTATAATTTGCACTCATTTTCCAGTTACTTTATAAGTACTCTTGAATTGTTTTATGAGGTGTGTAAATATCCCAAGGGCAAGGGCTGTGCTTACCTCTCTCCAGTGCTCTAGTGTCTGCTACAGGTACTATAATCAGATAGAGACACAGTAAATGTTGACGAAAAGGGCTGTAGAATCCTAAAACAGTGACACCAATTAAAAATATTTATATATCTTTTTTCCCTTCTTTCCCCTTGCTGTCAGTATGCATACATTTTATATATCTTTATCATTGGTGGCTAATTTTCAGTTTGGCCAGGCAGTAAACTATATGTCTTACAGACATTATCTCATTATGTTAAGAGCAACCCTATGAGGCAGTACGACTATTATCTGCAATTTCTTTTCCAGAGAAGGAAACCAAGGCTTAGAGGAGCTTAAAAATATGTTCATTCCACGTTAGTAAATTCAGAGCTGGAGTGAAAAAAATGGTGGCTGTTTGATTCCAAATATTTCACCTTGGCTTTCTGCCTGCTCATACTTTCCTGAATAGTACTCTTCTCCTGCATCAGCCCAACTTTGGTGCTGCTAACCCCTGATTTATTAAAGAATCACTTGCTGTTGGTTTAGCCTTAGGTAAGGAGATTAGAAATTCAAGTTATTGGACTTCTTTGTTTCTGACCACCGATACCTGATTGGGGGATTAAAAGTTGAGATCATTTATTTTGACCAATCTAATATTCTTATTATAAATTTTAATAACATAATCTTTATTTCTTAATTAAATATGGTCAATTCATTTAACAAATATTTATTGAGCATTTACTGCATTATGCCAGGCTTTGTTCTAGGTGCTGGGGCTACAGGAGAGACCAACACAGGTCAAAAAAATTTCTTAGAGCTAAAATCCATTTTAAAAAAAGAGGTGGGAGGAAGAAGAAACAAAGGAGGAGAAGAGAAAAATAAATTATTATCTACTAGTAAAAATTATAATGTCCTAAAGCAATATTAAGAGTTTTCAAACTTTGACTAGGGAAGGGTTAAAAATTGAATTATCTCATCAGTCTGTGCAAGAAACAAAGTAATGTAATGGAATATATTGACAATTAGAATAAATCTAAACCAGCAGGTCCAGATGGTAGTTATCTTGGATAAGTTAAGAAATTGCCTAATGAATATATTAAACTAATTATGTTCCTTTTTCAAAAAAAGTATGAACTGTTAAGTTAGGAAATAAGGGAAAAAAGTCATTTTCCAGTTAAATGTAATAATGATGTGGGTAGTTGTTATCCAGTATAGATAAGATACATAATTTAACAAAAGTAAAAATAACCAATGATTATTTAAAAAATGGAAATAAGCAATATATAAAATTTATAACCCATGTTTCTAAATCTCCTTACCACACGCAGTTACTTTAGAGATTGGAATGTGGGGGTGGTACCACATATCATTCCATGTGGAGTTGCCATCCAGCTCCTAGGAAAAACACTCTAATGCACTGTCCTGTCATTCAGATTCATTTGTGTATACAAATTTAAAGTATGCCTTAGCTATGTGGAAATACATGAAGACATCCCCAATAGGAACAGAGGCTATTTATTCAGAGCTTGCTATAGCCAGGGAGTCAGCCTCCATCACTTGTATTTTGCAGAGACTCAAATATAGGCAAAGTAGTGGGAAATCTTTATAGTGAAAAAAAGAGAAGATTTTAGGCATACTCCCATTGGAGGCTGTTAACATAGGAAGCTGAAAATGAGTTAACTAGAATCTAGTGGGCATCCTATGTGATTGATTTAGGGAACATACTCGGCTTTTTTTTGTTGGTCCTGAAGAGAACCAGGACCAACAAAAGAGGTCAAAGAGAGGGAAGAGAGGGCAAAATTAGGGAAGCTGGCAGTTACCAAGTCCATACCATTCTGATCCTATTGCTGCAAAAGTTGTGTTGGCTTCCAAGGCTGACTGCTGCCAGAGTTTTGTCATACATGGCATGGCCACTGTCCATTTGTATATTCAGACTCTCAGCCATATAAAATATCCAATTTCCATCAAAAATTAAAATCACAATGATAATATGAATTTTGTCTCTTGGTGCTATTCCTGTTCACACTCAGAAAAGTTAAGAACAAGGCTTACGTTGGCTTATGTTGGACCCTACCACACCAAACTCAGAGAAGGACTGACACTTTAAAATCATTAAACAATAGGTAGGATGCCTGAAAATATGCTTCTGATTGTCAAGGAGATATTTACACATACATATACTAGCCAGTCTCTCCAACAGTACTTGGGAGAATCATTAAATCCCTGTAGTTTTTCACACTAAACAAGCTACATAAAATACCCCAAAGCAAATTAATCATTGTACTTCAGAAGGTCAGCCCTTGTGGTTTTTGGTTTGAGGCTCATGTTGGAAAACCTACGGTCTTTTTCTCTGTCTGTAGCAGCTTAATATGATATCACTTTTGTCCCACAATTATACTGGTTTCTCATATCATAGTTTTAGCTGTTTTGCAGGGTGATTGCCTGAGATGTTCTCCAGGATTCCCCAAGCTGAATTTCAGGTGTACAAAAAAATTTATGTAAGAACATCCCAAACAAACACTTCAAATTTGCTGATTATATGTCCAGAGTTAGAAGAGAATAAACAGAGAAGCTTAATTCCATTTATGTTTATATTTCTATTTGCCATTAAAGACTTTGATTTTAAACTATCTTGGTTTCAACAATGATAAAGAAAAAAGGCTTTTCTACAGTTTTAGAAAAACTGGCTAGGGGCTGGGTGCAGTGGCTCATGCCAGTAATCCCAGCATTTTGGGAGGCTGAGGCAGATGGATCACTTGAGGTCATGAGTTCAAGACCAGCCTGGCTAACATGGTGAAACCCTGTCTCCACTAAGAAAAATTACAAAACATAGCTGGGCATGGTGGTGCGTGCCTGTAGTCCCAGCCACTCGGGAGGCTGAGGCAGGAGAATTGCTTGAACTCAGGAGGTGAAGGTTGCAGTGAACTGAGATTGCACCACTGCATTCCAGCCTGGATGACAGAGTGAGACTCCATCTCAAGAAAAAAAAAGAAAAACTGGCTAGGGTTTATCACTTGGGGGGCAAAGACAGAATCTAATGTGCTAAAAGTAAATAGTTCAAGTGATTCTCATGCCTCAGCCTCCCGAGTAGCTGGGATTACAGGTGTGTGCCACCACACCTGGCTATTTTTTTTTTTTTTTTTTTTTTTTTTTTTTTTTTTAGTAGCGATGGGGTTTCACCATATTGCCCAGACTGGTCTTGAACTCCTGACCTCAGGCGATCTGCCTGCCTCGGACTCCCAAAGTGTTGGGATTACAGGCGTGAGCCACTGTGCCCAGCCGAATTGTGTTCTTTAAATGGGTGAACTGTGATATGTCAATTATATCTCAATGAAGTTGTTACCAAAGAAATTAGCAAAACATTATAACAGTTTATAACCTAGGCATTTGGGTTCAAATTACTGTCTTTGTGGTTCTCACACCATTCTTTAATCTCGTGAGATTGCTTTTAGAGAGAAAGGCCACATAACATAGTGGTCAAAGAGCAAGGGCTTTGGAATCAGACTTTTGGCTTCAGCACTTTCAAGCTATGTATCTTTGAGCAAATCATCTCACCTTTCTAAGTTTTGTAAACTGTAAACTGAGACTAATATCAATCTCTTTGGGCTATTGTTAGGAGCCCATAGCAAATATGTAATAAATGTAATAAATGTTAGCTACTATTAATGTTAAAACAAATTGACTTCCCATCAGCATGGGCTATCTAAAATAGGGATGAACAAATCCTGCCTGTGAGCAAAGCACCATGCAGAATGATTGCAATGGAGAGCAACTCCAGAAGTTCATTTCAACAAAGATCTAGTGAGTGGTAGGCACTCAGCAGGGGATGTGGTGGGGCTGGGAGGAGGTTAAAATAAAATATAGCTCCCTCAGCCCCCAGGAATTTACTGTCTGGTGGGTGGCACTAGGGGAAGAGGGTGTACCTCTTTGTACCAGTGATTTTAATACATTTTTGAGATATGGGTTTGCCCCAAGTATTCAAGAGCAAGAGGAGAGACAAATGAAAATAATTCATGGGAAGGTATACTGAAGGAGATGAGACCCAAGCTGAGTTTTGAAGAATGAGAAAATTTAGCCTGGTAAAGAAAGGCCGGGAGAGTTTCTCTGGTGGTAGAAACAGCACAAGCAAATGCCTGAAGAGCCCACTTACATGCTAACTCTCAAACTGCTATCTCCCAAATTCTGGGTTCCTATGTCAAATGCAAACTGAAAATCTTCATTTGGATGACTAATAGACTTTTTTATTTTTTTCAAACTTTTTACGTTCAGGGGTACGTGTGCAGGATGTGCACGTTTGTTACATAGATAAATGTGTGCCATGATGGTTTGCTATACAGATCATCCTATTACCTAGGTATTAAGCCCAGCATCTATTAGCTGTTCTTCCTGATGTGCTCTCTCCTTCCATCTCTACCCTCCAACAGGCCCCAGTGTGTGTTGTTTCCCACCATGTGCTATCAATCAGCTCCCAGTTATAAGTTAGAACATGCAGTGTTTGGTTTTCTGTTCCTGTGTTAGTTTGCTGAGGATAATGGCTTCCAGCTCCATCCATATCCCTGCAAAGGACATGATCTCATTCCTTTTTATAGCTGCATAGTATTTCACGGTGTATATGTACCACATTTTCTTTATCCAGTCTATCATTGATGGGCATTTAGGTTAGTTCAATGTCTTTGCTATTGTGAAGAGTGTTGCAGTGAACATATGCATGCACATATCTTTATAATAGAATGATTTATAATCCTTTGGGTATATACCCAGGAATGCGATTGCTGGGTCAAATAGTATTTCTGCATCTAGGTCTTTGAGGAATTGCCACAGTCTTCCACAATGGTTAAGCTAATTTACACTCCTACCAACAGTGTAACAGTGTTCCTTTTCCTCCACAATCTTGTCAACGTCTATTGTTTCTTCTTTTTAATAATTGCCATTCTGACTGGTGCGAGATGGTATCTCATTGTGGTTTTGATTTGCATTTCTCTAACAATCAGCGATGTTGAGCTTTTCTTCATGTTTGTTGGCTGCATATATGTCTTCTTTTGAGAAGTGTCTGTTCATATCCTTTGCCCACTTTTTAATGGGGTTGTTTTTTTCTTGTAAATTTATTTAAGTACCTTGCAGATGCTGGATATTAGACCTTTGTCAGATGAATAGATTGCAGAAACTTTCTCCCATTCTGTAGGTTGTCTGTTCACCCTGATGATAGTTTCCTCTATCGTGCAGAAGCTCTTTAGTTTACTTAGATCCCATTTGTCAATTTTTGCTTTTGTTGCAATTGCTTTCGGTGTTTTAGTCATGAAATCTTTGCCGGTGCCTATGTCCTGAATGGTATTGCCTAGGTTGTCTTCCAGGGTTTTTATAGTTTTGCTTTGTTTGTTTGTTTGCTTGTTTGTTTGTTTTTTGAGACAGAGTCTCACTCTGTTGCCCAGGCTGGAGTGCAGTGGCACGATCTTGGCTCACTGCAACCTCTGCCTCCCAGGTTCAAGTGATTCTCCTGCCTCAGCCTCCCGAGCAGCTGGGACTACAGGTGTGAGCCACCACTCCCAGCTAATTTTTGTATTTTTAGTAGAGACAGGGTTTCACCATGTTGGCCAGGCTGCTCTTGAACTCCTGACCTCAAGTGATCCACCCGCCTTGGCCTCCCAAAGTGCTGGGATTTCAGGTGTGAGCCACCACACCTGGCCAAGTTTTGGATTTTACATTTAAGTCTTTAATCCATCTTGAGTTAATTTTTGCATATGGTGTAAGGAAGGGGTCCAGTTTCAATTTTCTGCATATGGCTAGCCAGCTATCCCAGCACCATTTATTAAATAGGGAATCCTTTCTCCATTTCTTGTTTTTGTCAGGTTTGTCGAAGATCAGATGGTTGTAGATGTATGATCTTATTTCTGGGCCTCTATTCTGTTCCATTGGTCTATGTGTCTGTTCTTGTACCAGTACCATGCTGTTTTGGCTACTGTAGCCCTGTAGTATAGTTTGAAGTTGGGTAGCATGATGCCTCCAGCTTTGTTCTTTTTGCTTAGGATTGTCTTGGCTATTTGGGCTCTTTTTTGGTTTTATATTTTTCTAGTTCTGTGAAGAATGTTCATGGTAGTTTAATGGGAATAGCACTGAACGTATAAGTTGCTTTGGGCAGTATGGCCATTTTCATGGTATTGATTCTTCCTTTCCATAAGCATGGAATGTTTGTCCATTTGTTTGTGTCATTTCTGATTTCTTTGAGCAGTGGTTTGTAGTTCTCCTTGAAGAGGTCCTTCACTTCCCTTGTTAGTTGTATTCCTAGGTATTTTATTCTTTTTGTGGCAATTGTGAATGGGAGTTCATTCATGATTTGGCTCTCTGCTTGCCTGTTGTTGGTGTATAAGAATGCTAGTAATTTTTGCACATTGATTTTATATCCTGAGACTTTGCTGAAGTTGCTTATCAGCTTAAGAAGCCTTTGGGCTGAGACAATGGGGTTTTCTGGATATAGGACATGTCATCTGCAAACAAAGATAGCTTGACTTCTTCTCTTTCTATTCGAATACACTTTATTTCTGTCTCTTGCCTGATTCCCCTGGCCAGAACTTCCAATACTGTGTTGAATAGGAGTGGCAAGAGAGGGCATCCTTGTGTTGATTTTCAAGGGGGATGCTTCTAGCTTCTGCCTATTCAGTATGATATTGGCTGTGGGTTTGTCATGTATGGCTCTTATTATTTTGAGGCATGTTCCTTCAATACCTAGTTTATTGAGAGTTTTTAACATGAAGGGATGTTGAAGTTTATCAAAGGCCTTTTCTACATCTATTGAGATAATCATGTGGTTTTTTTCTTTAGTTCTGTTTATGTGATGAATCACATTTATTGATTCGTGTGTGTTGAACCAATCTTGCATCCCAGGAATGAAGCCTAGTTGATCGTGGTGGATAAGTTTTTGATGTACTGCTGGATTTTGTTTGCCAGTATTTTATTGAGGATTTTTGCATTGATGTTCATCAAGGATATTGGCCTGAAGTTTTCTTTTTTTTGTTGTATCTCTGCCAGGTTTTAGTATCAGGATGATGCTGGCCTCATAGAATGAGTTATGGAGGAGTCCCTCCTTTTCAACTGTTTGGAATAGTTTCAGTAGAAATGGTACCAGCTATTCTTGGTATCTCTGGGTAGAATTCAGCTGTGAATCTGTTTGGTCCTCAGCATTTTTTTGTTGTTGTTGTTGTTAGGCTATTACTGCCTCAATTTCAGAACTCATTATTGGTCTATTCACAGATTCAATTTATTCCTGGTTCAGTCTTGGGAGGGTGTATGTGTTTAGGAAGTTATCTATTTCCTTTGGATTTTATAGTCTATGTGCATAGAGGTGTTTATAGTTTTCTCTGATGGTGGTTTGTATTTCTATGGAATCAGTGGTGATATCCCCCTTAACATTTCTGATTGTGTTTATTTGAATCTTCTCTCTTTTCTTCTGTATTAGTCTAGCTAGTGGTCTATTACTTAAAAAAGAAAAAAAACAGCTTCTGGGTTCGATAATTTTTTGAAGGGTTTTTCATGTCTCTATCTCCTTCAGTTCAGCTCTGATCTTGGTTATTTCTTGTCTTCTGCTAGCTTTGGGGTTTGTTTGCTCTTGGTTCTCTTGTTCTTTTAGTTGTGATGTTAGGTTGTTAACTTGAGATCCTTCTACCTTTTCGATGTGAGCATTTAGTGCTATATATTTCCCTTTTAACACTGCTTTAGCCGCATCCCAGAGATTCTGGTATGTTGTATCTTTGTTCTCATTAGTTTCAAAGAACTTTTTGATTTCTGCCCTAATTTCATTATTTACCCAAGAGTCATTCAGAAGCAGGTTGTTCAATTCCCATATAGTTGTGTGGTTTTGAGTAAATCTCTTAATCTTGAGTTCTAATTCGATTCCCCGGTGGTCTGAAAGACTGTTATGATTTCAGTTATTTTGAATTTGCTGAGAAGTGTTTTACATCTGATTATGTGGTCAAATTTAGAGTAAGTACTGTGTGGCAATGGGAAGAATGTATATTCTGCTGTTTTGGGGTGGAGAGTTCTGTAGACATCTATCAGGTCCACTTGATCCAGAGCTAAGTTCAGGTCCTGAATATCGTTGTTAATTTTCTATCTCAATGATCTGTCTAATATTGTCAGTAGAGTGTCTAATATTGTCAGTAGGTCTCCCATTGTTATTGTATGGGAGTTTAAGTTTCATTGAAGGTCTCTAAGAACTTGCTTTATGAATTTGGGTGCTCCTGTATTGGGTGCATATATATTTAGGATAGTGTATTAGGGTTCTCCAGAGGGACAGAACTAATAGGAGAGATACATATATATGGATATATATATATATATATATATATCCATATATATGTATCTATATATAGGTATACATATATCCATACATATGTATCTATATATAGGGGTATATATATATCCATACATATGTATCTCTATATAGGGGTATATATATATATATATCCATATATGTATGTATCTATAGGGGTGTGTGCGTGTGTGTGTATATATATATATATCCCTATGGTGTATAGGGATCGCTATACATCCTAATAAGCTCCCTTTTATATATATATAAAGGGATATATATTATAAACATATATATATAAAGGGATATATATTATAAACATATATATAAAGGGATATATATTATAAACATATATATATAAAGGGACATATATTATAAACATATATATATATAAAGGGATATATATTATAAACATATATATAAAGGGATATATATTATAAACATATATAAAGGGATATATATTATAAACATATATATATAAAGGGATATATATAATGGGGAGCTTATTAGGATATATATATATACACACACACACATATATATGTATGTATGTAAAGGGGAGTTTATTAAGTATTAACTTACACAATCACAAGGTCCCACAATAGGCTGTCTGCAAGCTGAGGAGCAAGGAGAGCCAGTCCGAGCCCCAAAACTGAGGAACTTGGAGTCTGATGTTCGAGGGCAGGTAGCATCCAGCATGGGAGAAAGATGTAGGCTGGGAGGCTAGGCTAGTCTCTCCTTTTCACATTTTTCTGCCTGCTTTATTTTCACTGGCAGCTGATAAGATTGTGCCCACCAGATTAAAGGTGGATCTGCCTTCCCCACCCCACTGACTCCAGTGTTAATTTCTTTTGGCAACACCCTCACAGACACACCCAGGATCAATACTTTGTATCCTTCAATCAAGTTGACACTCAGTATTAACCATCACAGATAGTTAGCTCTTCTTGTTTAATTGAACCCTTTACCATTATGTAATGCCCTTCTTTGTCTTTTTTTTTTATCTTTGTTTGTTTAAAGTCCTTTGTATAAGAAACTAGAATTGCAACCCCTGCTATTTTCTGTTTTCCATTTGTTTGGTAAATTTTACTCCATCCCTTTATTTGAGCCTATGTGTGTCTTTGCATGTGAGATGGGTCTCTTGAAGACATCGTATTGATGAGTCTTGGTTCTTTTTTGTTTGTGTGTGTTATCTCTTTTTTTATTTTTTATTATTATTTTTAAAATATCTTTTTCTTTTTTACTTTAAATTCTGGGGTACGTGTGCAGAACATGCAGTTTTGTTACATAGATATACATGTGCCATGGTGGTTTGCTGCACCCATCAACCTGTCACCTACATTAGGTATTTCTCCTAATGTTATCCCTCCTCTAGTGCCCCCCACCTGCCAACAGGCGCTGGTGTGCGATGTTCCCCTCCCTATGTCCATGTGTTCTCATTGTTCAGCTCCCACTTATGAGTGAGAACATGCAGTGTTTGGTTGTTCTGTTCTTGTGATAGTTTGCTGAGAATGATGGTTTCCAACTTCATCCATCTCCCTGCAAAGGACATGAACTCATGCTTTTTATGGCTGCATAGTATTCCATGGTGTATATGTGCCACATTTTCTTTATCCAGTCTATACTGATGGACATTTGGGTTGGTTCCAAGTCTTTGCTATTGTGAACAGTGCTACAATAAAAATGTGTGCATGTGTCTTTATAGCAAAATGATTTATAATCCTTTGGGTATATACCCCATAATGGGATCACTGGGTCAAATGGTATTTCTAGTTCTAGATCCTTAGGAATTGCCACACTGTCTTCCACAATGGTTGAACTAATTTATACTCCCACCAACAGTGTAAAAGTGTTCCTATTTCTCCACTCTGATGATAGTTTCTTTTGCTGTGCAGAAGCTCTTTAGTTTAATTAGATCCCATTTGTCTGTTTTGGCTTTTGTTACCATTGCTTTTGGTGTCTTAGACATGAAGTTTTTGCCCATGCCTATGTCCTGAATGGTATTGCCCAGGTTTTCTTCTAGGATTTTTATGGTCCTAGGTCTTACCTTTAAGTCTTTGATCCATCTTGAGTTGATTTTTGTATAGGGTACAAGGAAGGGGTCCAGTTTCAGTTTTCTGCATATGGCTAGCCAGTTTTCCCAACAACATTTATTAAATAGGGAATTCTTTTCCCCATTCCTTGTTTGTGTCAGATTTGTCAAAGATCAGATGGTTGTAGATGTGTGGTGTTATTTCTGAGGCCTCTGTTCTGTTCCTTTGGTCTATGTATCTGTTTTGGTACCAGTACTATGCTGTTTTGGTTACTGTAGCCTTGTAGTATAGTGTGAAGTCAAGTAGCGTGGTATCTCCAGCTTTGTTCTTCTTGCCCAAGATTGTCTTGGCTATGCGGGCCCTTTTTTGGTTCCATATGAACTTTAAAGTAGTTTTTTCCAATTCTGTGAAGAAAGTCAGTGGTAGCTTGATGGGTATAGCATTGAATCTATACATTACTTTGGACAGTATGGCCATTTTCACGATATTGATTCTTCCTATCCATGAGCATAGAATGTTTTTCCATTTGTTTGGGTCCTTTCTTACTTCCTTGAGCAGTGGTTTGTAGTTCTCCTTGAAGAGGTTCTTCACATCCCTTGTAAGTTATGTTCCTTGGCATTTTATTCTCTTAGCAGCAATTGTGAATAGGAGTTCACTCATGAGTTGGCTCTCTGTTTGTCTGTTATTGGTGCATAGGAATGCTTGTGATTTTTGCACATTGATATTGTATTCTGAGACTGCTGAAGTTGCTTATCAGCTTAAGGAGATTTTGCATTGTGACTATGGGGTTTTCTAAATATACAATCATGTCATCTGCAAATAGAGACGATTTGACTTCCTCTCTTCCTATTTGAATACCCTTTATTTCTTTCTCTTGCCTGATGGCCCTGGCCAGAACTTCCAATACTATGTTGAATAGGAATGGTGAGAGAGGGCATTCTTGTCTTGTGCTGGTTTTCAAAGGGAATGCTTCCAGTTTTTGCCCATTCAGTATGATATTGGCTGTGGGTTTGTCATAAATAGCTCTTATTATTTTGAGATACGTTCCATTGATACCCAGTTTATTGAGAGTTTTTAGCATGAAGGGGTGTTGAATTTTGTTGAAGGACTTTTCTGCATCTATTGGGATAATCATGTGGTTTTTGTGATTGTTTCTGTTTATGTGATGGATTACGTTTATTGATTTGCGTATGTTGAACCAGGCTTGCATCCCAGGTAGGAAGCTGACTTGATCGTGGTGGATAAGCTTTTTGATGTGCTGCTGGATTTGGTTTGGCAGTATTTTATTGAGGATTTTTGCATCGATGTTCATCAGGGATATTGCCTGAAATTTTCTTTTTTTGTTGTGTCTGCCAGGTTGTGGTATCAGGATGATGCTGGCCTCATAAAATGGGTTAGGGAAGATTTGCTCTTTTTCTATTGTTTGGAATAGTTTCAGAAGGAATGGTACCAGCTCCTCTTTGTACCTCTGGCAGAATTCAGCTGTGAATCTGTCTGGTCCTGGACTTTTTTTGGTTTGTAGGCTATTAATTACTGCCTCAATTTCAGAAGTTGTTATTGGTCTATTCAGGGATTTGACTTATTCCTGGTTTGGACTTAGGAGAGTGTATGTGTCCAGGAATTTATTTTCTTCTAGATTTTCTAGTTTATTTGCGTAGAGGTGTTTATAGTATTCTCTAATGGTAGTTTGTATTTCTGTGGGATCAGTGGTGATATCCCCTTTATCATTTTTTTATTGCATCTATTTGATTCTTCTCTCTTTTCTTCTTTATTAGTCTGGCTAGTGGTCTATCTACTTTGTTGATCTTTTCAAAAAACCAGCTCCTGGATTCACTAATTTTTTGAAGGGTTTTTCATGTCTCTATCTCCTTCAGTTCTGCTCTGATCTCAGTTATTTCTTGTCTTCTGCTAGATTTTGAATTTGTTTGCTGTTGCTTCTCTAGTTCTTTTCATTTTGATTTTAGGGTGTCAATTTTAGATCTTTCCTGTTTTCTCTTGTGGACATTTAGTGCTATAAATTTCCCTTTACACACTGCTCTAAATGTGTCCAGAGATCCTGGTTTGTTGTGTCTTCATTCTCATTGGTTTCAAAGAACATCTTTATTTCTGCCTTCATTTTGTTATTTACCTAGTGGTCATTTAGGAGCAGGTTGTTCAGTTTCCATGTAGTTGTGTGGTTTTGAGTGAGTTTTTAAATCCTAAGTTCTAGTTTGATTGCACTGTGATCTGAGAGACTGTTTGTTATGATTTCTGTTCTCTACATTTCCTCAGGAGTGTTTTACTTCCAATTATGTGGTCAATTTTAGAATAAGTGCAATGAGATGCTGAGAACAACGTATATTCTGTTGATCTTGGGTGGAGAGTGCTGTAGATGTCTATTAGGTCTGCTTGGTCCAGAGCTGAGTTGAAGTCCTGAATATCCGTGTTAATTTTCTGACACATTGATATGTTGTGTTAAAGTCTCCCACTATTATTATGTGGGAGTCTAAGTCTCTTTGTGGGTCTCTAAGAACTTGCTTTCTGAATCTGGATGCTCCTGTATTGGGTGCATATATATTTAGGATAGTTAGCTCTTCTTGCTGCATTGATCCTTTTACCGTTATGTAATGCCCTTCTTTGTCTCTTTTGATCTTTGTTGGTCTAAAGTCTGTTCTAGCAGAGATAAGGATTGCAACTCCTGCTTTTTTTTTTTTCTTTCCATTTCCTTGGTAAATATTCCTCCATCCCTTTATTTTGAGCCTATATGTGTCTTTGCATGTGAGATGGGTCTCCTGAATACAGCACACTGATGGGTCTTGATTCTATCCAATTTGCCAGTCTGTGTCTTTTAACTGGGGAATTTAGCCCATTTACATTTAAGGTTAATATTGTTATGTGTGAATTTGATCCTGTCATTATGATGTTAGCTGGTTGTTTTGGCCATTAGTTGATGCAGTTTCTTCAAAGTGTCAATGTTCTTTACAGTTTGGTATGTTTTTGCAGTGGCTGGTACTGGTTGTTCCTTTCCATGTTCAGTGCTTCCTTCTCTTGTAAGGCAGGCCTGGTGGTGACAAAATCTCTCAGCATTTGCTTGTCTATAAAGGATTTTATTTATCCTTCCCTAAGAAGCTTAGTTTGGCTGGATATGAAACTGTGGGTTGAAAATTCTTTTCTTTAAGCATGTTGAATATTGGCCCCTACTCTCTTCTGGCTTGTAGGGTTTCTGCAGAGAGCTCTGCTGTTAGTCTGATGGGCTTCCCTTTGTACGTAACCCCACCTTTCTCTCTGCCCTTAACATTTTTTCCTTTATTTCAACATTGGCAAATCTGATGATTATGTGTCTTAGGGTTGTTCTTCTCGAGGAGTACCTTCATGGTGTTCTCTGTATTTCCTGAATTTGAATGTTGGCCTGTCTTGCTAGGTTGGGGAAGTTCTCTTGGATAATATCCTGATCTTGGTTTGAGAATTGAACTTGGTTCAATTCGCCTCCTCACTGTCAGGTACACCAATCAAACGTGGATTTGGTCTTTTCACATATATTTCTTGGAGCCTTTGTTCACTCCTTTTTATTCTTTTTTCTCTAATCTTGTTTTCTCTCTTTATTTCATTAAGTTTATCTTCAGTCACTGATATCCTTTCTTCTGCTTGATCGATTCGGCTATTGAAACTTGTGTATGCTTCATGAAGTTCTCATGCTGTGTTTTTCAGCTACATCAGGTCATTTATGTTCTTCTCTACACTCGTTATTCTAGTTAGCAATTTGTCTAACCTTTTTTCAAGGTTCTTAGCTTCCTTGCATTGGGTTAGAACATGCTCCTTTAGCTCGGAGGAGTTCGTTATTACTCACCTTCTGAAGCCTACTTCTGTCAATTCGTCAAACTTTCTCCATCCAGTTTTGTTCCCTTCCTGGCAAGGAGTTGTGATCTTTTATAGGAGAAGAGACGTTCTGGTTTTTGGAATTTTCAGCCTTTTTGTGCTGGTTTTTCCCCATCTTTGTGGATTTATCTACCTTTGGTCTTTGATGTTGGTGACCTTCATATGGGGTCTTTGAGTGGATGTGCTATTTCTTTCTGTTAGTTTTCCTTCTGACAGGCCCCTCTACTGCAAGCCTGCTGGTTTGCTGGAGGTCCACTCCTGACCCTGTTTGCCTGGGTATCACCAGCGGAGGCTGCAGAACAGCAAAGATTGCTACCTGACCTTTCCTCTGGAAGCTTCGTCCCAGAGGGGCACCTGCTGTATGCCAGCCAGAGCTCTCCTGTATGAGGTGTCTGTCGGCCGTACTGGGACGTGTCTCCCAGTCAGGATACACTTGAAGAGGCAGTCTGACCCTTAGCTGAGCTGGAATGCTGTGCTGGGAGGTCTTTTGCTCTCTTCAGAGATGTCAGGCAGGGACATTTAAGTCTGCTGAAGCTGTGCCCACAGCCGCCCCTTTCCCCAGGTGCTCTGTCCCAGGGAGATGGGGGTTTTATCTGTAAGTCCCTGACTGGGACTGCTGCCTTTTTTCAGAGATGCCCTGCCCAGAGAAGGGAAATCTGGCAGTCTGGCCACAGCAGCCTTTCTGAGCTGCAGTGGGATCCACCCAGTTTGAGCTTCCCAGTAGCTTTGTTTACACTGGGAGCAGAAAACCACCTACTCAAGCCTCAGCAATGGCGGATGCCCCTCCCCCCACCAAGCTTGAGTGTCCCAGGTCTATCTCAGACTGCTGCTGTGCTGGCAGCAAGAATTTCAAGCCACTGGATCTTAGTTTGTTGGGCTCTGTGGGGGTGGGACCCCCAAGCCAGACCACTTGGTTCCCTGGCTTCAGCACCCCTTTCCAGGGGAGTGAACGGTTCTGTCTCACTGGCGTTCCAGGTGCCACTGGGGTATGAAAAAAAAGAACTCCTACAGCTAGTTTGGTGTCTCCCCAAATGGCCGCCCAGTTTTGTGCTTGAAACCCAGGGCCCTGGTCGGGTAGGCACTGGAGGGAATCTCCTGGTTTGCGGGTCGCGAATACCATGGGACAAGCACAGTATCTGTGCCATAGTTCCTCAGGCTCAGTCCCTCACAGCTTCCCTTGGTTGGGGGAGAAAATTCTCCGACCCCTTGCACTTCCCGGGTGAGGTGACGCCCCACCCTGCTTTGGCTTGCCCTCCGTGGGCTGCATCCACTGTCCAACCAGTCCCAATGAGATGAACTGGGTACCTCAGTTGGAAATGCAGAAATCACCCTCCTTCTGTGTCAATCTCACTGGAAGCACAGACCAGAGCTGTTCCTATTCGGCCATCTTGCCAGCAATCTGGGTCTTGGTTCTTTATCCAGCTTGCCATTCTGTGTCTTTTAATTGGGGCATTTAGCCATTTACATTTAAGGTTAGTATTGTTATGTGTGGATTTGATCCTGTCTTCATAAAGGTAGCTGGTTATTTTGCAGACTTGTTTATGTGGTTGCTTCATAGTGTCACTGGTCTGTGTGCTTCATTTGGTGTTTCTTGTTTGTTTTTTTACTGGCTACTAATGGTTTTTCCTTTCCATATTTAGTGTTTCCTTCAGCTCTTGCAAGGCAGGTTTGGCGGTGACAAATTCCCTCAGCATTTGCTTGTCTGAAGAGGATCTTATTACTTCTTCACTTATGAAGCTTACTTTGGCTGGATATGAAATTCTGGGTTGGAAATTCGGTTGAGAATGCCGGATATTGGCCCCCAATTTCTTCTGACTTGTAAAGTTTCCACCGAGACGTCCGCTGATAGTCTGAGGGGCTTCCCTTTGTAGGTGACCTGGCCTTTCTCTCTGGCTGCCCTGAACATTTTTTCTAACATTTTGACCTTGGAGCATCTGACGATTATGTGTCTTGGGGTTGATCTTTTTATGGAGTATCTTCCTGGGGTTCTCTGCATTTCCTGAATTTCAATGTTGGCCTGTCTTGCTAGGTTGGTGATGTTCTCCTGGATGATATCCTGAAGCATGTTTTTCAACTTGGTTTTGGCTAATAGACTTCTTAAACTCTCCCTCTCAATGTGGTCCACTCACAGCTTTCCCCAACTCTGTTGATGGCAGCTAAACTTTTCTGGCTGTTCAGACCAAATCTGGAGTCATTCTCAACTACTCTGTTTTACTCCCATGTCCAACTTGTCAGGAAATCCTCTTGGGTCTACTGTTAAAATGTCTGCAGAATCTATCTGAAACCTGTACTGCTTGTTCTGAACCACCCGGTCTGAGCTACGATTAGCTCTTGCCCGCTTCGAGTCATGCTAATATTAATATATTCTCTAGACAGCACCCAGAGCGATTCTTTCAAATAGAAGTAAAGTCATGTCATTTCTCTGTTCAAACTCTGCTATGGTTTGCATTTCACTCAGAATGAAACCTGGAGTCCTTACCAAGGGCCCACAAAGCCCTTTGTGATTTGTCCCCCAACCCCCCACCTCCCACCTCTCCATTATCTTCTGCCAGTATCCCGTCACTTCATTTGGTCCTCTAATTTTGTCTGGCCAAGATAGTGGTTTATTTTTGTCTTTTTCTATGTAATAGGGAAAAGGCAATGAATACAACTAGATGGGAGTTACGTTTCCTTGCAATACAAGCACTAATTGTCTTATTCTTTTGTTAAGCATTCATATACCTGTGGGGCCCCTGCCAGCCTTGGAGTATTCCTACAATGTAGGAGGCAAATGTAAAGCCACCGAAGGTTTTAAACAGGTCAGATTTGCGTTCAGATGGATGATTTTGCATTCATCATGGAGAATGGGCTTAAGCTGAACTCCACTGGAAGCAAAGACTGAAAAACCATTAAAAAGTTTTTACAACTGTTCAGCAGGAGCGCAAAGGAGACTCCAGATTTCAGAAACACTAAGGCAGAATAAAGAGGACCTAGTGCTTGACTGAATAAGACCGTTTGGGGGTCGGGCAGTAAGTTTCAGGGAAAAGCTCCTAGGTTTCTGGCTTGAGTCTTGAGTAACCTAACAGACGAAGGTACCACGTTAGGTGAACATGAGGCCTCCTCGGGTAATTTTTAAGCCTAGCTATCTTGAAAATGCAGCAGTCCTGATGGGCACACACGTGTTGGGGAAGTTTGCGGTTCCTATAGGCCGCGAATTATTTAACTTTTTACACAAGCATTTCATACAACTGTGATGGAGATCAAGAGCTACGTGTTGCCGGCCTCCTGAGGAATGAGGAAAACTGGAGGCCTGACTTCCCTGCTTCCTCCGCTTCCCGGGACCAGCCGTCCTGGCCGCCTGGCGCCCCGCATGCCCGCGGCCTCTCCCTCCCGTGGAGCACCGCGTTTCCCTGGCCGTTGCTGGCGGGCTGTAGTGGAGGAATAACGGACCTGAGCAGCGGTCACCACAGTAACGAATTCGCTGCCAGTGGAGTCTCGAGGGACACAGGCGTCTCCAGGGCGCCCCTTCCGGGTGACCGCGCTGGGGGTCCACACGCGCGTCCGCCCCCAGCCTTCGTTCGCCGCGCTGGTCCCTGCCCAGAGGAGGAGGAAGGGAGGGTAGGGGGCGGCGGGGGTGTTCCCGTCGCAGCTTGGGAACCCCGAAAGGCACCTGAGTGGCCGGCCTCGGCCTCCCTGGGCGGCCGTATTGTCTAAGCTCCATAGCAACCCCGGCGCGGCGCCGGCCACGCTAGCCAGCGTAGCTCCGGAGCCCGCGCGCCGTCGCCGCGTCGCTCAGGCCCTGACCCGCGCTGGACCCGCGCGCTAGGGCCCTGACGGCCCGCGCGGGCTCCAGGCGCGGGCAGCGGGGACGGCATGCCCGAGAAGAGGCTCACCGCGGGTAGGTGGCGGCCCCACAGGGACAGAGGATCAGCCCGCGGCGTCGGGGCCGCACCACGCGCCAGCCTCTGGACTTTACCTCCTGCCCTCCTAGCGGTATCCCCGCTCCCAGACATGAGAAAAAAGGGCTTCACTGCCCTCCTGTTGGATTTTATGACGAATTTCACGTCCTCGCCGGTTTATGCTGGCACCACGTTATCTCGCTTAATTCTGCATATTGTACGTAGAATAATAGAGGGTTCCGTCTATGAAGAAGGGTAACTCCTGGGTCACAGTGAATTAGTGACCAGGCAGGATTCCAGAGGCCTTTCCTTCCCACTTCCACCTTGAATTCCAACTTAAAATGCAAGCCATGTACAGAGAATGAACAGAGGGCCAGAAATGTGCTACGTTTGCCTGTGTATAACGTAGGGCTAGGTGCTGTCTCCCATGATTTCATTTACTCAAAGGAAATCAGATTTGAGGGAGATAATGTAATATTTTGTCTTGTTTCAGAGCCACCAACTATTACAGAAGAAGAATTTGTAAGTATCATTTCAAGGGGCTATTTTTTTCTTTGGCCTTTAAAAAAATAGCAAATATTAGATCATAGAAGAAAGCTGTGTGTTTTCTTTCCTCCTTTTTGCCAGAGTTTTGGTTTAGTAACAATTGTAATAACTGTGTACAAGATCTTTTTAAATTCTTTATCTGGCACATAATTTTAAGAAGGGGCCAATTAATTTGTATGGTGGATGCTGTTCATCATTAAAGTTCTTTCACATAAATGGCCTCATTTAATTTCTCTAAACTCTTTAATGACTCCATGAGAGGAAAGTTTTATCTCCATGGCTGTATTATGATGTGGCTGTGCATTTCCTGGTTGGAGTAAACATAAGTAAATGGCGTTGATGGATAAAGAGTGGTCAATTTATCATTCCTTTACAAATGTACTAAATACTCCCATTTCAGACTTCTAGAGAGGTGAAGTAATAAAAGTATTTGCTAAATATATCCTATACATTGTCATTTAGGTGAGTGCTACATTTAGGCTGGGTTCCATTGTAATTCCCATTGTATACAGTGTTTCAGGAACTTGCCTGAGGTTACACAGACAAATAGGAGCTGTCAGAGCCTAATTCCTACCAAGATCTGAGTCTGATTCCAAGAGCTCTAACCACTTCTATTATTTATTTATGTCTTCCAGCACTTACTTCTCTTGTTGGCTAATTATCTTATTTGCTTTTGGCTTTCAATCAACAAACATGCATGATTGTATAGTCATAGTGTGGTCCTAGATGCTGAGGTTAAGTCTCAAGAAGTTCACAGTCTAGCAGGGACTAAGAGAGAAGAAAGGGCTAAGCCTGTGTGCGCGGGTGGCTTTCACATTCACCTTTCCAGAGCTCTGGTCCATTGCTGGGAGAGACAGACACACACACATCTACACATACACACATACACACACACAGCCACTGAAGGTAGAGGTACACAGAACAAGTCAGAAATTCCTTCCATCTTCTGGCCATGTTGACAGAGCTCTGCTTTAAGAAAAAAAAAAATACACACACACACACACACACACACACACACACGCACATATTTTGAGACAGGGTCTCTCTCTGTCACCCAGGCTGGAGTGTAGTGGCCCCATCACAACTCACTGCAGCCCTGACTTCCCTGGGCTTAGGTGATCTTCCTGTCTCAGCCATCTGAGTCACTGTCCCTATAGGCACGTGCCAGCACGCCTGGCTAATTTTTATATTTTTTGTAGAGACAGAGTTTCACCATGTTGCCCAGGCCAGTCTCGAATTCCTGGGCTCAAGCAATCCACCCACCTCGGCCTCCCAAAGTGCTGGGATTACAGGCCCGAGCCACTGTTCCAGGCCCAGAGCTCTGCTTTTAATGGGAAATTTCTTTAAGCTGCTCCAGGCCTTCCTGAATTTACTCTTAGTTCCAGCAGGAGGTGAGCATTTCTGAAGCCAGCAAATCTTTTCCCATGCTGCTGAAGACTACTCAACAACACGCCACTTACTGTTTGAACAGTTCACTATTTTAGGTGTTGGCCCCATCCTTGAACTCATGATAGCCTGAAGACTCTAGGCATTCCCTTTCTCTTGGCTTGGTTTCACTGTCTCCGAGTTCTCTTATCTTTCATTATTATTCCCCCTTTCTGGCTTCTCTTTTTCTTTTCTCATGAAAGTATTGACCTTCAGGATTCTGTTCTCTGGGCTTTCTCTGGGTGAGCTCCTCTTCTCCTCCTGTAGCTTCAGTACCCCTGTTTCGTGGGACTTCCACATCTCCATACCTCCAGTCCAGACACCACTTTTAATGCCAGCTCTGTATATCCAGCGGTTATTGGGACTCTTTATCATCTGAATGTCCGTGTCAACAGTCTAAACTGAACTTTTCTCCCCAGGCCCCTCCACACTATGCTGTCTTTCCTCCACTTCTTATTTTGGTTTGTGGTGCCACTGGCCATTCAGTCACTCACATCAAAGACTTTCTTCCCTTTTCTTCATCCCCTGCCTGCAATCATTTACCAAGCTCCTTTCATAGCCAGATCTTTTTCTCCATCCACACAACTACTGTCTCATTTCAGGCCCCCACCCTGGGTCTGGACTTTGGTAGTAATCCTAACTGATACCATTGCCTCCAATATTCCTTCTGCCAACTCCAGTTTTTCTTTGTCTAAAGCATAAAATTCAAGCTCCTGAGCATCAGTTGTATTAGATTACTTCCTATTCCTTTGCTCTGTCTACCTTTAGATTTTTCCTTCTCCTATCACTCTTACCCTGGCTATCAGATTGCTATTAATTTTTTAAAACATTACCTTGTTACTGGCTTGCTCAGAGCTTTTATTAATAGCTAGTATTTATTGAATGCTAACAACATGCTAGTATTTAGTCTCAAAACAACCCTATTAGGTGGTTATTACTGCCTACATTTCACAGAAGAGGAGGTCGAAGTTCACAGTGGTTAACTAACTGGGCCTGAGGCCACATATCTCATAACTGGTAAAGCCAAAATGTCAAATGCTTTGCTTTAGCCTTCAAAACCTTTTCTATAACTTTTCAGCCTTCTTTAACCTTACCTCCCAATGCTTTTCTCTGTGATAAAGACAACATTCTTACTGTTTTTGATTTATAAAGTACATCCACATGCCTCCTGCCCCAGCCAAACTATACCCCACTTGTCTCCTTGCCTTTGCTGTCAAATTTTGTCTCAGTTGCCCTTCCCCATCTATTTCACAATCTTGCACATTCTTCAAGGCCCAGCTAATCTCCTCCATGAAGCCTTTCCAACCTAACATCATCCAGACTGCCTGTGAGCTCTGAGCATCTTTTAGCTGAGAGCAGTTTATAACCAGATTCTCAAATTCATATGCTCAACCAAGTATTGTCTATAGATTAAATAATTAACATGTCTTGCACATGTATTTACCCCTGTTTTTCAAAAGTGTGAAAGTATTGTTTTCATTAATAAATTACGTATTCTTAGGAAAAATGTGTCACGGACCTGTAGTTCCCCAAACTCCATTCTCTCCTTTCCATGGTAGATATCAGACCCATTGCTATCCCAAATTAAGACTACATTTTCTAGTTTCCCTTGCAGCCAAACATGGTCACAGAACCAAATTCTGGCCAATACGATGTAGGCAGAAGTGTTGTGTCCTACTTCTCTGGAGAGCTGATGTTTATAGAGATCAAATAATGGACCCTTAGGTCACACAGCTAGTAATTAGTTGAGCCACAGTTAGAAGCTGGGCTATTCTAACTTTAATACTTACATAAGTGTAGAAGGAAAGAATGAGCCCTTTTTCTTCTTTTCTGCCAGCTGGAATACAGTTGTGATGCTGGAGCTAAAGCAGTCATCTTAAATCATGAGATGGATGTGGCATCTTGAGGATGGTGGAGACATAAGATCAGAGGGGCCTGGGTCCCTGATATTTGGGAAGCCACAATGCCTTATGATTAATGTCTTATGATTACAACTGCTTTTGATTACATGAGAAAAATATTTTATTATTTTATTTAAGTAGTTTTTTTTTTTGGTTTCGTGCTCCTGTGTTCATACTAGCTTTTTTTTCATATTGTATTTTCTCAGTGGATCTAAAAGTACCATGCTGTTATAGACATCTGCAAAATAATATTTGAACCTCAACATGGGGTCTTCATTCTCAAAGGATAGAATAACTCATTTAGAATAAATTATTTGTTTGTTAGGGACACATACCTTGTATATATTTTTAATTTTTTACCTAGGTGTAAGATACACATTGAGAAAGTTTAAAGTGAGAGTGAATTACAAAATTTACACATTAAAATTTAGGGCTGGGCGCAGTGGCTCATGCTTGTAATCTCAGCACTTTGGGAGGTCAAGGTGGGCGGATCATGAAGTCAGGAGATCGAGACCATCCTGGTTAACACAGTGAAACCTTGTCTCTACTAAAAATACCAAAAAAAAAAAAAAAAAAAAAATTAGCTGGGCATGCCTGTAGTCCCAGCAACTCGGGAGGGTGAGGCAGGAGAATCGCTTGAATCCAGGAGGCAGAGGTTGCAGCGAGCTGAGATCACGCCACCACACTCCAGCCTGGGCAACAGAGCGAGACTCCATCTCAAAAAAAAAAAAAAGAAATTTAGGAGTCACTGTCACTTTAAACTTACAGCTAAAGTAAGGTGTAAGGTACACATTCAGAAAGTTTAAAGTGAGAATGACTCTTAAATTTTTTTATCATTAAAATAGAGTGCATTAATAGCGAAGATTTAAGAGCCTGACTTTTACATTCAAAATAATATCTTTTTCTTGTGCCTTAAAAGTAGTTAGTTTGCAACTATGCAAGTAAGTGTGCCAGACTTCAAAAAAAGTCTTTATCAAGTCTTCCATCAAAAAATGGAATCCAGGAAAGAAAATTCTTTATGGAGTAAAAACATTGTAGTGTAATGATCTATTTTGTTGAAGGTTTTCTGATTTAGAAAACCCACAGTTTTATTAACGTTAAAACTGGATTAAAAGCTGTTTAAAAAAGGAAAAGTTAAAAAAGAGACTACCTTGTAATCTTACTATCAAATTAAGATAAACTTTAGCTTTAAGCAGTATTTACTTGTATTTTAGTTGTTAAAAGTGGTATTCATTTTTAACTAATTTTTAGTCTGTTCAAATTTCTATTTTGTTATTTTTACAGGTTGAATGAAATTATAATAAACATAGGGTATTTCCCAAGCATGAAGACATTCTCATTATTTTAACATACAGTAACATAGTTGACTCTCCATATCCATGGATTCCACATCTGTGGATTCACCCAAACTTGGATTGAAAATATTCAGAAAAAGGCCAGGTGCAATGGCTCACACCTGTAACCCCAGCACTTTGGGAGGCCGTCGCAGGCAGATCACCTGAGGTCAGGAGTTCGAGACCAGCCTGGCCAACATGGTGAAACTGCGTCTCTACCAAAAATACAAAAATTAGCTGGACGTGATGGCACATGCCTGTAGTACCAGCTACTTGGGAGGCTGAAGCAGGAGAATTGCTTGAACCCAGGAGGTGGAGGTTGCAGTGAGCCCAGATCATGCCATTGCACTCCAGCCTCGGTGACAGAATGAGACTACGTCTCAAAAAAAAAAAAAAAATCAGAAAAAAATACAAACTTTAAAAATATAGGATAACAACCATTTACATAACATTTACATTGTATTAGGTATTGTAAGAAATCTAGAGTTGATTTAAAGTACATAGGAGGTTGGGTGTAGGTTATATGCAAATACTATGCCATTTTATATGAGGGACTTGAACATCCCCAGATTTCAGTGTCTGTGGGGGGTCCTGGAACCAATCCCCTGTGGATACCAAGGGACAACTGTATAGAATAAAGGTCCATAATTCCAGTCCTCCTAAACAAGACTAATTACTTGGCAATTAATGACCACTTGGTGGTTTTTTTCAAACAAAATATGTTAAATTACACATAATTGGGTTAAATGAACAGTGAGAGCCTACTGGGGCTGACACACTAGGCAGCTTCATATGGAAACACTGGAAGATAGGGCTAGACCTAAGTACTACCCCTACGTTCTCCTGTTCTTGTTTCTTTAAGAGGTTGCAGAGCTAGGGGCCAGAAGTGTTGTGAACAAGTCTTTAGGAAACTAAGACAGGTCCCAGAGGTCCTTTGTAAAGTGTTATGCTATTTGGAATTCTTTCATCTCTATGGAATCCTTTACTCTGAGTAGGAATCAAATTCTCTGATGCTTTTTTGGAACTACAGAAACTGTTAACAGTCCCATTGATAAGTTGGTAAATAAGTATATCATTAAGCAACTTTTTCAAGGTATGGCCATATTAGACACTACTGGGGACAAACATTGTCATTAGTCCCCAAAGTAGCATACCTTCTGATCAGAGAGATGGCCTTTAATATGAAACAGTAAAAGGATAAGCAGTTTATAGTTTAAGTGTGAGGTTTGAATTAAAAGTACATTGGGATTTAGAGAAGCTTGCCACATCCTCTTTTTACCTGTAAAGTATAGAATGGGAGACAAGGTGACCAAGGGTGTGAGATACTCTCTGCTTTAAATGAGTTTATTGAGTTGTAAGTATCTTTGTACAAGGAGAAAGCCTTAGGGTGTTTGTGCCTAATGGATTGTCTTAAGCCTAGTAGGTATAATTCGAAGTATTGGATTGGATAAAATTGATTGGATAAAAGGGAGTCTGGGCCAGGCGCAATGGCTCACACCTGTAATCCCAGCACTTTGAGAGGCCGAGGCGGGTGGATCATGAAGTCAGGAGATTCAGACCATCCTGGCCAACATGGTGAAACCCCGTCTCTACTAAAAATACAAAAACTAGCTGGGCTTGGTGGCATGCACCTGTAGTCCCAGCTACTCAGGAGGCTGAGCCAGGATAATCGCTTGAACCTGGGAGGTGGAGGTTGCAGTGAGCCAAGATTTTGCCACTGCACTCCAGCCTGGTGACAGAGCGAGACTTCATTAAAAAATAAATAAAATAAAATAAAATAAAATAAAATAAAATAAAATAAAATAAAATAAAATAAAATAAAATAAATAAAATAATAAAATAAATAAAAAAATAAAAGGGGGTCAGGGGCAGGGGAGCATCCAGAGCTTCCTTCACCTTCTCAAGCCTTTTGGGTACTTGTTGAGAGAGAGAGAGACAGAGAGAAGGAAAGGGAAGAGAAAAGAGAATAGAAGAGAAGAAGAAGGAAGAAAGAGGGAAGAAGAGAGAAGAGAACAGAAACCCGATGGAAAAGTGCTTCTGGATAGATACTGATGTAATCTGTGATGATAACCTTTGGAGGATAAAAGCAGAGTCCATACTTTTGCTCCTCATTGCATGAACCACTTTAATATCTTCCTCCTTCATAGACTTTGTTTCTAAGAAAATATAATTTTGCAAACCAGTGGGGATCTGATATGCGGGCTTTTGGTTTTCAAATTTCAAAAATGCCTTGATCTAGGCAAGCTATACTTTCAACAAGATGTGTTGTGGAGCTTGTCTCACCTTGCATTCTCTTTTTCTGACCCTTTTCTCTTTTGACAATATCTCTTCTTTTAATTAGTATTATTCGTTAGAGTCTTTTTAAAGTTATTAGTCTTTTCTCTTTAGGTTTCATGTCCTCAGTGTAATCATTCAATTATTCAGTAAAAATGTTCTAAACATTTACTATCTAAAGGCATTGAGAAATTAAAAGAATAAATAGGAAACAGCCCTTTTCCTCCAGTTCACAATCCAGTGGATGAGACATGTAAACAATTATAGTATGAAGTGATAAAGGTTTTTATAGGGGAAATATAGATGACCACTACTCCAGACTTCTGGAGAAGAAAAAAGATAGGTACGTGAATAAAGGGGAAAATTTTTCTGGGCAGAATAATCAGCATGTGCCAAGGTGCAGAACTATAAAAAAATTGCTATGACCACAGCGTGTAGTATGAGATAAGGCTGGACAGTGGGCAGGAGCCAAATTGCTTTCACCATAAGCCCTTTTTGTAGTAGAAAAGGATTGGAGATTGGGGGAACAATGGATCCCTTGTATTAAATGAGGTGTGGCTAGGAAGGCTGACCCATAGGGTGGTGTGGATAAGAAGGAATAGGAAAGATGAGGTTTGGCATATGATGGACAGTACGGTGAACCGAGGTCAGTCCCTTAGTGGACAGGATTCCAGAGTAGTAATCAGAAGATGGTCAGATAACCAGGAATTTATTCTAGAGGCAACGATGCTGATTTGAGAATCTGATATTTAATACACAGAAGGCTAAGAAGCCTGTCCATAACGTGCAGAGAAACTTGATCTTATTTCCTTGTACATAAAGCCCTCCTCCAAACATTTTACTAGGAAAAAATTTAAACATATAAGAATTAAAAGAATTGTATAGTGAACACTGATATACCTACCACTAAGATTTCACAATTTTTGTTACATTTGCTTTTTCACATAGCTGTCCTATCTCATCATCCATCAGTCCATCTTATTTTTTATGCATTTCAAAGTAAGTTACAGACATTGATAAACTTCA
Organism: Homo sapiens; assembly: GCF_000001405.40. Classification (NCBI taxonomy): domain Eukaryota; kingdom Metazoa; phylum Chordata; class Mammalia; order Primates; family Hominidae; genus Homo; species Homo sapiens. The sequence goes on along the minus strand of NC_000008.11, from coordinate 100,097,389 downwards.
CCTGTAAATACTTCATAAGTATCATGAACTATTAATAATATTCAATATTAGTTTATGATTCTTTTGTTGATGCACAATTTATACACTGAAATGCAAACATTTAAAGAATGATAATTTGATGAATTTTGACAAATGTATACACTTGTGTAATCCAAACTCCAGTGCATACATAGAACATTTTCATAGTCCTAGAAAGTTCTTCAAGCTCCTTGTCAGTTGATTCTCGCCCCCATTCCCCAGAGACACCTGCTATGCTGTCTTGCTTTCTGGCCTCTCTTCTTTGCTCGTGTTTATCTATGTCCTCAGCATTATTGCCCCTCATATTTATATTTCTAAATACAGAATTTGAAGTTATTTGAAATGCATTTCAAATGCCATTTTTCCCACTTGAGTCTCTTCTGATTCATCTTACCAGATAACGTCTTTCCTTCCTTTGGAAGAAACAGTTTATATTGTAATTCCCTTATGGCATGTATCACATTCTTTCTTGGACTGTAGTTTTTTTGTCTGTATCTTATTTCCTCTTCCTTGTTTATAGTGTCTTTGTATATCTTGCATCTTTTAGAGTTGTAAAGAAATTAGGCTGGGTGTGTTGGCTCATGCTTGTAATCCCAGCACTTCGGGAGGTCTAGGTGGGAGGATTGCTTGAGCCCAGGAGTTCAAGACCAGCATAGGCAATATAGTGAGACCCTGTCTGTACCAAAAAAAAAAAAAAAAATTTTTTTTAAATTAGCTAAGCGCCTAAGTGACAGAGCAAGAACCTGTCTCAAAAAAAAAAAAAATTGTAGTTCATCTGATTTGAAGGTGCAGCAAAATAAGTTTAAGCAAAAAATTTTACCTACCATAATTAGCAAGCACACATAAACTATTTTGTTAACCCTCTTTCAGTAAGACCTTTGAGAAGTTTGGACTAAAAATGGAAAAGCTGACTTCATTTTCACAGATGGCACACCTGTAATACATGAAAAAACAGGTTTCAAGAGTACATTCAATTCTGAAGAAGTGTTCCTACCTTCATTCAACAGAGAATCTGTGTTGCAAATTTTGCAGTCAGGCTTATGGAATGATGTAATGGAGGAAATGATTGTAACTCAATTTTCTTCTTGATTGTACCATTAACCATCACCAGTTTATTGATTATTTGGAAGATGTTAAACCTAAGCATAGAGACTTAGAGCATTTTAATATAGCCAAGTAATGGGACTGTGGAAACTCTTTGAGAGTGACTGAGCTACTTCTTCAGCTCAAGGCTTAATTTTGTTTTTTTAATTAAAGGGTTTGTGGTGTAAACAGCTTATCAGATACTCATGGGTTTACAAGACTGCTTAGTGATGTGACAAGATATTTTGAACACATTGAACTAGAAACTGCAGTGGGAAAATAGGTTCCTTTATTTACTAAGAGAAGGACAAGCCTTTCCACTCAGGTGCCAGATGTGGGTTGAGCAGATCGCACTTGCAGGCAACACTTATTTCCCATTGTGGAACTACCCAATATCAACGGAATTGCTGAGGTTTCATATTGATAGAAATTAAGGCACAATTTTATAAAAGATATAATTGATTTTGATGTATTTGATAATACCTGAGGTTTTCATAGTTTTCTGTAAGTGCAAACCAAAGGATATGACTGAATGCCTAGGAAATGTCAAGTCACCAAGGGGTTAGAGCAGTGCTACTGCTGCCACCTGAGAACTCTTATCAGTCTGTAGTGAGATGAGCTGAGCTCAGGAATCTAGAGTAAACTTTTAGAACCTTTATGGCAGTTTGACAGAGTATATTTATATCTGTTAAATTTAATAACAAAAAATTGGGATTGCAATATGTATCTTTTATTTCATTTTCTAATTATTCTTTCAAAGTTATCTGTCTGAAATACGTTAAGGAAAAAAACAACAACAAAACAGGGCTGAGCATGGTGGCTCATGGTTGTAATCCCAGCACTTTAGGAGGCCGAGGCGGGCAGATCACTTGAGGCTAGGAGTTCGAGACCAGCCTGGGCAACATGGTGAAACATTGTCTCTACAAAAAATACAAAAATTAGCTGGGCACGGTGGCATGTGCCTGTAGTCCCAGATACTTAGGAGGCTGAGGCACGAGAATCACTTGAACCCAGGAGGCGGAGGTTGCAGTGAGCTGAGATCACACCACTGCACTCCAGCCTGGGTGACGGGGCAAGACCTTGTCTCAAAACAAAAACAAAAATAAAACGGGTATCTCATCTCAGATAGTTCATTGAGTTAGAATCTTTTAGAAGTGCAAGACATCTGGAAATGAATATATGAATCTGAAAATTAGAAATTTCAGACAAGGTGGCAATTCTAGGCAATACTTACGTCCACCAGGTGCTATGAAATACATATTCTGTATTATGGCTAAAAATTAAAAATGAAATGTATACTTTAGAAAAACTAACAAGGGATTGTACTGCACTACTGCAAATTATTTAAGCTATTCACTGTTCACATCTGTGGATTTTTGATCATGTGATCCAGTACTGCCAAATTTGGCCACCCTTATTGTAGCACAATGCCTTCTACCCAGAATTCAGATGTTTTCTCATAAGAATTAGCAAAAACTAGATAGTCCACTAAATACAGTAGGAATTATTAAAGTAACTTTGAAAGGTAAAGTTTGATAGGTTACTAAATGCCTTATAGCTTCCCCCAAAAGGATATCTGCCTTGTTCTGCTTTGTTAGACTTTGCCAATCAGGACTTTCTTTGAGCACATGCTACTAAGGTACTACTACTAAGGTAGTAAATTTATTAAATCCTTAGTTTGTTGTTATTTTAATCAGTTGAAATTTTTAGAAAACTAAATCTTTTAAGGTTTCTAGTAAGTTTCTTGATATAAATTCTATAAGTGATTGTTTATAACTCTCTTCTGATGCTGCAATTACTTAAAGAAATTACCCTGAAAATCCACTTTCCAAAGTAGGTGCAATATGCTATAGTGTCTTCCTGATAGCACTATATACTTCAATAAATTTTTAAAAATTGGCCAGTATAAAAAGAAAGTAATCAGCCATATGGAAATAATAGCATTGTGTCATATTGTGAACTTTCATGTTAGATTTGCAAAATTGAAGTATAATTATGAATAACAAAATAAACACATGTACCATACAACAGTATGCCATGATGTGCTTTTGACATAATGGAAACAATTGCTAATAAAATAAGGTGTCTTATGATTTGGAAGAGAAATTTTGTTCTTGGCAGTGGCTTTTCAATTTTGCCAATTTGAAAAGTGGCTATGTTGGTGGATGAGATAGTTATGGAAAAAATGCATACAATCTTTATTCTTAGAACACATGCATTGTCAAACTTTCCTCGTGCAAAAGTGAAGCAGGATCCAGATTTAAAAATGTACCTCATTCTGGGGTGGGGGACAGTAGAACATTTTCTTCACTTCCTTTATCATTTTCATTGGGCAATTCAAGAAATTTACATTCTCAATTTCATTTGGGCTCCAAACACTGCTTCTTGTTGACTCTGCCTTTATTTTTATGAAATATGTATATATTTAATAAGTCTGTGTGAAACTTACCATGTGGTGGTATTATTTTGTATTTGTTGATGTTTCATTTAAGTGTTGTGCTATATTTTTCATGTGTTCTGTTTTCCAACTAAGTATAGTAGCAAAGTGTTTTAAGAGTATGCCCACTTCTGTTTTCTTATTTTTTCCTTTCAGAGATTGGAAGGAGACAATAAAACACCATAAACTGTGTTCAGTTTATAGTGAGGGTTCACTGTTGACTGACTAAAAGAGATTTGAAGATCTATGTGATAATAAATTCGTAGCAGAAATAGAGAATAATATAGGCATGATTTAAAATGTATAATTATAATACTGTGTTTTTATGTTTTTTTTTTGCAGGAAGATTCTCTGGCAACAGATGATTTCCTTGTAGACTACTTTAATGAATTCCTAAGCCTTCCAGTGAGTTTATTATTATGATCTATTGAATATATATTATCAAAGCAAAATATTTTAATCACTGGGTTATCTTGTGAAACCAATTTATCAGGGATAATGCTTTTTAAAAAAATATTAAAGCATTTAGGTAAAGGTTTTATCTTTTTACATAGTTAATCATTTGGATTTGAATCATATTTAGAAATTATTCTTATTGAAGAAATCTGGAGTTTTTCTAACCATTAAAAAGCATTCTGTACAAACTCTGGTTCAGCTGTATTTGGCACCATGTTAGGCTTTTTTTTTTGAGACATTGTGTTGCTCTGTCGCCCACGCTGGAATGCAGTGGTATGATCATGGCTCGCTGCAGCCCCGACTTCTCAAACTCTAGCGATCCTCCTGCCTCCCAAGTAGCTGGAACTTCAGACATGTGCCATGATGCCCAGCTAACAGTTAGACTTTTGACAGAGATAATAAGGACAAAATATCAAAAAAGTCAAGGAACTAATTTTTTGCTTTCAAGCAATTATTTTCATCCTCTTGGATAGAACTTAAAGTGGAATTTGTATTTAAGGCAACTAGAGTTTTATATCAGTAGTAAATAGGACTTGGCACACTGTCATTGGTGTAACATAGATTGATGCCAATTAATAGTTTCAGTCATAGACAGCAGTAACATGTATTGTGAGTATTAAGGGATGTCCTAGTCCATATAGTCTATGCTGCTATAGCAGAATAACTGAGATTGGGTAATGTATAAGGAATGGAAATTTATTTGGCTCACAGTTCTGGAAGTTGAAAAGTCCAAGATCAAGGGGCTGCATCTGGTGAGGGCCTTCCTCCCACATCATGCCATGGTGGAAGGGAAAACAGAGATTAAGAGAATGAGGGAGAAAGAGGGGCGCTGACCTCACTTTTATAACAAACTTTAAACAAGTTTTATAACACTCTCTTGATAACCAACCCACTCTCAAGATAACAACATTAATCCATTCAGGAGAGCAGAGCCCTCATGACCTAATCACTTCTTTTTAGGCCCCGCCTCCCAACACTGTTGCATTGGGAATTAAGTTTTCAACACATTAAATTTGGGGGACACATTCAAACCACATTAAGGAATTGGGGAAAAGTGAAATGAGGGGTCATAAAAAGACCTATCTTGTTGTATGAAAATAAAGTTAATAAGGAATGCTGGTTAAAAGATGTATAAGAAAAGGTTTTTGCTATTGTGTTATGAAACTGTTTTCCAGGGAAAATTTGAAACATAAAAAAAAATCACAAGTAATTTTTAAGGGAGTGTACCATAAATGTGAAGTCTCTTAAAGCCTAAACACTGGAATACCTTTTGAAGGGAAAGTACTATTCAGCACTTTCTTGTGTAGATTAGTTTTATATATATATATATGTATCTATGCATGCATGCATGTTTGTTTTGTGATTTTATTTTTCTAAAATAATTTTGTACTCTCTCTGTTGGGCATAGCTAGGTCTCTGGACCCATTATGGAAATTAGATTGACACACCAAAGCTCCTGCTCCCTTTCCAAGAACAAGCCTGAGCAACACCACAGGATATTCAAGGAGTTCTTGTTTGGTCTGACTCTTTAACTTTTGTTGTCCAGTTGTATATTATATAAGACCCAGTAGCATGACAAAATTGCCAGAATTTTGCTTTTCCAGATTACATAGTCTTTCCTGTGGGCTCTGCAATCTCCACTCTCCCTCCAAAACAAGTACATTTTTGTGAAATTTTAAATAGAAAAATCTCTATATAGATCTAATGTCGGTTTCTTAACATTTACATTTCAGTGTCTTGGGATTTGTGATTACATCAACTTGTTTTGGAAAAGAAATAAATTCTCTTAACTTTCTTTTAAAAAAATCTATTTTAAGTTATAGAGATGACATAACAATATTATAGACAGTTTACCAAAAATGTGATAATCCTGCCACCCAGTCAGAATAGACATTGCCATTTTTCTGTTTCCTTTCAGACTTTAGGTGACAGGACAGTGTGATTTCTGTTGAATTCTATGTAGTAATGTTTTTATCCCTCCTGAGCAAGACCTGAAGTTTGACCCCTTTGTGTGTCCCAAGCACTCACCTGGGCTGCCTTTTTCCTGTTTTCCATCTCTCCAAATCCTTCTGTTTTTACCTCCTCTTTTTTTTTTTTTTTTGGAGTTCCTCTTGCATCTACATTCAGGATCACACAGTCTACCAATTAATTACCCATTCTTCACATTACAAGACAAGAGAAGAGAAAATGTTGTCGCGGGTTTTCAAAAAGAATCTGGGGACAGGGAGGAGAAGGAATGATGTATTCTCAAACTAAGTGTCTGGCAAAATTCTAGAACAGATTAGTAATGTTTGGTTTATGAGCACTTAGCTAAATATTAGAAGCCAGTATGGGTTTACTGAGAGTAAGTATGCCAAACTAATCTTTCTTTTTTTGGATAGTTATAGACTGGTATTTTAGGGAACCATAAATTAATGTATTATGATTTCAATAAAGTATTATAAAAATAATAAATTGAATCATGTTACTTCCTGCTCTGTTCAAAACCCTGTCTAGGGACTTCTCATTACACTAAGAATAAAATCCAGAATCCTATATGATCTGGCTCTTGCTATCTCTTGATCTTTATTTTCTACTTATTTTCTCTACTTACTTTCCAACCTGACTGACTTTCTTTATGCTTCTCAAACATGAATATGCCAGATATACTCAGGGTCTTTCTACCTGGCATGCTCTTCTCTGAGATACCTGTATCACTTTCTCCTTGACTTAAATCCCTTCTGTTTAGAAAGCCTTCCCTAACAACCCTATCTAAAATAACAACCTCAACACATGCTCCACTTATAGTGCTTTGTCTCCAAAGACCTTATCATTATCTGTGAAATTAGTTTTCAAGTATTTGAACTGGTTGACTAACCATAACCAGCAGGGGTTGATTTTTAATAACCTACAGATTGAATTCCAAATTTGCTAGTATACAATTCAAGACCCTTTGTAATTTGGCTTCAACTTAATCTTTCTACCTTTATATCTCATTTCACATTACTTTTGCCATCCTGCATACTCTTTCCTGCCTCCCCTAGCCCACCAATCCATCTTGACCACACTTATTCTTCCCATGCTCAAATCTCACCATGTAATTGTTGGTATTAGGAGTGAGAGAACTGTGTTTGATTCCAGCTTTTCCACTCTTACCAGCATGATCTTAGAAACCTTGCTTACTTAATTCCCCAATTTCTTTCTCTATGAAGACAATATGACTATCTTACAAAATTATTATCAAGTGAGGTAACGTATGTTAAGCGCCTGGCACAGGTTTAGTGCTTCACTTTTCTTTTCCTTCACTAATTAGACTATCTCGTCCTCCATTCCTGCAGCATAACAGGCAATCACTGTTTAATGGGATTGGTGGATGGTCAATATAGAGGATAATCTTATGTGCCAAACAAATCTGTCATTGGCTTTGCCTTTTTAACTGTTTTTATCAGGGACTTGGATGAAAAGTTGCAAGTTCCAGTATTAGGTCATGCATCTAGTAAATAATGGTCCACACAGGTTCAGATGGCTCAAAACTTTTGATTGTCCCATCATGCTATGATGTCTATAGAACTGGCAGCAGAGGAGTAAACTAATGATTTGGATAAGAGAATCTGGTCTTGTTTTTATCCCGATAGTGTGAAATGGACCAAAACAAACAAAGCTAATGTGGTTTTAGGGGTCATTAATAGAAATGTAGTCAAGATCAAGAAAAATATTAGTCTGGAGCACAGAAAGCACTCAATAAATGTTTCTTTGAATAGAGTTAAATTGTCAGACTGCACTTAGACCGTTGTGTTCCATTTTTGGTGCCATATGTTAAGAGTTGCTCTGCCAAACCAGACTCAGGGAGTCTTAGCCAATGATCACTCTGGAAACCATGTCAAATGAAGGGTTGAAAGAAGTTTGGTGTTTAACCTGGCTTGGGAATGGGTAGCAGGGGTGAAATGGAGTAGTCCCTTTCAAATATTTTATGATTTGATTGAGGAAGAAGGGTTAACGTATTCTGTGAAACTAGAGTGCAGAACCACGGCCAGCATTTATGAGAGAAATTGATTTGATTTTCACTCACCATAAGAAGGAACTTTAGAATTTGTTTTCTAACAATTAAATGGGCTGACTTGTGAAGGAGTAAACTTGGAGGTATTCAAGTAGAGGTTAGAAAATCATCTTATGAGAATATCGTGTGTGTGTGTG